>NC_000016.10:1260000-1885000 GCF_000001405.40 Homo sapiens | reverse complement strand
GGTGCAGTGGCTCATGCCTGTAATCCTAGCACTTTGAAAAGCTCAGGCCAGGATCACTTGAGACCAGGAGTTCAAGACCAGCATGGCCAACATGGCGAAATTCCATCTCTACTGAAAAAACAAAAATTAGCCGGGCGTGGTAGCACATGGCTGGAATCCCAGCTACTCGGGAGGCTGAGGCAGGAAAATCGCTTGAACCCGGGAGGCAGAAGTTGCAGTGAGCAGAGATCGTGCCATTGCAATCCAGCCTGGGCCACAAGCGCGAAACTCTGTCTCAAAATAAATAATAAAAGTTTATCATATTTTATTATTTAGTCATAGCTTATTTAGACGATACTTGTATTGATTTGCCCACAGAGTCACTCTGGGTTGAGACAGAAAGCAGTCAGAAGCAATTCGTGCTCTCTGTTGGCATTAGCGCTAAGAATAAAATAAGTCAATACAGTCGCTTCCACAGTATGACAAAAGGTTCCGTCTTGATCAGTCATTTTCTGACCCAAGGTCACAGCTCTTGCAAAATTTTACTGTAGCTCGACAAACTCTCCATATCAACTCCACATTACAAGATCTTTCGTTTCTTCAATTAAACAACTGGAAATGGATACCATCCATGCTCTCAGATTTATGATGTCAATAAAGCCCATTATGATCACACCCTGCTGTTGAAAAATGGGATGGCAGGGAACTGACAGGCTGTTTTTAGGTCACCGTCTTACACAATACCAACCGCCCATCAGGTTGTTTCAAAGGCTTTCAGCCACTGACTAATAGAAAAAGAGACTGCATACAACGTTTCATTCATGTTTTGCTAGGCTAGATACATTTGTTGTAGCGGTCTCATATTTGTAAGTCCGTGGAAAAACCTGAAAGTATTTTTTTCTTGAAAATTTTTTTGAAAAAAAAGGTATTCTTTGTACAATAACTATAGAGAAAAGATGTTAAAATGTCACAACAGTGATTCCATATAAATTCAGTTTCTTTTTTTTTTTTTTTTTTGAGACAGGATCTCATTGTGTTGCCCAGGCTGGAGTGCAGTGGCGCAATTTCAGCTAACTGTAGCCTCGACCTCCTGGGCTCAAGCGATCCTCCTACCTCAGCCTCCTGAGTAGCTGGGACTACAGACAAGCTCCATCACACCAGGCTAATTTTTGCATTTTTTTTATAGAGACGGGGTCTCACTCTGTTGCCCAGGTGGAACTCAAGCTCCTGGGCTCAACTGATCCTCCCTCCTTGGCTTTCCAAAGTGCTGGGATTACAGGCATGAGCCGCCGCATTCAGCCCAAATTCACCTTGTTTTTCTTTTTTCTTGAGATGGAGTTTTGCTCTTGTTGCCCAGGCTGGAGTGCAATGGCTTGATCTTGGCTCACTGTAACCTCCACCTCCCGGGTTCAAGCGATTCTCCTGCCTCACCCTCCTGAGTAGCTGGGATTACAGGCATGCGCCGCCATGCCCAGCTAATTTTTTGTATTTTTAGTAGAGATGGGGTTTCACCATGTTGGCCAGGCTGATCTCCAACTCCTGATCTCAGGTGATCCACCCACCTCGGTCTCCCAAAGTGCTGGGATTACAGGTGTGAGCCACTGCAGCTGGCTCAAATTCACTTTTAAAGTATTATTTTATGATGGGAAATACTGATAGAGGGTACATGTTGCATTTATAAGTTTTAATATAATTTTTCATTTATTAACTCATTGGACAACCCAGTAAAATGTCATTAGGAGTGAGAATCAGGAATGATGGATTCACGGTCTAGTTGCAAGACTCATCACAGGCCATTAACCTCTGAAAAGCCTTTATCTGCTTCGGTGAGTGCTTCCAGAGTTTGCAACACGAATATATGTCCACGAATATAAGTTTGATATGATAGTGAGAGTCTGCCTATTCAGAAGAAAAAGTTGCCCAGCTGGATTTAGTTTATCTTCGTCTCAGTGTTCTTTATTTTAATTTTAAAATATTTGAGTATTAAAGATTGAATTCTATTTGGGATGATGGAAACATTCTGGAAATAGACAATGATGATGGTGATACAACCTTATTAATGTACATAGTGGCACTGACTTACGCCCTTAAAAATGGTTTAGGCCAGTCGGGCGCGGTGGCTCACGCCTGTCATCCCAGCACTTTGGGAGACCGAGGCGGGTGGATCACCTGAGGTCAGGAGGTCGAGACCAGGCTGGCCAACATGGTAAAATCCCGTCTATACTAAAAATACAAAAAATTAGCCGGGCGTGGTGGTATGTACCTGTAATCCCAGCTACTCGGGAGGTTGAGGCAGGAGAATCGCTTGAACCCCGGAGGTGGAGGTTGCAGTGAGCCGAGATCGCGCCACTGTACTCCAGCCTGGGTGACAGAGTGAGATTCCATCTCAAAAAAAAAAAAAAAAAAGTTTCAGTGGTACATTTTGTTATGCTTTTTTTTTTTTTTTTGGTAGCGACAGGGTCTCACTAATGTTTCCCAGGCTGGTCTCAAACTCCTGGGCTCAAGCATGTTAGCATATTTTATCACAATTTAAAAATAAAGGCCAGGTGGCTGGGCATGGTGGCTCACGCCTGTAATCCCAGCACTTTGGGAGGCTGAGGCGGGTAGATCACCTGAGGTCAGGAGTTCAAGACCAGCCTGGCCAAGATGGTGAAACCCTATCTCTACTAAAAATACAAAAAAATTAGCTGGGCGTGGTGGCGGGCACCTGTAATCCCAGCTACTCAGGAGGCTGAGGCAGGAGAATTGCTTGAACCTAGGAGGCAGAGGTTGCAGTGAGCCAAGATCATGCCATTGCACTCCAGCCTGGGCGACAGAGCGAGACTCGGTCTCAAAAAAAAAAAAAAAGAAAAGGAAAGAAAGAAATTATCTCTGATCCTTAGATAGTTTGTGAATCAGTGGCCGCTTTCGCTCCCCGTGGGGTTCGTTTTAGTGTTCTATTTCTCCCCCACATCACTACCTTCTCCCAACAGCCACTGCACCTGCCTCACAGTTGCAAGATAAAATACAGGATGCCGAGGCCAGGTGGAGTGGCTCACGCCTATAATCCCAGAGCTTTGGGAGGCTGATGTGGGAGGATCGCTTGAGCCAGGAGTTTGAGACCAGCCTGGGCAACGTAGCAATGCCTTATCTCTACTAAAAATAACAATAGTAGGCCACTGCAGTGGCTCACACCTGAAATCCCAGCACTTTGGGAGGCCAAGGCAGGCAGATTGCTTGAGCCCAGGAGTTTGAGACTAGCCCAGGCAACATGACAAAACCCTGTCTGTACAAAAAAATACAAAAATTAGCCGGGTACAGCCAGGCACAGCCGGGCGCAGTGGCTCACACCTGTGATCCCAGCATGCTGGGAGGCCGAGGCGGGCAGATCACCTGAGGTCAGGAGTTTGAGAATGACCTGATCAACATGACGAAACCCCCTTTCTACTAAAAATACACACACACAAAAATAATAACTGAGTGTGTTGGTGCATGCCTGTCGTCCCAGCTACTTGGGAGGCTGAGGCACGAGAATCGCTTGAACTCAGGCTGCAGAGGTTGCAGTGAGCAGAGATCACGCCACTGCACTCCACCCTGGGTGACAAAGCGAGACTCCATCTCAATTAAAAAAACTTAGCCGGGCATGGTGGTGCATGCCTGTAATTTCAGCTACTCGGGAGGCCAAGGTCGGAGGATCACCTGAGCCCAGGAGTTCAAGGCTACAATGAGCCATGTTCGTGCCACTGCACTCCAGCCTGGACAACAGAATGAGACCCTGTCTCAAAATAAAAAGACATTTTAAAAAAGGAAATGATTTAAGGGACCTAGCAGAGACTATAATTACCTTTTCTCTTGTTTAATTAATAAAGAGATGTCTAGAACATTTTACTGTGGCTAATATTCCCAGAGAGAATCACTTCTTTATTTGCTGATAACACAAATACAGGGTCCCAATAGCATCCAGTAATTCACAAAGTAATTTTTTCAAGATTAGCACCATGTTCCCACGGGAGCTCACGTTGCTGTCATCCACACTGCACACTTTGCAGGCAAGAATTTTATTCACCTGTTTATTCTGCCTCTTAGAAAATATATTTTAATTATTTAGGAAACGTTACCAAGTAAAATTTTAACCTCAAAGGTTGATCAAAGTCACATTACAAAGTTGTATTTGCCTCATGTGCTGGTGAAATACTTTGACACTTGTCTACACTTCAAACGAGAATTTACAAAGTGAAATGAGAGGACTCGTAATTTAATTTTTTTTTTTTTGAGGCGGAATCTCACTCTGTCGCCCAGGCTGGAGTGCAATGACCTGATCTTGGCTCACTGCAACCTCTGCCTCCCGGGTTCAAGCGATTCTCCTGCCTCAGCCTCCTGAGTAGCTGGGACTACTATATACTGAGGAAGCTTTTCTGGTTTTTTAAGAAAAAAGTGGCTGGGCGTGGTGGCTCACGCCTGTAATCCCAGCACTTTGAGAGGCCAAGGCAGGCGGATCACGAGGTCAAGAGATCGAGACCATTCTGGCCAACATGGTGAAACCCTGTCTGTACTAAAAATACAAAAATTAGCTGGGTGTGGTGACCCATGCCTGTAATCCCAGCTACTCGGGAGGCTGAGGTAGGAGAATGATGTGAACCCGGGAGGCGGAGGTTGCAGTGAGCCGAGATCTCGCCATTGCATTCCAGCCTGGCGAGAGAGCGAGACTCCGTCTCAAAAAAAAAAAAAAAAAAAAAAAAGAAAGAAACAATTGAGATGCCTCCTGAAAAAAAGAAAAAGGTGGAGAAAAATAAATTTTTTTTTTTTTTTGAGACAGGATGTTGCTGTGTGGCCCAGGCTGGAGTGCAGTGCTGCGATCACGGCTCGCTGCAACCTTGAACTGCTGGGCTCTGGGGATCCTCCCACTGCAGCCTCCCAAAGTGCTGGGATTACAGGCACACACACCACACCCAGCTAATTTTTTGATTTTGTGGAGATGGTGTTTTGCCATGTTGCCAAGGCTGGTCTCGAACTCCTGGGATCAAGCAATCTTCCCGCCTTGGCCTCTCACAGTGCTGGGATTACAGCGCTGGCATGCCTGGCGAAAATGTGATGTTAAAAGTGTTAGAAACCAATACAAGGGAAAGAATTTCCCACTTTGTGAGCTGTGGGTGTCCCTTGAGTGGAACTAGGACACCTATAGAACGCTGCTGTGGCCATGAGCCCTCTGGGGCCATTTGCATGTGAGCCCCAAGAAGGAAGGTGGTGGGAGGAATGGACACACCGAGGAAGCTGGTCTATTAACAGTGACTATTCTCTGCTTCTTTTGTTTTTTTTTCCCTACTTAATTGAAGGAAAATATGAACTGAAAGAGGGGAATGAATGGTAAAGCCAGTTCAGCAGGTACAGTCTTATGCAACCCATGTTAGTAACAGTTATCCACAGAATGTAGCCTTTCATATTTTCCCATCCATTATTTCAGAGTATGCTAACTTTGACCTTTATGAGCTTTTTAAGGGAGTTATGTTTATCTACATTTTACACATTGTTTTAAGGTTCTAGGGAAGTAACTTCTAAGATCTTACAGCAAATTATTATTATTATTATTATTTTATTTATATTTATTTTTTTGAGATGGAGTTTTGCTCTTGTGGCCCAGGCTGGAGTGCAATGGTGTGATCTCAGCTCATTGCAACCTGCGCCTCCCAGGTTCAAGCGATTCTCCTGCCTCAGCCTCCTTAGTAACTGAGATTACAGACGTGGGCCACCACGCCCGGCTAATTTTGTATTTTTAGTAGAGATGGGGTTTCACCATGTTGGTCAGGCTGGTCTCGAACTCCTGACCTCAGGTGATCTGCTCACCTTGGCCCCCCAAAGTGCTGCGATTACAGGCTCGAGCCACTGCGCCTGGCCAAATTATTATTACTGTTATTTTTTCAGACAGGGTGTTGCTCTGTCACCCAGGCTGGAGTTCAGTGGTGCGATCACAGCTCACTGCAGCCTCAACCTCCCCAGCTCAAGTGATCTTCCCACCTCAGCCTCCAGAGTAGCTGGGACTACATGCGTGCACCACCACGTCTGGCTAATTTTTTTTTTTTTTTTTTGTAGAGATGGGGTCTCACTGGGTTGCCCAGGTTGGTCTCGAAGTCCTGGGCTCAAGTCTCGGCCTCCCAAAGTACTGGGATTATAGACATGAGCCACCACACCCAGCTGATCATACAGCAAATTAAATTAAGGGCTAAAACTAGCAGCAAGCGCTATGGTACCAATCTGCCAGTCTCCCTGTCATAGCATGCAGCAACCTAGATATGCCCTATCAAGTGAATTTAATGCCTTCTCCCCTTTTTTTGCAGCTTTGTTACATATCAGACGCGGATATTACTTACGAGTATTGAATGATCCCCTCAGTAAACACCAGCTATGCAGGAGGTGCTACCTTAGCAATAGGAGCTTCAGTCTGGGAGGAGAGTGGGACATATAAGCAAATAAATACATCACGTTTCCCACAGGGCGCGTATTTTGTGTTCATCTTCGTCCCACTGGATCTGTCCAAACTTTTCATTTTTGACAGATAAGGAAAATGAAGTTCAGATGCTTGAGTGACACAGCTAATTAGTGGCAAGGCTGAGACTTTTGACCAGACAGCCTGACTTTTAGTTTCTACCATGCATGTTAACTCCTCCTAAACCCCATTTATTTTCTCATTTCAGACAACTGCGCAATAACACTGCTAAGATAAAAGCACTCTGATTAATAAACACTGAAATTAAGCAGGTTAAGAAATATCTATTGTCCTTTTCTCAGAGTGATAATTTTAAAAACTGAAATTGGTCTTTTGCACTCGCAGTTTTCTCTTGCTTCCTTAAACATTTGCGAAATATGAGAACAATATAAATAGGTTCTCAAGCTCTGAGCAAACCCTTAACCATGTAAATAAGCCCCATAAAGAACAAAGCCTGGCCGGGTGCGGTGGCTCACGCCTATAACACCAGCACTTTGGGAGGCAGAGGTGGGAGGATCGCTTCAGCCCAGGAGTTCGAGACCAGCCTGGGGAACCTAGGGAGATCCTGTCTCTACAAAAAATACAGTAAATTAGCTGGGTGTGGTGGGGGCACGCCCGTAGTCCCAGCTACTCGGGAGGCTGACGTGGGAGGATCACTTGAACCTGGGAGTTTCAGGTCGCAGTGAGCTGTGATTACATCACTGGACTCCAGCCTGGGTGACAGAGCAAGACCCTGTCTCAAAACACAAATAAATAAATACATACATAAATACATAAAATAAAATAAATAAAAGTAGAGTAGAGTTGGTTCATTGCAACAGATACTGTCTGGCCCACAAAGCCCTTTACATATAGCAACTTACAGAAGAATTTGTGCCCCTGTGATAGATAGCATTGGAGGTTTCCGCCTAGGGAAAGCTGTGGTGCAGCCCTGAGAAGCGTCATGTGGTAAGATTCATCCCTCTGAGGGCATGAGATGGGCTGGGGCAGGGGAGATGAGAGCCCCTGCAGCGTGCTGCTCCATCCCCTGACAACACTGCCAGAGCCGCAGGAGGGTGGCAGCAACAGACGTGGAGAGACAAGGGCAGGTGCTAAGGAAAAACAGAACCTGGCTCCTGATGATGACAGTGGAGGAGAAGGGAGGATTCAAGGCTGCCTTTGAGACGCTGAGCTTCAGTTACCAGGTGTTTTCCATAGAATTGGAAGGTTCTGAGCTGGCTTGGGGTGAGCCTAGGAGCTGAACTTTAGATACTTGGCAATGCTGCAGACGGCTGGCAAGGTGGGGCTGGAACAGCTCGGTCAGAGATGTTGTTAATGGCCACATAGCTGGCAAAGGTACGCTGCAATGATTTAGGAGGGTTTAAAAAATTATATGTGTTTATGGCTGAACGCGGTGGCTTATGCCTGTAATCCCAGCACTTTGGGAGGCTGAGGAGGGCAGATTATTTGAGATCAGGAGTTCAAGAGCAGCCTGGCCAACGTGGTGAAACCCTGTCTCTGCTGAAAATACAAAAATTAGCTGGGTGTGGTGGCGCGCACCTGTAATCCCAGCTACTTGGAAGGCCAAGACAGGAGAATCGCTGGAACCCGGGAGGTGGAGGTTGCAGTGAGTCAGGATTGTGCCACTGCACTCCAGCCTTTGTGACAGAGCGAGACTCTATCTCAAAAAAAAAAAAAAAAATATATGTGTGTGTGTGTGTGTGTGTGTGTGTGTGTGTGTGTTTAATATAAATGGTGCTGAAACATGGCCATGACAGCACTCCCAAGACATGGGCCCTTCCTTCTGTTGTCACCTCAGTAAATTTCCCATGGGATAGGCTTCCAAAGGTCAAAGCCTGTGCCTTGTGTGCTCATGCCCTCTTCTGCTCCCTCTAGTACGGGGTGCCAGACATGCAGCACGCAGGAACCACTCCAGGTCCCTGGGCACGGACTACGGATGCTGAGTTATTTCAAGCCCAGCACGTTACTCACTTCAGCTCAGCACCTCTCACCTTGTCCTGAGGCTTTCAGTTCCAGTTTCAATTCACCGTTCAACCTTTTTTAAAATTTTTATTTATTTATTTATTTTTTTGAGACGGAGTCTTAAAAGAGCTTAGGAGCTGAGCTTTACATACTTGGCAATGCTGCAAATGGCTGGAGCGCAGTGGCGCGATCTCGGCTCACTGCAACCTCCACCTCCCAGGTTCAAGCAATTCTCCTGCTTCAGCCTCTCGAGTAACTGGGATTACGGGCACCTGCCACCACAATACATTTTTGTGTTTTCAGTAGAGACGGGGTTTCGCCACGTTGCCCAGGTAGGTATCCAGCTCCTGACCTCAGGTGATCCGCCCACATTGGCCTCCCAAAGTGCTGGGATTATAGGTGTGAGCCACCACGCCCGGCCTCCAGTAGCTCTTAAATTGCTTCTTTTTGGCCCTAAACACGATTTCCACATCTAGTTCTTCCAGTCCCTTTTGCAGGTTACCTCACTCCTCTTCTCTACATAAACTTCTGCAAAAGTTTACAAAAAATCTGTAAATGTTAGTGTATCTACAACCTATTTATTTATTTATTTATTATTATTATTTTTTCTGAGATGGAGTTTCACTCTTGTTGCCCAGGCTGCAGTGCAATGGCGCAATCTTGGCTCAGTGCAACCTCCGCCTCTCGGGTTCAAGTGATTCTCCTGCCTCAGCCTCCCAAGTAGCTGGGATTACAGGCATGTGCCACCATGCCGGCTAATTTTTGTATTTTTAGTAGAGATGGGGTTTCACCATCTTGGCCAGGCTGGTCTCGAACTCCTGACCTCAGGTGATCCACCCGCCTCAGTCTGTCAAAATGCTAGGATTACAGGGGTGAGCCACCACGCCTGGCCTACAATCTATTTAAAACATGATTAGGCCAGGCACAGTGGTTCATGCCTATAATCCCAGTGCTTTGGGAGGCTGAGGCAGGAAGATTGCTTGAGTCCAGGAGTTCAAGACCAGCTTGGGCAATATAGCGAGACCCCATCTCTACAAAAAAATACAAAACTTAGCCGGCGTGGTGGTGTGCACCTACGGTCCCACGGGAGGCTGAGGTGGGAGGATCACCTGAGCCCAGGGAGGTCGAGGCTGCAGTGAACTGTGATCGTGCCACTGCACTCCAGCCTGGGTGACAGAGTGAGACCCTGTTTTGGGAGAAAAACAAAAAAGATGATCAGTCCTTTGATGGAGTGACGAGTGGGGGTGAGACTAATTATGCCAGTAACTGATCTATTAGTATTTCAGCTCCTGGGAGGAAGACCATAGTCACGGGATCAATGCTGGAAAAGTTATAGTTTTGTTAAATAAATAAAAGCTTATCTTGTAATTCATTAAAATAACTGTCAATTTTTAATGAATTTCTATCTTGTAATTCATTAAAATAACTGTCAACGTTTCTACTGATTAGAACGTGTAAAGTTTATGACTATATATTTTGCCTGTCACTCCTTTGTGACAGCTCCTAGATGTTTTGACAGCTGGCATGCTCTGGGGAGCTGACCATGTAGCCAACTACCGTTTCTTTAGCCAGACATGTGAGCTATTTCAGCTCTGACCCTTGTTCGCTCACCCTTGACTTCTGCATCAAGCGGCAAGGGCAAGCTAGCATTTCTAGTCCTTATTTCTGTTCGTGTACATCCAAAATATATTGACAAGTCAATCCTATTGTTAAGAGCAAGCCAATTTCACAGAACTGCTATAAAAAATGGAAGAAACAAATTCCGTACACAACAAGGGAGACTTAATTTCACGAGCGTGAAGCAATTCCACTCTTTTAGGCTTGTATTTTGAAGCATCGTGGCTTATGAGAAGCCTGTTGTGTCCTGGCAAGGCTGACACTGTTTGCTTAACCTTATGTAGCTTTCTGCAAAAATTAATTTACTAAAACGTGACAAAATTTAAAAAATTTTAGAATATTATTGCTTCACTGAGGCTCAAATGAAAAATGCATGAAAACTATTTTTATATTTTTTCCTCTCCTTTAAGATGGACTTAAAATGCTAGTTTATTTTATTTTGTTATTTTGTGTTTTTTTTTTTGAGACAGAGTCTCTCTCTGTTGCCCAGGCTGGAGTGCAGTGGCCCGATCTTGGTTCAATGCAACCTCCACCTCCTGGGTTCAAGCAATTCTCCTGCCTCAGCCTCCCGAGTAGCTGGGACTAAAGGCGCATGCCACCACGCCTGGCTAATTTTTTGTGTTTTAGTAGAGATGGGGTTTCACCGTGTTGCCCAGGCTGGTGGCCAACTCCTGAGCTCAGGCAATCCGCCCACCTTGGCCTCCCAAAGTGCTGGGATTACAGACGTGAGCCACTGCCCCCGGCCACTAGTTTATTCTTTTGGAAAGATAAAGATAGGTTTTTTTTTTTTGTTTTTTTTTTTTTTTTTTTTTTGAGATGGAGTCTCCATCTGTCACCCAGGCTGGAGTGCAGTGGCGTAATCTTGGCTCACTGCAACCTTTGCCTCCCAGGTTTAAGCGATTCTCCTGCCTCAGCCTCCCGAGTAGCTGGGATTACAGGCTCCCGCCACCATGCCTGGCTAATTTTTGTATTTTTAGTAGAGATGGGGTTTCACCACGTTGGGCCAGTCTGGCCTCGAACGCCTGAGCTCAGGCAATCTGCCCTCCTCAGCCTCCCAAAGTGCTGGGATTACAGGCATGAGCTACCAACCCCGGCCAAAAATATCTTCTTTTAAAGGCAGAGACTGGAAAGGAATAGGGACGATTTAAAAACCCAACTCTTCCCATTATATTTGAAATGGTGAAATGCAGGTACTTTATTTTGCTTCCCAGTATTATTTGGGAAATTAAAAAAAAATGAGGAAAAGAAAAACTGTATTTTAATAATAACATAAAACTTGGTTCTACAGTGGTATTTTTCTTTTATAATATGTGTGTGTTATATGCACCAAAGTTGTTCTTCTCTTTTTAAAGAGAAACTTAAATAATGCTACATGTGGACAGTAGTAGGTGACAAATTTAATGGACTTAGTTTTTGGATCTTACTTGCCCTGGGTTGGTACTCTGTTAACAAAAATTAGTATAAGTCATTAAACTAAAAAGATTTCTAAATGGAAGTAATTAAAAACATGAAGAGCTGAGAAAATTTTTGTCAGATTCACCTAAGTCCAATCCTTAGCACATCTAATTATATATATATTTTTCATACATAGATATACACATCTAGGGTTTTTTCTTTCTTTTTCTTTTTTCTTTTCTTTTGAGACGGAGTCTCGCTCTGTCACCCAGGCTGGAGTGCAGTGGCGCGGTCTCAGCTCACTGCCAGCTCCGCCTCCCGGGTTCACGCCATTCTCCTGCCTCAGCCTCCGGAGTAGCTGCGACTACAGGCACCCGCCACCACGCCCGGCTAATTTTTTGTATTTTTAGTAGAGATGGGGTTTCATCTTGTTAGTCAGGATGGTCTCCATCTCCTGACCTCGTGATCCGCCCGCCTCGGCCTCCCAAAGTGCTGGGATTACAGGCGTGAGCCACCGCGCCCAGCCCATCTATGGGTATTTTCTTGATGTACTACATGCCAAATCTATCATTAGATGTAGATATATTAATTAATTAATTAATTAATTAATTTTGTAGAGACAGGGTCTTACTCTTGCCCAGGCTGGAGTGCAGTAGCGCCATCATAGCTCACCACAGCCTTGAACTCCTGGGCTCAAGCGATTCTCCCCCCTCAGCTTCCCCAGTAGCTGGGACTACAGGCATGCATCGTCGTGCCTGGCTCATTTTTTCTTTTTTTTTTTTTTTGGAGACAGAGTCTCACTCTGTTGCCCAGGCTGGAGTGCAGTAGTACAGTCTCGGCTCACTGCAACCTTCCTCTCCTGGGTTCAAGCGACCTCTCCCGGGTTCAAGCGATTTTCATACCTCAGCCTCCTGAGTAGCTGGGACTACTCGGGTGGGCGGGCGGCGCCACAAGACAACCAGGCACTCACCACCACGCCTGGCTAATTTCTTTCGTATTTTTAGTAAAGACGGGGTTTCACCATGTTGGCCAGGCTGGTCTTGAACTCCTGAGCTCAGGTGATCCGCCCGTCTCTGCCTCCCAAAGTGCTGGGATTACACGCGTGAGCCACCGCGCCCGCCCTTCATAATATTATAGATAGAGAGATATGTTTATTTTTTTCCGGCGCACCGTCTTTTGGAATCCAGCGACCACAGAGCCACACGCGGCTGTGAGAGCGCACGGAGACCCCTCCCCGCGCCTGCGGCTGTCTTGTCCCTCTAACTCCCAAGAAGGAGGAAACGGGAACCGGGCTCCCCTCCCCTCCCCCGAGGGCTGAGTCTGAGCGCGTTGGGGGCGGAGCCAGTGAGCGGTGGGGGCGGAGCCAGTGAGCGGTGGGGGCGGAGTCAGTGAGCGGTGGGGGCGGAGTCGCTGAGGACGGGGCGGGGCCTCGCGCTAACGGTCGCGCGGCCGTCGCACCTGCACGAGGCTGTGGCCCGAGCGTCCTGTGGAGAAGCCGCGAAGCGCGGGCGACCCGGGGGTCGGGCGGGCCAGGTCCGCGAGGCCGCGGCGGCAGCTGTGCAGGCCCGGGGAGCAGCCGGCCGGGCGAGCCTCGGGTAAGCAGCGGCGTGGACGGCCAGGTGGCGACGCGGGCCAGGCCTCCAGCTGTGGGGCGGCGTCCGAGGAAGGGAGCCCGCGCGGGTCAGGGCCCGGCTCCTCCTCCCTGGTTCAAGGATTCCCCTGCCTCAGCCTCCCGAGTAGCAGGGATTAGAGGCGTGCGCCACCATACCTGGCTAATTTTTTTTGTATTTTTAGTATAGACGGGGTTTCACCATGTTGGCCAAGCTGGTCTCAAATTCCTGACCTCGCGATCTGCCCACCTCAGGTGCAACCCCATCTCTACAAAAAATACAAAAATTAGCCAGGTGTGGTAGCAGGCTTCTGTAATCCCAGCTACTGTGGAGGCTGAACCAGGAGACTCGCTAGAACCCGGGAGGTGGAGGTTGCAGTGAACCAAGATCGCACCATTGCACTCCGGTCTGGGCAACAGAGCAAGACTCTGTCAAAAAAAAAAAAAAAAAAAAAAAAAGGGCCGGGCGCGGTGGCTCAAGCCTGTAATCCCAGCACTTTGGGAGGCCGAGGCGGGTGGATCACGAGGTCAGGAGATCGAGACCATCCTGGCTAACACGGTGAAACCCCGTCTCTACTAAAAATACAAAAAATTAGCCAGGCGTGGCGGCGAGTGCCTGTAGTCCCAGCTACTCGGGAGGCTGAGGCAGGAGAATGGCGTGAACCCGGGAGGCGGAGCTTGTAGTGAGCCGAGATTGCGCCACTGCGCTCCAGCCTGGGCGACAGAGCAAGACTCTGTCTCAAAAAACAAAACAAAACAAAATTGTAGGGTAAAAGAGACAGTAGTTGTTGAATGAAGTCATCTCTGAATTCTCAGATTGAGCTCTTTAGTTCATGTTAATTTTGTATCTGTTAAAGTGACCAGGTAGAGAAGCAAGTCATATTTTTTGTGGGCAGACACTAACGTCTATTACCATATACCTCTAACGGTAGCAGACAAATAAGGGAATTCAGAGAGATAATAGGATACCATGTCCCACCAAGAGATGCTAAGGGGTAAAAATGTGGAGAAATCCCTTGGTGTGTAGGTAGTTGTGTTTGTACAGAATATTCAGCCACTGAGTCAAATGTCTGACTCATCCTCTCGACTCACATGTCTGGCACTTTGGGCTGTAAATAAATATTAGTTGAATGGTTGAATGAGTGAATGAATTTGTCACAGTTCGGCAAGTGTTTTAGATAGTGACACTGCATTGTGAGCCACATCAGACCAGGCCAAAGAACGAATGAAAAACTTGACACAGCTTAATTCCCAAATGTTTCTTCTGGCACTGAAAGGCCTTGAATACAAAAACTGGTACATTGGATAATATTGACAAGCAGGGCCATCATTGACTGTGAGCCTGTGAACATCGAGGCATCTTGTATACACTGTTTCTACTTTTCACTGCCAGGTGGATGTTATCCACAATTTAAGGATGAGGAAATTAATGTTTAGTAATGTTAAAACACACGACTACAAACTAGTGGTGTTGCAATTCAAAATCATATTTGACTAACTCCACAGGCTGCCTGAAATTCAGGTGTCATGAGACACGTCCTTGAACTGGAGCGGGTGGGTGTGGGCATTCCCAGAGTTAAAGAGGCCCTGGATTATAAAGTGAAGTCAATCTGTTTGGTGTAGCTTACAATTTTTCTACAATAGAACCTTTTAGAGTGATGATGTTGAGGGACAAACCACCATTTCGTTCATCTGATATTTATGGTTTTCAGTTATGAAATACATACATAAAAATACGTAAGATGCCACCTCTGCCCTCATGTAGTTTTACTATGTAGAGGTGTGTTTAAAATCAATAATTTTCCCGGGCTGGGCTCAGTGGCTCACGCCTGTAATCCCAGCACTTTGGGAGGCTGATGCGGGTGGATCATCAGGTCAGGAGATCGAGACCATCCTGGCTAACACAGTGAAACCCCATCTCTACTAAAAATACAAAAAAATTAGCTGGGTGAGGTGACACATGCCTGTAGTCCCAGCTACTCGGGAGGCTGAGGCAGGAGAATCGCTTGAACCTGGGAGGTAGAGGTTGCAGTGAGCTGAGATCGTGCCACTGCACTCCATCCTGGGCGACAGAGCGAGACTCCGTCTCAAAAAAAAAAAAATCACTACCTTTCCCTTCACACAGTATAATCAAATGCTCAATATGAGGTGTTTACGTAGATTTTTGCTGTATTTTTTGAGGTAAGCTTGATGCTAATATATATTTAAATCCTTAAATGTCCCACTGAGGCCGGGCGTGGTGGCTCATGCCTGTAATCCCAGCACTTTGGGAGGCCGAGGTGGGCGGATCACGAGGTCAGGAGATGGAGACCATCCTGGCTAACACGGTGAAACCCCGTCTCTACTAAAAATGCAAAAACAAAATTAGCCAGGCGTGGTGGCAGGTGCCTGTAATCCCAGCTACTCGGGAGGCTGAGGTGGGAGAATGGCGTGAACCCAGGAGGTGGAGCTTGCAGTGAGCTGAGATTGCACCACTGCACTCCAGCCTAGGCAACAGAGTGAAACTCCATCTCAAAAAAAAAATGTCCTATTGAATCATCTTGCATGTAAAACTCTAAATTTGGCTGGGCTTGGTGGCTCACGCCTGTAATCCAGCACTTTGGGGGCGGCCGGATCACTTGAGATCAGGAGTTCAAGACCAGCCTGGCCAACATGGTGAAACCTCGTCTCTACTAAAAATACAAAAATTGGCTGGGCATGGTGGCAGGCGCCTGTAATCCCAGCTATTTGGGAGGCTGAGGCAGAAGAATCGCTTGAGCCTGGGAGGCGGATGTTGTGGTGAACTGAGATTGTGCCACTGCACTCCACCCTGGGGCACAGAGTGAGACTGATGTCTCAAAAAAAGAAAAAAAGTTAAAACAAAATTAAAAAATAAAATAAAACTAAATTTACATGGTGCTCAAAAACTACTAAATTTTACATGGTTTTAGAAATGAAAGTTAAAAATTGAAACCTATAATAGCTATATCATTCAAAATTATAAAAGGACATTCTGAACATGTTTTTTATAGGTTTAATCGATATTAATTTACATTTTACCATTATAATAAAAATTTTCCAAAGCAGTAAACTATCCAGTGCTTTCCTAAATAATATTTTATTTTATTTTATTTATTTATTCTTTGAGATGGAGTGTCGCTCTGTCATCCAGGCTGGAGTGCAGTGGTGCCATCTCAGCTCACTGCAAGCTCCGCCTCCCGGGTTCACGCCATTCTCCTGCCTCAGCCTCCCGAGTAGCTGGGCCTACAGGTGCCTGCCACCAAGCCCAGCTAATTTTTTGTATTTTTAGTAGAGACGGGGTTTCAGCATGTTAGCCGGGATGGTCTCGATCTCCTGACCCTGTGATCCGCCCTCCTCGGCCTCCAAAAGTGCTGGGATAATAGGCATGAGCCACCGCACCTGGCCAATAATATTTTATTTTATTTTATTTTATTTTGTTTTATTTATTTTTGAGACAGAGTCTCGCTCTGTTGCCCAGGCTGGAGTGCAGTAGTGCGATCTCGGCTCAGTGCAACCTCTGCCTCCCAGGTTCAAGCACTTCTTCCTGCCTCAGCCTCCTGAGTAGCTGGGATTACTGGTGCCCGCTACCACGTGAGGTTTCGCCATGATGGCCAGGCTGGTCTTGAACTCCTGACCTCAGGTGATCCATCCACTTCAGCCTCCCAAAGTGCTGGGATTACAGGTATGAGCCACCATGTCCGGCCCTAAATAAGATTTTAAACTCTTGGAATTTTTTAAATGATTTATTTCATTTATTCAATTTATATATCTAAATTATATTTTCTAAAATGCAGATTAAAAAAATGGCAAACTCCTTTGCAGCGAGGATTTTCACTACCCTTTCAGATCTGCAGACAAATATGGCTAATCTGGTAGGTTTCAATAATGTGGTGATTTGCTTACTGATGACATTTTATGTGATAACATTACATCAATGTTATTGATTCATTCAACACATGCTTTTATAATTGGCAAGTATATAGATACTCATTGCATTGGTATAATTGTTAGATATTAAGTATACCTAAATTTCTTTGTATTTATGCCACCTAGATGAAAATTAATCTTTGTGTGTAGAGTAGAAGATATGATTGTAGATTTGACTAGTAATTGTTCAAAATGATCAATAGATGTATTATTTTACTTAATATTTTATAAAGTGAAAAATTTAATAAATGCTCAAATTTAGCATTGTAAAATTAAACCAGGCCAGGCACAGTGGCTCATGTCTGTAATCCCAGCACTTTGGGAGGCTGAGGCAGCTGGATCACCTGAGGTTGGGAGTTTGAGACCAGCCTGATCAACATGGAGAAACCCCATCTCTACTAAAAATACAAAATTAGCTGGGTGTGGTGGCTCATGCCTGTAATCCCAGGTACTCAGGAGGCTGAGGCAGGAGAATCGCTTGAAGCCAGAAGGCGGTCTCAGTGAGCCGAGATCGCACCATTGCACTCCAGCCTGGGCAACAAGAGCAAAACTCTTCTGAAAAAAAAAAAAAAAAAAAAAAAAAAAAAAATTAAACCATTTTGTTCAGCAGTAGCAATTTTCTGACCAAATTATCCAATTTATGGTCTAAGTACTTGACATTATGCTGCTTTTATGATATAGGTTTATAACATGTGTGTTTTCTACAATGATGATGTGAAAATTGACTCTTTGAGTAGGAGTTATAGGGGAATTCAATGATTTTGAACACATCTCGACTGTTACTTACTTAAAAGAAAACTAAGTGGAATCATCTTATAAGTTAAAGAACTTATTGTAAAGCAGCTACCACACACCCTTACCTTCCCTGCCCCTGAGCACTCTGCTATTTATATTTTGCTTTTGCAAACTAGATTTCTTACAATGGGATACATTTACATATAACTTTAATAATTTAAAATTTTAAAATATTAAAAAATAACAATTGTTGTTATAGTTTTTCTTGAAAGGTAAACTATTTGCTAATAATGGTCTCTTCAGATAGAAAGTTTTACTCAACATTTCCATTAATTGGATTTTCCAACAAAATTCAGTGAGATCTGCAAGTATAAGGAATTGAAGAAATAATATCAATGTGTCTAAATAAGCAATAAAGCTAGCTAATAGCTCAGCTAGAATGTAGGAGTCTTAAAAGCCTGATTGTAATTTAAATGTCAAGATTATTGTAAGGTTAAAATCAGTTGCTGCAATTAGCAAAATAAGTTTAGTTTTTTTCCTTTCAGAAAAGGTATTCATTTTTATTTTTTATTATTTTTTTTTTATTTTTATTTTTTGCGATGGAGTCCTGCTCTGTTGCCCAGGCTGAAGTGCAATAGTGGGATCTAAGCTCACTGCAACCTGTGCCTCTGGGTTCAAGCGATTCTCCTGCCTCAGCCTCGCGAGTAGCTGGGATTACAGGCACCCACCACCACACCTGGCTAATTTTTTGTATTTTTAGTAGAGATGGAGTTTCACCATGTTGGTCAGACTGGTCTCAAACTCATGACCTCAGGTGACCCACCCGCCTCAGCCTCCCAGAGTGCTGGGATTACACGTGTGAGCCAACACACCCGGCCCATTTTTATTTCTTAAAACACATTTAAAATTTTTCTTCAGTAGTCACTAAAGAGAACATTAAACATTTTGAGGAGATGTTAATATCTCTAAGTTTTAAGATCTAGGACTTTAGAATTTAGATTTATTAGCAGCAAAATATAAGTTTTGTTACAGTCTAATTTATATTACTGTCCAGCATGTTTGGATTAAGAAGCTAAGTGATTTTATGTGGATTGTTAGAAAACCCTATATAAAGGAAAGCTTTGAAGACTGTGGCAAATTAAATTGCATTATACATGTGCTTTGGATGAATTCAGTAAGGATTGATAGCATAGGGCAGTTATTATGCTCCATCTGGTGATTGAAAATAAAGTAGAAATATGCTAAGTATTAAATGATTATATTTGTAATAGTAGTTAACTTTTGGATTACTTTATACTATTCCTTGTGGAATTGAACATTTATGAACTTCTTTTAGATGTTTGCCTGGAATAAATACATTTAAATGGTTCCTAGTCAGAAATGTTTGTTAGAGCCAGTAAAGTATAACAAGCCCATGAAATTAAATTTATCAAGTACATCTGTGTTTAATATTGGTCTTCTGTGACCTTTTTGTTTTTCAGAAAGTTATCGGTATAGTTATTGGGAAAACAGATGTCAAAGGCTTTCCAGACAGAAAAAGCTGAGTTCTGTTTAACTCTTGGTTTCATTTTTCATCAACTTTGGCTTATGACTACAACAAAGTATATTGAAGTGATTAATTTTTCTATGCCTGTTTAACTCCTTAAGAGCAATGGTCATGCTCTCTATTGGATGGTCAAGTACCTGATTCAAGGCTTTCTCTCTCCCTCCCTCCCACATTCTCTCTCTCTCTCTATATATATGTATACATACACACATATGTGTATATATGTTTATGTGTATACACACACGTGTGTATGTGTGTGCATGTGTATGTGTGTGTATGTGTGTACACGTGTGTGTATATATGTATATTTGAGTACATGTGTTCTCTCTTTTTTTTTTTGAGATGGAGGCTCGCTCTGTCACTCAGGCTGGAGTGCAATGGCACGATCTCGACTCACTGCAACCTCTGCCTCCTGGGTTCAATCGATTCTCCTGCTTCAACCTCCCGAGTAGCTGGAATTACAGGCACATGCCATCATGCCCAGCTAATTTTTGTATTTTTAGTAGAGATGGGGTTTCACCATTTTGGCCAGGCTGGTCTTGAACTCCTGACCTCAAGTGATCTCCCTGCCTCGGCCTCCCAAAGTGCTGGAATTACAGGTGTGAGCCACCATGCCCAGCCCCTGGTTGATTTAAAAAAAACAAAAATTTGTAGAGACAGAGTCTTGCTCTGTTGCCCAGGCTGGTCTCAAACTCCTGGGCTCAAGTGATCATCCCACCTCATCCTCCTAGAGTGATCAGATTACAGGCATGATGCTTTTATCTTTAAGGTAAATAACCAAGCTGTCATCTGGTACCCATATCATTTGTGCCTGCACTTTATTTCATCTTAACTAATTAGATCAGAAATACTAAATAAATAGTTTGAGGAAGTCTATATCTCCTTTTACCAAATTTCAGAAGGCATCACTTAAAATGTGTGAATTAGAAAAAAGTAGTTATTAAAATACTTGCTAAAATTATAAAAATGAAATACACGGTTTTTTGCCAGGCACAGTGGTCACGCCTGTAATCCCAGCAGTTTGGGAGGCTGAGGTGGGCGGATCACCTGAGGTCAGGAGTTTGGGACCAGCCTAACCAACATGTAGAAACCCCCTCTCTACTAAAAATACAAAATTAGTCAGGCATGGTGGCAGGCGCTTGTATTCCCAGCTACTCGGGAGGCTGAGGCAGGAGAATCGCTTGAACCTGGGAGGCGCAGGTTGCAGTGAGCCAAGATCACGCCATTGCACTCCAGCCTGGGCAGCAAGAGTGAAACTCTGTCTCAAAAAAAAAAAAAAAAAAGAAAAGAAAAAGAAATTCACAGTTTTTCACCTATCAGACTGTGAGGGAAGGAGAAAAACTTCTGTGTTGTTTGACTTCTTTTTATGATGACATCTGTGGTATTCCTTTTTTGGAAGAAGTATGCTTACTGACTTAAAACATTGTACATATAACATTATATTTGTATCAAAAATTCCAGCAGTACCAAAGGTCACAGATTTGAAAAGTGAAATTCCCCTTTCAGCTCCTCACTCTTGCCATCCTAGTCCTCTCCCCAGAGGTAAACACTAATAGACAGTTCAGAATATGTCTATAATTTACATGTATGTTGAGTTATATTACTTTTTTTAAAAATTTGAGATAGGGTCTTGCTCTGTCACTCAGCCTGGAGTGCAGCAATGTGAATACAGCTCACTGCAGCCTCAACCCTGGGCTCAAGTGGTCTTCCTGCCTCAGCCTCGCATGTAGCCCAGACAGGTCCATGCTACTATGCCTGAATAATTTTTGGAGTTTTTGTAGAGACAGAGGGTCTCACTTTGTTGCCCAGTCTCGAACTCCTTGGCTGAAGCAATCTTACCCCCTTGGCCTCCCAAGGTGCCGGGATTATAGGCAGGAGCAACTGCGCCCAGCCAGGTTGTAATTTTTAATTAGCAAAACCAATATGAAATTTCTATTTTGGAAAAAAAGTATTTGCTGACCCCTAGTGGTCCTCATTAAGTAGCACATAATTTGTTTTGAAATAACTTATTTTAATTATTTTTAAAATTTATTTTTTTTTTTTTTGAGACAGGGTCTCACTCTGTTCTTCCCCACCTCTACTAAAAAACCTTGTCTCATCAGGCACGGTGGCTCATGCCAGCACTTTGGGAGGCTGAGGCAGGCAGATCACGAGGTCAGGAGTTCGAGACCAGCATGGCCAACATGGTGAAACCCCGTCTCTACTAAAAGTACAAAATTAGCCAGGCATGGTGGCAGGCGCCTGTAGTCCCAGCTACTTGGGAGGGTGAGGCAGGAGAATTGCTTGAACCCAGGAGGCAGAGGTTGCTGTGAGCTGAGATCGCGCCATTGCACTCCAGCCTGGGTAACAAGAGCGAAACTCCGTCTCAAAAACAAACAAAAACGAAACCCGTTTTTACTAAAAAAAAAACAAAAAACAAAAATTAGCCTGGCATGGTGGTGTGCGTCTGTAGCCCCAGCTGCTCAGGAGGCTGAGTCCCAGCTGCTGGGAGGCAGGGGTTGCAGTGAGCCGAGAGATCGCGTCACTGAACTCCAGCCTGGGTGTACATTTCATGAACACCCTGAACTCATTCTTCCCAGGCTGGAGTGCAGTGGTGCATTCAAAGCTCACCGCACACTTAAACTGGGCTCAAGCAACCTTTCCTCCTCAGCCTCCCAAGTAGCTGAGACTAAAGATGAGTGCCACCACTAATTTTAAAATTTTCTGTAGAGATGGTGTCCTTCTATGTTGCCCAGGCTGGTTTTGAACTCCAGGCCTCAAGTGATTCTCCTACCTCACCTCCCAAAGTCCTGGGATCACAGGGGTAAGCTGTTGTGCCTGGCCAATTTTTATTTTTATTTTATTATTATTTATTTATTTATTTTTGAGACAAGAGTTTTTCTCTTGTCACCCAGGCTGGATCTCGGCTCACTGCAACCTCCGCCTCCTGGGTTCAAGCGATTCTCCTGCCTCAGCCTCCCGAGTAGCTGGGATTACAGGCGCCCACCACCACGCCTGGCTAAGTTTTGTATTTTTAGCAGAGACAGGGTTTCACCATGTTGGCCAGACTGGTCTTGAACTAACCTCAGGTGATCCACCCGCCTCGGGCTCCCAAAGTGTTAGGATTACAGGCGTGAGCCATTGCGCCCGGCCTATTTTTACTTTTATTTTTGGGACGGGGTCTTGCTCTGTTGCCCAGGCTGGAGAGCAGTGGGGCAATCACAGTTCGCTGAAGCCTTGAACTTTTGGGCTTAAGCAGTCATTCTGCTTCATCCTCCTAAGTAGCTGGGACTGAAATAACTATTTAGATCTGAATTATGACTTAGGTTGAAACAACAGTAAGAGAGAAAAGGAGAACCTAAGGTAATACCTGGATGGCTCAAGTTTACATGTTTTTCCCTCCAAATACACAGATCACCAGGGAAGGGAGCAAGGGGGCAACCTGTTACCACTTCAGCTTGAAATTCATAGAAGCATGTTATAGAATATACATCTGAAAGAACATTTTGTACTATGTATTTGAGTATTTTTATTATCATAATCAATAGTTATTTGATTAAACAAATAATCATTTGTTTATAATTGAAATGAAACTTTTCATGTAACACTTATCAAAAGGCAGAGAAGCGATTGAAACTCTTCATTTGAAAAATAAAAGCATTGGTTTTCCCTTAGATATTGGATCAGAAAGGTACACTTTCAGCTTCACCATTCGGGATTCACCAGCACATTTTGTAAATGCAGCTTCCTGGGGCAATGAAGATTACATCAAGTCTCTTTCTGACAGCTTTAGGGTTGGTGACTGTGGTAAGTTGGCATTGATTCTTAAACTTTTTCCATCATAGTGTTATTCCTGTGGTATGTTTATGGTAACTATACTGAAGGAGTTGAAATGAGACACAGTTCGTAATTCTCAAGAACTTTATCAGAAAAAGTCAAGTGTTAAGAGTATAATGCAGTGGGGCACGGTGGCTCATGCCTGTAATCCCAACACTTTGGGAGGCTGAGGTGGGTGGATTGCGTGAGTTCAGGAGTTCGAGACCAGCCTGAGCAACATGGCAAGACCCCATTTCTACAAAAAATTAGCTGGGTGTGGTGGCGTGGGCCTGTAGTACCAGCTACTAAGGAGGCTGAAGCAGGAGGGTGGCTTGAGCCCTGGAGGTGGAGGTTGCAGCGAGCCAACATCGTACCTCTGCACTCCAGCCTGAGTCACAGAGTAAGACCCTGTCTCAAAAAAAAAAAAAAAAAAAAAAAAAGACTGCAATGCGAGGCATTCAGAATGTTATTTGAAGCATACAAATGTGATAGTTATATTTTTACTAAATAACCTTACTGTCTTTGGTTTATTACATATTTCAATTTGCACCAACCCATTTTATTGTTATAATTGGTTATCTTTCTATAGACATATAATACAGCCACTGAATATATTTTGATAAAAGTTGACATTTGACCACTGAATAGATTTTGATAAAAACTGATATTTAAATTGTTAATGGGATTTTAAGGAACTTTACTTTTAGTTGAAATACCAAATCTTTTACATCTACTCACCCCAGTATCTCTTTGACAGAACAGCCTCATATAGTAGGAAGAACAGGAGACTTTGAAAACACAGAGGTCTAGATTCAAATCCCAGTTCCAACATTGACTTACATCATGGCTTTGAGAAAATTTCTTAATCTTGTTGGGTCTCAACTATGAAATAATACCTCATTAGGTTCTTGTAAATATTAAATGAGATGGTGTACCTAGTATAACGTGTGGAACTTAGTCACTCAACAGATAACTTTTATGAGCCCTAGCCTCATAAAAGGAACAAGAAAGCATGTATACTAGTTCTTCACGATAGAAAAAGAGAAAAGAGTAATGCAGGTAATGAAAACACTCCTCTTTAATACTGTGGTCTCAAGCAGCTGACTCCCCATACCGGTTATTTAGAACCTAATCATATATTGCCTTGTATTGTTAACTTTCAGGACAATGTATGGTATCTCTCTAGTTGAATAATAGGGTCATTGAACATATGGACTATGAAGGCAGAAAGCTTCACAAACTTCATAGGGCCCAGTATAGCTATAGACATCCCTTGAATAAATGCTGGAATATTAGTTACATATGGAGATAAAGATTTCAATTTTGACATCTCAGTATCAAAATATGTTATATGTTGATGATGGAGAAGATGAATGAGGTGAGGAATTTTTAAAGCCTAGAGTCGATGATGATCATAAATTAAACAGGATGTTATTTAGGATGTTAGTGTTTATCTTGTTACTGTTTTGTAATATCATCATACTTTGCCCTCTGTTTTAGTGATAATTGAAAATCCTCTGATCCAAAGAAAGGAAATAGAAAGAGAAGAAAAATTCAGCCCTGCAACTCCTAGGTAAGCATCTGTCTAGCACAGAGATTGTGCGAGAATGATCATTACTAATAATGTTGTATCAGATTAGCAGAGATCTTACTAAAAGTGTTCTGTTTCTATTTCAATAAAAATGAGGAGTTTAATTTTCTCTTACAAAATTCATCTTTGATTATGACATAATTTACTTTGATACAGAGTCACATGATAAATGGCTTTGGTTTTAGTACTTTGATTCTCATTCTTAGATTTACAAAAATTTGACTTTGTCATGTTAAAACTGAATGAGGAGAAAAGATAAACTTTGGAAATTACATCTGTCTTTTTTCATGTCAAGGTATCCTTCTACTCACAGGCTTACCATCTTAGGGCAGATTCCTTCGAAGCAGAGCTTGAGAGGAGGACTCTTGTGGGAGTGGTTGGTTGAGGGTGAGCTCTCAGGGGAACCCTGCGAGGATAGACCAGGAAGCAGCTGAGCAGAGAAGTGGGTTCACCTGGAGCCTCAGCAGGAGCCGGGAGGGAGCTCTGGAGTGGGAGTGGCCCCTTAGAGCAGTGCCCTGGCTGTAGTCCATCCACTCCCCAAACCCGCAGGATGGGGCGGGGCATCAGCTCAAAGGCGGGTCTGGCAGTTCTGGAGAGAAGGGTGTAGCTGTGCCCTGTACCAGCCTGTAAAGGGCTCTTGGTGGGCACAGCAGTCTACAGCATTTACACTCGCATCAACTGTGACCCGTTCCCACCTTCTTTTCTGACCTCATCTTATGCCAGACTCTCAAGCCTCATTTCTCTGTAGCCACAGTGAATTTCTTTATATTTCATGAACACCGTGAACTCATTCTGCACTAAGAACGTTTGTATTTCCTTTTATTTTTATTTTTTATTTTTTACTGAGACAGAGTCCCACTCTGTTGCCCAGGCTGGAGTGCAGTGGCACGATCTCGGCTCACTGTAACCTCTAACTCCTGGGTTCAAACCATTCTCCCACCTCAGCCTCCCAAGTAGCTGTGATTACAGGCACACGCCCCACACCCAGCTAATTTTTGTATTTTTAGTAGAGGCGGGGTTTTGCTATGTTGGCCAGGCTGGTGTCGAACTCCTGACCTCAAGTGATCCGCCCGCCTCGGCCTCCCAAAGGGCTGGGATTACAGGCGTGAGCCACCGCGCCTGGCCAAACTTTTGTATTTTCTATTCTCTCTCTGCATAGAACTTTCTCCCATCTGTTTGACTATTTGCTTCTTTGGGTTATTGACTCACAGCTTAAATGTCATCTTCTTCAACCTTCCCCATCTACTCTGTTTGTGGTAGCGCTAATGGTCAATTACTGGGATTTTGCCCTGGCTTTTGTCAGCATAACCCAAGTCACCGTCTGAGATTGTTTGATTCATTGTTCTTGGGTCTCCCCCTCACATATGTGAGCCTCATGAGATCAAAGGTCTTGTCTGCCTTCTTCACCACCATATCCCTTGTGCCTAGCATAGGGTCTGGTATATAACAGATTCTCAGTATTCATGGAAGTGATGGATGGATGGTTAGATGGAGAGAATATTCTTGGTAGAGGGAAGAAACAGGAAACCTCCTGTCTTTTCCAGAACAGTTAATATTAGTTTGAGCCATATGAAACTGCTGATGTTTTACTATTTTTCATCTAGAAATACCAATTTCATAATGTAATAGTCTGATACGGCTGGAATGCAGGGCACGGGCAGGAGGAGAAGCTTAAGGTGGAAGCAGAGATATTTTACAGACAGCTTTGCTTTCATACTGAGTTATTTCCTTTGTGACTGGTAGCCACAATGATGGTCTTTGAGCTGGGAAATAATATTTTCATATTTGTGGTTTAGGAAGATCACTTTGCTTATGGAGGATGGACTGTAGGGGAATGAAGCTTAGTTAGGATAGCAAGGCAGTGGCTTGGGAGAGAAGTGATGAGGTAGGTAAGTGAGGCCGAGCAGTGGGGAGGAGGTGGGGCTGGGTTAGAGGACTGCTGGGGCACAGAGTGCAAGGGCCGGGAGGGACTCGGTGCAGGAGGGAGAGCTCCTCAGTTCGGGCTCACTGTGCCAGTGTTCTGCGTCTGCTCCATGCAGAGCTCAGTAGGGGTAGGAAAAACACAGTCCCTGACCTGAGGCACTAAGGCAGAACAGCCAGGTCCATAAGAGAGAGAAACAACCAGTCCTTGGGTTTGTATAACCCCTGAAAGTTTCAGAGCGCTTTTTTGCTCCTATTTTTTTGGAGAAGGAAACAAGCGCAGAGTCTTGGGCAAGATCAGACAAATGGTATGTTTAGAACCCCGACACGAATCAATTCTCAAAACATTTCCTTAATGAAAGTGCACTGTAAACAAAAAATGTTTTGCTGTATTATTCAATGTTTCTAAGAGTAAAAAGTATATATTAGTATTGTCTAAATTTCAATGAAAAATGTAGTTTAAATGTGGACCTGGAAATATTTTTCTTTCCAAAGATCACTTTCAAATAACTTTCTTGTGTTTTTGCAATTTAGCAACTGTAAACTGTTGCTCAGTGAGAATCACTCAACAGTAAAAGTTTGTTCCAGTTATGAAGTGGACACAAAGTTACTTTCTTTGATACATTTACCTGTTAAAGAGTCTCATGATTATTATTCACTGGGTGACATTGTTGCAAATGGACACAGTCTTAATGGGAGGATTATTAACGTGCTTGCAGCTGTGAAATCGGTAAGTTAAAACCCCGACAAAGCCAAGTGCAATCTGGCAGGGGAGGTGCAGTCACTTGATCTGTGTTTGGGATGGAGTGGTCACGATCAGCTGGGGTAACTTTTCTTCTCTATCTTGGTAGTATGCTGAATTAAGAAAACAGTAACACTTCTCATTAAAGGGAAACTAGCTTTTTATCTGTGGATGAGTAGTAAAATAAAATTGTATTTGAATGCTAAATGCAGTGTTCCACTCTGCTCGTAAATGATCTGCTAACTATAGGAGAACTTTTTATACATTGCTTAAACAAAGATGTAAATGGAAAGGGTAAGCTTATTGACTCGAAAATCTCCATGACCTTCCTTGAAGGGGCGTAGTTGAATAAGTTAAGGGATCAGTTCTGTGCCTTTGTGCTCAGAGCTGCCCAGCAACCAGGGAGGGAGTGGGAATACACGCTGCCCTGCTGTAGGGCTCCATGGTCTAATAGGTGCAGTGGGACCATGCTGGTGAGGTGCACGGGAGGATGGCCCTCCGTGGGGCACCAGGGGGGTGTTCCCTTCTGGTGCATCAGCGTCTGTCTGAATTACTGTAGCAAGTTCTGAGCTCTGTAGTTGGACAGACCAGAGCCACAAGGCGGAGATTGAGATGTAGACCTCAACGGTAAAGTTTCACAAAATAAAGTACATGAAAATTAGTCCAGGCACAGTGGCTTACACCTGTGATCCTAGCACTTTGGGAGACCAAGGCAGAGGGATCACTTGAGCCCAGTTCAAGACCAGCCTGGGGCAACATGGTGAAACTCCATCTCTACAAAAAATACAAAAATTAGCCGGATGTGGTGGTGTGTACCTGTAATCTCAGCTGCTTGGGAGGCTGAAGTGGGAGGATCACCTGAGCCTGGGAGGTTGAGGTTGCAGTGAGCCAAAATCATGCCACTGCACTCCAGCCTGGGCAATAGAGGGAGACCCTGTCTCAAAAAAAAAAAAAAAAAAAAAAGGCCTGGCGTGGTGGCTCATGCCTGTAATCCTAGCACTTTGGGAGGCTGAGGCGGGTGGATCACAAGGTCAGGAGTTCGAGACCAGCCTGGCCAATATGGTGAAACACCATCGCCACTAAAAATACAAAAATTAGCTGGGTGGCCTGGTGCGGTGGCTCACGCCTGTAATCCCAGCACTTTGGGTGGCTGAGGCGGGAGGATCACGAGGTCAGGAGATCGAGACCATCCTGGCTAACACGGTGAAACCCCGTCTCTACTAAAAATACAAAAAATTAGCCAGGTGAGGTGGTGGGCGCCTGTAGTCCCAGCTACTCAGGAGGCTGAGGCAGGAGAATGGCGTGAACCCGGGAGGCAGAGCTTGCAGTGAGCCAAGATTGCGCCACTGCACTCCAGCCTGGGCGACAGAGCGAGACTCCGACTCAAAAAAAAAAAAAAATTAGCTGGGCATGGTGACAGGTTCCTGCAGTCCCAGCTACTTGGGAGGCTGAGTCAGGAGAATCACTTGAACCTGGAAGGTGGAGGTTGCAGTGAGCCGAGATCGTACCACTGCCCTCCAGTCTGGGCGACAGAACGAGACTCCGTCTCAAAAAAAAAAAATTAGCTGGGCATGGTGGCAGGTACCTGGAGTCCCAGCTACTCAGGAGGCTGAGGCAGGAGAATTACTTGAACCCAGGAGACAGAGGTTGCAATGAGCTGAGATGGCGCCACTGCACTCCAGCCTGGGCGACAGAGCGAGATTCTGGGTTGATAAATAAATAAATAAAGAGGCAAGAGTAATTTCTTAATATAGAGAGGGATGATAGTCAAGAGACAAAAAAAAAAAAAAAGGAAAAAACACACATGCTTATGATAGTTCATGTAAGTAAATGTGAATTGCTTGTTATATTAAATGGTGACTGAGAGAACGTGACCCTTTCAGATGGCAGGGCCCTGGCTGTGGAGGACATGCCTGCCACCTGGGGAGCATCTGTATACTTTAGGGAGAAGGAATAAGCCCGCTATATGATCATCTTGAAAAACAGGAGAAGTCACTTTGTAGGCAGTTTATGTTCAATCCTATTCAGTTGTTCAAAGGAGTGCTCAATTGTTTGCGATTTCCCCAAATTCTAGACAGTGCTATTACGTTTATAATGAAGTAAGAATTGTCTACAACCCTGAATGAATATAGTAGTATAAGCAGGAAACTGCGGCAGCTTTCCCACCCCCTCAGTGAGTCTGGAACCTTTCATGTGTCACGTCACTTCTTCTCATGCCTTTCATCTCCCCTTTGGCTTTCAGCCCTCTTACATTTTCTTTTCTTCATACTTTTTTTTTCTTTTTGAGATGGAGTCTTGCTCTGTCACCCAGGCTGGAGTGCAGAGTGCAGTGGCGTGATCTTGGCTCACTGCAACCTCCACCTCCCGGGTTCAAGCAATTCTCCTGCCTCAGCCTCCCGAGTAGCCAGGACTACAGGCGTGTACCACCATGCCCAGCTAATTTTTGTATTTTTAGTAGAGACAAGGTTTCACCATATTGGCCAGGCTAGTCTTGAACTCCTGACCTCGTGATTCACCCACCTCGGCCTCCCAAAGTGCTGGGATTACAGGCGTGAGCCACCCCTCCCGGCCACTCTTCACACTTTCATTTAACCTGTTGTTTCTTCCTCTCACCCCCACTGGCGTTTCACTTTAAAACTCCTTTTTAATACAGTGTTCTCCACCTTCCCAACCCCAGATGTTAGGCTGACCTCTCAGCCTCTGGCTGTCCTTTCTAGGTCCCTTTCTCTGGGCACCACAGATGCAGTGGTGGCAGAGGTGGGGGTGGCCAGTGACTGTCCATGCTGGGCCTGCTGCTGTGCATCTCTCAGAGGTGCCTGCCGTTCCCACATGAGAAGCCACTGGGTGGAGAGAAGGGTCCTAGTTTCAACTCTTCTTTTTTTTTTTTTTTAACTTGCTTTAATGGGCAAGAGGATTTCCACTTCTTTGATCATCTTACCCCACAATGGACAGAATTGGACAGTGTCAAAGTTTCCTGTGTATCTCGCATGTGGCTCTCACCATGGTAGCCCTGTGGAGAAGGCAAAGGACATATCCTATATTTGTTTGTTTCCTGTGGACACTTTTTATACCACAGATATGCTGTATTTGATGTTCACTAAGAAGACGGAGGTGCTGAGCCCCAGAGAGCCTGAGTTCATTCAGTCACATGAGTTCCACGCTGAGCCATGGGGATACAAAGGTGCTGGAAACACAGTCCCTGCCCTCGAGGAGTCCACGTAGATGCCCCAGAGGGGCCTGTCATGGAGCTTTGTTGTGACATGTTAAAAAGACTTTCAGTCTCTACTTCAAGCACCTGTCTCCCTGTGTCTCTTCAAAGTGTTGTGTGACTTACAACTTCAGCTACGTACATGTAGTTTAGAGATAGATGCTTTAAAATAATCAACTATATATTACTGGTTCTTGCTAGTTTAATATTTCTAATTTGGTGTTTAAAAGGTGAACATTTGAGTATTTTCATCAACAAATACTTAAGAACTTCTACATATAGGTGAAGAGTAATGATTTATTTCCATTTCTAAGGTTGGAGAGCCAAAATACTTTACAACTTCAGACCGGAGAAAAGGCCAGAGGTGTGAAGTTAGACTCTATGATGAAACAGAGTCGTCTTTTGCGATGACATGGTAAACACCGATGTCTGTTCCAAACTGTGAAATCCCTGTAGTTATCACCAGGACATTTTCATTTTATCAAAAATATGATGGACTTCATATCAAGAGAGGATAATGATAGGAGATGAATGATATTTTAAAAAATAAATCTCACTCTTGAATGTTGAGTTGTTATGGATACCACCTTAAAATGAGGTCTTTAGATGGCATGGAATTGCTTAGGGGGACTCCACCGTGCCCAGTTTTATTATTGAATTCTGTCGTGTAACAAATGATGTTTTATTAGGTCCCATGGAACAAGCCAGAGTTTCCCTCTGTGCTTCCTGGGAAGTATCCTGGAGCAGGGCAGGACACAGGGGCACGTGGGCCAGGGTGGGGACTGCACCCTGAAGCACTGCCAGGTACAACAAGGCATTGTCTAGACCTCTGATGCCTGGGTACCAAAGGAACTGATTTCAAAAATGTCTTCAACCCATCAAGGCCCCTGAGCAGTTTATCCACTGGGGGACACTCACCTTCATGGTCTGAAAGTGTGAGTTTAAAGTCTTCAGGCTTTAGTTCTAACTAGCCTGGAGTGATTAAGTGTTGGAAAAATAAATTAAGAATTGGCAGAGCAGAGTATTACTAGAGGAGAGTGTGTGTTGAAGGAATGTTCTCTCATGGAGTTGTTAAATTCTCCCTAGGAGGAAGCTGGCATGCTTAAGACTAGGAGGTCTTTGACCACCTTGGGGATGGCTGACCCCAGCCACTGAAGCTTTCTTTTATTGTTGTAAATAATATGTCACTATCAGTTTTTTCTAGTGTATTCAATTTGTATTACTTCTTTTTAAACAAATGCAGTTGGGATAATGAATCCATTCTACTTGCACAGAGCTGGATGCCACGAGAAACAGGTATTATCATTCAATGATTGTGTCCAATATTTGTCATTTATATCCTCCCATGTAATAATTTTAAATGGCTTTTTTCCCAAACAGTAATATTTGCCTCAGATGTAAGAATAAATTTTGACAAATTTCGGAACTGCATGACAGCAACTGTAATCTCAAAAACCATTATTACAACTAATCCAGGTAAAAAACTTTGTGAAACCTTTTATCCCTTTGGAAATGACTGAACACATTTCAATATTTATACAGTATATTTAAGAATGAAAATTCAGCCTGGATTTAATTCAAATTAGAAGTAAAAATTGCTTTATATAACTTTTTTAAAAACTTACAATGAACTTTGATATCTTTACTAAAGAAATGTGAGGTCGGACGTGGTGGCTCATGCCTGTAATCCCAGCACTTTGGGAGGCCAAGGCAGGTGGATCACCTGAGGTCAGGAGTTCAAGACCAGACTGGCCAACATGGTGAAACCCAGTCTCTACTAAAAATATAAAAATTAGCTGGGCTTGGTGGTGGGCGCCTGTAATCCCAGCTACTCGGGAGACTGAGGCAGGAGAATCACTTGAACCCAGGAGGCAGAAATTGCAGTGAGCTGAAATCGCGCCATTGTACTCCAGCCTAGGCCACAAGAGCAAGACCCCGTCTTAAAAAAAAAACAAGGCTGGCGCGGTGGCTCACACCTGTAATTCCAGCACTTTGGGAGGCCAAGGTGGGCTGCTCACGAGGTCAAGAGATTGAGACCATCCTGGCCAACATGGTGAAACCCTGTTTCTACTAAAAATAGAAAAATTAGCCGAGCGTAAAAGTGTGCGCCTGTAGTACCAGCTACTCGGGAAGCTAAGGCAGGAGAATCACTTCAACCCAGGAGGTGGAGGTTGCAGTGAGCCGAGATTGCACCACTGCGCTCCAGCCTGGCGACAGAGCGAGACTCCGTCTCAAAAAAAAAAAAAAAAAAAAAAAAAAAGTGAAAAACCAGATTAATTTTAAAGTATAATTCATTGTGATAATTTTTGAGAGATCGATTTTATTGCTTGGATGCTAAATTATTGACTAATAGGTAAATTCAGTTTTGCTACATTCAAATAACTTTTACTGCTAGGACATTGATAACACATGCATGCGTGCACACAGTACTCTCTGTGTAGTATCATTAGCTCATAACTGCACATTAAATGCCCAGATGATCCCCTGGAGTGGTTGTTGAAGGAGTTACAGTTTATTACAGCATGAAATCAAGGAAGCCAGATTGGGGAGATGAGGGATTAGTGCCTGTGAGCATTCCCAGGGTGCTTTATAGTGCAGACATAACCGTCAAGCCAGTACTGCTAAAGAAATGGAGTAATCAATCCTTTGCCATCTCATGAAGCTATGAGTACAGTATGTAGTGTATCATTTAAAACATACGCTCACGCTGCTGGTCTGTAACAAAGCATCAGCAGTGACAGAATTATAAAGCAATGTGTGCTTTTGACCAAACCATTATCAGCATTTTTAAAAGATAGAATTACTATGAGGAATGGTGTAAAATACTGAGACTCTGGTTTTTATATGAGTACTCTGAATCTTGCACATCCAACACATGGATGTTGTCTCCTTGAAGGCAGCACCATGGGAGGAGATGTGCATGCCCCGAATTGCTCTTCACTGAACTAATTTACTGAGCATGTGCTGTATGCTGGGTGCTGTTCTGGGGTGCAACGACAAAATGGATAAATATTTCCACCCTCATGGAGTTTACCCTCCAGCAGGGAGAGACAGAGAATAAATAATGAAGATAATATGTCCGTGAATTATGAAATATTTAAGGAGAACAGGTGGAACAGAGTCAGGAGGACCTAGAGAGCCACAAGGTGGTCGGGCACGCTGCATGGGAGAGTGACGTTTGAGCAAAGACTTGATGAGGAGGCTAAAGGGATAACCAAGGGAAAGCCCTGTGCCTATGTGTGGGAGGAACACCCAGGGGCTGGTGTGGCTGGAGCCCAGGAGTTCAAGGCCAGCAGGAGCTGTTCTGAGAAGAGATGGGGCACCCAGGAAGAAGGCCTCGGAGGCTGTTAGAGTGCACTGGCTTCTGCTCTGGATGGGGTAGCAGGCTGGGGTTTGGAGCAGAGCGGTGACAGCATCTGACTCGGCTCTGAGAGGTTTGCTCTGACTGCTCTGTTGGAAATTGATGGTGACACACGATAGTCTATTATCAACACTTAGGACAACAGTGCAACACTCTTCAGTTTTTTCTTTCCTGGAGGGAGGTACTATGTATGGTTTATTTATTTTAATTTAATTTTATTTATTTTATTTTTTTTGAGACAGTCTCACTCTGTTGCCCAGGCTGGAGTGCAGTGGCGTGATCTCGGCTCACTGCAAGCTCCGCCTCCCGGGTTCACGCCATTCTCCTGCCTCAGCCTCCCGAGTAGCTGGGACTACAGGCGCCCGCCACCATGCCTGGCTAATTTTTTGTATTTTTTATTAGAGATGGGGTTTCACTGTGTTAACCAGGATGGTCTCAATCTCCTGACCGTGTGATCTGCCTGCCTCAGCCTCCCAAAGTGCTGGGATTACAGGTGTGAGCCACTGCACCTGGCCTATGTATGGTTTATTATTAGAAATAACTTATTAATAAAAATAGTTTATTATTCTTTTTTTTTTTTAAATGGAGTCTTGCTCTGTCCCCAGGCTGGAGTGCAGTGGCACAATCTCGGCTCACTGCAGCCTCCGCCTCCTGGGTTCAAGCGATTCTCCTGTTCCAGCCTCCTGGGTTGGTTGCCCAGGTGCCCGCTACCATGCCCAGCTAATTTTTATGCTTTTAGTAGAGACGGGGTTTCACCATATTGGCCAGGCTGGTCTTGAACTTCTGGGCTCCAGTGATCCGCCCGCCTCGGCCTCCCAAAGTGCTGGGATTACAGGCATGAGCCACCACGCCCGGCCTGTTATTTTTACATTTAGTAATACCAGTGATAGTAAAATCTTCATCCTCTAAGGGCAAATTTGAGCTGGAAAAGTTTCTAAAAGACAGATTTGTCTGATGGAAAAGATGATCAAGCTTGACTGTACAATGGTATAAAAAACTCAAGATCTCATTAATGAGACAGATATTATAGGATGTTGTGCATTTGGCTCTGATGACAGATTCAAAGAAAAAAATGTCAAAGTATTTTGAGCAATAACCAACATCATTAGAAAAAATGCCATCTTTCTCAAGGAGACACATTTTTAAAATTTATTATTTATTGCTTAACTTTTTAATTGACAAAAAATTGAATACATTTTATACACTATGTTGTTTTGAAATATGTATACATTACAGAATGGCTAAATCAAGCTAATTAACATATGTGCTACTTCACATACTTATCATTTTTTTTGTGGTGAGAACACGTAAAATCTGTTCTCAGTACTTTTCAAGAATGTCATACGTTGTTACTGATCATAGCTACTACGTTGTACAGCAGATCTAGATTTCTTGGATTTATTCTGTCAAGGAAACAGATTTAAAGGAGAATACTCGCGAGAATGCACGAATTTGTGTGCTTGTTTATATCAGCTTTACTTTTTTTTTTAGTTTTACTTTAAGTTCTGGCATACATGTGCCGAACATGCAGGTTTGTTACATAGGTATACATGTCCCATGATGGTTTGCTACATCTATCAACCTGTCATCTAGGTGTTTTTTTTTTTTGAGACGGAGTCTCACTCTGTCACCCAGGCTGGAGTGCAGTGGCGCGATCTTGGCTCACTGCAAGCTTCGCCTCCCGGGTTCACAGCATTCTCCTGCCTCAGCCTCCCGAGTAGCTGGGACGACAGGTGCCCGCCACCACACCCAGCTAATTTTTTTGTATTTTTTAGTAGAGACGGGGTTTCACCATGTTAGCCAGGATGGTCTTGATCTCGTGATCTGCCTGCCTTGGCCTCCCAAAGTGCTGGGATTACAAGTGTGAGCCACCGCGCCCAGCCTTTTTTGTATTTTTAGTAGACATGGGGTTTCACCATGTTGGCCAGGATGGTCTTGATTTCTTGACCTCGTGATCCACCCACCTTGGCCTCCCAAAGTGTTGGGATTACAGGTGTGAGCCACTGTGCCCAGCCTAATTTTTGTACTTTTCGTAGAGACGGGGTTTTGCAGTGTTTCTCAGGCTGGTCTCAAACTGCTGGGCTCAAGTGATCCACTGGTCTTGGCCTCCCAAAGTGCTGGGATTACAGGCCTGAGCCACCATGCCCCACCTGAGCATCTTATATACCTTTTGCCTATCTGATGGGAGCTTATGACCCTCTCCCCTGAGAAGTGCTATTCCCATGTGTAGAATTTGCATAAACTGTCATATTCCTGGACCCGAAATCCATGAAGCCTAGGCTGAGGCTCTTCTTTTAAAAGGATTTTGCCGGCCAGGCGCAGTGGCTCATGCCTGTAATCCCAACACTTTGGGAGGCCGAGGTGGGCGGATCACTTGAGGTTAGGAGTTCAAGACCAGCCCGGTCAACATGGTGAAATATCATCTCTACTAAAAATACAAAAATTAGCCGGGCGTGGTGGTATGGTGCCTATAGTCCCAGCTACTAGGGAGGCTAAGGCAGGAGGATCGCTTCAGCCGGGGAGGTGGATGTTGTAGTGAGTCGAGATCATGCCACTGCATCCCAGCCTGGGCAACAGAGTGAGACTCTGTCTCCAAAAAAAAAAAAAAAGGAAAAAAAAAAAAAGGAGAAGGGATAAGATGATAGGATTCTCCTTATTGCTATTGCTGGCTTATGCCAGACATGCGGGAGGGACCAGGAGGAAAAGAGGGAAGTTTTAGATCACTCCCTGAAGGCATGTTCTGTAACATAGTTCTAGGAGATGAGTTACCTAGTTATCATAGATGATGCTTAATTCACCTGAAGAGATGAAGAGAGTAACAATGGAATTTAGCATGAAATAATGTATTCTGCAAGCCACATTACATTGTGTGGAAGAGGAATTTTGCTATTGCTTTTGTGGAGGATATTTAATGTGTTTAATATCAGTAGCAGTCACTGATAGAAAAAGATACTACTGGATCAAAATTTATCATCTTTTTGCCTACAAGAAGGGACAAGCCATAAGTGAGACTCCATCTCTACAAAAAATTAAAAAAAAATAGCTGGGCATGGTGGCGCGTGCCTGTGATCTCAGCTACTCAGGAGGCTGAGATAGGAGGACCGCTTGAACCCTGGAGGTAGAGACTGCAGTGAGCTGTGTTCATGCCACTGCACTGCAGCCTCGGTGACAGAGCAAGACCCTGTCTCAAAAAATAATAATAATAATAAAATAAAGCCATGATTGTTACTTTGGAAACATTTTTTAAAATGTTGGCATTATCATTTGTAGATAATGCCATTTCAGGAAACTTGAGAGAGCACACAGGCATTCAGCGAGCTGTGAGGTAAACTTGATAGAGTGTATTTCAGTCCCTGCCCTGCCACACAACCCTAAAACGGGGACAGGAATGATAGTGTCTACAGCCGTTTTTAGGCTACTCAAGGGCAGCCCGATTTATATGGGAACTTTGTTTTCTGATCAGTAGGTCATATTAAAGTAATCACAAAGTAGTTCCTTCTTTCTCTCTCTTTCTTTCTCTGTTTTTTCTTTCTCCCCTCCCCTCCCCTCCCCTCTTCTCTTTTCTTCTTTTTTTTGGGGGGTCTCAAACTCCTGACCTCAAGAAATCCTCCTGCCTCAGCCTCCTGAAGGATTACAGGTGTGAGCCACCTTGCTTGGCCCTAAAATAGGCTTTTTTTGTTTGTTTGTTTTTTGAGATGGAGTCTTGCTGTGTCACCTAGGCTGGAGTGCAGTGGCATGTGCTCAGCTCACTGCAACCTCCGCCTCCAGGGTTCAAGCAATTCTCCTGTCTCAGCCCCCCAAGTAGCTGGGATTACAGGCGCGCACCACCACACATGGCTAATTTTTACATTTTTAGTAGAGACGGGGTTTCACAATGTTGGCCAGCCTGGTCTTGAACTCCTGACCTCAGGTGATCCACCTGCCTCAGCCTCCCACAGTTCTGGGATTACAGGCGTGAGCCACAGCGCCCGGCCCAAAAATAGCTTTTTCTCTTTTTTTGAAATGGAGTCTTGCTATGTCGCCCAGGCTGGAGTGCAGTGGCGTGATCTCGGCTTACTGCAGTCTCTGCCTCCTGGGTTCAAGTTATTCCCCTGCCTGAGCCTCCTGAGTAGCTGGGACTACAGGTGTGTGCCACCATGCCTGGCTAATTTTTTGTATTTTAGTAGAGACGGGGTTTCACCATGTTGGCCAGGATGGTCTTGATCTCCTGACCTCGTGATCCGCCCGCCTCACCCTCCCAAAGTGCTGGGATTATAGGCGTGAACCACCACGCCCAGCCCATCATCTAGGTTTTAAGCCCCACATGCATTAGCTATTTGTCCTGATGCTCTCCCTCCCCTCACCCCCCATTCCCCAACAGGCCCCAGTGTGTGTTGTTCCCCTCCCTGTGTCCATGTTATCTCATTGTTCAGCTCCCACTTATGAGTGAGAACATATGGTATTTGGCTTTCTGTTCCTGTGTTAGTTTGCTGAGAATGGCGGCTTTCAGCTTTATCCATGTCTCTGCAAAGGACATGATCTCATTCCTTTTTATGGTTGCATTGTATTCCATGGTATACATGTACCACATTTTCTTTATCCAGTCTACCACTGATGGTCATTTGGGCTGGTTCCATGTCTTTGCTATTGTAAATAGTTATATCAGTTTTACTTTTAATTTCCTGGGCTACACCTGCCTTATAGAAATTAAGAAGCTCTAAATGGCTTGTGTTCATCCTAGCCAGGTGTCCAGATTCCCTTGTTTCTTTCTCTGCCCTGAGAGTGCTTATCAGATAGGGAGGGCACAATTCCTGCCTTTCTCTGACAGTCAGGATAACGCTATTGTCAGTGAGGACCTGCAGTGCTGGTACCCACCCATCCCTGCCAGCCCCCATCACAGGAAGCTCATTGGCTGGATTTCTGTGGCCTCACTCCAGCAGATGTTCCCATCTGAAGCACAGCAATTCATGATGCATATCTCTCCAAGTTAATAGAGTTCTGCATTCATTCATTCGCCCATGACCTTATCAGTATTTTTGAATGCCTTTTACTTGCCAAGAATTGAGATAATATACATTTCTGGAACAAGGAAGGAGATGAGTGGCTGGTCAGATGGATGTGAGGATAGTCATCACGTGGGACACTGCGTGCTGGCAAGGATTTGACAACCTAGTTCTGAGAAAGAACAGGTAGGAGACTTGTATTCTGGGAGCAAGGAGGAAGAAATGCCCAGATCTTCCCAGGGGAGTTAGGAAGTACAGACATTGTCAGGACAATTTGTAAAATATTCAGGGGGGCCTGGGGTACTTAATCATATGCCGGAGGCTGGGGTCCTGGGGTCCAAGGGCATCATGGGGGAGCTCTTTCCAAACTCGCGTTCCTGCCTTCTGGCACAGCACCCCTGACCCTTGAGCACACTCATGTGCCAATGTGGGGAGCTAGGCTTTTTATAGAGCCTATTTTATATATTTCAATTGCCTTTTGAAAACCTTTTTTTTATGATAAGTAAAGAAATACGTATAAAATTCAGAAAAAATATATAGAAACATAAACAAGGAAAACAAAGATCACCTACAATCCCACTGTCTAGAGAGAATCATTTTTTCGTATATATTCTTCCAGATAATTTTGCATTTATATATGTATTTTTTTTTTTAGACAGAGTCTTGCTCTGTTGCCCAGGCTGGAGTGCAGTGGCGCTATCTCAGTTTACTGCAAGCTCCACCTCCCAGGTTCATGCCAGTCTCCTGCCTCAGCCTCCCAACTAGCTGGGACTACAGGCGCCCACCACCACGCCTGGTTAATTTTTTTGTATTTTTAGTAGAGGTGGGGTGTCACCATGTTAGCCAGGATGGTCTCCATCTCCTGACCTTGTGATTCACCTGCTTCAGCCTCCCAAAGTGCTGGGATTACAGGCGTGAGCCACTGCGCCCGGTCCCTTATATATGTAGATTTTTTAATTAAAAGGGTATTGAACCACATAGGTTAGTAAGCTGCTCTTTTCACTAACATCTGTTTTAGATGTAATGTGGTGTACATCTCTCTATGTTTACAGAATTCTACATCACATTGTTAATGGCCACGTAATATTCTATTTGATTGTATTCTTACATGTCTTCACTTTTTACTATTAAAATGATTTTGGATGATTTAAATGTGATTTAAATGATAATCAGTTTGCTTTTTACTTATTATGCATTTTCAATTTAAGATATACCAGAAGCTAACATTCTGCTGAATTTTATACGAGAAAATAAAGAAACGAATGTTCTGGATGATGAAATTGACAGTTATTTCAAAGAATCCATAAATTGTAAGTGACCGTTTAAATATATTTGGATTTTTTTAAAGGCCGAAATTGGGCCTGTAAAGGTTTGTTTGACATGGTAAAAGATACCAGATTCCTATTCTGTAACTACTATATTTCTACTTTCTAAAGGTAGCTTAAAATAGTGGGCATCTTTTTCTTTTTCTTTTGAGCCCAGGAGTTCATGAGACCAGCCTGGCCAACATGGCAAAACGCCGTCTCTACTAAAAACACAAAAATTAGCCAGGTATCATGGGATGTGCCTGTAATCCCAGCTGCTCAGGAGGCTGAGGCAGGAGAATCCCTTGAACCTGGGAGGTGGAGGTTGCAGTGAGCTGAGATCCAGCCTGGGTGACAGAGCGAGGCTACACTCCAGCCTGGGTGTCAGAACAAGACTGTATCTCAAAAAATAAAAAAATAAAAGAAACACAATACAGAATGCTTGGCCAGGTGTGGTAGCTCACGCCTGTAATCCCAGCACTTTGGGAAACCAAGGTGGAGGGATCACTTGAGGTCAGGAGTTTGAGACCAGCCTGGCCAACATGGTGAAATCCCGTCTCTACTAAAAATACAAAAAATGAGCCAGGCATGGTAGGGGGCACCTGTAATCCCAGATACTCAGGAGGCTGAGGCAGGAGAATTGCTTGAACCCAGGAGGCGGAGGTTGCAGTGAGCCAAGATCACACCACTGTACTCCAGTCTGGGCAACAGAGCGAGACCCCGTCTCAAAAAAAAAAAAAAAAAAGAAACATAATACAGAATGCAACAAAGAGCCCCAAATAGTTATTTGGTTAACATCTTTTAATCTATCTTTTTGTGCATATATACTAATAGAAGGATAAAGACATAAAAATATTATAGATAAATAGATACACATCACCATCTTTTTATTGAAGAAAATTAAATTTCATGCACTAGACATCAACAAAAGAAAAGAAACCAATGAAGTGCTGAAGGAACCGGATAAGTTCTCATAAAAGTTTTCTAACCCAAGTAATATTAGTTCCTGGAAGATTCTTCTAAGATAAAGAAAAATAAAAATGAATAATAGGTTATTGTCTTTAGTTTTGTAAAGTTTATTTTTGTTGTTGCTTCACATCCTCACTAATGTTGTGTTATTACTCTTTTAAATGTTAGGTGTTTAGTGGAATTCTCTTTTTTTTTTTTTTTGAGATGGAGTCTGGCTCTGTCACCCAGGCTGGGATGCAAAGCCGCGATCTCGGTTGAGTGCAACCTCCACCTCCTGGGTTCAAGCGATTCTCCTTCCTTAGCCTCCCAAGTAGCTGGGATTACGGGCACACACTGCTACACCCAGCTAATTTTTTATTTTTAGTAGAGACAGGGTTTTGCTATGTTGGCCAGGCTGGTCTCAAACCCCTGACCTCAAGCGATCGACCAGTCTCAACCTCTCAAAGTGTTAGAATTACAGGCATGAGCCACCACATCCGGCCTACTCTTGTTTAATTTGTATTTTCCTGATGATTATTGAGGCCCAGTACGTGTATTGGCCATTTTGATAACTTTTGTTTTGTGATGTACTTTATTTATTTATTATTTTTTTTTATTTTATTTTTTGAGATGGAGTCTCGCTCTGTCGCCCGGGTTGGAGTGCAGTGGCGCGATCTCGGCTCACTGCAAGCTCCGCCTCCCGGGTTCACGCCATTCTCCTGCCTCAGCCTCTGGAGTAGGTGGGACGACAGGCGCCCACCCCACGCCCGGCTAATTCTTTGTATTTTTAGTAGAGACAGGGTTTCACCATGTTAGCCAGGATGGTCGCGATCTCCTGACCTCGTGATCCACCTGCCTCGGCTTCCCAAAGTGCTAGGATTACAGGCGTGAGCCACTGCGCCTGGCTGTGTGATGTACTTTTAAATTCTCTTCCCCATTTAAAAAATTGAGTCAGTGTCGCCGGGCGCGGTGGCTCACGCCTGTAATCCCAGCACTTTGGGAGGCCGAGGCGGGCGGATCACGAGGTCAGGAGATGGAAACCATCCTGGCTAACACGGTGAAAACCCGTCTCTACTAAAAATACAAAAAAAAATTAGCCGTGGTGGCGGGCGCCCGTAGTGCCAGCTACTCGGGAGGCTGAGGCAGGAGAATGGCATGAACCTGGGAGGCGGAGCTTGCAGTGAGCCGAGATCGCGCCACTGCACTACCGCCTGGGCGACAGAGTGAGACTCTGTCTCAAAAAATAAAAAATAAAAATGAAAATAATAATAAAAAAAATCGAGTCACTGTCTTTTTGAGATGGAGTTTTGCTCTTGTTGCCCAGACTGGAGTGCAATGGCGCCATCTTGGCTCACCACAACCTCCACTTCCTGGATTCAAGCGATTCTCCTGCCTTAGCCTCCTGAGTAGCTGGGATTACAGGCATGCACCACCATGCCTGGCTAATTTTTTTTTTTTTTTTTTTTAAGTAGAGACAGTGTTTCTCCATGTTGGTCAGGCTGCTCTCGATCTCCCAACCTCAGGTGATCTGCCCACCTCGACCTCCCAAATTGCTGGGATTACAGGCATGAGCCACTGTGCCCAGCTGAGTCACTGTCTTTTTCTAATTGATATTTAAGAATTCTTTAGATAATTCTGGATGAGTCCTTTATCTCATTGTAGACTGCTAGCATCTCCCACTCTGTGGCTTGCCTTTTCACTTTTTAATGGTGTCTTTTGATGAACAGAAATTCTTCATTTTAATGAAGACTAATTTCATTTCCTTTTTTTCCTTATGTTTTGCTTTTATGTCCATTTATAGAATCAGTGTTTATATAGCCAACATAGTAATTTTTCTGTTACTTAAGCTACTGCATGTTCTCATTTGTCATAGCTTTCCATTCGGATGTAACCTTTTATATTTTTTAGAATATATACAGAACTGTAATACTTCTTTCTGTTTTTAGTAAGTACAATAGTTGATGTCTACACAGTTGAACAATTAAAGGGAAAAGCTTTGAAGAATGAAGGAAAAGCTGATCCTTCCTATGGCATCCTTTATGCCTACATTTCCACACTCAACATTGATGATGAAACTACAAAAGTAGTTCGAAATAGATGGTAAGGATCCGTGTCACTTTTAGCAAATTCATTTTTGTAAGAAATAATTATTGTTAATAAATTTTAAGCTCTCTAAAAGTTAAAGCTGTTTGTTGATGTAACAGGGGTTATGTATTGGAGATAAATGTGTAAAAAACTGTACTGAAAAGTTTCCATAGCAAACCAGATTAAAATATTATAATTGCCTTTTAAAATATAATCTGTATTTCCATAATTCTAACATATAAAGATATAATGTGAGAAACTTTTGACAAACTTGTCTAATGATTTGGCAGAAAGCTATTTTGGTTGCTAGGCCCTATAGCAATGTAGTGACAGCATTAAAAAAAAATTATTTTCAAGCCAGGTGCAGTAGCATGCGCCTGTAGTCTCAGCTACTCAGGAGGCTGAGGTGGGAGGATCGGTTGAGCCCAGGAGTTTGAAGAGTTTGAGTCCAGCCTAGGAAACATCAAACCTCTTGTAGATCGAAGTTAGTATTTACTTGCATAGAAAGTAAACTGCAGGCCGGGCACGGTGGCTCACGCCTGTAATCCCAGCACTATGGGAGGTCGAGGCAGGTGGATCACCTGAGGTCAGGAGTTTGAGATCAGCCTGGCCAATATAGCGAAACACCATCTCTACTAAAAATACAAAAAATTAGCTGGGTGTGGTGGCGGGCACCTGTAATGCCAGCTACTTTGGAGGCTGAGGCATGAGAATTGCTTGAACCCAGGAGGCGGAGGTCGCGGTGAGCCGAGATTGCACCATTGCACTCCAGCCTGGGCGAGAAGAGTGAAACTCTGTCTCAAAAAAAAAAAAAAAAAAAAAGAAAGAAAAGAAAGTAAACTCCAGTAGATTTAATACTCTTAGCTAAAAGATGCTTGGCAAGAAATGTGTAATATTATTAGGAAAGTCTCTCTATGGATTTTTATAACTGAATTTTCATTGAGATAATCCTAGATTCACATGGATGTATAAGAAATAATAAGAGGGCTGGGCGTGGTGGCTCACGCCTGTAATCCCAGCACTTTGGGAGGCCAAGGCAGGTGGATCACGAGGTCAGGAGATTGAGACCATCCTGGCTAACACGGTGAAACCCTGTCTCTACTAAAAAATACAAAAAAATTAGCCGGGCATGGTGGTGGGCGCCTGTAGTCCCAGCTACTCGAGAGGATGAGGCAGGAGAATGGCGTGGACCTGGGAGGCAGAGCTTGCAGCGAGCCGAGATTGCGCCACTGCACTGCACTCCATCCTGGGCGACAGAGCGAGACTGTGTCTCAAAAAAAAAAAAAATAATAATAAGAGAGATCCCTTGTGGCTTTTGCCCCGTTTCCCCCAGTGTTACCATTTTGCAAGTGATAGTACCATGTCACAGCCAGGATATCAACACCATTCAATCCACTGGTCGTATTCAGATTCCTCCAGGTTCACATGCAGTCGTGTGTGTGTGTTCTCATTAGTTTTATCACACTTGTAAGTTTGTGTATCTATTGCCACAGTCAAGATATTGACCTCTGAATTTTTAAAACATTTTATGATGTGGTATTAAAGTTGAAAAAAGTAATGTGGAGGATGCTGTGTAAGGCCTTGTATTCATTTTTTGAAAAATAGTTTTCAAAAATTGAAAAACTAATTTTTTTCCTGTACATTTATTATTGATATCTGAGGAAAAGCATCTAAAATTTGCTAGACCAAGTGATCTGTGGCTAGATAAGAAACCACTATCTTCAGTTCATTTCCCCTATTTGAGAAATTTGAATTAGTTTCCCTGTTTAAAATTGCTAAAGTAAGGCTTGCTTCAGAAATATGGAATAGCATAAATCACTGAAAGAGAGGAGAGTGTATCACCAGCAGTGTTAATAGCATCTGGGTGCTACCCGGCCAGCCTTGCAAGGCTTTCTGTATTTGTAGAGAAGGCCCCGTGCAGGCCCATCCAGTGAGCAGCTGTTGAACTCGTGCTTTCCAGGCACAAGACACAGTTCCTGCCCTCAGAACTCCCAGCCAGGGAGGTGAGAATAAGGAGCTGATGCAACAGCACCAGTCAGTCCTGAGGCGTGCACTCTGCTGCTGTTCCAAGAGAGAAAGGCTGCAGGCTGGGATACGAGAAGGGAGGGCCCCAGCAAGGAAATGAGACTGGGATGGACCTCGAGGGCTTGGCAGAGGGAGGGAAGGAGGGCAGGCAGAGGACTGGTGTACGCAGTTTCAGATGACTCCTGAGAATGGCTGCGTAGAAAGTGTGTTTTACTGTTTTTTACGACTGTCTTGTAGACCGCATAGCACTGAACACTCAGTAAGTTTTCCACACACTGTCGTAGAGTTTTTAGTGACAATTCTTTTTCTGCTACAGATGAAATTTGTAGCTTAGGGCATCACATTTTATCATTGTCTTTGTTTCTTTTCAGTTCCAGCTGTGGTTATATTGTAAATGAAGCATCTAACATGTGCACAACTTGCAACAAAAACTCCTTGGACTTTAAATCTGTCTTTCTCAGTTTCCATGTGCTGATTGATCTGACTGATCACACAGGCACCCTTCATTCCTGTAGTCTCACAGGAAGTGTTGCTGAGGAGACTTTGGGCTGCACGGTAAATAGCAAAAAGGAAGAAATGTTTAGAATATTTCCAAAGTGAATGCTTTTTCCCAAAAAAATATAGGTTGTTTTGTCAAACATTTGATAGAAATTGATTCACTAATAAACAGCCTGGGAAAAAATCATCTTGCTTTAAACACACATTGCTTTGATGAACAAATGTTACATATTTTATATCAAAATCCTAGCTAATATTTACTATTATGAGTAATGACTGAGGCCATTAGCCTAAATGGATAAATAAACATGATGTTTTAGGGCTGGGCACCGTGGCTCACGCCTGTAATCTCAGCACTTTGGGAGGCCAAGGAGGGCGGATCACTTGAGGTCAGGAGTTTGAGACCAGCCTGGCCAATATGGCGAAACCCCATTTCTACTAAAAATACAAAAATTAGCTGGGTGTGGTGACGTGCACTTGTAATCCTAGCTACTCAGGAGGCTGGGGCACGAGAATCACTTGAGCCCAGGATGTGGAAGTTGCAGTGAGCCAAGATCACGCCACTGCACTCCAGCCTGAGTGATAGAGCAAGACTTGTCTCCAAATAATTAAAAAAAAAACAAAACACTAAGGAAACATGATGTTTGATATAGTCAAGTAACGATGGGTAAAACAACAAGTCGGAGATGTTGATCAGTCATAAGGTGGTTTTTCTAGGAAGATTTGGCTGTGTTTCACCTACTCAGTTACATAAAGTCAGCTACACGTTTTCTCCTTGATTTGCAGCTATACAACAGCAGCAGATACTTAGGGATTAGCATGTGCATTTGGCAATAGGCACCTGTTTTTTATTGTTAAAACCAGCTCATGAAATTTACCATTAGACTTTAGTTCCAAATTCTGCTTCCACTTTATTGAGGGGATTTTTCCTTGCTGAGATACCTGATTACCTTTGGAGATTTTGCTTATATAGCCTTTCCTGCCTTATCTTCTCTATCAAAACAGTTGAGTTGGCTGGGCATAGTGGGTCACACCTGTAATCCTACCACTTTGGGAGGCTGAGGCAGGAGGATCACTTGAGGCCAGGAGTTCAAGATCACCCTGGGCAACATAGTGAGACCCTGTCTCTACAAAACATAAAACATAAAACAATTAGCCAGAGAAGAGTAGTGCATACCTGTAACCTCAGAAACGGGAAGCTGAGGGAGGATTGCTTGACCCCGGGAGTTCGAGGCTGCAGTGAGCTGTGATAGCACTGCTGCACTCCAGCTTGGGCGACAGAGTGAGACCCTGTCTCTACAAACAAAAACAAACGATTGAGCTGTAATTACTGCAAATAAAATTTCATTTCTAATGAGAAAGTTTGTTTCACACTGTTGTCAAAAATGAATTTTCTTTGTAAACTTCAAATATATTTGTCTCATATTTTTTTTTTAACCAGGTACATGAGTTTCTTGCAATGACAGATGAACAGAAAACAGCATTAAAGTGGCAATTTCTCTTGGAAAGAAGCAAAATTTATTTAAAAGTTAGTGCATTTTATAGTCCCATATTATTCTATATATTTATTATTCTGTATATTCAAACCATAAGAAAAACCTAGATAAATTCGAGAATTTATTATTTCTAATGCCCAGTTCCCAGATGTGCATAAGGATTCAGCTATCCTAAAAGCAAAGGAAATAGCCAGGGGTTTTTTCATATTGTATAAAGGAGTTACCAAAGACATCAAAGAAAATAGACCAACAAAGAAAATATCCTTTAAGGTTAAATCCAAAACAGGGGAAAGGGCTTTAAAATCAGAGCTGATGGGTGCAATAGTACACACCTGTAATCCCAGCTACTTGGTAGGCTGAGGTGGGAGGATCACCTGAACCCAGGAGTTTGAGGCCAGCCTGGGCAACATAGTGAGACCCCTCTCTTGGCCCCTGAACCCCAAAAGGTCAGACTAGGTTGTCCCCACCCCCACCCACCCTGTGGTGTTCCCTTCAGTTAGTGAGGCAGTGTAAGATAGCACAATTAAGTGCTTGGGTTGTTGCGGGGAGACAGATTTGGTCTGAATCCTAATCCCACCACACCTCAGCCTGTGAGACCCTGCAGAGGTTAATTAAATTTGCTAACCTGCAAAATTCCATGATCCTCCAACCCTGAAGGGCCACAGTTGCCTCCTGAGGCACTTCAGTGTTGGAGGATCCTCGAGTCTTTGTGTTCAAGGTGTCAGAGGAGGAAAAGTGCAGTGAGACAAACTCCCCTATTGCAGATGAGAAAAGTGGGACCAAGAAGTGTTGCCACTTGCACTGGGTCACAGGTGAGACTGGACCCAGCCAGCCTAGTTGCTTCACTTCATGGTTCTCAACTCTTTTCTCTTGTATTCTCCCGCAAGTTAATGTGCTCCCGTTTGTGTGGTTATATCTACTGATACTTGCTGTACTGCAGCTTAATACTGAAAAAATTTTAAAACATTCTAGAGCACACATTCCATTTGTGTCAGACTAATGGTATCATGGAGCCTCTAGAAAACATTGCGTGCTGATGAGAGAATTAGTGTTATTATGAAATTAGTTTTCATCTCATGGACATCCTGCAGGAGCATTTGTGAATGCTGCATCTCCTCCATCTCAGCCTCATAAGCAGGTTTTCCCATTTTCCATGGCCACCAACACATCTGAATAGTTTGCAGACATGGAGTCTCCAGTGGCCTTAGCAATATTTCTAGGACCTCGGCTTGAGGCCTCTTCACTACCAGGCCAAAGGCAGTAAAGTTGCAGTAAGATGCTGCATCTCTTCAACAGTTAGCATGGGCCCCTAAATACTGTCTCTTTGCAAGTCAGGGCATGCTTAGGTCCTTGACCGACCCTGTATACTTTCCCTCCAGACAGGAGGCACCACTTGCTAATGAGTCTGATCAACTTAAGTTCATGGGAACTTAAGAGTTTTCTAAATTTGATTCAAATACAACAATGAATGACCCTCAAGTGGATACTGCACTTTCCCAGAGAATGTGTGTAACAGATGTTCCAGGTGGCTTTAACAAATATTCATAATTATGGACAAGCTGCTTCGTGCATTAGGTAACACAGTATTTTACAAATAAAAAGATGTAAAATCCAAAACCAAAATCCAAAAACCATGATGCATACAAAAATAACACATGTTGAAGATTTAACTCATTAATTAATGAGGGGACCAGTAAGATATAGGGGAGAAGAAGGATTCAAAGGGGAATTGGTTCATGACCAGCCTGTCCAAGATGGTGAAACCCCATCTCTGCTAAAACTACAAAAATTAGCCAGGCATGGTGGCAGGTGCCTGTCATCCCAGCTACTCAGGAGGCTGAGGCAGTAGAATTGCTTGAACCTGGGAGGCAGAGGTTGCAGTGAGCCGAGATCTCACCACTGCACTCCAGCCTGGGTGACAGAGTGAGACTGTGTCTCAAAAAAAAAAAAAAAGAAAAAGGAATTGGAAGAATAGATACATAGGCAGGCAATGCAAAATGCTGAATGGGTTTGCTTGTAGATGAACCTCTGGGCTCCTCTATAGGGCAGAAGCAGTGCATCTTCACTCAGACAGACTTCATGGGGATTCCATGAGCAGGGTCATTCGAATCACTGTCAGCTTTCTACAACCTAGTTCTAAAACAGCTCAGTCCGTGCAATGGGAGGTGTAGCCCCTGTAGAATCAGACAGCTCTGAACGTGTTCTAGCCAATGTCAGACTACCACAACATTCCATTGAAAGGGTACCCACTTATTGTTATTGCCCACTTAAAGTCTTTCCCAGTTTTCCCTGATGTTGGTACTTTTTTTTCTCTCAGTCTTGAAATTAAAGTGGTTGATATGTCCTTCCACTCTATATTAAATAAAATGTTGGTTAAAGTGCTGTATAAATTATAAAAAATAAGACTATTAAAATAAGACTATTATTAAATTATGTCATCATATTCCTGTAGTCTCACAGATTGAGTCCCTGCTACAGCTTAAAGTCTATCACAGTTGGTAGTTTGAACACACATTAAGCCCTTTTTCATATGTTATACTTTTTTTTTTTTTTGAGACACAGTCTCACTCTGCTCGCTCTGTCACACAGGCTGGAGCACGTGGTGCGATCACAGCTTACTGCAGCCTCAACCTTCCCAGGCTCAAGTGATCCTCCCGCCTCAGCCACCGAGTAGCTGGGACCACAGGTGTGCACCACCACACCTGGCTAATTTTTATATTTTTAGTAGAGACAGGGTTTCACTTTATTGGCCAGGCTGGTCTTGAACTTCAGGCCTCAAGTGATCTACCTGCCTTGGCCTCCCAAAGTGCTGGGATTACAGGCATGAGCCACCTCACCCAGCCCTGCATTAGACATTTTTTTTAGTGGGGGGGGGTGGGGGGGACAGAGTTTCGCTCTAGTTGCCCAAGCTGGAGTGCAATGGCACAATCTCTGCTCACTGCAACCTCTGCCTCCCGGGTTCAAGGGATTCTCCTGCCTCAGCCTTCTGAGTAGCTGGGATAACAGGTGTGTGCCACCATGCCCGGCTAATTTTTTGTATTTTTAGTAGAAATGGGAGTTTCACCATGTTAGCCAGGCTGGTCTCGAACTCCTGACCTCAGGTGATCCACCCGCCTTGGCCTCCCAAAGTGCTGGGATTACAGGCGTGAGCCACTGCACCAGCACCCGGCCACATTAGACTTTTAATCCCAACTTTCCTACCTGAGAGAAATAGCATGAAAAGTGACAAAATTTTTACAAAATCAGTCAGAAGCTGGGCCTGTAAATTAACTGTACTCCGAGACTGGAACTCTTCCCATCATCTTACAGCTCTAATGGAAGTTTATATTAGTATCTGTAAACAAAACTTTCATTGCAGTTCTCTATTCGTGATCATTGATTTTTCAACTTGATATACAAGGGGATTTTAAAAATTAACCTTTTGTCTCTTTTTCTGTTTCTCCTCGCAGTTCGTTCTATCACACAGAGCAAGGAGTGGATTGAAAATTAGTGTACTCTCGTGCAAGCTTGCAGATCCTACTGAGGCAAGCAGAAACTTGTCTGGACAAAAACATGTTTAAAACGGTCTATCATTTTGAACTCTGGAAAAGTATAAGAGTTTTAACTCCCTTTAAAATGGAATATTAATTTGAAAATTATGGGGAAAATTGCATTTTGTTTACATGTGGTGAACATGTTTCTAGAAATTGTTATGGTGGAGGTGGTCTGGGTGAGTCTGAAGGCCTCTCTCATCTGACCTCCCTTCTTAGAAGGCCTCCTACTGTCTTTGCCTTGTCTCCTCCCAAGTTGGAAAATGTTTACATGAATTAATAAACAGATTTAATCTTCTACAGATTTGAATGATTTATTTTCTTTTCCATGTAGTTGAACGGCTTTGAGTGAGTTTCTTAATCCTGAGTGAATGATTTATTTTCTTAAGCCAGTTTATTATTTGTCTTGGTTCCCTGGAAAAAGAGTAGGACCTCAAGGGCTGGGCACGGTGGCTCATGCCTGTAATCCCAGCACTTTGGGATGCCAAGGCAGTCAGGAGATCGAGACCATCCTGGCTAACACAGTGAAACCCCATCTCTACTAAAAATACAAAAAATTAGCTGGGTGTGGTGGCACGTGCCTGTTGTCCCAGCTACTCGGGAGGCTGAGGCAGGAGAATCTCTTGAACCTGGGATGAGGAGGTTGTAGTGAGCTGAGATCCAGCCACTGCACTCCAGCCTGGGCGACAGAGCGAGACTCTGTCTTAAAAAAAAAAAAAAAAAAAAAAAAAGTACCTCTAAAGACTACTTTCTGAGAGCTGGGTGGTGACTCGTCATCTGACAGATCTGACAGGATGAGGGCAAGGGGCTCTTGGTGCTGGGTGGGAATAGCCAAAGTCGTGGGCAATCCTGTGCGACTGCTTTGAGCACCTGGGGCTCTTCTAGTCCCTGGTCTTCTCTGGTGACACACTGGAGTGCCCAGTGCTTGTGGAGGCTTGCTGGCTCAGGGCTGACATGACTGAGTCTGAATCAACTGGGAGGAGACCAACTTCAAAAGGTTCATGAGCATGCCTGGGTCTCAGAACTCTGAGGGGGACCTACTCAGGACATGAGGACGACAGCTGCCACTTTATCTGTTTGCTTTGCAGCAGCCACAAAGTAAACGGCTCAACTGCACACCATTGAGAGTCACTTGCTTCAGGGCGCAGACTCCAGCTGTGAAGACCCACCGCTAAGGTCAGTGTTGACCCACGGCCTGGGAGGTTTGACCTGGTACTTTAGAAGGCTACATGCCCTCCACCACAGGATTGAAAAAAAAGGAAAAAGTGAGTATATGAAACTGTTTCCTAAGGCTGGTGTTGGGAGATAAACCATCGTCAGTCATGTTTTATCTGGCTTTTACCATGTGCAGCCACAGAGGAGGGATGCAGGTTCACCCCTAAGTGTCCAAATTGTGGTGATAAGGTAATGAACGACTTGACCTAGTTGTGCAGAACAGGCCTTCCATCCTCCCTTGGGGAGAACTGGGGGGTTTGTGAAGCCAGGTGAATGGGGAGGGTGGACAGGGAAGGAAGGAGAGGAGAGAAGTGAGGGTGTCGTGGTTGGTGCTGGCTTGGCTCCCACTGTTGGTTCAGCAAGAGTGGGTATGGTGCCCCCTCCACTGAGCCCCGTGTCCAGGAGCTCAGGAGAAGCCACCTTACTCGGTTAATTTTAAAACATTTTGTAGAGACAGTGATCTTGGCATTTTGCCCAGGCTGGTCTTGAATTCCTGGGCTCAAGTGATCCACCCACCTCGGCCTCCCAAAGTGCTGGGATTACAGGCGTGAGCCACCGTGCCCAGCTGACACTTATATTTTTAAGAAAAAGAGGAAAATAGGCCAGGCGCGGTGGCTCACGCCTGTAATCCCAGCACTTTGGGAGGCTGAGGTGGGTGGATCACGAGGTCCGGAGATGTAGACCATCCTGGCTAACACGGTGAAGCCCTGTCTCTACTAAAAATACAAAAAAATTAGCCGGGTGTGGTGGAGGGCGCCTGTAGTCCCAGCTACTCGGGAGGCTGAGGCAGGAGAATGGCGTGAACCCGGGAGGCGGAGCTTGCAGTGAGCCGAGATCATGCCACTGCAGCGTGGGCAACAGAGCAAGACTTTGTCTCAAAAAAAAAAAAAAAGAATGACCATAGCCATGATGCCCAGCCTTAGCTGGGGTGTCGGTGTAAAGGTATTCTTAAACAGTCTTGTCAAGTGCAACATGGTAGTTTTTTTTCCTCTGCAATTTGGCAAAAAGTGTCAAAATTTCAAAGTGCAAACCATTTCATTGATTTCACTTCTAAGACTTCCCTAAGGAAACAAACAAGTGCCAATGATGTAGAGCAGCGGCCCAAACTTTTTGGCACCTGGGAATGGTTTGGTGGAAGACAGTTTTTCCACGGATTGCCGGGTCGGGGGGCGGGGATGGTTTCAGGATGAAACAGTTCCACCTCAGATCCAGGCATTAGATACTCATAAGGAGTGCGCAACCTAGATCCCTCGCATGTGCAGTTTACAAAAGGGTTCACGCTCCTGTGAGAATCTCATGCCACCACTGATCTGACGGGAAGCAGAACTCGGGCGGGAATGCTCACTTGCCTCCTACTGTGTGGCTCCGTTTGTAACAGGCCACGGGCTGGTAGCAGTCAGTGGCCTGGAGGTTGGGGGACCCTTGCTGTAGAGTATATGGAGGATGCCCCTTGCATCATTGTTTCTAATAGCAGAGCATCTGAAAAGTGTGCAATCTGTCGGGGATGCTCCACCCAGAAAATCTTCACTTGCTGAAGTCCCTCAGCTTCTATGAGGGTCAGAAAATTACCTGAGGAAGCTATGGAAAGGGCGGGGAGAGCAGATTCTGGTGCCAACAGACTCCTCGCTCCAGAGCTTCCCCTTGGGTTCACCAGCTGACTGAAGCTGATATCCAGCCCAGAGACCACTTTCTTCCTTGGAGTTTGCTCCCTGCCCTTTCTGCTTCATTACGCTTCTCTTCTCCTGAGAGCACTCCTTCAGCAAATCACGGGAACAAGAATCCCCATCTTAGGCTGTGCTTCTGGGGTACATGATCTGAGATACAGCCATTAAAAAGGGGTACCTGTACTTATATTCACTGACCTGGAAATATGTTCGTGATATATTAAGTGGATGTGTAATACTCATTTTTTTATAAAAGGCCAATCAACATGTTTTAAAAACACAACAGAAGAACAGATGTCAAACCATATATTCTGTACAGACTAATACACTGTGGAATTATTTTCTTAAGCGTGATAATGGTCTCATTTCCATGTAGGAGAATATCCTGATTCTTGGGAGATGTATGCTGAAAGGGAAGAGTCTTTCTGCAGTCACCATCCCGACGCATTTCCAAAATATGGGTGTGTGTGTGTGTGTGTGTGTGTGTGTATAGAGAGAGAGAGGTGCATGTCTGCATATATACACATATATGGCGGGGAGGAAGGGAGAGACGTAGGACCAGAGGACAAACATAGTGAATGCTGGTAATTGTTGAAACTATTAAAGGGCATATGGAGTTCATTGTATTGGTTTTTAAACTTTTTCATAGGTTTAAATGTATTCAAAACGTGGAAAAACGTTATCTTCTGAATGCTAGGATTACTATGATTTTAGCAATATCAGGAATTGTCGGACTTGGTGTCTCTGTTTTTGATTCTTGCATCTAAGGACTTTGTGTGCCTACACCTGCAATGCTGATGTCAATGTTTGTGACAAAGCTTGTTCTACCACTGTGGTGAACACTGACCCCAGGGGCACTGTACTCGGTGCTGGCTTGTGCCACCTACTAGGGCTGCATGTGAGCACTGCTTCTACTTTATAACTTTGACTTTAATAGTCTGTCAACTTGGTAGCTATATCTCAGCTGAACCGTGTACCTGGTAGCAGACTAATAATACACTTCCAGCATGAGCACGCCCTTTGATCCAACTCTTCCACTTATGGGAACCTAGCCAAAGGAAAAAACAGCACATGTGCTGATACTAGCAAATCATTAGAGACAATCTCAAGGTCCAAAAATGGAGGCTTGACTTCAGAATCTTATGCAATCCATGAAAGTTGTACTGCAGAAATGTGTCAGCTAACAAGGAAAAAGATGGTCACAATATACAGTGAAATAAGCAAGTTAAATAATTGTATGGTATAGCTGGGCACGGTGGCTCATGCCTGTAATCCCAGCACTTTGGGACGCCCAGGCGGGTGGATCACTTGAGGTCAGGAGTTCGAGACCAGCTTGACCAACATGGTGAAACCCTGTCTCTACTAAAAATACAAAATTAGCCGGGTGTGGTGGCGTATGCCTGTAATCTGAGCTACTTGGGAGGCTGAGGCAGGAGAATCACTTGAACCTGGGAGGCAGAGGTTGCAGTGAGCCGAGATTGTGCCACTGCACTCCAGCCTGGGCAAAAAGAGTTAAACGCCATCTCAAAAAGAAAAAAGAAAGAAAGAAAAAAAAGAAAATTGTATGGTATGAGCAAACTCTATTTAAAAAATTACAATTATATCCACAGACTTGGAAGAACTTGCAATAAATGCTTAACTTTGGCTGTCTCTGGGTAGATGAAATTTTTGGTGTTTTGTTCTAATTGCTAATCTCTATTTTCTGACTCTTCTGTAATTACATGCATTGCCAAGCAATGAAAAAATAATACTAAAAGTAGTTAAGATAGCATGATACTTAATAAAGAAATCCAATTATGGCACTTCCTCATACTATATTATAATTTAAGCATGGGGTTGCAGCATACCTAAGTGTCTGATTCTTCTTATGTATCTACTTACAAGATGCAGCCTGCATTGTGGTCAAAACTTCACGTTCTGGTCTTGGGGGAGCTGGGTTACATCTCGGCTCTGCCACTAAGCTGAGTGACTTTAGCCAGCCTTCGCAGCCTCTAGATCTGTCTTCATCTGAGTAATGGGGATGGTAGTGATCATACTAAGCTTATGGCTTGGTTGCTGGTTACATAACACGTGGAAATACAGAATAAACTGCTTGGCATGGTGCCTAACAGTACTGTGTTCAATACATGGGGACCGTTACTACTCAATCAGATGTCCTAGGCTTTCTTCAGGGGCCAGCAGATGATGTGAACGCGAACAGGAACCCCTGCCGAAGCCCAAAGGACTCCTCCAGGCATTGACAGCTATGCTGTGCATCTTGCCTGGATGTTTTTTCAGAGGAGGGTGCAGGCAAGAGCAAAAGCAGCAGTCCCAGGCTATTCAACTTCCACAAAGCCTCCTTATCTCCGGTTGGGAAGTACAGTTGCTGATTAACTGTGTTAACACAGCACAGTGCTCAGAAGGCCAAAGGTCAAAGACTAAGGTCTGAAGCCCCACAAGGAGGAAATATCCCTCCTCGTCATTACTGGGGGGAAAAAAATTACCCTTGTAAGCCACTTAGAAGGGAGCACCTTTATTTGGAAAACAGTAATTTCAAAATCATCTCCCGAACTCAGAATCGATGGGTCTGGGTAGATACCCTAAGTAAACAGGTGAAATCTTCATTACTTGTTCACTTATTAAGTAAAATTTTAAATTAACCGATTATGTACAGGAGTGTTTTTCACATTTCCTGATAAGAATCACTTGGAATGCCCTGTAAACACAGCTTCACTGGAGATTAATCCTATCAAATTGATTCAGCAAGTCCGAGATGGGCCAGTAATTTGTGGAGATTTTTATTTTTACAAATGCTTCCTGATGATGACCAAATCTAAGAAAATTTGGTAAACAACGGAAAGTTATCTGGAACATAACTTTCAGTTTTCTCTGCAGTTTTTAAGTGCTGAACTACTGATCATCCTAGAGATAACCCACTGAAAAGTCTTCTCTAATCCAGTTTTACAAAAGGAAAGTCTTTTTAACATTTGGTTTGATAAAATGTTTTCCGAAGAAATACTTTACTTGCCTGTTTTCATTTCTGGCCCACCCGTTCTACTTCACGTTTTCTTGAAGGGTTCATCTTCTATGAGTTGAGGCATAGCAATCTAATCATTTTTAAAATAAATGGTTTCTTTTTTTTTTTTTTTTTTTGAGACGGAGTCTCGCTGTTGCCCAGGAGTACAGTGGCGCAATCTCAGCTCACTGTAAGCTCCGCCTCCCGGGTTCAATTGATTCTCCTGCCTCAGCCTCCAGAGTAGCTGGGACTACAGGCGCCCGCCACCACGCCCGGCTAATTTTTTGTATTTTTAGTAGAGACGGGGTTTCACCCTGTTAGCCAAGATGGTCTGGATCTCCTGACGTCGTGAGCCGCCCGCCTCGGCCTCCCAAAGTGCTGCGATTACAGGCGTGAGCCACCGCGTCCGGCCAATAAATGGTTTCTAATTAAAGGATTGTGACATTTAATAGCCGTTGCTTGCTCTTGTCTTGCTCCCTTCTCTCTCGAAACTTGTTAAGAAATAACTCAATATTCTGGCTTTTCCACTTTAAATGTCATACTGACCAGCCCGTGTATGCCAGCCTCGATCTCATCGTTTTCTTTAACCGGTCCAACTCCCTTTGGCGTCCCAGTCAAGATAATATCTCCTTCTTCCAAGGTTATGATCTTAGAAACATAGCTGATGATGTAGGGGATGGAAAAAATCATGGAGGATGTCTCACCCTCCTGTCTGAGTTCGCCGTTGACCTTGAGCCAGAGCTTCAGCTTGTGAGGGTCAGGGATCTTCTCCTTGGGCACGAACGCGCTGACCGGGCAGGACGCCGTGAAGCTCTTCGCCAGAGTCCAGGGCAGCCCCTTCTTCTTGCACTCGTCCTGCACGTCCCGGGCGGTCATATCCAGGCACAGGGCATAGCCGCCCACGTAGTCCATGGCCGCAGCCTCGGGGACTGCGCGGCAGCGCTTGCCCATCACCACGCCCAGCTCCAGCTCGTGGTGCAGGTTGCGAGTGTACGCGGGCATGAGGATGGGCGAGCCCTCGGGCGCGTAGGCCGTGGACGGCTTCAGGAACAGCACGGGCTCGCTCAACACCGCGCTGCGCATCTCCCTGACGTGGTCCGCGTAGTTCCTCCCCACGCAGACGATGTTCTTTCCCCACTCCCAGAAGCGGGACAATGGCCTGGATGCTGCCATGATTCCCATCAAGTGCCCCTGTAGTCACGTGGGCTGGGCCGGTCAGCTGATGCCTACGGCATCCCGGAGAGGACCAACTGCCTCGGAACGCTGTCCCCCGCAGCGACGGCCCGTTCCACCTCGCGATCTGCCGGGTACCCGGGCGGCGTGGCGCTCGGCCTCCAGGGATCCACTGTGCGGTGCCAAAAAAGAGGCGGAGGCTCGCGGCACAGCTCTCCCGGCGCAGCTCTCGGGCCGCCGCCGCCGCTCCCAGGCCCGTCTCCCGGCCCGTGGCAGTCGGGGCTCGCGGACAAAACAAGTTGAGCGCGAGCGCGTTGATTGGTTGGCGGACGGTGCGAGGTGGACGCTGATTGGCTGAGGGCAGCGCGAGGCGGGCGCTGATTGGCTGCGACGCGCCGACGCCGGTGTTTTGCAGTCCTGGGCAGCTCGGCAGTCCAGCCCGGCCCGGGTCATGGTGGTGGGCCGAGGGCTGCTCGGCCGCCGCAGCCTCGCCGCGCTGGGAGCCGCCTGCGCCCGCCGAGGCCTCGGTGGGTGCGGCGGGGCGGTGCGGGCCGGGGGACGCGGGCCTGGCGGGGCGGGCAGCGGGCGGCGCCGGGCCGTCGTTTGGCGACCGCTGACGCGGTGTCTGTTGCGCAGGTGCCTAAGGCCGCGCTGCCGGGCTCGAGCGGAGGCGGCGCAGGCGCTGAGGCTGGCGCGGAGCGGGCGCGGGGCCGCGGGTGCGGAAAGCGCTAGGTAAGCAGGGCCAGGCCTGCGTCCGCCGCGGCCTCCACGCTCGGGCTGGGCCGGCCGCGCCCCTGACGCCTCCAGGGCATCGCGTCCTGCCCGGGCCGGCGCCGAGGAGAGCCTGGGGCGCGGCTCTGAGGCGCAGCGGGCAGGGCCCCGGGACGCCTGGCCCACCCCGCACCTGCTGCCCCGCTGCAAGGACCGCGGTCTCGCGGCGCCGCCTGCGGTGGTGGAGCTGCCCGCCCGGCGCCGGAGCCCCCGTCTGGGGACCCGGCGTGTCATTCGCCCGAGGTGGTCGCGCGGCCGGGCCAGGCCAGCGCCCCGGGCGGGTGCGCAGCGCAGGGCACTGGGCGGGCGGAGGCGCAGACAGGGAGGCGTCCCTGGCGGTTTCCAGATCTCGCCGAAAGCTGTCAAGGCTCTGCAGGGGGTAGAATGTCGCCATTGCTAAGGAAAGGACATGGATTTTGAGGTCCTCAGAATTACAGTTTTAGGGACATTCATAAGGGTCCAGGCAGAGAGTTCCAGCGGGACTGTGTGCATCGGCAGGGCGTGCGTACCCCATTCTAAGGGAGGCCCCAGCCCCCGTATTTGGTGCCGCCCAGTTCAAGGGAAGCAAGATGCTGTGAAACTTCCTGATTTAAAAAAGAAGTGCAGTGACGCACGCCTGTCATCCCAGCACTTTGGGAGGCCGAGGCGGGAGGATCGCTTGAGTCCAGGAGTTCCAGACCAGCCTGGCAACATGTTGAGACCTCATCGCTACAAAAACTAAACAAAATCAGCCGGGCGTGGTGGCACACAACTGTAGTCTCAGTCACTTTGGAGGCTGAGGTGGGAGGATCGCTTGAGTCCAGGAGGTCGAGGCTGCAGTGACCCTTGATCGCACCACTGCACTGTAGCCTAGGGGACAGAGTGAGACCATATCTCAATTTTTTTTTGTTTTTGGGGCCAAACCGAACATGTTTCTGGACTTGGTCCAGGCCCCAGGCTGCAGGTCCTTGACCTGTTTGTACAAAGTATTACAGTTACAAAACAGCAAGCCGGGAACATTTGCCAGGCAGTGCTGGGCTGAGTGATATGGAAAGGGAATACGGTTTCTGCTGGTGTTGGCACCAGCTGCGTCTTTCCTCAGAAATAAAGGCACCTCCCTGGGTTGTCAGCTTCTTCAGGAGGCTGTGATGGTCTCCAGGGGAGGCTGAGCACCAGTTGTAAATGACATTTTCTTCGCCTGGGCAGTGCAGTGGCCAATCTCGGCTCACTGCAACCTCTGCCTCCCGGGCTCAAGCGAGTCTCCTGCCTCAGCCTCCTGAGTAGCTGGGACTACAGGCGCTCGCCACCACGCCCAGCTAATTTTTGTATTTTTTAGTAGAGACAGGGTTTCACCATATTGGTCAGGCTGGTCTCGAACTCCTGACCCCGCGATCCGCCCGCCTCGGCCTCCCAAAGTGCTGGGATGACAGGCGTGAGCCACCGCACGTGGGCAGTATTTTTGTTTGTAATGTTCTGCTCCTTGTTTGTAATGGAGCTCCTTTCCAGGAGGACGCCCGGCACTCGGAATCCTGTCACAACCCTTCTGCACCCCACCTGCAGCCCCCAGCACCCACACTCTGCTTGTTGTGCTCCTTGGGCTGGGGTGGTGCTGAGGCTAAGGGGAAGGGGAATAACACAGGAAGCTGCTCATATAGAAATCTTGGTATTATTGTTCCTGAGGAGAATGATCTGGAAAATGCCCAGCTGGTTGTCAGGCGGGTAATAGGATATCTTTGTGCAGTGATTGAAACTATAGTTTGGGCAGTTTCCCCGGCTGTGGAAATAAGGTCGGATTCCGCATTTCGGTGGGCCCTGGAGACGCGTGTGTCTGTCAGTTGGTGGCTGCTGCCCATTTCTGGATCCCTTTTGGGAGAAGCCCCTGCCGTGGCACCTACCCCAGGACTGCACTGTCCTCTGCCACCTTCTGTGGTTTCTTCCCCGTGTAGAGCGGAACTGAAGGTATTGTCGGGGCCCCCAGGTATTTTTAGATTTAGTAGGAGTTTCATTGCTGAAAATATTTTTGCATTGGTCGACTGGGTGGCAGACACTTTTGTCCCTTGGTCACCCACTCCTCCCAGCTCTTGGGCCTTCTGGGCCCCTGTGGCAGAGTCCTTTGGGTCAGTTGGATGGTGGTTTTGTGTCCTCCACACTTGAATCTGGGGGCAGTTGTGGCCAACTTTCCGTCTCAAAGGAACTGCTGATTTTTGTGCATATCTCAGATTCGTGCTGTTCAAGAGCAAGTATTGTTTGTTTGTTTTTTTTTTTTTTTGAGACTGTCTCACTCTGTTGCCCAGGCTGGAGTGCAGTAGGGCGATCTTGGCTCACTGAAACTTTCACCTCCCGGATTCAAGCAATTCTCCTGCCTCAGCCTGCCGTCAAGTATTGGTTCTTTCTGGCTAGAGGCTGAGAAGGGCTGTAACTGCATGGAACGCAGGCTCGCTTAGTCAGTGGTGGCAGCACAGCTTGCTGGAGGGCAGATGGCCAGGCGGGGGCACCCCTAGTCTGTGTTCCCTTCTTCACATTCTGTCCCTGAGTCCGGGGTGTGAATAATCCAGCACTGGCAGTGGTTCGCCTCACAATCACAAGCTGGCCTTCCTGTCCTTTTAGAGTTCTCAAAAAAGAAAATAGAGATCGTAAGTCTGAAACAATTGATTTCCATGAATGTGAGCATGAGTTAGTTCCTGTGTTCTCCTCAGGGATATATGAAGATATTCCTTTTTTTTTTTTTTTTTTTTTTTTTTTTTAAGGAACAGGTTATTGTCTTGTCACCCAGGCTGGAGTGCAGTGGCACAGTCATAGCTCACTGCAGCCTCAAACTCCTGGGCTCAAGTGATCCTCCTGCCTCAGCCTCCGGAGTAGCTGGGACCACAGGCATGCACCACCATGCCTGGCTAATTTTTAAATTTGCAAAGACAAGGTCTTGGCTGGTCGCGGTGGCTCACACCTGTCATCCCAGCACTTTGGGAGGCCGAGGTGGGCGGATCACAAGGTCAGGAGATCGAGACCATCCTGGCTAACACCATGAAACCCGTCTCTACTAAAAAATACAAAAAATTAGCCGGGTATGGTGGCGGGCGTCTGTAGTCCCAGCTACTCAGGAGGCTGAGACAGGAGAACGGCGTGAACCTGGGAGGCGGAGCTTGCAGTGAGCCGAGATCGCGCCACTGCACTCCAGCCTGGGCGACAGAGCGAGACTCCGTCTCAAAAAAAAAAGAAAAAAAAAAAGACAAGGTCTTGCTATGTTGCCCAGGCTGGTCTCAAACTCCTGCCCTCAAGCAGTCCTCCCATCTCAGTCTCTTAAAGCGCTGGGATTCCCGGCAAGAACCACCATACCTGGCCAGAATATTCCTTTTCAAAGGAACCTAGAAAGGCTGGGAAGCACTGCAGCTTGCGCGTCCTGTCGTGGAGGGCCTGGCGCGGCTGCCCGCTGAGTTGTGCTCTGTGTCTGCAGGTCCAGCCCTGCTGGGAGTTTTCTGCCACACAGATTTGCGGAAGAACCTGACCGTGGACGAGGGCACCATGAAGGTAGAGGTGCTGCCTGCCCTGACCGACAACTACATGTACCTGGTCATTGATGATGAGACCAAGGAGGCTGCCATTGTGGATCCGGTGCAGCCCCAGAAGGTGCGCATGGCTGTGCCTGGCTCTCCCTGCCCTGGTCACCCAGCTCGGAGTCCTCACCCCCGATGGGTTTCCTAACCGCAGTGTCCTTGCAACTTTGCCTAAGCTAAATGGAAATTAGTCTCCGGCCACTCTGTTAACAGGGCTCCAAGAAGGGTGGAGGCGAGAGGCAGTGACACAGAAAGCGCTGTGCAGTACAATCCTGGGCACTTGAGTCTTCTTGGGGGCTTTCTGCCCCTGCATGCTGCCTCTGGGGGTGGTGCCCTCAGAGCTGGAGGGGCTTGGAGCGGTCGTAGGTGGTTGCAAGAGTGTCAGGCTGAGCAGGAAGGAGAAGGTGCTTTCACTGGCTCTCCTGGAGCAGGGCAAGCTGGCAGGGTCAGGACGGGCCATGTCAGCGGCCCCTCATGGCGTGTCCTGGGTTCTGCTGGGCACCCTACCATATAGGCCAGCAAGCCAGGCCTAGGAGTGTGACAGGCCTTTGTCCTTCCCCGGGGCCACTGCAGGTCGTGGACGCGGCGAGAAAGCACGGGGTGAAACTGACCACAGTGCTCACCACCCACCACCACTGGTAAGTGCCGCGTCTCACCTGGGGGTGTGGGACCTGGCTCACTTCTCGCCCCGGTGGGTTTAGGGACATCAAGGCCTGTCTCCCCCCACGGCTCTGTCTGCTTTGTGAGGACAAGCCCCCAGCAGACTTCTGAGAAAGACCCGGGACTCACCGTAGCCCCCAAGGGGCAAGTCTGGTGCTCAGTGACTCTGAGGCCCCGAGGGTGAGGGGAGAAGGTTACAGCCTTACCCTCAGGCCCCACCCCCCGGCTCTCTCCTGGGCCATGCGGGTTTGTGCCCTGGCACGTTGGCCTCAATGTTGGGGAGGAAATGAGTCTACAGGTGAGTGGTTTTTAAAAAAAAAAAAAACAAAAAAACAAAAAAAAACAAGCAGCCAGCCGGGCACGGTGGCTCATGCCTATAATCCCAGCACTTTGGGAGGCTGAGGTAGTTGGGTCACTTGAGGTCAGGACCAGCCTGGCCAACACGGTGAAACCCAGTCTCTACCGAAAATACAAAAATTAACTGGGCGTGGTGGTGGGCGCCTGTAATCTCAGCTACTCGGGAGGCTGAAGCAGGAGAATCACTTGAACCCGGGAGGCGGAGGTTGCCGTGAGCCAAGATCGTGGCATTGCACTCCAGCCTGGGTGACAGAGCGAGACTCCGTCTCAAAAAAAACAAAGACAAGCAGCCATATCTGGAGAGGTTGGGTTTTTAAAAATCCTTGAAAATGGATGAATAAAATGCCCTGTCTGGGTTCTAGGGCTGGCATTGCCTGCTCAAGGCCGTTGTTTGGCTTTTAGAAATTTTTGAGGCTCTTCAAAGCTAGAGAGACTTACTTCTTTTTGCCAAGCAAGCGCCCGAGGGCAACCGGCACCTTTCTCCTGAGCCAGGACCCGTCTGGCACTGCCCTAGGGCCTCTCAGCTGTGGCTTCCCCAGCCTCTGTGTTGGGGTGAAATGAAGCCTTTGGTCCTCTCCTTGGTGGTGGGAGCGCTGTGCTGGTGGCTTGGCCAAGGTTTGATGGAAGCGTCATGGTTCACACGCAGCTGGACTTAGGCCTGGAGAGTCTCAGGCTCTGTGAGTTGGGCCCCTCGAGCCTCTTCGGGGTCATCAGAGGTGTCCGTGCAGGGACCTGGGCTTGAGGGGCGGTGCCTGCAGCCTCCCTGGCCCTTGTCCTGTGTGGCTGAGCTGCTGTCTCTCAGCACGTTGGCCTGCCTGTCGTGCGAGGCCCTTGCTGCCACCATGCCTCCTCCTGGGGACCCTGGTGGTGGCCTCTGTGTGGCTGCCTGGCACATCACAGCTTGCTGCAGCTCCCTGCCTCTCCCGGCCTCGCCGCAGACGTCTCTTTCTAACACTGTGGTGCTTTTTAGTTCCCCGGCCCCTCTAACATTCATGCCGACACGTGAAGTCCTAAGCCAGGCCATAGCTTCAGCGGGGTGGGGTTTGCTCACCGATGGTGGGTGGTGATGGGCAGACCAAGGCCTGTGGTGCCGCGCCCTCCTGAAGGGTGGGAGGGGCAGAGGGCAGCGGCCACCACTCCACCCTGTTATCTTGGGGCCCAGTGGTGCCAAGGCAGGCGGTTTCTGGTGTGGTTGCTGGAGTCTTCATGGGAGGCACACGAAGGAGTCTGTGATATCATGTGAGACCCGGGAAGGGCCCCTTCAACCGCCCCTTTCTGAACTGCGGGTCAGGCAGGCTCCCCTGGGGAAACCTGGGCGCGTAGGAGGCACCTCCACCTGCTGGAGCTGGCCCAGGCTGGCCTCCCCTGCAGACAGGCCGCGTCTAGGGCCAGCTGCTCATCCCAGACGCACCCAGGTGATTCCCATGCTGAACAGTTTGATCTCCTGCCAGAGTGTCGGGCCACAAACTGGGCAGCACATCAGGATCACCTGGGGGCCTTCAAAAATCAAAAATCCACCCCCAGGCCATGCCCTGGACCCACTGCACCAGGACAAGAAATCCACCCCAGGCCTCTCCCCAGACCCACTGCACCAGGACAAGAAATCCACCCCCAGGCCACGCCCCAGACCCACTGCCCTAGGATGTGGGGGTGGGAACCAGGTGGTGCTTTGTAAAGACGTGCAGGTGGTAACCCCAGGCCCCCACGCTCGGAACCCTGGCCACAGGATCATCCAGGTGTCTGTGATTTGCTTCCTCGGTTTCCTTTGTGAGTGGAAAATAAGTGTTGCGTTTGACTAGGGTTTAAGAGCAGCAGGCAGCCCCTCAGCTCAGCAGGCAGCCCCCTCAGCTCAGCAGGCAGCCCCCTCAGCTCAGCAGGCAGCCCAGGTCTCCTGTTTGACTTCTAGGGACCATGCTGGCGGGAATGAGAAACTGGTCAAGCTGGAGTCGGGACTGAAGGTGTACGGGGGTGACGACCGTATCGGGGCCCTGACTCACAAGATCACTCACCTGTCCACACTGCAGGTAAGGAGTGAGCCCTGGAGGTGCTCCAGCGTGGCCCTGTCAGGAGCGTGGGGGAGGGGGGTCCCTCCCCGCATTCTCTCTGCTCCCTTACCCCAGTGACCCGGGAGTGCTCTCAGTGGTCCTCTGTGGCAGCGTGGATGGTCTTCTCTGTCTAGGCACAAGGAGAGGAGTGTGCAAAACGCGGCTGTGTGCGGGGCTGTGAAGCAGGGCTCTGAGACCCTGGGGAGCGGGCCATGTGGGCAGGGTCTTGGTGCCAGAGCACAGCACACAGGTGGGAGGGCCCTGCGAGGGTGTCTTCAGCCTTTTTGAGGGTGTGAACATTTTTGAAGTAAAGAATTGGGGCAGATGGGGACAGGAAAACAAAAGGCCATGTGTGGGAAGGAAAGCCGTCTTTCCTAGCCAGACGGCGAGCGTGGATTTGGCCCAGTTTTGAAGGAGGAAACAAGCCCCTTGGTTTTTTACACGCTCTTGTTCCAGGGTGGCCCTGCACTTGGGGCGCACCCATGGAGTGAGCGAGTCCCCCAGTCCCGTGGTGGGGAGCACCTGCCCCACCTTCACGGGCATTTCCCTCAGAGCTGAGGAGGCCCAGTAGGGCCCAGGCGGCGCGCCGTGACCCCGGGAGATGGCTCTCCAGGGTGTCTGGGAGCACACGCGGTCGCCTGCTTTGTTGAAGGTGGGGTCTCTGAACGTCAAGTGCCTGGCGACCCCGTGCCACACTTCAGGACACATTTGTTACTTCGTGAGCAAGCCCGGAGGCTCGGAGCCCCCTGCCGTGTTCACAGGTGCGTGTTCGAGTGTGGGTGGGGGCGGGGGTTCTTCGTGAAGACCCTGTGTCTCCTGCCAGGCAGGCTCACGGGGCAGCTTCGTGGCCTTCTCTGTTGCACCGGTGTGAGGGGGCCCAGGGGTGGGTGCTGGGGAGCCTCATGGTGGGGCTGGCCGATTCCTCCCATGATGGGTTTGGATCGTGGTCTGGAAGGAAGTTACGCTTGCAGCAAGGGCTGTGCTGGCGGAGACTGCTGGACAGCTGGGGTCCGGGCGGGTCCCACGGGAAAGGAGTCAGTTTCTTCCAGCAGGGCGAGGGGTGGCTCAGCCCTGGGGCTGTGTTCCTTGATGCCGTAGTGTGGACTCAGGGACCTGTGCTAGTCTGGGGGCCCTGCCTGCCTCCCAGGGTGGTTGCAGACCTGTGGAGCCACCTGTGGAGGTCATATGGCCGGGGGACGGCCTCACTGTAGGCCGGGCCCTTCATGGCTGCGGCCTTCTAAGGCGGTGCGGAGGCTGCTGGTGGTGGGGGCTGCCTCCCGTGCTTGTTACTGTGGCCTTGTCCCGACTGGCCTCACAGTGCGGGGTTTCACCCGGTGACTCGATGTGGGCCTTGTACGGCTGGGAGGCCTCCTGGTGGGAGGTGGCAGCCCCAGCCTTGAACCCAGGTGGGAGTGACCCAGGGCCACACTCGGACCCCTGGGTGGAGTCAAACCAGGGGTGCAGGGAGAAGGTGTGGCCAGGGAGCCCCAGAGGAGGGCGGAGGGCATGGCGGGAGGGACGGGCGCCTCGCTGTGAGGGATAAGGTGCCTTCAGGCTGCAGTGCGCAGGGCTGGGGGATGAGCCTGGGTGGTGCCGGTGTGGGAGGGATGGAGTTGGGGACCTCAGATTTAGGATTCTTCTCAGGGCAGCGAGCACGGAGTCCCTGGGTCTCACCTGTGCCTCCTGGGCTGTGTGCCTGGCGCAAGGACAGCCCTGTGGAGCAGAAGCCCCAGGCCCCAAGTTCGCCTCTGTCTGCCCTTCCCTATCTCTGGGGACTCCATGGCCTCCTGCTGGTCCTCAGACTCGAGGTCTAGGGCCCTTCAGGGGAACAGGCTCCCCACCGTCCATTCCCATCTCTCGTGCCCAGAAGGACTCCTGGCCTTGGCCTGTGCCCAGCACCGCTGCATGCTTCTCTGCCCCAGGTGGTGAGAAGTGGGGCGGCCTCCACTGTGCTGGGTGCTGGGCACCCTCCTCTCAGGGGACTGCCCTGTTTCTGGGGCAGACGGCCACGTGAGGTCAGCGAGGCCAGGACAGCCGCGAAGCAGCAAGAGGAGGGCAAGCGGGGACAGAGGCCTGGGCAGTGATGGGGTGGGGATGCCGTCCTGAGGCCGAGGCCGGAAGGAGCCTGGGTGCGCCTGAGGTGCCCAGCGGTGTGGGCCGCATCTTCCGCCATGGGTGAGAGGTGGTCCCGCTCAGCTCAGCCAGGGTGGTGAGACCTTGGTCACAGGGTGGCGCTGGCTGCTGGGGCCAAGGGAAGATGGGAGCCAGGCATGGGCCTGAGAGGGGCTGCTGCGTGTTTGGGGAGAGGGCTGGATTTGTGAGGGTCTCAGAGCCACAGTTGGTGGGATTGGGGGCAGTGAGGGAGGAGTGACTTGGGTTTCGGGTCTGCTCGGCCAGTTGGGTGGTTGGACTGTCAGCTGAGACTTGGAAGGAGATGTGGGAGCCGGAATGCAGGGGGGCTGAGTCTGGGCAGCCGTGGCCGGAGGGCAGCCAGGGTTCGGGGCCTGGGCCTTGCCGGTGAGTGTCACCCTGCTCCTGGCCCCCTCCTGAGTCCTAGCCACCAGCCTCAAGTGGCCCCCACCTCGTGGCTGTCCTTGTTTCCAGGTGACACCTTGTTTGTGGCTGGCTGCGGGAAGTTCTATGAAGGGACTGCGGATGAGATGTGTAAAGCTCTGCTGGAGGTCTTGGGCCGGCTCCCCCCGGACACAGTAGGCAGCGCCTCCCTGCGGGCCGGGGTGTGGGGGGCCTTAACCAGGGCGGGGCTGCTCTCCCTCCTGGCACCCTCTCACCGGACACCCCCCGGGGGCATCCAGGTCCCGTCCCTGAGGACTTTCACAGGTGGTAACAGCCTTCCGAGCTCACCTGTCACCTCTCTCCTCAGAGAGTCTACTGTGGCCACGAGTACACCATCAACAACCTCAAGTTTGCACGCCACGTGGAGCCCGGCAATGCCGCCATCCGGGAGAAGCTGGCCTGGGCCAAGGTGAGTGGGGCCGTCACTGCGCAGTGCCTTCCTGTGGGCTGCTCAGGGCCGCTGTGCACAGCGGGGTCGCCAGAGTGGGTAGACACTCACACTCTGAGCCCAGAGAGCAGGCCTGGGATTCAGGCCAGTGTGGCCCAGCTCGCCCTGCACGGCAAACCCAGGGGTTCTATGGAGATCCCTCTGCCTCGGAGGGTCTGGAGTAGGCCTCAGACGCTGCGTGTGTAAAAAGCGCCCAGCCTGTTCCCACATTCTGAGCAGTAGGGTCAGGCTGGCAGCACGTGGCTCTGCTGGCTCTCCAGGCCACAGAACGTGGCTCTGTGTCCAAAGGACTCTTATCTCCACGGTGGCCCCACGTGAGCCTCCATGGCGTAGCCCAGGCCAGCTGGGCCAAAGTCTGCCAGGAGCAGGACGGGGTTCTCCAGGGGTGTGTTTCCCCGAATTCACTGGAAACGGTGTCACAAGCACGCACGCCTGGGTGGTCTCAGGCGTGGGCTCCCTCTGCTGAGTGGAGTGAGAGTCGCTGCCTCTGACAGGGTTGTTTTAAATAAATCACCCGGTTTTTTGAGCATCTTTTTCAATTTCTTAGAGTAGAGGTTAACATTATTTTACAGTATTTACTCATGCAAATTCCAACTCTAAATCAGATGAATCATAAATACTCATCTTTTTTTTTTTTTTAATTTTTTTTTGAGACGGAGTCTCCCTCTGTCGCCCAGGCTGGAGTACAGTGGCGTAATCTCGGCTCACTGCAACCAGCACCTCCCGGGTTCAAGAAATTCTCCCTGCTGGCCGGGCGTGGTGGCTCACGCTTGTAATCCCAACTACTCAGGAGGCTGAGGCAGGAGAATCGCTTGAACCCAGGAGGCAGAGGTTGCAGTGAGCCAAGATCGCTCCACTGCGCTCCAGCCTGGTGACAGAGCGAGACTCCGTCTCAAAAAAAAAAAAAAAAAAAAAAAAAAATTCTCCCTGCCTCAGCCTCTTGAGTAGCTGGGATTACAGGCGCCAGCCAACACGCCCAGCTAATTTTTCTACTTTTAGTAGAGATAGGGTTTTGCCATGTTGGCCAGGCTCGTCTTGAACTCCTGACTTCAGGTAATCCGCCTGCCTTGGCCTCCCAAAGTGCTGAGATTACAGGCGTGAGCCACGTCACCTGGCCCGTGTGTCTGTCTTGAGTGGACAGATTGCAGTTTGAGGAATGTTGATGATGTTTGCACTTGTGTAATCCCCTCCACAGTCCAGATGTGGAACTTACCACTACCCCAAAGGCTCCTGTGTCCCTCCCATGTGGCGTCCCCGCCAGCTGTTGCTCTGCTGTGACCTCAGGTCACTTTCTAGTTTCCCATGAACAGAATCTCATTGCTCCGTCATCTCTGTGGCATTCTCGGCCCCGCTGATGTTGGTGAGGGTCAGCCACGCTCTTTGCTTCTGAGTAGCCCATTGTGTGGAAATGCTACAATTTGTTTATGCATTTGTCTGTTTCCAGTTTTTTGCTATTTGAATAAAGCTGCTATGGACATTTGTGTACAAGTCTTTTGTGAACATGTTTTTATTGCTCTTGGATACTACCTAAGAGTGGAATTGCTGTGTTGTGTGGTTAAAGGTGTGAACCGTTTTCCAAAAATGGTTGTACTGTTCTACAGTCCCCCACCAATGCTTGAGTTCCGGGGCCTCCATGCTGTGCCAGCACTGCTTGGTGTTGTCGGTCTCTCCAATTTTTGCCATTCTAACTTGCCTGTGGTGGCGTCTCACTGCCTTTAAAATGTGGATTTCCCCATGTGACCATCTTTTCATGTGTGTCGGCCTTTGGATGCCTTCTCATGAAGTTTATGTTCAATCTTTTGTCCATTTTAAATATTGGGTTTGGCCTGTTGGGCTGCTCTTGTAAGAGTTCCTTATATCATCTGGAAACAAGTCTTTGTGAGATATATATATATATGTGTGTGTGTGTGTGTGTGTGTGTGTATATACATATATATATTTATTTGTTTGTTTTTTGAGACAAAGTCTTGCTCTGTCGCCCAGGCTGGAGTGCAGTGGTGTGATCTCATCTCACTGCAAGCTCTGCCTCCCGGGTTCAAGCCATTCTCCTGCCTCAGCCTCCCAAGTAGCTGGGACTACAGGTGCCCGTCACCACGCCCAGCTAATTTTTTGTATTTTTAGTAGAGATGGGTTTCACCGTGTTATCCAGGAAGGTCTCGATCTCCTGACCTCGTGATCCACCCGCCTCGGCCTCCCAAAGTGCTGGGATTACAGGCGTGACCCACCACGCCCAGCTGAGATATATATTTAAAAGATGTTTTTCTCTCCCAGCTCATGGCTTGCCTTTTCATTTTCTTAACATTGTCTTTTGGAAAATAGTTTATAGTTTTGGTGAAGTTCCATTTACTTATTTTTTGTTTGTTTCTTTTTTTTTTTTTTGAGACGGAGTTTCACTCTTGTTGCCCAGGCTGGAGTGCAGCGGCGCGATCTCAGCTCACCGCAACATCCACCTCCTGGGTTTAAGCGATTCTCCTGCCTCAGCCTCCCGAGTAGCTGGGATTACAGGCATGCACCACCACACCCGGTTAATTTTGTATTTTTAGTAGAGATGGGGTTTCTCCATGTTGATCAGGCTGGACTCGAACTCCTGACCTCAGGTGATCTGCCCACCTTGGGCTCCAAAAGTGCTGGGATTACAGATGTGAGCCACTGCGCCCGGCCTACTCAATTTTTCTTTTATGTTTCTTGTGCCCTTTCTAAGATATCTTTGCATACCCTTAGCTCACAAAGACTTTCTCCTGTGTTTCTTCCTAGAAGTTTTAAAGTCTTAGCTTTTATATTTACAAACAATTTACAGTGTTCCCTTTCAAGATGGTGTTTGTGTGTGGTGCGAGGTGAGGGTAGAGGTTCACCCTCTCGCAGTGTGATCCCGAGGTGTTCAGGGCTGTCTGTCGAAGGACTGTCCTTTCCTCCCTGGATTGCCTTGGCACCTTTCTGAAAAGAATGGGCCCTCTATGCCCGAGTCTGCTTCTGGTCTCTGCTCTGTTTCGTTGGTCTCTATGACTTGCCACGGTGTCCGAGGACAGCACCTTGATGACTGTAACTCTGTGCTGAGTCTTGGCACTGGTATGTGTGAATCCTCCAGTGTTCTTTTTCAAAATGGTTTTAGTTGTTTTAAGCCTTTTACATTTCCGTTTTCAGAATCATCTCGTGAACTTCTATCAGAAAAGCTAGCCTGGCTGCTGATTGGGACTGTTGTGATAACTGATGTGGCGAGAATTGCGATCTTAACATTGAGTGTTTCTGTGAGCTTTCCATCTATGAATGTCTTTAGCTTTTCTCAGCAGTGTTTTGAAATTTGCGTGTTCAAGGTCTTGCACGTGTTACTAAATGGATCCCTAAGCACTTCTGGTCATGATTATTTGTTGATACTAGTTATAAATACAGTGGATGCGTATTAACTTCCTGGGTGTCTTAGTCTGTGTGGTGTTGCTATAAAGGAATACTTGAGGCCGGGTGACTTATAAAAGGAGGTTTATGTGGCTCATGGTTATGCAGGCTATATAAGCAGCATGGCCTGGGCGTCTGCACCTGGTGAGGCCTCAGGCTGCTTCTGCTCATGGCAGAAGGCGAAAGGAGCTGGTGGGTGTGAAGCATGTGGCCAGAGGAAGGAGAGAGTGGGGGAGGCAAAAGTTTCTTTTAAACAACCAGATCCTGTGGGAACTAACAGCAAAAACTCGCACTTGGAGCAGGGCACCAAGCCGTTCACAAAGGATTCCCCCCATGATCCAAACACCTCCATTAATTGGGGATCAGATTTGAGCATGCGTTTGGAGGGATGGACATCCCAGCCGCAGCCCCGTGTGAACACCCAGGAGAAGGGAGTGGCCGGGCTGGACGGGAGGTGTGTTTGACTTTTAAAGAAACTGCCAAACTCCCCTTCCCCGGTGCTTGTGGTGTTTGCTTTCCTGCTGGGAAGGCGTGGGCACACCAGCTGGTCCGTGTCTTTCGGCACACCACACGGTGGAGCCAGCCCACGCGGTGGAGCCAGCCGTTTGAAAGGAGGTGCTGGAGCCCAGTCCCTGGTGAGAGGCCGCCTCCTGCAGGGCGCCTCCCATTCTGCGGCCTCTGGTTTTCTTAGCAGTATCTTTTGAGCCAACATTTTTAATTTTAATGAAGTCCAATAGATTCTTTTATGCTTCATTCTTTTTTGTCTCCCATCTAAGAAATCTTTGTTTATCCCAAGGTCAAAAAATTTTCTCCTGTATTTTATTTTTGGAATTTGTATAGTTTTAAAACTTAGTATGAACTCCCACCCCCCAAATGTCTGCTGGATCTGTAATGATATTCCTGCTTTCATTCCTGATTTTGACAATTTGTGTGTTTTTTTTTTGTTTTTTTTTTTTTTTGAGACAGCGTTTCGCTCTTGCCGCCCAGGCTGGAGTGCAATGGCGCGATCTCGGCTCACCGCAACCCCTGCCTCCCGGGTTCAAGCGATTCTCATGCCTCAGCCTCCCAAGTAGCTGGGACTACAGGCATGTGCCACCATGCCTGGGTAATTTTTATATTTTTAGTAGAGATGGGGTTTTACCATGTTGGCCAGGCTGATCTCAAACTCCTGACTTCGTGATCTGCCCGCCTCAGCCTCCCAAAGTGCTGGGATTACAGGCGTGAGCCACTGTGCCTGGCCTGTCATTCTTTTTTTTTTTTTTTTTGGTTGGGGAGAGACAGCGTCTTGCTCTGCTGCCCAGGCTGGAGTGCAGTGGCACAATCTCGGCTCACTGCAACCTCCGCCTCCTGGGTTCAGGCGATTCTGCTGCCTCAGTCTCCCGTACCTGGGACTACAGGCCTGTGCCATCATGCTTGGTTAATTTTTGTATTTTTGGTAGAGAGGGGGTTTACACGATGTTGCCTAGGCTGGTCTTGAACTTCTGGGCTCAAGTGATCCTCCTGCCTTGGCCTCCCAAAGTGCTGGGATTACAGGCATGTGCCAACCACACCCGGCCTCATTCTTTTTGATAGGTGTAAAATATACTATTGCGTGGGTGTCACCCATAAATCATTTTACCAATCCCCATAGGAGGGACGTTGAGAGTTTTCAACTCCTTTTGCACCCTGGAGTCCAGAACCCACACGAGGTGGAGCTCTTCTGAGCTGTGCTGCAAGGACTGACCTTATTTTTTTATTTTTATTTTTTTGAGGCAGAGTCTCACTCTGTCACCCAAGCTGGAGTGCAGTGGTGCGATCTCGGCTCACTACTGCAGCCTCCGCCTCCCGGGTTCAAGCGATTCTCCTGCCTCAGCCTCCCAAGTAGCTGGAATTACAGACATGTGCCACCACGTCTGGCTAATTTTTGTATTTTTAGTAGAGACGGGGTTTCACCATGTTGGCCAGGCCGGTCTCAAACTCCTGACCTCAGGTGATCCACCTGCCTCAGCCTCCCCCAGTGCTGGGATTACAGGTGTGAGCAACCGCGCCCGGCCTGTTGTTCTTTCTTTGGGAGACAGTGTCTTGCTCTGCTGCCCAGGCTGGAGTGCAGTGGCATGGTCTTGGCTCGCTGCAGCCTCCACCTCCTGGGTTCAAGTGATTCTCCTGCCTCAGCTTCTCCAGTAGCTGGGATTACAGGCACCCGCCACCACACCCGGCTGATTTTTTCTATTTTAGTAGAGATGGGGTTTCACCGTGTTGCCCAGGCTGGTCTCGAACTCCTGAGTTCAGGCAATCCACCCACCTCGGCCTCCCAAAGTGTTAGGATTACAGGCGTGAGCCACTGCGCTCGGCTGACTGACCTTATTTTTGTCTTTAAATGCTTCGTACTTTGTAGGAAAAATAGCTAGAACATTAAAACTCGTTTTAATAGGTAACCTAAAAGCTTATGACAATTTGTACTTCCTCTGTTTTAAAGGTCTCCTTAGAAGTGTTAACTTTGCTTCCCTCGTAGGAGGCAGAGGGAGATTTCTTAGGATTGAGAATGTTGGTGGGAACACAGGGAATATTTTAAAACATTCTCAGATTCTTTTCGCCAGAAGGGAAGAACAGATTAGTGAGAAACCATCTTGGCATCTACCAGACCCCCGCTTGGTGCAGCTCTACCAGCTGAAGAGTCACTCACCGACACCACTGCCCATAGCGGGTGGGGAACCTCGGGGGTGAGGCGCGGTGGTCTTGAGCCTGTGCGTGGGCACCAGCAGCTTCTGTCAGAGCTCTGCCCTGAGGCCCTCCTGGTGCGGCTGCGGTAGAAGGGCCGGGGCTGTGTGGAGACCCCGCTGTTGCCGCCCTGTGTTTTCCTGCTAACTGTTGGCCCCGTGGCTGGGTTTGCATTCTCCTCCCCCCGCCCCCACCCCATCTGCCCTGGTCAGTGCTGGTCGGAAGGGAGACCATCTCCATCTCGAGAGGAGGTGACCAGCTGCCTGCCTGCAGGGGCTTGGGTGGCCTCCCCTGCTGCTGGTCCCTGTGCCCCTCCTCCCCGTGCTTGCTGTGAGGCTGCAGCTGTGGCGGTTTCTTTTCTGTGTCTCCTGCATTGCTGTTACCTCCATAATGTGAAATGTAAACCATGTGAATGAAAAGGAAGCTCCGTCCCTGTCGTCCTCTCCAGGCCGGTGCGGGAAGGCGGATGTGTGGCTCATCCCGGACGCTGGCTTCTCTTCCCTCTTCCACACGCGCACACCCGCCGGGCTCTGCTCACCTTGCCTTCTCAGCCTTGTCAGTCGGGCAGTGTCCTAAGGTTACCAGGAGGTGTTCTGAAGCATTTTTTGAGACGTGATGTCGCTGTCACCCAGGCTGGAGGGCAGTAGCACAGTCTTGGCTCACTGTAGCCTCGACCTGTGCTCAAGCGATCCTCCCACCTCAGCCCCCTGAGTAGCTGGGACCACAGGTGCCTGCCACCATGCCTGGCTAGTTTTTTGTATTTTTAGTAGACACAGGGTCTCGCCATGTTGTCCAGGCTGGTCTCAAACTCCAGGGCTCAAGTGATCCATCTGCCTTAGCCTCCCAAAGTGCTGGTATCACAGACGTGAGCCTCCGTGCCTGGTCTGCCATCCTGTGAAGTTCCCGTGATAAAGTGGTGCGTTTCTCTTGCAGGAGAAGTACAGCATCGGGGAGCCCACAGTGCCATCCACCCTGGCAGAGGAGTTTACCTACAACCCCTTCATGAGAGTGAGGTGAGGCCCAGGGCAGGTGGTGGGCGCGGGCCCCTCCCCTCTGGCAGTCCCACTGCTGCACACACAGCCGGTACGTCCGAGACCCCAGATGGCTGAGGCTGCCTTGGGGAGCTGTCACAGGTGCAGCCGCAGAGCCCGAGCACTCTTCTTGAGGGGGGTCCGGCCTTTCCTGGCACCTTGGCCGGGGTGTGAGTCCTTCTGGACCCTGGAGTTCAGAACCTGTCAGAAGGGGAGTGGCTGCCGCCTCCCCGCCCTCCGTGTCCTCTGAGGGCTGGGCTCGGCCAGCACGAGTCGCCTTCCTCTGCAGTGGCCCTGGCTCCTCCGGTGGGCGTGGCTCGGCACAGCCTGCAGCCCGGTGCTGGCCTCCGCAGGGAGAAGACGGTGCAGCAGCACGCAGGTGAGACGGACCCGGTGACCACCATGCGGGCCGTGCGCAGGGAGAAGGACCAGTTCAAGATGCCCCGGGACTGAGGCCGCCCTGCACCTTCAGCGGATTTGGGGATTAGGCTCTTTTAGGTAACTGGCTTTCCTGCTGGTCCGTGCGGGAAATTCAGTCTTGATTTAACCTTAATTTTACAGCCCTTGGCTTGTGTTATCGGACATTCTAATGCATATTTATAAGAGAAGTTTAACAAGTATTTATTCCCATAACTTCCCCTTGCAGACTGTTTTCTTCTGGCCTTTAGGCCTCTGCTTGTCCCCTCGGGCCTCCTTCCTCCTCCGTGAGCCACTGCAGTCCCCCCACCCACGCTTCAGGTCAGGCGTGAGCCGGTGCCTTTGCTGTGGCCTTGGCTGGGTGCTGATGGGACTGTCAGGCCCACTGCTGCGGTCGGTACCTTTGCAGCCTGTGCTTGTGGTCTGATCTGCTCAGGCCCCCGGCAGGGAGAGGTGGCCGCGTCTTCTTCCTGGAGGCGGCCAGATCGCGCGACCTCCAGGCAGTGCTCCTACTCGGCAGCACCCACCTGCCTCTGCTTGAGAAAGCACAAACCGCCCTCTGGGGAAGCAGCCAGCTGGGGAGTGCTCTCGGCCTGTGACCCCGGGAGGGCTGGGTAGGTGGCCACATGTCCTGCCCCGGCTCTGGGTGTGGCTGGTGGCAGAGGGTCTATGAGGGAAGGGCAGGACAAAGGCAACCCCTAAGGCTAATCTGAAATTTAGGGCTGGGCGTGGTGGCTAAGCCTGTGATCCCAGCACTTTGGGAGGCCGAGGCGGGTGGATCACGAGGTCAGGAGATCGAGTCCATCCTGGCTAACATGGTGAAACCCCGTCTCTACTAAAAATACAAAAAATTAGCCAGGTGTGGTGGCAGACACCTGTAGTCCCGGCTACTCGGGAGGCTAAGGCAGGAGAATGGTGTGAACCCAGGAGGCGGGGCTTGCAGTGAGCCGAGATAGCGCCACTGCACTCCAGCCTGGGAGACAGAGCAAGACTCTGTCTCAAAAAAAAAAAAATATGAAATTTAATAATAATCTTTTTAAAAAGTTACCTGGGCAGGGTGGTGTGCAGCTGTAGTCCTAGCTACTCAGGAGGCTGAGGCAGGAGGATCGCTTGAGCCCGGGAGTCCAAGGCTGCAGTGAGCATTGCTTGTGCCACTGCATTCTGGCTTGGGGAACAGGGAGACCCTGTCTCAAAGAAATTAATTAATCATGCAGTTGAGTGGTATTTAGTCCATTCACAATGCTGCAGCCGCCTCTCGCGTGTTCTGAAACATTTGACCTATTCACTGACTGACTGACTGCTCTGTCAGTGAGCTGTGAGGGGAGGTGACTCTGTGTGGGGCCCACACCCTCTGCCACCTGGTCCTATAGACAGACTCTTCTGAGTGGAGGGGCAGAGCGGCCCTGGGACCTAGGAGCAAGCCTGGCCCGAGGCTTGTGGATTGAAGAGGAAGGCTGGCACTGCACTTCAGACCACATGCATGCCCTCCCCCCGGAGGGGTCACTGGTCTGTTCGCATACTCGCAGACCCCTCTGGGATGCCACGGAAGCCAGGCGTGTGTGAGGAGGCAGGGCAGACTGCTTCTCCGGCTTTCTTCTCCCACTACCCCCGCCCCAGCGCAAAGAGTTTGTTCTATTGTTCAGCAAATATTCTTAGGCCAGAATCTTAAATGTTTCCATTCTATAACAAACACTGTGCTCATTTGTCAACCAATAAGTAATTTTAACAGCCCTCTTTGGATGCAACAAATGCCTGAACATCTGATCTTTTATTTTCTTGAGACAGGATCTCGCTCTGTTGCCCAGGCTGGGGTGCCGTGGTGCAATCTCGGCTCACTGCAGCCTCTGCCTCCTGGGCTCAAGTGATTCTCTTGCCTCAGCCGCCTGAGTAGCTGGGATTACAGGTGTGCACCACCATGCCCGGCTACATTTTTGTATTTTTAGTAGAGATGGGGTTTCGCCACGTTGGCCAGGCTGGTCTTGAACTCCTGACCTCAGGTGATCCACCCACCTCTGCCTCCCAAAGTGCTGGGATTACAGGTGGAAGGCACTGCACCTGGCCTTGATGTCTGATCTGAATGGTAGGGGTGGTGGGGCAGGCAGTAGTTGTGGGAGTTGACAGTGCTTAGAGGGAAATTTATAGCTTTAACCACCTATGTAATAAAAGGGGGTCTCAAATAAAAAATGTTGGGCAGGGTACGGTGGCTCATGCCTGTAATCCCAGCACTTTGAGAGGCTGAGGCAGGCGGATCATGAGGTCAGGAGATCGATACCATCCTGGCTAACATGGTGAAACCCTGTCTCTATTAAAAATACAAAAAATTAGCCAGGCGTAAACTTGGGAGGTGGAGCTTGCAGTAAACCGAGATCATGCCACTGCACTCCAGCCTGGGCAACGAACAAGACTGTTGTCTCAAAAAAAAAAATGTCTTCAACCAGGTGCAGTGGCTCATACCTGTAATCGCAGCACTTTGGGAGGCCGAGCTGGACAAATCACATGAGGTCAGGAGTTTGAGACCAGCCTGGTCAACATGGAGAAACCTGATCTCTACTAAAAATACAAAAATTAGCTGGGCGTGGTGGCATGTGCCTGTAGTCCCAGCTACTCTGGAAGCTGAGGCACGAGAATCGCTTGAACATGGGAAGCAGAGGTTGCAGTGAGCCAAGATCATGCCATTGCACTCCAGCCTGAGTGACAGAGTGAGACTTTGTCTCAAAAAAGAAAAAAAGTACAATTCTACCTTAAATTAGAAAGAAGAACAAATGAAACCTAAAGAAAGATTAGAGAGGAAATTAGTAAACTAGAAAGCAGAAAAACCAAAAGTTGGTTCCTTGAAAAGATCAACAAAATTGGCAAACTCTTAGCTAGACTGACTACCAAAAGCATGAAAGAGGGGACATCACTACCAATCCTACAGAAATGAACAGGACTTGGCCGGGCAGAGTGGCTCACGCCTGTAATCCCAGCACTTTGGAAGGCTGAGGCAGGTGGATCACGAGATCAGGAGATCCAGACTCATCCTGGCTAACATGGTGAAACCCCGTCTCTACTAAAACTACAAAAAATTAGCCGGGCATGGTGGTGGGCGCCTGTAGTCCCAGCTACTAGAGAGGCTGAGGCAGGAGAATGGCATGAACCTGGGAGGTGGAGCTTGCAGTGAGCTGAGATCGCACCACTGCACTCCAGCCGGGGCAAAAGAGCAAGACTCCGTCTCAAAAAAAGAAAAAAAAGAAAGAAAAAGAAATGAACAGGACTTGGAATACTAGGAAAACTCTGTACCAACAAATTAGGTGAAACTGACAAACTCCTAGAGGGACACAAATCACTTAAATTGGCTCAGAAATCTGAGAAATTTAATAGAAAATCTAAATAGACCTATAACAAGAAATTATAGTAATGAAAAGTCCTGAGTCTTCCTACAGAAAGCCTGTGCCCACGTGGCTGCCACTGTATACTGTCAATAACACCAACCATTCACAATCTTCAGAATGTGGAGGATGAGACACGCCCATCTGAGTCTAAGAGGCTAAAGGCAGCGAAAGGCATCATGATCCGCGCCCCCACCCCACAGAACAATGTCCATCATGAATACAGACATAAAGATCCTTAACAAAATATTAGCAACCCAAACTCGGCAACATCATACACCACGACCACGTGGGTGTATCACAGCAAAGTGAGGTTGCTTAAACATCTACGAAGCACTTAACGTCATAAGCCACATTAATAGAAAAACAGATGCCTGTAATCCCAACACTTTGGGAGGCTGAGGTGGGCGGATTGCTTGAGCCCAGGAGTTCAAGACTAGCCTGGGCAATATAGCGAAACCCTGTCTCTACCAAAATAAACAAACAAAAAAAACAAAAATTAGCCAGGCATGGATGGGAGGGCATGCTTATGGTCTTAGCTACTCACAAGGCTGAAACCAGAGGATCATTTGCGCCCAGGAGGTGCAAGTCCAGTGAGCTGAGATCGTGCCACTGCACTCTAGCCTGGGAAACAGCCAGAGCCTGTTTCCAAAAAAAAAAAAAAAAAAAAAGGCACCCACAAGATACATCTCAATCAATGCAGAAAAGCACAGCACAAAAGTCCCACACCTGTTCCTGATAAAGACTCTCACAACCCAGGAACAGAAGGGGAAGTCCCCAGCTGGAAAAGGCCATCTGTGTTAGGTTCCAATTGCTGCTGGGATAGGTCACCGCCACCTCAGTGATTTAAAACAACACAAGTTTAGGCCAGGTATGGCTCACACCTGTCATCCCAACACTTTGGGATGCTGAGGCGGCTGAATCACTTGAGGTCAGGAGTTCACGACAAGCCTGGCCAACATGGCGAAACCCCATCTCTACTAAAAATACAAAAATTATCCAGGTGTGGTGGCACATGCCTGTAATCCCAGCTACTTGGGAGGCTGAGACCAGAGAAGTGCCTGAACCCAGGAGGTGGAGGTTGCAGTGACCCAAGATCGTGCCACTGCACTTCCAGCCTGGGTGACAGAGCAATACTCCATCTCAAAAAAAAAAACAAACCCAAAAACCAAAACCCAAGTGTACCTTGCGGTTTGGAGGTCGGTAGTTTGACATGGGTCTCATGGGACTAAAAGGAAGGTGTGGGCAGGGTTGCGTTCCCTGCAGAGGCCCTGGGGGAGGCTCTGTATCCCCATCCTTTCCACAGGCACCCTTGGCTCGTGGCCCTTCCTGCCATCTTCAAAGCCAGCAACAGCAGGTCGAGTCCTCCGTGCCTCAAGGCAACTCCTCCTCTGCTTTTAAGGACCGCGCAGCTCCCTAGGTTCATCTGGAAAAGCCATGCTACTCCATTTTGGGGAACTGACCTGAAATTGGCACCGCCTCTTGTTGGTGTGGCCTCACATCATCCCAGGGCCCAGGGGTTAGAATGTGGCCATCTTTGCGGTGAGCACTATTCTGCCTCCCATAGCATCCGTGAGAAACACAGCTGGCAGCGTAATTCATGGTGGGTGACGATGGTTCCCTCTAAAGGCAGGAACAAGGGGTTTAATAAGATGCTAAATATATATATATATATATATATATATATATATATATATATATATAGAGGAAAGGAAAAGGTAAAAGTGTCTGTTCATAGCACGAGGATCCTCTACATAGCAAGGCCTACGGGACACACACAACCGGAACAAGGAAGTTCAGCTGGGCCCCGGGACCCAGAGTTAACAGATTCATTGCCTTTCTATAGACTACGAACAATCCAAACAAAACTAAGACGCCATTCACTAGCATGGAAACGAGAACACACACTTAGGGGCCACCTTGGTGAAGGAAACTGAAGATTTATACACTGAAAATACGAGACATTGCTGAGAGAAATGGAAAGACAGCCCATGTTCATTGGGTAGGAGACTCCTATTAAGATTTCTGTCTCCCCAGATGGGCCCATAGATCCCATGAAGTCCCTATTAAGATCCCATCAGGGGCCAGACACAGTGGCTCACACCTGTAATCCCAGCACTTTGGGAGGCAGAGGAGGGCGAATCACAAGGTCAGGAGATAGATAGAGATCATCCTGGCTAACACGGTGAAACCGCAGCTCTACTAAAAATCAAAAAAAAAAAAAAAAAAAAATTAGCTGGGTGTGGTGGCAGGCGCCTGTAATCCCAGCTACTCCAGAGGCTGAGGCAGGAGAACAGCGTGAACCTGGGAGGCAGAGCTTGCAGCGAACCAAGATTGCGCCACTGCATTCCAGCCTGGGCAACAGAGCGAGACTCTGTCTCAAAAAAAAAAAAAAAAAAAAAAAAAAAATCCCACCAGGTATTTTGGAGAAAGTGACAAGCAGACAAGCAGATTCTAAATTTATATGGAAATACAAGAATCTAGACAAGCCACAACAGGTTTGAAACAGGATGAGTTGGAGGGCTCAGGCTGCCTGATTTCAAAACTCACTATAAAGTGTGAGTGGCAGGCCAGGCATGGTGGCTCACACCTGTAATCCCAGCACTTTGGGAGGCCGAGGCAGGGAGATCACAAGGTCAGGAGTTCAAAACCAGCCTGGGCAATATGCTGAAATCCCGTCTCTACTAAAAGTACAAAAATTAGCCAGGTGTGGTGGCGGGTGTCTGTAGTCCCAGCTACTCAGGAGGCTGAAGCAGAAGAACTGCTTGAACCCAAAAGGCGAAGGTTGCAGTGAGCTGAGATCATGCCACTGCACTTCAGCCTGGGTGACAGAGTGAGACTCTGTCTCAAAAAAAAAAAAAAAAAAGTGTGGGCCGGGCACAGTGGCTCACACTCTGCAATCCCAGTACTTTGGGAGGCCAAGGTGGGTGGATCACCTCAGGTCAGGAGTTTGAGACCAGCCTGGCCAACATGCTGAAATCCTGTCTCTACTAAAAATACAAAATTTAGCCGGGTGTGGTGGTGCATGCCTGTAATCCCAGCTAATCGGGAGGCTGAGGCAGGAGAATCGCTTGAACCAGGAGGTGGAGGTTGCAGTGAGCTGAGATTGTGCCACTGCGCTCCAGCCTGGGCCACAAGAGCAAGACTCCATCTCAAAAATAAAGTGTGACAGTGGTACAAGGAAGGGCATGGAGACCAGCAGGTCGGAGTCTAGAATAAATCCTTGTATTCGAGGCCATCTGATTTTTCAACAAAGATGCCAAGACATTTCAGTTGGGAAAAGGAGAGTCTAACACATGGTGTTGGGACAATTAGGTATCTGTGGAAGAAGTGACTCGAGACCCTTCCTCATATCCTCATAAACTAACTCAAAACGGATCACAGACCTAAATGCAATAGCTGAAGCCATCAGACTTTCAGAAGCAGCTGCAGGAGAACATCTCTGTCATCTTGGGTTAGGCAAAGAGTTGTTATAGGAAAGAAAAAATCAGTTGGAACTTGTCACAGTGAAAAACTTTTGTACTTTAAAAAGACAACTTTTTTTTTTTCTTTTTGAGATGAGGCTTTGCCCCGTTACCCAGGCTGGAGTGTAGTGGCATGATCGTGGCTCACTGCAGCCTCAAGCAATCCTCCAGATCCAGCCTAAGCCTCCCGAGTAGCTGGGACCACAGGTGCATACCACCATGTGTGGCTAATTTTTGTATTTTTTGTAGAGATGGGGTCTTGCTATGTTGCCTAGGCCAGTCTTGAAATCTTGGGCTTAAGCAACCCTCCAGCCTCAGCCTCCCAAAGTGCTGGGATTATAGATGTGAGCCACCACACTGGGCCAAAAGACAGCTTTTTTTAAAAAAATAGAGAAGCTACAGGCTGGGAAAAATATTTGCCAGTCTTTTTTTTTTCCCGCTTGTTGATCCATCACTAAGAGTTATAAGTAATATACAAAGTCTTACAACTCAAGAACATACCCAATTAAAAATGGGTAACCAGCAGCTTTGTACATGTTAAAAAAATAAAAACAAAAAGATTGACTTAGATTATGTCACCAAAGACTGACATAAGAATGGCCAATAAACACATGAAGAGGTTTGACATCACTAGTTAACAGAAAAACATGAGTTAGAATAGTTTACAGGAACATACCAAATGCTGGTGAGAATGTGGGACAACTGCAACTTGCATACTTTGTAAAACAGTACACTCGACTGGGCGTGGGGGCTCACACCTGTAATCCCAGCACTCTGGGAGGCCAAGGTGGGCAGATCACCTGAGGTCAGGAGTTCGAGAGCAGCCTGGCCAACGTGGTGAAACTCCATCTCCACTAAAAATAAAACAATTAGCTGGGCATGATGGTGGGTGCCTGTAATCCCAGCTACTCAGGAGGCTGAGGCAAGAGAATCGCTTGAACCCAGGAGGTGGAGGTTGCAGTGAGCCGAGATTGTGCCACTGCACTCCAGCCTGGGCGATAAGAGTGAGATTCTGTCTAAAAAAATATGGGGGCCGGGTGTGGTGGCTCACGCCTGTAATCCCAGCACTTTGGGAGGCCGAGGCAGATGGATCACGAGGTCAGGAGATCGAGACCATCCTGGCTAACACGGTGAAACCCCATCTCTACTAAAAATACAAAAAATTAGCCAGGCGTGGTGGTGGGTGCCTGTAGTCCCAGCTACTCAGGAGGCTGAGGGTGGAGAATGGCATGAACCCAGGAGGCAGAGCTTGCAGTGAGCCAAGATCACGCCACTGCACTTCAGCCTGGGGGACAGAGCAAGACTCTGTCTCAAAAAAAAAAAAAATTATGCCCACACTAGAAAACAGTTTTTTAAAGGAGATACAACACTATGAACCAGCAACTCCACTCCTAAGACTGTACCCAAGAAAAATGAAACCTGTGTCCAAAGACTTGCACACAAATAGAGTAGCATTTTTCACAGTAACCCCAAATGGAAACAGTCCAAGCCTCCAGCAACTAAGGAGGCGCCATGAACAAATGTGGCCACAGAGCGGAGCATCGTTCAGCTGCAAAGCACGAAGCATTACTCCGTGTCACGGCATGGATGAGCCTCCAAAACACCGCATCCAGGGAAGAAACCAGATGCAGAGTGTACAGCTCATGTGGGAAAGGCGGAGGGCAGTGCTGGCTGCACAACACGCATTTCCTGTCACCGACTTGCACACTTAACAGTGAGAGAATTTTATGCTCTATAAATTATAAATCAATAAAACTGTTTTAGAAACAGAATCATAGAGTAAAGGGAACACATTACTTCATACTTAGTTATCTCAGCCTGTCTAGAAAACAATTCCAACCCTGACAGACAGCAAATGAAATTGAGGAGAGAAAATGATAATGCATAATAGTATAAAAGCAACAATCATATATAAAAAGAACCGAAAAAAATACATGCAAGAGCACAACATAGAAAATCTACAAAAACACAAGAGACGCAAGTCCTAGGTAAAGGAGGAAATACTGCATGTCCCCAGGTGGGAAGGCTCAGTACAGGAAGACGTCACAGACTGCAGGGCTACTCAGAATTTGGTTTTGTTTTAGAGACTCAACAGCTGCTTCCAAGGTTTATATGGAAACGCAAAGGACTGGGAAGAGCCAAGATGCTCTTAAACAATGAGGCCCTACTCTACCAGATGTGAGAATTTCCTGAAAATAACAGGGAGACCCCATCTCTACAAAAAAATAAAAATTAGCTGAGCATGGTGGCACACAGCACACCTGTGAGTCCCAGCTACTTGGGAGGCTGAGGCGGGAGGATCACCTGAGCCTGGGAGGTTGAGGCTGCAGTGAGCCAAGATGGCGCCACTGCACTCCAGCCTGGGAAACAGAGCAAGACAGTGTCTCCAAAAAGAAAGAAAGAAAGAAAAAAAACTCCAGCTTACCAAAAAGCCACCACTGTGCAGAGAGCATGGCAGTGGACAGACAAAGGGGGCCAAGAATCCAGAAAGGGGCCCAGGCTTAGATGGGCTTGGTTTATGATGGGCAGTGACACCCCTTCCACCAAACGGCACAGAGGCTGATGGTAACCACCACACGGGAACAGTTAACCCTGAGCCTGGCCTCTCCCTCTTAAGAGGCCGATTAGAAGGGAAAACAGGACAGTGTTGGCACAAAATAGTACTTGAAACCGTAAAAATAAAATAGAGGACATTAAGAATTTTGCCGTTTTCCCATCTGCATTAGTCCATTCTCACATTGCTATAAAGGACTGCCTGAGAGTGGGTAATTTATAAAGAAAAGAGGTTTAATTGACTTGCAGTTCCACAAGGCTGGCGAGGCCTCAGGAAACTTACAATCATGGTGGGTAAGGACGCAAACATGTGCTTCTTCACATGGCAGCAGGAGAGAGAAATTAGTGCCCAGTGAAGGGGGAAGCCCCTTATAAAACCATCAGATCTCATGAGAACTCACTTTCAAGAGAACAGGATGGCAGGAACCACGCCCATGATTCGGCCATTCCACTGGGTCCCGTGCACAACATGTGGGGATTATGGGAACTACAATTCAAGATAAGATTTGGGTGGGGACACAGCCCAACCATATCATTCCACCTCTGGCCCCTCCTAAACCGCATGTCCTCACAATTCAAAACACAATCATGCCCTTCCAGCCATCCCCCAAAGTCTTAACTCATTCCAGCATTAACCCAAAAGTCCAAGTCCAGAGTCTCATCTGAGACAAAGCAAGTCCCTTCTGCCTATAAGCCTGTAAAATCAAAAGCCAAGTGAGTTACTTCCTAGATACAGTGGGGGTACAGGCATTGGGTAAATACACCTATTCCAAATGGGAGAAATTGGCCAAAACAAAGGGGCTACAGGCCCCAGGCAAATCTGAAATCCAACAGGGCAGTCAAATCTTAAAGCTCCAAAATGATCTCCTTTGACTCCATGTCTCACATCCAGATCACACTGATGCAAGAGCTGGGTTCCCAAGGCCTTGGGCAGCTCCACCCCTGTGGCTATGCAGGGTACAGCCCCCCTCCCAGCTGCTTTCACAGGCTTGTGACAAGTGTCTGTGGCTTTTCCAGGTCCATGGTGCAAGCTGTTGTCGGTGGATCTACCATTCTGGGGTCTGGAGGATGGTGGCCCTTTTCTCACAGCTCCACTAGGCAGTGCCCTAGTAGGGACCCTGTGGAGGGATCCAACCCCACATTTCCCTTCCGTATTGCCCTAGCAGAGGTTCTCTGTGAAGACTCTACCCCTGCAGCACACTTCTGCCTGGACATCCAGTAGTTCCTATACATCCTCTGAAATCCAGGCAGAGGTTCCTAAACCTGAATTTTTAATTTATTAATTTATTTATGTTTGAGATGGCGTCTTGCTCTGTCACCCAGGCTGGAGTGCAGTGGCATGATCTTGGCTCACTGCAACTTCTGCCTCCCAGGTTCAAGTGATTCTCCCACCTCAGCCTCCCAGGTAGCTGGGACTAGAGGCGTGCACCACCATGCTTGGCTAATTTTTGTATTTTTAGTAGGGACACGGTTTCACCATGTTGGCCAGGCTGGTCTCAAACTCCTGACCTCAGGTGATCCACTTGCCTCGGCCTCCCAAAGTGTTGGGATTACAGGCGTGAGCCATTGCACCTAGCTCCCAAACCTCAATTCTTGACTTCTGGGCATCTGCAGGCCCAATACCACATGGAAACTGCCAAGGCTTGGGGCTTGCACCCTCTGAAGCAACAGTCTGAGCTGTACCTTGGCTCCTTTAGCCATGGCTGGGAGGCAGGGCACCCGAGACTACACAAAGCAGCAAGGCCCTGGGTCTGGTCCACTAAACCATTTTTTCCTCCTAGGCCTCGGGGCCTGTGATGGGAGGGGCTGCCCTGAAGACGTCTGACATGCCCTGGAGACATTTTCCCCACTGTCTTGGTGATTAACATTTGGCTCCTTGTTATGCAAATTTCTGCAGCCAGCTTAAATTTCTCCTCAGAAAATGGGCTTTTCTGTTTTATGGCATCATCACGCTGCAAATTTTTCAGTCTTTTATGGTTGGCTTCCCTTTTAAACATAAGTTCCAATTCCAAACCATATCTTTGTGAATACATAAAACTGAATGCTTTTAACAGCATCCAGGTCACATTTTGAACAGTTTGCTGCTTAGAAATTTCTTTCACTGGCTGGGCGCAGTGGCTCATGCCTGTAATCCCAGCACTTTGGGAGGCCAAGGCGGGCAGATCACAAGGTCAGGAGATCAAGACGCTCCTGGCCAACATGGTGAGACCCTGTCTCTACTAAAAATACAAAAATTAGCTGGGTGTGACAGCGTGCTTCTGTAGTTCCAGCTACTCAGGAAGCTGAGACAGGAGAATCGCTTGAACATGGGAGGCAGTGGTTGCAGTGAGCCGAGATTGCGCCACTGCACTCCAGCCTGGGTGACAAAGTGAGACTCCATCTCAGAAAAAAAAAAAAAAATTTATTTCACTAGATGCCCTAAATCATCTCTCACAAGTTCAAAGTTCCACAAATCTCTAGAGCAGGGGCAACATGCCACCAGTCTCTGCTAAAACATAGCAAGAGTCACCTTTATTCCAGTTTCCTACAAGTTCCTCTTCTCCGAGACCACCTCAGCCTGGACTTTGTTGGCCATATCACTATCAGGATTTTGGTCAAAGGCATTCAGCAAGTCTAGGAAGCGCCAGACTTTCCCACATCTTCCTGTCCTTTTCTGAGCCCTCCAAACGGTTCCAACCTCTGCCTGCTACCCAGTTCCAAAGTCACTTCCACATTTTTGGGTATCTTTACAGCAGTGTCCCACTGTAATAATAATTATTACAGTAATAATTTACTGTATTAGTCTTTTCTCATGCTGCTGATAAAGACATACCTGAGACTGGGTAATTTATAAAGGAAAGAGGTTTAATGGACTCACAGTTCCACATGGCTGGGGAGGCCTCACAATCATGGCGGAAGGCAGAGGGTCTTACACGGCGGCAGGCAAGAGAGCGTCTGCAGGGGAACTCCCATTTATAAAACCATCAGGTCTCAGCCAGGCGCAGTGGCTCACGCCTGTAATCCCAGCACTTTGGGAGGCTGAGGCGGGTGGATCACGAGGTCAGGAGATCGAGACCATCGTGGTTAACACGGTGAAACCCCATCTCTACTGAAAATACAAAAAATTAGCCGGGCGTAGTGGTGGGCACCTGTAGTCCCAGCTATTTGGGAGGCTGAGGCAGGAGAATGGCATGAACCTGGAAGGTGGAGCTTGCCGTGAGCCGAGATTGTGCCACTGCACTCCAGCCTGGGAGACAGAGCAAGACTCCATCTCAAACAAACACACAAAAAACAAAAACAACCATCAGGTCTCATGAGAGTTACTACCACAACAGTATGGGGAAAACTGCCCCCTGATTGAGTTGTTTCCACCTGTCCCTGCCCTTGACACATGGGAATTATTACAGTTCAAGGTGAGATTTGGGTGGGGATGTGAGGCCAAACCAAATCATCTTTGTTGTTGGTATCTGAGGAATCAACCTCAACATTTAAGGGATATCATCTCAATTAAAATTAAGAACTCTCGCCGGCCCGGTGGCTCACGCTTGTAATCCCAGAGCTTTGGGAGGCCAAGGCAGGCAAATCACCTGAGGTCAGGAGTTTGAGACCAGCCTGACTAACATGGAGAAACCCTGTCTCTACTAAAAATACAAAATTAGGGGCTGGGCACGGTGGCTCACACCTGTAATCCCAGCACTTTGGGAGGCCGAGGCCGGCAAATCACCCGAGGTCGGGAGTTTGAGACCAGCTTGGCCAACATGGTGAAACCCTGTCTCTACTAAAAATACAAAACATTAGCCAGGCGTGGTGGCTCATGCCTGTAATCCCAGCTACTTGGGAGGCTGAGGCAGAAGACTCGCTTGAACATGGGAGGTGGAGGTTGCAGTGAGCGGAGATCACACCACTGGACTCCAGCCCTGGTAACAGACTGAGACTCCATCTCAAAAAATAAATAAATAAAATAAAATAAAAATTAGCCAGGTGTGGTGGTTCATGCCTATAATCCCAGCTACTTGGGAGGCTGAGGCAGGAGAACTGCTTGAACCCAGGAGGCAGAGGTTGCAGTGAGCTGAGATCGCACCATTACACTCCAGCCTGGGCAACGAGCAAAACTCCATCTCAAAAAAAAAAAAAAAAAAAAAACTCACCAGAATCCTAACGAGAGGACAGAAAGGCCACACACCTGAGTGTGCGTGCTGAATGCTTTTGTTTTTTCTTGTATCTTGCAAATCAGAAATCAGCCAGCTAACTAGAAAATCGGCAAGAGACCGAAACCAGCAGTGGCTGAGGCCAGATGACCCTGTGGCTGTGTGCTGGACAAGATGCTCGGTCTCCCAGGTGATGGCCACCGTCCACTCGCCACTGGCCTGAGTGTAGACAGGTATGCACCCACAGGATGCAGAGCCACAGGGCTCGGTGGCATTGCTGGAAACAGTGAGAAGGACAGGGACAGATGTATTCCAGGACGTGACCTAGACATGGCCTCACCTCCCTCGGGTCCTGTCCTACAGAAAGCCAGGCCCTGTGCGGCCTGAAGACAGGCAGAATGCGGCTCATGGAGGAGCCTGGGAGGCCACCGGCCTTGAGCTGGGAGAGGCCACGGGGAGTGGGGCCATTGGGGGTGGCGGCAGTGATGGGGGCCTCTGGAACTCAATGGGCTGAATGTGTGTGTAGGCCTCTGCGTTACCACAGGAATCAAAGAGGCCTGGAGCCCCCTTACGCGGCTGCCGCAACCCTGGTGAGGCTCTGCCCGCCCGCGACACCCGGCCCCTCCCAAAGGAAGAGAACAGGGACAGATTCTCCCTTCCCACCTGGAATGTGTGGGGCTCCCAGGTGGGGTGCGCGGCCTGACGGAGGCCGGGGCCCCCACGGGGACCTCTCCTGAGAGGAGGCCGCCCGGGTCTGCTGGCCTCAGGCCCCAGGCCCCTGCTGAGTCTGCGTTTTCTGCTGAGTAAACGGATCGTGGGTCTTTCTGGGTGTGGACTTTCTCCCCGTGGATCTATAATTTCTCAGAAGAGGAGCCGAGACGCCACCTGGAAAATGATCAATTCTCGATAAAGGGAAGACGATGACAGTGGGCCGGCGGCTTCCCACAGCTCTGCACGGGGCCTGCCAGGTGAGGCCGGAGCTGAGGATGGGGTAGGGCCCTGGAAAACTGTGGTCTCCCCGAGCCCTGGCTGTGCCCCCGCCTGCACCCCTTCCGGCTGCTTCCCTGCACACTTTCCCACTGCCGAGGGACTGGTGGGCAGGCCCCACTGACAGCCAGGGGAGGGGCCTGCAGGGACCTGGAGGGGAGGGGCTGCACCTGCTCAGGCCCTGGGGGAGAGAGCGACTGGTTGGGAAGTGGTTTGAGCAGGTGGAGGGGAACCAGGGGCCTCTGGAGGCAGGTGGAGACGGAGCCCAGGGGTGGCCTTGGACATGGCTGGGCACACATTCCTGTGGCCTCTCTGCACACAAGCGGTGACTGTGGGGCGGCCAGGCCCTCACCAGAGCCTTGGGGGACAGCAAGGGGCAGGTGAGGCTTGTCTGAGGCACAAGACCTGGCTCCCATGGCCAGGCCACCCCCACACACTCCCCGAGGATGGCGCAGGGCAAAAGCAAACAGGCGCCTGCAGCCCTGCCAGGCATTCCTAGAAGAGGCTGGGGGCGGGGCAGTGGCCAGACACCAGCGCCCCTGGGGTCACGGGAGAGGCAGGGTGAGCTTGGGCCCTGGACAGCACCGTGGGCCTGAAGCCCAAACGGCAGCTCCCACCCAGGCTGTAGGGAACCCCCGGGAGGGCGGGTGGATGGCTGGGTGGGGCACGGGGAAGGGGCGGCAGCCCCTTAGCCCCACACGGCTGGCTACTCAGGCCAGGGGTGGGCTCAAGACCCCAGGAGCTGCCCGAGGAGCCCCCTGCCCGCAACAGGACCTGGTAAAACCCTGGGCTCCCCAAACCGGCCTCAAGCCCCAGCCCCTCCCAGGCTGCTGCAAGGGGTCCCCACCCCAACCTGGCTGCCCAGCCCTCCCCAGTCAGCCCTGCAGGGGGCCCGGGCACTGGCCGTCAGCCCCCAGGGCCGCATTACGGCTACCTCGGGCCCCGACTGAAGCTCCCTCACCCCCTGCACTGTCTGCACCCCAGGGCTCCGGGCTGATGCCGGCCGCCCGGCACGAGGGGGTTAACAGAGCCAGGGCCAGCTGGGTTGGGCCAGCCAGGTGACAGGCGCGGGCTGCCCCGCAGTGGGGAAATCCAGAGGGCAGGGGTGGCCGGCACAGCAGACGTACCCTCCCTCGCTGCCTGCCTGCAGCCTGCCCTGCATGCAGGATGGCCCTGAGGAAAGGTGAGGCCCCCGAGTGCCCCGCCACCCACTCTAGGGGTGGCCAGTCTGTGACCCTGAGCCCGCTGGGGAGAGGCCGGGGTAGCCCCCAAGGAAGCTCTGGGGGGCTCAGCTCTGGGGGTCTGCGGGGGACTCTGGGGAGCCCACAGTCGGAAATGCGGCTGCTGGGGTTGGCAGGGGGACACAGCTGTGCCTGGCACCAGGGGTCTCTGTCCCGTCCTCCACCCTAAGGGCGCTGGCGGCGGCACAGGGGAGGAGGGCCAGGTGCAGGCCGGACCCTTCAGCTCCCAGCACAGCGGCGGGAAGTGCCCCGCACGGCCCGCGTTGTGGGCCCGGCCCAGGCAGGAGACGTTGGCTCACACCCCATTGTCTCTGTGGGGTGACCCCTTGCAGCTTCGGCCACCCCCAAGCCTGAGCTGAGCTCCAGAGCTGGCTCAGGCCACTCCCAACCCATCGTGACAGAAGGGCAGTCGGGGGGGCCCCACCTCGCCCCTGCCACCATCCCAGCAATTCCACACTCTCTGAGGATGGGGGGGCCATACAGTAGAGGTTTTGGGTCATCGCTGCTTGGGAGCCTGCTGGCTGGGTCTGTGGGGCCTGTGGCCCCTTGTCCTGAAAGGCAATGTGAGCTTTGGTGGCCGACGGTCCAGGGTTCCTACCTGTCCCCCGACGGCGGTGCCCCGGTCCCCTCCCGCAGCACCCGACCAAGGCCTGGATGCAGGCAGGTGAGACCCCGCTGGGGGGCCTAACTGGGGCAGGAGGTGCCCAGCTCCCTGTCCAGCCTCTGAGGGCAGTGAGCGAGTGCCCACCAAGACCTGCTGCAGAATATTCTGAAAATGGCCGGACCTTGGCCAATGGCTCAGTTCCCTCCCCTTCCTCTAGGCCAACGTGGCAGACTGGCCTGGCTCAAGCGCCTGCCTTGGGGGTGCGGCTGCCACATGGCCAGACAGCCCGAGACCCAGCCTGGCCGAGCCCACGTGGCCTGCGCACAGCTGGAGAGCCAAGCCCTGAGCGTCTGTGCAGCGGGGCGGGGCGGCCACTCCTCTGTCCCATGGGGTGGGAAGCGCAGTGTCAGCTTTTGAGCCGGAGGACCTGTGGGGCTCACCGGCTTCTTCGCATCTCAGCGGGTGACCTCGAGCCTCAGTTCACACCTGAGCGCCGCTTCCGGCTGTGCTGGTATCAGGCTCACTCGGGCAGAGCCCTCCTCGGGCCGCCTCCCCAAGCCTCTCCCCCCGCAGGAGGCCTGGCCCTGGCGCTGCTGCTGCTGTCCTGGGTGGCACTGGGCCCCCGCAGCCTGGAGGGAGCAGACCCCGGAACGCCGGGGGAAGCCGAGGGCCCAGCGTGCCCGGCCGCCTGTGTCTGCAGCTACGATGACGACGCGGATGAGCTCAGCGTCTTCTGCAGCTCCAGGAACCTCACGCGCCTGCCTGATGGAGTCCCGGGCGGCACCCAAGCCCTGTGGCTGGACGGCAACAACCTCTCGTCCGTCCCCCCGGCAGCCTTCCAGAACCTCTCCAGCCTGGGCTTCCTCAACCTGCAGGGCGGCCAGCTGGGCAGCCTGGAGCCACAGGCGCTGCTGGGCCTAGAGAACCTGTGCCACCTGCACCTGGAGCGGAACCAGCTGCGCAGCCTGGCACTCGGCACGTTTGCACACACGCCCGCGCTGGCCTCGCTCGGCCTCAGCAACAACCGTCTGAGCAGGCTGGAGGACGGGCTCTTCGAGGGCCTCGGCAGCCTCTGGGACCTCAACCTCGGCTGGAATAGCCTGGCGGTGCTCCCCGATGCGGCGTTCCGCGGCCTGGGCAGCCTGCGCGAGCTGGTGCTGGCGGGCAACAGGCTGGCCTACCTGCAGCCCGCGCTCTTCAGCGGCCTGGCCGAGCTCCGGGAGCTGGACCTGAGCAGGAACGCGCTGCGGGCCATCAAGGCAAACGTGTTCGTGCAGCTGCCCCGGCTCCAGAAACTCTACCTGGACCGCAACCTCATCGCTGCCGTGGCCCCGGGCGCCTTCCTGGGCCTGAAGGCGCTGCGATGGCTGGACCTGTCCCACAACCGCGTGGCTGGCCTCCTGGAGGACACGTTCCCCGGTCTGCTGGGCCTGCGTGTGCTGCGGCTGTCCCACAACGCCATCGCCAGCCTGCGGCCCCGCACCTTCAAGGACCTGCACTTCCTGGAGGAGCTGCAGCTGGGCCACAACCGCATCCGGCAGCTGGCTGAGCGCAGCTTTGAGGGCCTGGGGCAGCTTGAGGTGCTCACGCTAGACCACAACCAGCTCCAGGAGGTCAAGGCGGGCGCTTTCCTCGGCCTCACCAACGTGGCGGTCATGAACCTCTCTGGGAACTGTCTCCGGAACCTTCCGGAGCAGGTGTTCCGGGGCCTGGGCAAGCTGCACAGCCTGCACCTGGAGGGCAGCTGCCTGGGACGCATCCGCCCGCACACCTTCACCGGCCTCTCGGGGCTCCGCCGACTCTTCCTCAAGGACAACGGCCTCGTGGGCATTGAGGAGCAGAGCCTGTGGGGGCTGGCGGAGCTGCTGGAGCTCGACCTGACCTCCAACCAGCTCACGCACCTGCCCCACCGCCTCTTCCAGGGCCTGGGCAAGCTGGAGTACCTGCTGCTCTCCCGCAACCGCCTGGCAGAGCTGCCGGCGGACGCCCTGGGCCCCCTGCAGCGGGCCTTCTGGCTGGACGTCTCGCACAACCGCCTGGAGGCATTGCCCAACAGCCTCTTGGCACCACTGGGGCGGCTGCGCTACCTCAGCCTCAGGAACAACTCACTGCGGACCTTCACGCCGCAGCCCCCGGGCCTGGAGCGCCTGTGGCTGGAGGGTAACCCCTGGGACTGTGGCTGCCCTCTCAAGGCGCTGCGGGACTTCGCCCTGCAGAACCCCAGTGCTGTGCCCCGCTTCGTCCAGGCCATCTGTGAGGGGGACGATTGCCAGCCGCCCGCGTACACCTACAACAACATCACCTGTGCCAGCCCGCCCGAGGTCGTGGGGCTCGACCTGCGGGACCTCAGCGAGGCCCACTTTGCTCCCTGCTGACCAGGTCCCCGGACTCAAGCCCCGGACTCAGGCCCCCACCTGGCTCACCTTGTGCTGGGGACAGGTCCTCAGTGTCCTCAGGGGCCTGCCCAGTGCACTTGCTGGAAGACGCAAGGGCCTGATGGGGTGGAAGGCATGGCGGCCCCCCCAGCTGTCATCAATTAAAGGCAAAGGCAATCGAATCTAACAGGCACAGTGGGTGACTGCGAACGTGAAACCAGGGAGGGGGCTGGGGGCTCGGCGCGCAGCTGTGGTCTCAGAGCTTTGGGAGGCCGAGGCGGGCGGATCGCTTGAGCCCAGGAGTTTGAGAGACCGTCCTGGGCAACACAAGAGAGACCCCGTCTCTACAAAAAATAAAAAAAATTAGCATAGCATGGTGGCCCATGCCTGTGGTCCTAGGGAGGCCGAGGCAGGAGGACTACTGGAGCCTGGGAGGTAGAGGCTGCCGTGAGCCAAGACTGCACCACTGCACTCCAGCCTGGGCGGCAGAGCAACACCCTGTCTCAAAAAAACCCACCTGGCTCAGGGGAGGGGAGGATGGTGTTGCCTGGGTACGCCTTGGTCTCCTCACCTCTCTCCTCCCCGGCTTGGCCACGCCCAGGGCCCCCGCCTGGATCCTGCCCCGCCACCGCCCTGGCCAACTGCCCCACACCCATGTGTCTTCCTGGTCCCCGTGGCTGCCCCTCGGGCTCCCCAGAACATCCTCCAGGAATGATGGCACCAACTCGAATCCCCAGGGGCTCTGCGTCTCACCCCTCCTCTTTGAGGGATCGCCCTGAGGACCAGGCAGTGTCCCCGAGGGGTGTGGTCCAGGCAGCCAGGGCGCGGCTGAGGTGGGGTGAGGAGGGAGCGCGGGGCGGGCCGTCCGCCTTGCGTGGGAAGCCGCACCCCCTGCAGATGCCGTGGGCGTTTGTCTCTGCCCCCCCCAGGCACCGGCATCGTCAGCCCAGGTGCTCCTGGTGCCCTCTCACCCACCCAGAGGCCGCCCGGGTTGGTTCCGGGCCCCCACCTCCAGGGTCCTCCCCTGCTGAAGGCTGAGCTCTTCCTTTGGGAAAAATGGCGCGTTCTGCTTTCTGGAAGGGCTTTCCTTTCGGGTCTCACTGGGAAGAGGTGCAGGGGACCCCTGGGATTGGAGCTCCCTTCTCAACCTGACTTCTGGTCTCTGTCCCGGGAGGGGCCCCTTTAGTGTCCCAGGGAGGCCATTCTTCCACGGCGAAGGGGCCAGCTGTCAGGTTTATCACAAAATCTCCCCGAATTCCCACCAAATAAGATGCAAACACATCAGCACCTGGGCCCAGGGGCTTGTTGACAACGGAACGAACGAACCTGCCGGCCTGGCCCAGTCCAGCCCAGAAACTTACAGAAGCAGGTGCTGTCTGACCCCGAAGGACAGAAGACTCTAGAAACATCAGATCTGTCGCCACAGCAGCGGACACGTTTAATGGCAGGCGCCTCTACAGTTACAAAACATGCCTGAGGTCAGTTCGCCCCCTTAGGGGGCACTCCCCGAGCTAAACACAGATGACAGCGACCCAGGGTGCTGGAGGCCCGGGGTCACCTGAGGACTGCAGAAGTCCCGCGCTCCGCTAACTGTGTGGACACGCGGCTGCCAGGGGCACAGGTAGGCAACATGGATGGGAAGAGAGCCCAGGCCGCCCCCGTCTCACAGCTGCAGAGCACGCAGACCACGGCACTGCAGGCCAACCAGGCAGAGCTGCTGGTGCGACACATCCTGGGGCTGGGCTGGTCGGGGAGAAGCTCTCCGGCTGACGCTGCCTGGGCCTGCCCCTGCAGGGCCCGGGAACCGAGCCCAGGCCTCTGTTTCTCTGAGAGGCTGGAGCAGAGCCCTTGGTGGCCCTGGAAAGCGGCTGCAAGGTGGCCTTAGTCAGGGGAGGCACGCGGGCGTCGCGTCCAGAATCTTCTGGGCTATGGAGGTGAGTGCAGCGAAGGCGGGGCTCCCAGGGAACTCCTGGATGAAGTCGTGGCCCTCCTCCAGGGTCCTCATGAGCGCAGGGTCCAGGGGCACGGAGCCTGCAGGGCACAGTGGAGGCGGTGGCGCCATGTCCGCACCTTCCACTCCCACCATTGGCTCAGCTGGACGCACCCGAACCACCCGTGGCCTTAGAGGGGATTGAGGCGCTGCCAGACGATTTCCACCTCCAGACCCGCGGCCCTCCCAGCAGGCTGGGTCCTGCCACCCGAGAGGGCCCTGAGAAGGGCGCGGGCGAATGACCTGCAGGTCTCAGCGGCATGGCGTGTGGCCCGAGAAGAGAGGAGGAAACCGCTCCCGTCCCCTCCTCTCCCTTGGGCACTGGGGGCATGGAGGTCAAACCCGCCCAGGGCAGAGATGGAATGGGAGGCCGCGACCCCAGCACCAGCTTGGGACACTCACCTAAGAAGGGCACCCCGGCGAGCTGGGCCAGCTCCTCTCCGCCGCCCCTGGAGAAGACGCTGGTGCACTCCTAGGAGACGGTGGTGAGCCCAGCACTGCCCAAAGCCCCCACCGGCCAGGTGCTGCCTCGCCCCCTCTGCAACCCCCGGGACTCACCGTGCAGTGTGGGCAGGTGAAGCCGCTCATATTCTCCACGATTCCCATCACCCGCAAGCCCGTCTTCCTACAGAAGGTCAGCTCGCGCCTCACGTCCCCCACGGACACCGCCTGCGGGGCAGGAGCCGAGGCCACGGTCAGCCAGGCGCACCAGCAGGGACACCCGCCCAGCCCTCTGGGAAGCCACCCACAGGGACTCGGGAAGGTGCCGCAGCGCTACCTGGGGCGTGGTGACCACGAGGGCCCCCAGGGGCTGGTAGGGACGCAGGGCTTCTATGGTGGCCATGTGCTCATCGGAGGTCCCCGGGGGCGTGTCCACCACCAGGTAGTCCAGCTCCCCCCAGGCCACGTCGGACACAAACTGCTTTATCAGCGCTGCAAAGACGGGGCAGACGGGGCGGTCAGGGCAGGGCAGGTCTGCACACGTGGCCCTGCGCCACTAAGAACCAGCCAGGTCAGGCCGAGGGGCTGCAGTCCATCAGGTGTCACTTGCCACCAGCCTCCATCACAGGCTCTCGGGAGGCCCTGGCCCGCTGCAGGAGTGCAAAGATGGGGCCGGGGCCATTACAGCGTCCCTTTCTGCAGTGTCTGGCCCCTGCCCACAGAGCCCCCGCTGACTCCCCGAGGCCCCAAATCAGAACACGGAGCCAGGACCCTCCAGGCGTCTGTACCCACACATGGGAGCACCCACATTCTCCGTGGTGGATGCCCCACTGGTGCACCCACAGCCTGCGCCTCACTCCCACCAGCCTCTCCCTGCCTTTGGGGGCGTCTAATGCCACCTGCTCCAGAGGCACCAGAACCCCCTCAGCTCTGCCCCTATGACCTGCCACACTGGGGCCTCAGGTCCCTGCATGCCATGGCCAGGGTCTCAGCAGACCCCACTCCCTCTGACCGGGAGTTGGGGACAGCTGTGTGGCAGCACGGACCCAACTGGAGACACACCGCCAGCCTGAGCCCTGTGCCTGGTCGTGGGTGTCATGTGCAGGTCCCCAGGAACAGGCCTGGCTGCTGAAGAGGAACATTTCCACAGGAGAGGCCGGCACGGACGCTAACCCCCTTCACCAGGACGGCGGACGCGCCGCCCGGCCGTTACCGTTTTTCTTGGGGCCTCTCCACACCACGGCCTCGTCCGGCTTCTCCAGCAGGAAGCCCACAGACATGAGCGAGATGCTCTGCTCCCGGTCCAGGAAGACGGGTGCCCAGCCGCGGTCGCACTGGTGCACAGCCCTGCCCTGCGCCCCGAGCATGCGGGGGATACTGGGGCCACACAGGTCCACATCCAGGATTCCCACCTGCAAGGAGCGGCACAGCCTAGGCCGGGGGCACCGCCAGGCCTCCACCGGGATGCGGGCAGCTGCCCGGGGCTCCGCCCAGTGAGGGGTAGGGCGCTCACCTTCTTGCCTGCATGGCGCAGTGCCAGGGCCAGCTCCGTGGAGATGGTGCTTTTCCCAACGCCCCCCTTTCCTGAGAGGACCAGGATGATGTGCCTGACGCCGGCCAGGTTTCCAGGCTCTGGGCGGAAACACGACAGAGAAGGTCAGGGCTCCTGGTGCCCACTGTGCCCACACACGCGGGGTCACCCACTGCCTCTTGCACCCACGTTCTGAGCGGGGCAGTGGTGAATCGCCAGACCCAGAGGCAGCCCGTGCCCCACTTCGCCCCGATGTAAAGACCTCCAGGCAGGTCCCCTGCAGCCCCAGACCCGGGGGGACCCTCTAAGACCACGGCACTCCCTGCACCTGCCTGAGGCGGCGCTGCTGAGAGTGGAAACTGCCCAACTCCTCTCGCTGTGTGGAAGGGTGCATGCGTTCCTTCGTGCGCGTGTGCAAACACACACGTGGGTCACATGATCATGAAACTGCCAGCCCCCTGCTATTTCTAACGGGAACCAGACTCCACTCTTTCCCCAGCCAGTGCACCTGGGCTCGGCAGAGGCAGCAGAGGGCCCAGGGTGGGTGGCAACAACCACGCGTTGTCACACACCAGCGTCCCCGGCTCTCGGTCCCTGCAATGTGCGGTAAGTGAGGGGAGCCGGCTGCTTCCAGCACAGCTCCAGCTCCTCTTCCTTCCAGGGTCCCATCCTGTCCCTGCCACACGGCAGGGGCTGCTGTGTGCAGATACCTTGGCAAAACCCCTGCATTCTCACCCCGGCGCCACCGCTGAGGCCATGCCCCTTGTCTCCAGCAAGCTGCTCCATCCCCGACAGGTCCTTGGAGGGTGCATGTGAGGGGCTCAACACATGATGCGTAAAACCTGCCCCCTTCTGATCCGCCTCTCAAGGGCACGTTCAAAGGCTCCCAAGTCCAAAGCCTCCCGGAGAACCTGGCATGCAGGCGGGTCCTCAGACCTACAGAGGCTGCCTGAGGTCTCCTCCAGGGGACGCGGAAAAGGCAGCCCCAGCCCCACACTCCTGCAAACACAAAGCCCCGAGACCACGGCCTCCCGGTCACCCCTGGGGCAATAAAAGGGGTTCTGACTTAAATTACTTCAACACCAAGAGGTACCAGAAGTGGCCCGTGCAGAGAGGGAGCATGCACTTCTGTAGCTGCCGGGGACTCTGTCAGGCCTGGGTCCTGACTGCCATGCTGCCATCAGTGCTGGCACCAGCGGCAGTGTTAACCCCCAGGGGCTCTCCTCGTTGGCAGAGGTGGGGGAATGGTGCCTGTCTGGTGTGTTGGGCTGAGCACCATGGTAAATGCAGGCCTTAGTGTCAGGAACCGGGACAACAACCCTGAGGGTTCCCCCAAGAACATTTCACTTCTCAGCAAACTGAGGCAGCTCCTAAGCAGATTGTCAGCAAAGCACAGTCAGCATGAGCCTGCCGGGTGGGGCAGTGGGGCTGGAAGTGCAGGAAGGAGGCGAAGCACCATCTCCCCGAGGAAGGCGAGTGCGCTCTCCATGGACAATGAGTCCCGGTCAGCTTTATGGGTTAGCAAATCCAGATCATTCCACGTGGTGGACAAATATATTTTTACAGTAAATGTATATTTTTATTTTGAGAGGGGGTCTCATTCTGTCGCCCAGGCTGGAGTACAGTGGCGCAATCTCGGCTCACTGCAACCTCCGCCTCCTGGGTCCAAGCAATTCTCGTGCCTCAGCCTCCCACGCCTCAGCTTCCAGAGTACCTGGGACCACAGGCGTGCGCCACCATGCCCAGCTAATTTTTTATTTTTTTCGTAGAGACTGTTTCTCTATGTTGGCCATGCTGGTCTCAAATCTGACCTCAAGTGATCTGCCCGCCTCGGCCTCCCAAAGTGCTGGGATTACAGGCATGAGCCAACTTGCCCAGCCTAGGCCTTTTGAATTTTTATGTGCATATTTTCCCCGTTTAAAGAAAGCTTGGGGCCGGGCGCGGTGTCTCACGCCTGTAATCCCAGCACTTTGGGAGGCCGAGGTGGGTGGATCACCTGAGGTCAGGAGTTCGAGACCAGCCTGGCCAACATGGCGAAACCCTGTCTCTACTAAAAATACAAAAAAAATTAGCCAGGCGTGGTGGCGTGTGCCTGTTATCCCAGCTATTTGGGAGGCTGAGGCAGGAGAACTGCTTGAACTTGGGAGGTGGAGATTGCAGTGAGCCGTCATCGAGATTGTGCCACTGCACTCCAGCCTGGGCAACGGAGCGAGTCTCCGTCTCCCCCCAACAAAAAAACGAAAGCTTGGACTAGGTGCAGTGACTCACGCCAGTAATCCCAGCACTCTGAGAGGCCAAAGTGGAAGGATCATTTCGGTCCAGGAGGAGTTCCGCACCACTCTCAATAACGTATTCAGACCCCATGTCTACACATTAAAAATGTAGCCAAGCGGGGTGGTGCATCCTGTGGTCCCAGGTGCTCAGGAGGCTGAGGTGGGAGGGTCGCTTGAGCCCAGGAGGTCAAGGCTGCAGTGAGTTATGATCGTGCCACTGCACTTCAGCCTTGGCGACAGTTAAGACCCTGTCTCAAAAAAAAAAAAAAGCTTCTATCAATCTCAGTAATATCCTTACTTTGTAGTAAATCCGTCCTGATAATAAGGACAGGCTTTTCCAGGCTTCTCCTCTGGAATAAGACTCCAGCACTGGGCCAGGCGCCGTGGCTCACGCCTGTAATCCCAGCACTTTGGGAGGCTGAGACGGGCGGATCACGAGGTCAGGAGATCGAGACCATCCTGGCTAACACGGTGAAACCCCGTCTCTACTAAAAATACAAAAAATTAGCCGGGCGTGGTGGCGGGCGCCTGTAGTCACAGCTACTCGGGAGGCTGCGGCAGGAGAATGGCGTGAACCCGGGAGGCGGAGCTGGCAGTGAGCCGAGACCGCGCCACTGCACTCCAGCCTGGGCGACAGAACGAGACTCCGTCTCAAAAACAAAAGACTCCAGCACTCGGTTTCTAATCTGTCAGAGTTGTGCTGCAAGACCTTGCTGTCCGAGGAATGTTTTCCTTTTGGTATCGGACTCGAGGTCTCTTAGAAGATAAATGCGGCTCCCACTACTCAGGAGGGCCCACGGCGCTGATCTGGCGAACGGATCGTCCCCACTGGTGTGAATTCTGTCCCGCGCAACTTACACTTTTCTGAACACTGAGAGCGCCACTTCCACAAAGAACTTAAAAGCATGTGAGATTCTGGCGTCCGTCTTACTTTCATGACTGCGCGCGTGTGATTTATTTAGAGACAGGGTCTCGCTCTTGCCCGGGCTGCGGTGCAGTTGCAACCGCGACCTCCAGGATAGCGGGGCCCACAGGCGCCACCGCGCCCGCCTACAACGCGGTGCTCAACAAAGTTAACTTTAAAAGCTCCCCCAACTCCACGACTCAGGCCCTCCGAGATCACGGAGCTTCCACATCGAAGCAGGAGCACGCGGGAAACGACCCTGTTTAGAAAATGCCCGCGCCGCGGCCTCTGGCCCGGCCCAGCCACGCCGGCCGGTGATGGTCGCACCGGAGGCGCGCGACGCAGCGAGGCCGCCCCGGGAAGGGACGCGGCGGGGCCCCAAGCGAGGCCCTGGAGCGGCTCCGCACCCTGGCCCGCCACTCACCGGCCGCCGCCTCCATCCCGCCGCCTCCAGGAGCTCGCGGCTGCAGTCCGCTTACGCCCGCGGGCCGTCAGCCTCCCAGCTAGAGCGAAGGGCCTTCCAACCAATGGGCAGTGCGTGCCCGCCCGTGGCTCTTCTTGACAGGCCTAATCCTGCTGTCCCAGCCAATCAGCTTGCCGGAGGAGCTCTCGATCCGGTCCCGCAGGTTCCGGCGCAGACGATGACACGGACCTACTTTCCGGTCAACGCGGCCTGCGGTACCACCTCCCACCCGGGTCCAATGTGCGCGCGAGCTTTGTCTCCAACCGCTTGGGAACTGACCAATAGGAACGTTGGATTAGGACTGACAGTTCCTGAAACCTCTCGGCAATAGCTTTGTCACCCGACTCCCGCCCCCTCTCCCGAAGCTCCGAGACAGGTGTGCCCGCCCCTCGCCGCCGGAGCCAATGGGCGCAGGGGGCGGGGATTGTTTACGTCTCGCTCCGGGGCGGAAAGTGGGTCAGGGCCGGGCCGGCGGAGCGCGCAGCGGGGGCTGCAGGTGAGTGGCGGGGCACGGGCCGACGTCTCGGGCTCTGGGCGGGCGCGCTGACCTTGCGGGCGCGGCGGTAGCAGCGCGGCCAGGGCGCCGCCTTTGTTCCTCTCCGGAGGGCCGCGCCCGAGAGAGGCTTCCCCGGTGCCGCCGACTCCGGAACCCGCGCGCCCGCGGGAGGGAACAGCCAGGCCGGGCTGCCGCCGGGGAGGGCGGCTCCCGCTGCACACGCGCTCGCCTGGGGCTGGGCAGGGTTCGGCGGTCCGGGCGCCGCGATCCGCCCCGGCCTCCCTGGAACCCCACCCGGGGCCCAGCGGGCGTTGCCAGCCGCGAGCCCGGCGCAGGGGTCGGCCCTGGAAGGCTAGGCGGGAACCCCGGAGCTGGCGAGGGAGGTGCCAGGCAGGTGGCCTGGGAAGCGCAGACCTGGCCCTCGCAGCCTTTTGCATTTTATACCATAACAGCGGCCAGCGCTGAGCAGGTTTTAAGATTTGTGTTTCACGAGGAGCCCTGGCGGTAGCGAGCGGAGGGGAAGGCGAGCTGCGCGGCCCAGGAGACGGTGGCGGGAGGAGGATGCAGGCGGGTGCGGCGGTCGGGCCGGGCGTGAGGGGAAGGTGTCGGGGAGCGGTCACGGTGCTTCTGGCATGAGGAACTGGGAGGCCGGAGATGCCATTTGTCAAACCGGACGACAGAGGAGGAGCGAGTGGAGGTTTTAGATGCCTGCGGGACAGGCGGGCGGGGCAGCCAGGTTCGTGAGGTGGAACCGGAGAGAGGGGCTGGGATTCGCATTCCGGAGTCATGGGTGTCTGGGTGGCGTTTCACAGGATCTACCTGGGTTTTATTGAGCTGCTCAGATCCTGGAGTGAGGTACGGGCTCCTGAAGCGTTCTGGAGCCCTGGCTGGGCACCGGTGCGGCCCCTGCAGTCCCCACTTTGAGTGGGTCCGTGGCCCAGCCTGGAAGCTCAGGGCTGGGAGTGCTGTGAGTCTTCCTTTGCCCAGAGCCTGTGTTTTCTTCTAGATTCTTTCCACCATGGCCAGACGCCCCCGGAACAGCAGGGCCTGGCACTTCGTCCTGAGTGCAGCCCGCCGAGACGCAGATGCCCGGGCCGTGGCTCTAGCAGGCTCCACTAACTGGGGCTACGACTCTGATGGGCAGGTAGGTTCCAGCGGGCGAGGCGGACGTGGCTGGCCTAAGGTGTGGAGATGCCCTAGGCAGGCAGGCAGACATTACCTGAACACGGAATCAGTCGGAGAAAAAGATGCTTCTGAGGCTAGAGGACCAGTCCAAACCTGGGCCTGTCTCCTGGATGCACCGCATTCAGTAAGACTCTTTAATTTGGCAAAGGACACACACAGCCTCAGGGGTGACAGGACCTCAGAACACACTGCATTCTTCACTGTGCTTTCTCCTCTGAAACACATGGTGCATGGAGAGGTTGGCAGTTGCTTTTGGTTCATTCAACAGAAATTCTCCACTACGGGGCTGGGCACTGTGGCTCACACCTATAATCCTAGCACTTTGGGAGGCTGAAGCTGGAGGACCACTTGAGCCCAGGAGTTTGAGACCTGCCTGGGCAACATGGTGAAACACTGTCTCTACAAAAATTTAAAAAATGTGTCAGGCGTGGTGGCACGTGCCTGTAGTCCCAACGACTCAGGAGGCTGAGCTGGGAGGATTGCTTGAGCCAGGGAGGTCAAGGCTGCAGTGAGCCGTGATCACACCAGTGCGTTCCAGCCTGGGTGACAGAGCTAGACCCTGACTCAAAAAAAACAAAAACAAAAAAATTCTTTGGTTTACCCAGCCCATTTCTGGAGGTGACCATTGTTAACTTGCTGGTTGTCTTACCAGACGCTTCTTCTGCCAGTACAAACGCATACTCTTTGTTCACATATATGTGTGTTAAAAAACAAACAAACAGAAAAACCCTGATCCTTGAAGGTAAAAATTTCTGCACTTGCTCAGGGAGGCCAGGAACCTGAAGGTATTCAGAACAGCTCAGGTGTTTGTCTGTCTGCAGCCCAGGTGATCTGACATGCTTGTGGGCTTTGCAGGCAGAGCTACCTGCCCCCATGGCCCCTGACCCCCACCTTGGCAGACCCTGAGGGCAGCTGCCTGGCCTGACGGGCGCAGTGAGGCTGGGAGGGGTGGGGGTCCCTGTGGGGGGTGATTTCCCAGTCGGTTTCCTGAGATCTCCCTCGGACCAGAGCAGGAGTGTGGCTGCGCCTCCCTGCCCCACTTCCAGCTACCACAGGTCATGTGCCCTGGAGCAGTCTCTCCTGGCCTCGCAGGGTCATGGCTGTGGGACGCGGGCGTGTCCACAGGCCAGGCCAGTGTCTGACACACGCATGCTGCTTGTCCTCTGTCACCATGGGCCGTGTCCTTCCGGGGCGGCTGCTTGTGTGACCTGGTGCTGCTCTCTGCTGTCACAGCTCCCCTGCGCTGCTGTTCCGGCTCAGCCAGGTGTCCTGGGAGGGGTGGGCTCCTCTCCTCTGAGTGAGGACTCCCTAAGCCCGGTGGGTCCATTAGGCCTTGGGGGCAAATTGGGAAACAGGGTCCTTACCCACCGGGTGGGGGCCGTCCTGAGGTCTCCTGGAGCTCCCTGCTCCAGCCAGGGAGAGGCCCCCACCTGCCTTCCCGCCCGCCTCCAGCTCCTGCAGGTCACATGCCTGAGCCTCACAGGCTCGTGGCTGTGGGATGCAGGCGTGCCTGCGGGCTCGGCAGTGTTCGACACATGTGCTGCTTGTCCTGTGTCACCAAATGGGCCTGCAGTCTGTTGTGGGCAGGAGGTAGGCAGTGGCTTCAGTCTTTCTCCTTCTCCAGGGAACCCGGCCCTGGGCCTGCAGTGCAGGTGCTCAGTTCTGTGCCCGGGCTCCTGACTCAGGGGGTCTACCCTGGCTCTGGGGACCCGCACTTCTAGGCAGTGGGGTAGAGTTGTCTGGGCCTGCCTTGTCTGTGGGGTGGGGCCATCCCCTCCAGAAAGGACAGTGTCCTGCCCTGAAGCTGGCTTTCGATAGGTCCACGTTCACCTGGAAGCTGGTGGCGCCCATGTCATGGTCCCCTGTGGCTTCTCCTGGGGATCACATCATCTCTCTGGACCAGCCCTCAACCCTCACTGTCACAAGGCCTCTGCCACAGGCCCCCCGCCACCACTTAGCACTCTCCCTGCTGACCCCCTGGTCCATTCAGCCCCTGGGTGGCCCCCACACAGTCTGTGACAGGGAGGAGGCTGGGAGGGGCACTGCCTCCCACAAGGAGCTCACGTTCTGGTGGGAGGAGGCCAAGAATCAGGACCAAGGAGAACTTCAGTGAAGCAAAAGAAGAAAAATGGAACAGGGGTGAAGGGGCTGGAGAAGCCTCAGGGAGGTGACAGCTGAAACCTGCACCAGGAGGGGCGGGGCCTGTAGTGGGCACTGGGCAGTAGGACCCTGTGGTGAGCCAGGTCTGCTCAGGTAACAGGAAGGTCGTTGGGCCACAGTGTGGTGGGGACTGCCCTGAGGCCGGGTGGCTGCAGCTGGGCCTGGTGTGGGGGTGGTGGCCTTGCCTGGGGGCCCCTGCAGGGCTGGCCTAGCAGGGAAGGTGTCCACACCATCTCAGCTCTGGGCAGGTGGGGTGGACCTGGGGCTTATCCACCGTCTAGAAACCACTTGGAGGCCAGGCAGCCTTGGCTACTGCTCTGTGGCTGGGCCTCCAGGGCCCTCCTGGTCATGCAGAATGGGGCAGAGCCGGAGCCCGTTGGGAGGGAGCCTGGGCTGTGCGCTCGGGGTACTGTGAAGTCCCTGGAGGCCTGGACCCCCATCCTTTCCTGGGTGGGTCAGGGACAGGGTGGGACAGGGACAGAGGGCAAGGGTGAGAGGGTAGAGAGCGGGCAACAGGTAGTAACAGCCGGCCCTTCTCTCCCAGCACAGCGACTCGGACTCCGACCCCGAGTACTCCACGCTGCCGCCATCCATCCCCAGTGCGGTGCCCGTGACCGGCGAGTCCTTCTGTGACTGTGCTGGGCAGAGCGAGGCCTCCTTCTGTAGCAGCCTGCACTCGGCCCACCGGGGCAGGGACTGCCGCTGCGGAGAGGAAGACGAGTGTGAGCGTGGGGCCCAGCCCCTGCTGGGACTGCACTGCGGGCGGGCCTGGGGGTGGGCAGGGCAGAGCCCCATGGAGCTCTCAGGGCTGCCCCAGCCTGGGCCTCTCTTGCAGATTTCGACTGGGTCTGGGATGACTTAAATAAGTCATCAGCCACCCTGCTGAGCTGTGACAACCGTAAGGTCAGCTTCCACATGGAGTACAGCTGCGGCACAGCGGCCATCCGGGGCACCAAGGAGCTGGGGGAGGGCCAGCACTTCTGGGAGATCAAGATGACCTCTCCCGTCTACGGCACCGACATGGTAAGTTGCTTCGGCCCAGGGTGCTTCTGGGGAACCTGGCTCCGGCAGCCCAGCCCCGCGCCCTCTGCCTGGCCCCTGTTCCTAGATGGTGGGCATCGGGACGTCGGATGTGGACCTGGACAAATACCGCCACACGTTCTGCAGCCTGCTGGGCAGGGATGAGGACAGCTGGGGCCTCTCCTACACGGGTGCGTGAGGCCCAGGGTGGGGCGGGGCCGAGCCTGGAGCTCCCGGGCTCACTGCGACCCTGGCTGCCCCCAGGCCTCCTCCACCACAAGGGCGACAAGACCAGCTTCTCATCGCGGTTCGGCCAGGGCTCCATCATTGGCGTGCACCTGGACACCTGGCACGGCACACTCACCTTTTTCAAGAACAGGAAGTGTATAGGTGAGGCCGTCACAGGACTTGAGCTCCTCTCAGCTGTCACCCCGAGGGAGGCAGCCACCCCGCCCCAGCCCAGGGGACACTGAGGTTTTCTGAAAGGGTTCCTCCCAGAAGCCTGAGGCCCCAGGGTCCCAGGGGGTGGGACAGTGAGGCCAGGCTGGAGTGGCAGGGCCAGCGCGTGCACCCTGCCTTGCCTCAGCTGTGCCAGCTGCCCACCCGGGTGACTGTAGCGTGAGGTCTGAGGGGCTGCGCCCAGTAGCTGGCCCCTTCCCTGCCTGGGGTTCAGGCTGGGCCCCTCCCTTCCAGGTGTGGCAGCCACCAAGCTGCAGAACAAGAGATTCTACCCGATGGTGTGCTCCACGGCGGCCCGGAGCAGCATGAAGGTCACCCGCTCCTGTGCCAGCGCCACTTCCCTCCAGTACCTGTGCTGCCACCGCCTGCGCCAGCTGCGGCCAGACTCGGGAGACACGCTGGAGGGTCTGCCGCTGCCGCCGGGCCTCAAGCAGGTGCTACACAACAAGCTGGGCTGGGTCCTGAGCATGAGTTGCAGCCGCCGCAAGGCTCCAGTGTCCGATCCCCAGGCAGCGACCTCCGCCCACCCCAGCAGTCGCGAGCCTCGGCCCTGCCAGAGGAAGCGCTGCCGCCGGACCTGACTGACTTCCCAGTGGAACTGCCTTCTTGGGCTGGGACAGCCCCTTTCCTCTGTCCCTTCTTTCTCTGTCCCTTCCTTCCAGCCACACTCCAGGGCGGAGTTGGATGAGGCCCGTCCGGAGGGAGCCATCTCTTGCTCCCGAGGCTGGGACAGTCCTTTCTGTGGGGGCTCTAGGGCCCCTCTGCTGCTGTGCTGGGTGGGGAAGCGGCTGCCCTGAGCCCCAGGTCTTGTGGGAGGCTGCGAGGACGAGAGCCTGGCTGGAGCCCGCGTTGCTGTTCCCACAGGGCCTCGGTTTTTCCTAACTTGCTCTGCATGCTGTCAGCGGCTGCCCCGCCGTCATAGACTTAAAGGACTGCAATAAATGTAGAGTTGATGTCTAACACCCACATGGCGTGAGCTGAAACGTATCCGTGCAGAGGCCGGGCTTGCGAGCAGCCTGGGCCTTCTCCCAGGCCTCACTGCCCCTCCACATCCTTGGGAGTCCCCTACTGCTTCTGGCTGAGGGTGCCACACCCCAAGCCTCCAGGTGGCAGTGGGGCCCTGGAGCTGCCTTCTGGTCCCTGCCGAGTGTGTGTGTGTGTTGGGGGGGCACAGCCCTGCTGCTGAGGCCTCCCCTGGGGCCTACGTGTTCAGGACTCAGCACAGGAACCGCCAGCCATCTGCCAGCCAGAAGCCCCTCTTCTCCCAGCTACCTAAAACTTCCCCTGCAACCACCCACCCTTCCCCTGAGGTCAGACCTGCTCAGCCAGAGAACCCACCCAGGCTGAGGGTCCACATGTGGCTGGGGGTCCTCCCCCACCGCCCAGGGTGTCTGGTCTGTCCCCAAGGCTGCATGCTGTCCTGGTGGTCCCACGTGTGGTCAGGAGCCCAGGTCCAGCAGGAGATCAGGGTTGGCTGTGGTCAGGAAGAGGCAGATGCGGCGGGAGAGGTCAGGCCCCACCCTGCGGGGACGCCCGCCTTCACTGGGCGGCACAGGAAGGTCGGCCAGGAGGCCCATGCGCTCCCGCTCCGTGCTGCAGGCCTCCAGCGCCTAGGAGCAGGCAAAGGCATGAGAGGGCGCCTGGGGACGGGGCTTCTGCACCTGGAGGGCTTGGAGGAGGCAGGGGCCCACCTGCTGCAGAAGGCGGGGGGAGGGGAAGGCTGTGACAACTGCATCAGCCACGGCTGGGCTGACCCGACTGAACTGCCTGATCTGCCTCCGCCAGGCCGCCTGCAGCCCTGCGCCGTCTCTTGCCACTGGCTCGCCGGCTGCCCAGCGCCCTGCTGTGCAGAAGGAGAAGGCCTGGGATTCCCGGTACTGCCTGGGGACAGAGAGAAGCCTTTTAGAACCTCATGTGAGCAGCTCCCAAAAGGCCGGGGAGGCACCACTACCTTGAGGTGATCCTGCCCCCCTTCAGCCTTGGCATCACGCACTTGAGGGGATACTGGGCGAGAGCCTTGGTAACGGCGCACACGTGCCGACTCAGCTCCTGCCAAGAGGCCACCAGTAGCACGTCCAGGTTTGCCCAGAGCTGCAGGAGTACCAGGGCCTGGGGAGGAGGCAAGCTGATGGGCACGAGCCAGAGGAAGGCTACCCGGGACACACAGCTGATAGCTGCCCCATGTACCACGCTGGGAACCAAACCCAGCCAGCAGCCCAATCACTGGGACCCAGGCCACCTGACTCACCCAGCTCAGACAGGCCCTCACCTCTTCCACCTCCGGCCAGCTGACGGCCACCTCGGCACCGGCCACCTTCGGGCTCTCTGGCTGCTGTGTCCCCCGGGAAACGTGCTGGCGAGACCTGAGCAGAGGTGACCATTCCTCCCCGCTCCCCATGGGGCCTGCCCTGCCCGAGCTTGGCCTCTGCCAGAGCCCACCTGGAGAAGTGGGATCAGCTGTGCCACAGCAACCCCAGAAGTGTGCCCACCTCCCCTGAACCCCCGTCCCAGCCAGCCCTGCTGTGGGCATGAGAGTGAGCGGTACCACAGGTAGGCATCCAGCCCGATGACAGCCAGGTGGGGCCGGGCGGTGGTCTCGGGGGAGATCCAGGGCACCCAGTGGGTTGGGCCAGAGATCTGAAGATGAGAACGTGTGGCACAGTTGTTCACAGGAGGCTGCGGCCTATGGCCATGGGCCACCAGGCCACAGCTGGTTTGCAGAACAGCAAGCCTGAAAAAGAGCCAGTGGTGCCGAGAGGAGCCTCTGTTCCGTTACCCCTTCTGAGAAAACCAGCTCTGTGCCTCCCACGAGGCCAAAGAGGCTAAGGAGACCCTGGAGTGGCTGCTCGGGCACATGTCAGTTCCATTGAGCCCCTCATCCTGGTCCACCTCTGTACTCCAGCCTAGCTTTGACCTAGCACAAAGCAGCAGCTTGAGAGACACTGATCCTGGGACACAGGGACCTGGCAGGGGGTCTAGCCTAACCCCACGCTACCTGGCACCACAGCACCTGAGCACTGCTCCCCGCAGGCAGGGGCCAGGCTGTCTGCTGTCAGAGGACGAAGCCTGCAGCCTACTGCCCGGACCCCGGCCTCCTGACACTTCTCAGGATCCTCTAGGAGCAGCTGTAGCCTCCGCAGGTGCCCAGGAGCTTTCTCCATCTCACCCTAGAAACCTCTACGGCTTTGGATCAGAGAGGAGTCCTGGCCTGCCCCATGCCCCCTCCAGCCCCGTCTACAGGGGCAGGGACCGGCGGAGCAGGCGCCTCCCGGCTGGGAACCCACCCCTCCTGATTAGAGAGGGACTACTGCCACCACCCGAGCACCTGGGTCAGTGTGGCGACGCCCTGCAGAAACTCCTCGGGCTCCAGCAGCAGCAGCAATTCCTGTTCACCTGCAGCCCACACTTCAGGAGGCAGCTGTGGGGACATGGGGACGCGCTGCTGCCTGTCTCAACCCCGGGTGCCCCAGGGGCCCTGCCTGGGCAGTCCAGCAGCAAAGCGGTTCGTGGCCCCAGCCAAGCCCAGGCCCTGACAGGCCTGCTCTACAGAAGCCCAGTGTTCCCTTTCCTGCCAAGGCCAAGCTCAGGCCAGGTCTCTGTGGCTGGCAGGAATCCAGACCACAGCCTGAATCGAGACGGAACCTTCTCCAGCCAGCTCGGCTCTATACCAGCAGAACGGCTTGGGCACCTCCACTTCCCGTTCTCCATCCTTGCTTTACCCATCCGCGAGACGCGCACGGCCCAGGGCAGCTGCCTCAGGGACAGCTCCAGGGCTGAAATCATGGAAGCAAAACAGCCAACTCGCGGCTGGCCCTCGGGAACCCGCGACCACTCACGCTGCGGGGGCAGGGGTCGGGACTCGCTCGGGTCCACCGCAGGCTGCGGGCCGGGCGCTGGGGCTCGATGCGGCACTCGCAGCCCAGGGCCTCCAGGGCCTCCATCAGGACGTCGGCACCGGCGTCTTCCAGGATGGCTGGGACCGGGGGAGAGGAGCGCGGTCACTGCTTCCTTCCACCCTCGCGAGCGCCCTACCTGGGCGGGTGGCCGGACCGGGGAGTCTCCATTCGGCACAAACCCCCGACTGGGAGGCGGGCCCGGCCCCAGGCCCCTCGGCACGCGCGCCCCGCCCAGTCGGACAGAGGGCGCCGCCTGGCGGAGAAAGGCCTTTCCTACCCCGAGTATCGCCCGTGCCCTCCGCCGCACCTGTGTCCACGCACACCGCGAGGCGCTTCAGGACCTGCTCCGGCCGCAGCAGCCGCAACGCCTCGGCAGCCGCCCTGCGCTCACCCGCTGGGTCCCGGGCTCTCGCGGCGGCCTCCGAGCCGGCGGAGTCCTCAGCGTCGGAGTCTGAGATCTCCCAGGTTGGAGGTCGCCGCTGACCGCTCCCGCCCCGTCCCCGGCCCCGGCCCTGGCAAGAGACCCCCGCCCTCCCGGGTCCAACCCGCGCCATGGCCGGACCGACCTCTTCCTCGCTTCCGGCCGCGACCGAACACTTTAGCCTGGGACACCGGCCTCTTCCGGTGACTTCCGGCCGGACCGCTGAGGACGCGGACCCGCCATGGCGCGGAAGAAGGTGCGTCCGCGGCTGATCGCGGAGCTGGCCCGCCGCGTGCGCGCCCTGCGGGAGCAACTGAACAGGCCGCGCGACTCCCAGCTCTACGCGGTGGACTACGAGACCTTGACGCGGCCGTTCTCTGGACGCCGGCTGCCGGTCCGGGCCTGGGCCGACGTGCGCCGCGAGAGCCGCCTCTTGCAGCTGCTCGGCCGCCTCCCGCTCTTCGGCCTGGGCCGCCTGGTCACGCGCAAGTCCTGGCTGTGGCAGCACGACGAGCCGTGCTACTGGCGCCTCACGCGGGTGCGGCCCGACTACACGGCGCAGGTGCGTGCACCCCGTCCGCACCCCGCCCCTGCAGCCGCCTGGTCTCCCCGCCTCCCCTCCTCCCTGCAGGTTTGCGTGGCTGAGGCTCCCACCTCCTGACCTCGGGGGCCGAGAGCTTTGCGAGCTGACCCCGCTTCCTTCTGGCTTTGCAGAACTTGGACCACGGGAAGGCCTGGGGCATCCTGACCTTCAAAGGTAAGGCTCGGGAGAGCGGGTGCCCGGCAGTTCGATGCCGACCGCCGACGGCACAGCAAGTGTGTGCAGACGCCTCTTTTTCTTCATCAGGGAAGACTGAGAGCGAGGCGCGGGAGATCGAACACGTCATGTACCATGACTGGCGGCTGGTGCCCAAGCACGAGGAGGAGGCCTTCACCGCGTTCACGCCGGCGCCGGAAGACAGCCTGGCCTCCGTGCCGTACCCGCCTCTCCTCCGGGCCATGATTATCGCAGAACGACAGAAAAATGGAGACACAAGCACCGAGGAGCCCATGCTGAATGTGCAGAGGATACGCATGGAACCCTGGGATTACCCTGCAAAACAGGAAGACAAAGGAAGGGCCAAGGGCACCCCCGTCTAGAATGCCAGAACCAGCGGGTGGCCTTAGGGGCTGTGAGGCAGTGGGGACCTTATTGATGAAAGAAACCGTCTTTGCGTTACACCCGAGTCTGCCTCTCGGAGCAGGGAGCTCACCTTCCGCGACGTGTTCTGAGGGTCTGCATCTTAGGGGGGAGGGCTGGGGCAAATCGCCACCTGTGCCTTTCCTCTGGCCCTGCTGCCCCCACACCCAACTCCGAGGGCCCACGCTGGGGAAAGCGGGAAGCGCTCGCTCCCTTTCCCCCATTAGTGCTCTCTCTGCCTGGATCCCGGCAGAAGCTATGAAAGGGAATAAAGAGAAAAGAAGTACCCAGGGTCGTGGTGTCTTTGCGCTCTGTCTTTAGGACCGGGGAGAGAAGGGCTGACGCTGTGGTCGTGGCCCTGGCCGGGGGGGCGCGGGGGGGGCGGGGTTCGGGCGGTGCGGAGCAGGGCGCCGCGTGGGTGGAACCACCTGGGCGGGTTGTGGGGGATACAGTTAGTGTCCGAGCTGCTGGAGGAGACTTGGCCTCCGCAGCTGCCCTCCGGCCCCCCACGGCTGCCGGGTTCCGGGGTGCAAGTGAAGCAGCCTCCCCGCGGAGGCCGCAGCGCCCCGACCAGGCCTCTTTAAGCGCAGGCCCCGCCCCGGGCGCCACCGCCCCGCCCCGCGGATCCCGCTCCCGCACCGCCATCATGATCTGCCTGGTGCTGACCATCTTCGCTAACCTCTTCCCCGCGGGTGAGCCGCGCGGCGCGGGCCGGGGGCGGGTGGCCGGTGCTGGGCCGGCCTGACGGCCCGTCCCCGCCTGCCCCGCAGCCTGCACCGGCGCACACGAACGCACCTTCCTGGCCGTGAAGCCGGACGGCGTGCAGCGGCGGCTGGTGGGCGAGATTGTGCGGCGCTTCGAGAGGAAGGGCTTCAAGTTGGTGGCGCTGAAGCTGGTGCAGGTGGGGGCGCGGTGAGCGAGCGGGGGCGCGGTGTGGGGGGAAGGGGAGCGGGGACCTGGGGACGCCTAGGTGCCGGGTGCGGGCGCAGGCGGCCTGACCCTTCCGCAGGCCTCCGAGGAGCTGCTGCGTGAGCACTACGCCGAGCTGCGTGAACGCCCGTTCTACGGCCGCCTTGTCAAGTATATGGCCTCCGGGCCGGTGGTGGCCATGGTGAGTATCCGGGAAGCGGGCGGGCGGCTCCGGGACCCCCACCCCCGCGTGATACCGCGCCCGTTCCTCCGCACAGGTATGGCAGGGGCTGGACGTGGTGCGCACCTCGCGGGCGCTCATCGGAGCCACGAACCCGGCCGACGCCCCGCCCGGCACCATCCGCGGGGATTTCTGCATCGAGGTTGGCAAGTAAGGCCCGCCCCGGGGACGGTCCCAGCCCCGTCCGGCCTCCCCCTGTTCAGCCTGCGTGGTACCCGTGCCGGAGGTCTCTTTCCCACGCTCACACGCGCCTCTTCCGCGCAGGAACCTGATTCACGGCAGCGACTCGGTGGAGAGTGCCCGCCGCGAGATCGCTCTCTGGTTCCGCGCAGACGAGCTCCTCTGCTGGGAGGACAGCGCTGGGCACTGGCTGTATGAGTAGCCCGGCAGATGCGCGTCACAGAGGCTCTCACACTCCAGCCTCCTCCAGGGCCCAGGTGGGCGGGCTTCTGGCCCCACCCCACAGCGCTTGGAGCATCCCTTTGGACGGGCTGCTGAACATCCACCTGTCTGGACGTTGCATGGAGGGTGGCGCAGGCCTCTCCAATCCCTGGCGTACAGGGTTTCCTGCCCGAGGAGCTGCTCCAGGAGCCTGCGCGGCTCGCCTGGAAACGTGCCAGGACACTGTCCTGGTGCCCAGCCCAACGTGGTCCAACGTTTTTTTATAATAAAGTCCTCGTTTTCGTTTCGATTTGGGCCCAGGAACAGGCAGCTACGACGTTAAGACATTTATTACATACAGAGCAGATATGTGGGTTTGCTTGCAGGGCCAAAGCCTGAGGAGAATCGTCACCCCTCCCCCAGCCGCCCCACTGCTCAGCCCGGAGTCACTTCGAGATCCTGGGGGAACAGACGAGGGAGCGGACATACATCACAGTGGAGGTGGCAGGGTGGTGGGGAGAAGCCGGCAGCGCAGCGGCTGCAGCCCTCGGTGGCCAGCGGGGCTTGTGGGGCAGCTCCCCAAGATCTGTGCTTCTCTGGTTGGGGGTGGGTGCGGGGGCTGGGCTGCCCTCATAAGGGCCTCCCAGACAGGAGTGCAGTGGGCCTGGAAGGTAGGAATAGGCCAGAGAGGCCCAGCTGGGCAGGGAGAGCAGTCCAGGGTGGCGTCTGCCCTCTGCGGGCTTGGAGTCGGCTGGGGGCGGCTCCATCCTCAGCCCCACGGGCCTCTGCTTGGTGGCCTCTCTGTTGCTCCCTGGAAGCAGGCCACAGCGGGCAACCCTAGGCACTTAGTAGCGTGTCTGGGAGCTGGGCTCCGTGGAGCCCCGTGCAGGAGGCAGGCCCCGGGAGCACATCATCCCCCATCAACCTGAGGCTGAGCCTGTGTCCTAGGACTGATCCCGGAGAGGCCAGGGGCCTCCCCTTCTTCCTGAGGCCTGGGCCTGCCCTGGCAGCCTGAGAAATCCCACCCTGGGGGCTTCTGGGAGGGACAGGACTCCAGGGCCCACTCCTCCAAGGTGAGTCTTCTGCCCAGGCAGAGCCTGGGGGGACACGGGTCAGAACGGGGCTGGCAAGAGCCTGCCTGCATGGGCAGGATGGGGTAGCAGTCTCTGTTCTCAAGCAGCTGCCCCAGGGAGCCGGGCCTCGTGCTTTTATGCCAGCTCCCTGGGCAGGGGACAGCTGGGGTGGGGACAGACAGGATAGAGGCTTGACGACGGGGAGGCCCCAGAGAAGGCCGGCTGGGGTGCAGGCACCTGGGCAGCCTGAGGCCCACCTCCCTGGGCAAAGGCTAGTGCCTGGCCCAGCTCCCCTAGGCAGAGTGAGGGCCCAGGAGGCAGGGTGGCCCCATGAGCAGCATGCAGAGGTGGGCCCAGGGCAGGCAGCCTCGGCGGCGGGGAGCCCCTGCCTCCTCCAGGGGTGCTGGGGAGTAGGAGGCCCAGGGTAGAGCCAGGACCACCTCGGATTCTGCCTGCGCTGGGCCCAAGGTGCCCTGGACTTGAGGACTCTGGGCTGGAAGCTGGCCAGGAGCTGCCCGGGAAACTGTCCCGAGAGCATCTTCCCCTCGGGTGGAAGTTCCCCTCCCCTCCTCCTCCCAGCTGATCCGCATCCCCGCACTCCCTGCCCGCTGGAGGGGCCAGACTCAGGTGAAAGCTGCAGGTTGAGAGGTTAGAAGAGGGGCGGCGGCGCCTGGCTGGCTACCCCGCGGGCCGGGCGGGGGTCAGGTGGTCGGGGGTCCTATGTACAGGTCGGGCCAGGCAGGGCAGCAGCTTCACTCGGGGGTGTAGGACACCTGCCACACGATGATGTGACTGCGCTCTGCCTTGGACAGCACGGGCTTCACCTGGCTCATGTCCCCTGCGCCCTCCTCCGTCTCGTCGTCCTCTCCGTCTCCTGCGGGCAAAGCAGCAGAGTGACGGCCAGGCTCCCCCCGCGCCCAACCTCAGCCCTGTCCCTGGGCCCCGCTCACCAATGCGGAAGTCGATGTAGCCCTCCCCGCCGCTCAGCACCAGCACGTTCCGCAGCTTCTGGCCCTCGACCTCCGAGGCAGGGGCAGCTGGCCCAGGGCCCTCGGCTGGGCTGTCCAGCACACTCCCATTCAGGGTGGCCAGCACGTTCCCTGGGATGGCAGAAGCGATTCAGGACAGCGGCCTCCTGGGGGAGGCGGCGGCCACTGGCATGCAGGGGATGTGGATGGCAGGAGGGGCCCAGCCTCACCTGGCACCGAGACAAAGAACTTCACGGCATCGCGGTGCCCATGGAAGCATAGCTGGGCCTGGGCCATGGAGCAGTAGGGGATGAAGCTGCTGGCCGCCCTGTCACTGCTGTCATCGCCATACACGTGGATGATGCCCCCGGGACGGGCGCCCTCCCCAGAGGTGGGGGATGTCTTATTGGCTGCAGGGAGAGAACCCAGAGGCGCTGAGCCCGCATACAGGTGGAGAGTGGGAGAGGCTCCCGTGAGGGGACACGAGGTGGCTGGGCTTACCTCGGAGCCCCAGGAGCTGGCCTCGGTGCAGGACCACAGCTGGGGACATGGGAGGAGCATGGGAGAAGAGGAGAGCGGTCAGCGTAGGGGCAGCAAGGCACCCTCCAAGGTGGCCCTGCAGAGCCACCCCGTGAACCCACGTACACCTCTGGCAGCACCACTGCCCCTGCAGGTGTGCAGGCCACTCACTCTCTGTCAGGGGGATGGAGATGACCACTCCGTTGCCGGTGCCCACCCAGAGCCGGCTGCCCGCGACAAGCAGGGCCGTGATGCGTACGAAGGAGAAACCCAGCTTGCCAGTGCCTGTGGGGGAGAGCGGTCAGGGTGGCTGGCCTTGAGCACCCCACCACCCCATCTGGCGTGGCCCCTCACCTAGCATCTTGCTGACGTAGGGCTCAATGTCCACGTCCTGTAGATGCTGGTGCGTGTGTGCATGGTAGAGCCTCAGGGTGGAGTCCAGGCGGATGGACACCCATACGCCATCGCCGATCCACGCCAGCTGCCGCACCTGGCTCTCCCGCCGCGGGTGGGCGTCAAATGACTTCTGTGGAGTCATGGCTGCCCATCAACAGGGCTGGGGAGAGGAGAGGAAGTGGGGAGCCCCAAACCTGCCACAGCTCCAGGGCCACCTGCAGTCCCCTCAGACCTCCCAGCCAGCGCCTGCTTTGCGCCTGTTCGAGCCTGAGTCATAGGTGGTACAGGGGAGATGGGACCCACGTAGGGCCTCGTGGACTTCCGTATGGAAGATGCGGGAGAGCTGCTGGCCAGCAGGAGCCTCTTCCCCTCCCCGGGGCCCTGGCCGGCACTCGCCTCTATCTGCATGGTCTTGGGCTGGATGACGTGCACCTTGTTCTTGTAGCCACACCACACGCGGTCGTACACAACAGCCATGCAGCGGATGGAGTGGTGCGGGTGGCCCAGGTCCATTAGGTGATAGTTGCTCAGATCCCACTGGCCATCTGGAGGGAGCCCCGGACACCTGCTCAGGCCTGGCCAGGCCCCACCTCTGCTCAGGGCATCGGGTTGAGACACCCACTGCCAGACTAAGGAGAGGCCTGGAACCCCGGGAGCCCCTTGGCTAAACAATGCCAGGGCCATCAGCTGCCACCCACACACCCCGTGCTGCCAGGCCCCACCTTCACCACGGTGGAAGATGGCCAGGGTCCCGTCCGCCAGAGCCACCAGCACACGGCCTTTGACATGCCTGAAACAGGAATGCGGTGAGCCTGGTTTGGGCCAGGCTGTGCCAGCCCCCTCCGCCCCGTTCCCCCGCGCCGCCCGGCCCTCGGTCTGGGGTCACCCACACCAGGCTCAGCACAGAATCCTTCAGCTTGATGGAGTGCAGGCACTTCTTCCAGTTGGCCACAGCCGAGTGCACATAGAGCCTAGGGAAGGAAGCGGCGATGGGCGAGGGGCTCACCCAGGACCCTCCCTCCACCTTGCCCCGGGCCCTTCCTACCAGCCGTTCTGGGCTCCCAGCCACATGGTGGGTGCAGCACTGCTGCCTGCTCCCGTGGGGTCCCCGCTGGGCTCTGGCTCTGGCCGTGTGCTGCTGCTGTCAGGCTCTGGCCCGTTCTCGCTGCAGGAAGAACGGTGGCTCCAGGGGGGGCCACGGAGCACGCACCTGCCCCAAGACCCCGAGGCCCTTCCCACCTCTGCAAGCCTTCCCTCTGCTCCTGCCCCAGCCCAAGAGCTCACCTGCCAGGCTGGGGGCCAGAGGACGGGGTCGGGGCTGGGTCAGTGAAGACGTGCTCTGTGAGAGGCCCGGGCCGCAATGTGGCTGTCTCTGGCTCGCTGGGCCCAGGGTCTGGCACCTCCGTGGCCTCTGTGGCCTCCTCTGTGGACTGGGACGGGTTGACCTTCCCGTTGGCGATGGTGGCCACCTCCCCTGTGTTAGGAGAGGTGAGCTTGGGCTGGGCAGAAACGTGGGAATGAGGGGATGGGGGAAACTCGCCCAGGACTCACCCTGCCCCTTGTCTAGCACTGGGGTGTCCCCTCGGGAGGAGCAGTTGCTCCGCGGCACGTTGCAGCGGGTGGCACAGCCCACCAGGGTGATACCGGCCAGCACGCCATCTGCGCCCGGGTCCTCTGGGTTCACGTCGCTGTCCAGGAACATCTCCCCGGGAGGGTAGTCGCTGTCGCTGGCCGCTGGGGAGAGGGACGGCCCGTCAGCCTGTGCGGGGGAACCCACTACTGCAAGGGCGTGCCCAGCACTTACACAGGGGCAGAGGAAGCCGGGGCTGGCCTTCCACTTTCCCAGCAGACCCAGCTTCCACACATGCTCCACCCACAGCCCACCCACGACCCTCTGCCTGGAGGTCTGGGACTCCAGCAAGCCTGCTCTGTTGGGTAGGCCCCTGGGCCAAGGGGAGCTGAGTAGTAAGACTCTGGTTCTGGGAGCAAACAACCTGTGATCCTGTGGCAGACCCTCAGGACCCCAGACGGCCCTGTGGTTTCACACCAGAGACCTGGCAGAGCCCTCGGCACCCCTTCGTCCTCCCAGTGTTGGGGCTGGCCCAGAACATCACCAAGGCTACTGCCCACAGGGGTGACACGAAGCTCCTCACCCACACCCCCATAGCCCCTTCGGCCCAACTGGAGGTTTCACATTCAGCATGAGGAAATGTTTTCCTGTGGTCTCCGAGTGATGCTTCAAGCTGCAGGCCGTGCCCACCCGTCACCCTCTAACCAGGTAAGCGTGGGGTCCTGAGTAGGTAGGGAGAAGAGGCCGAGGCTGCCGCGAGCTTCCTCCCAGAAACAGGGCCCAGGGCCTCACTTGACTGGGTGCTGCCCCTCCCACCGTCCACTGCCACATTCCCGTGTCCACAGGACACCCCGAGAAGGCAGCTGCTGTGTGGCAGGGCTTTTACTTAGCTTGCTAGTAAAAGGGAGTGGCGCCCGAGTGGAAACGCCCACTCCAGCTGCTCACCGGGGATGCTGGAGATGCACAGCACGTGCGCGTTGCAGACGGTGAACTGGTCCACCACCGTGCCCGGCTGGTTGGCGTCGATGATCACCACCTTGCTGGTGGTCAGGGTGCTGGTCAGGATCCACACCCGGCTGGAGGTGGCGTCCATTTCAGGGAGCTCCTTGGCCTGTTTCAGGGCACGGGATCAAGGTCAGAGCCCGAGCTTGAGGCTACCCGGTGGCAGCACAGGGCCATGGGGCTCCCAGAATCTGTCAGGATCCAGCCTTGACTACAGCTTGAGGGGACATGGCTGTCCTCCCCCAGGACCAGAACAATGCGGACTCAGGACTGCACTCTAAAGCACTCACAGACACGGTTTCGCCTCCACAGAAGAGGCCCCTGAGCTCCAAGAGGCCCAAGCTGGGCATAAAACTAAGCCTCCCACCACTGGGAGGCAAGCTCTGCCGCTCCTGGGCTCCTCTGTGCCTGCTGCCTGCCTGACCCCTGCAGCCCAGTGCAGGCCCACTCCAGGCCACCTGGGGGGTGAAAACTGAAAACCCAGAAGGCGGCTCAGTCCTGGTGAGGGAAGACACTGCTTCCCGCAGTCTAGGAGCCCCTGCGCTGCCCTGCTTCCGGGTGCTGTCCCCAGCTGTCCTGTGTCTCACTCCCAGCATGCTCTGCAGCTGAGCTGTCCTGAGACTAAGCCAGGGAGGGTGCCCGGTGGCCTCGGCCATGCTCACCTTCTTCTTCTCGGGAGACGTGTGGGCGCTCTTGGGCTCGCCGTCTCCTTCGCGGTCGCAGGTCAGGGGATCGCGGCCTGGCGCTGGCTTGACTCCATTCCCAGCGTCGTCCTCATTGGGCCTCCACCCGCTCAGGTTGACGCCCGCGGCACACCACAGCTGCAAGGGCAGGGCCGAGGTCGGGTGTCACCGGCACTCCCCAGCCTCCCGCTCGCCCAGCCAGCCTGAGCGGGGTCCTCGCGGGCTCACCTTCATGGTGGGGTCCTTCTCCACCAGAGGGCGGCAGTACACCGGCACCGGCACGTTCTTCATCCGCGTGTCCTCCTGGCCCCCGTTGGGACTCAGCTGCAGGGAGCAGGGAGGCGCCGTGGGCACGAACCCTGGCTCCTACCCATCCCTCCAGAAATCTGAGACAGGTAGGGCTGCCAGCTTCTGGCGGCACAGCCACTTCAAGACTGGAGGCAGGTGGGGGCGTGGGAGCCGCGGGGCTCCTTCTCCGACCCTCCAGACCCCTGCCCAGGAGGCTCACTAGGAACCTGCCAGGCCCCGCCCCACCCGCCGTCCTCTCCCACCCCCTAGCACTGCCCCGCCCTCTCCCCGCCCCACAGCGCCCCGCCCCTTACCCCCGCCCCGCCTCTGCGGGGCCCCGCCCGGTCCCCGCAGCGCCCGCCCGCACCTGCTTGTACTTGGCGGGCAGGCTCCAGCCGCAGGCCTGCAGACGGCCGTCGTCGTTACGCACGTGCTCACGCACCTGGCGGTACTGCTCGCGCTTCTGCTCTCGACGGGCGGAGGACGTGCAGTCGCTGAGTGGAAGAATGATGGGTGATGTCTCTGTCCAGGGTGAGCGGCCCCCACAGTGCCCCAGGCTTGTCCTGGGGGAGGTCACGGCAGGGAGGCCCGCCTGGGCCCATCCTCGCCTTTTCCCGGCCACCGGGTGCCCAGCTGGGAAGGGTGGCTTTCCCGGCACTGGGTGCCCAGCTGGGAAGGGTGGCTTTCCTGGCACCGGCTATGCCCCTGGGCTTGGAGGCCACAGCTGGCCCCTGCTCGACCCAGAGGCTGCTCTGCTGCCACAGTCACTGAGGGTTCCACAGACCGGGACCTGGAGTGCCGCCGGGGCACAGGCATGACCAGCGACTCCCTGCTGGACAGACGCCTGAAACGGCTCCTTGCTGCAGAGGCCACCGTGGAGCCCAGCACAGCCCCCTGACTGTTGGTGGGCACAGCCTCTGCCAAGGGACATCCTGAACCAAATACCGTGGAGCCAAAGCAGCCCAGCTCCCCGCTGCAGGGAGGGGCAGGCAGTGTGCAGGGAGAGGTCACGGCCCCTGGCATGTGGCCAGCAAGGTGGAGGCTGCCCTCAAAGTCCCGCTTCAGGGCCTGGAGGGGAGGAGCCTCAGGACAGGGCCTCCCCAACCCCATTGCAGGCCACAAGTGGGGGCTGCGGGACACTCACTCGTCAGGGAAGAATTCCAGGGGCCGGCTGCCTGCCGAGATCGGGCACATGGCATGGTTGCGGCGCTGGCTGAAGCCGGCAGTGGTGGGTGACTTGTAGTGGATGTTCACCGAGGGATAGGGGCGCTTGGCCGGAGGGGGGCTGGAGGAAGAGCTGAAGAGGCGGCTGAAGCTGCCAGAGGCACAGGGAGGTGAGGGGTGGGCAGAGGACCAGGGAACCTCCCTGCCCCTTCCCCTGCAGCTGCTGCCCACATCCCCCAGGGGCCCCCAGCTTACAACTGCCAGATGGTCGACTTCTTCTTCTCCTGGACGGATGGGTGCTCTCGGGACGCTCTGCAGGGGAGGGCACAGGGAGCAACCTGCTAGTGCCCTCACGCCTCCCTTACCTGCGACTCTCTGGCTCCCGCCAGGAAGCACCCAGCGCACTTCAGTCCCCCCAGAAGACAGGGAGGTGCAGAGGAGGGAGCCGCAGTCCTGCCGTCAGGGATGATCCCGCAGCCCCTCCTGGGGTGGCCGCAACTCCCACCTGATCATCTCAGTCCACCGCACAGCCTCCTGCAGCTCCATCAGCCGCTCCTTGTACTGGTTCCGCTCCATGAGCACACGGGCCATCTCCACCCGCGTGAAGCGGCGGCGCTGGGCCATGGGGATTTTGTCCTGCGGAGGGAGGGGCACAGAGGCTCAGCCAGCCCTCGGAGGCCGGGTGACACCTGCTTCCTCCTGGGGTGCCTACACGTATAGGTGGATCTCAGTGCCAATTTCCTTCAGATCCTCAGGCAAGAAGCGGTGTGGAGGGGTGTCGGCAAGCGGGGAGGGGAACCATACAAAAGGCATGCACCAGGACTTGGGTGCTGACAGGGGACCCGGCATCCTGCCAGGGCTGTGGTCCTGCCCAAGGGCCTGATTCTGACTCCATGTGGTCTCAGGAGTGGGGTGGCAGATGATGCCGCTGGGGTCAGGTGTCACCCAGGAGGGGTGGGAGAGCTGTCAGCCCAGAACAGCCGGCGAGTCCCCAGGAGCCCGCCTGGGCCCCCTGCCCGTGCCCACCCCAGCCCTGCATGTGAATTGTGGGATATACTGATTCTGTACAGAGACAGAAGCGCCGGTGAGTCCCCGGGAGGCACCCCGCATCCCCATGCCCCGAGTGTGAATAGTAGGATATACTGTGTGTGAATGGTGAATGGTGAATGGTGGCCGCCCAGCGTGTGAATGTGTGGGAATGATGGCTGCCCCACGTGTGAATGCGTATGAACAGTGGTCACCCGGCGTGTGAATGTGTGGGAACAGTGGCCGCCCCGCCTGGGAATGGTGAATGGTGGCCGCCCCGCCTGTGAATGGTGAATGGTGGCCGCCCCGCCTGTGAATGGTGAATGGTGGCCGCCCCGCCTGTGAATGGTGAATGGTGGCCGCTCTGCCTGTGAATGGTGAATGGTGGTCGCCCTGTGTGTGAATGGTGAATGGCGGCCGCCCTGCCTGTGAATGGTGAATGGTGGCCGCCCCGCCTGTGAATGGTGAATGGTGGCCGCCCCGCCTGTGAATGGTGAATGGTGGCCGCTCTGCCTGTGAATGGTGAATGGTGGCCGCTCTGCCTGTGAATGGTGAATGGTGGTCACCCTGTGTGTGAATGGTGAACGGTGGCCGCCCCGCCTGTGAAAAGTGAATGGTGGACGCCCCGCATGTGAAGAGTGAAGAGTGGATGTACCGATTCTGTACAGAGATAGCTGCTTACATCCTCCGCCTCTTCTTTGGGTTCACGGCGGGCGATGATGGCCTCGGACTTCACTCTGTGGGAAGGGGAAGGAGGCAGGGAGGGTGAGGGCCTCCCAGGGGCCTCGGGAACACATAGCGGGCAGTGCCCGCCCCGAACCTGTGTCCTTGCCTCTGTGCAGGGCTGGGGGCTCTCCCCACAGGGACCCCTTCAGCAGCCGTTTGGTTCAGGGCCCTGAACGCTTCTTCCAGTTCCCTGGGGACAGGTGGCCCTGAGCCACTGCTGCATGAGTGCTCTGAAGCCCAGCCGTCCATCCTGGCTGCCCGGGAATGCGGAGGGGGAGCAAAGCAGAGGGGCCCTGGCTTTGGCAAACCCAGAGCAGATCTGGGTCCCTTCTTAGGCAGAGGCATGGTCTCGGAGCGCCCACACCTCCTCTGTCCATCAGAGAAGGGCTGGAGCCCCAACATACAGCTCTCCGGGGGCCGTGGCCAAACCTTGGCTGATCAAAGGGCTGGAGGAGTGGGATGGTGGGAGCTGTGCAGAGAAGGAACGCGTGAGACAGGCCCAGCGTGTGCTGTAGGAGGCTCAGGAGGAGACCACGGCCCCACTCTGCTGGTTGGGGTGGAGTGGCTGTGAGCTGGAGCTGGAGGTAGGTAGGCTATGCACAGAGCCGCTCAGGCTGGAGAGCAGGCACTGGAGGAGGCAGCCACTCCAGAGCCCTGAGGCCGGGGTCCCTCTCTGACCAGCTTTCCATGCCCTGCCCTCACCTTTTCAGTTCCTCTTCCAGCTCCTTGATACGGTTTTCCAGCTTGACTTTGGCCTGCTTAGCAGCCTCCAACTCGCCCCTCAGCACCTCCTGCTCCCCGGACAGCTGGTCGACCTTGGCAATCAGGTCATTCTTCACCACATTCAAGGCGTTTCTTTGAAAAAGCAGAAAGATGGGAGTGCCACGGGCGCGGCATACAGGTACGTGAAGGGGCCTTGCCAGGGGCGCCTGCACTTCCGCCCTGGAGAAGGCACAGCCTGGTTAGGAAGGTGGCTGAATGGGAGACCCCATCCCCATCTTAGCTAAACCCTATAGCACCCTTGTTAGAGGCTCCTGGAGACAAGCTTCGTAAAGAAACCAGGCAGAGTCCTGCTCCAAGTTCCTCCCGCCAGAGATGAGGACAGCTGCTGGCGTTGGAGCCAGGTGCTCCCCAAGGCGCCCTCTGGCCCGGCTCACTCTCCCAGCCCTGACAAGGAGGGCTGCCTCAGCCCCACCACACAGGAGAAGGGCACTCTTACTTGGTTTCCAGAAGCTGTGAGTTTTCCAGTAGCAGATTCCCCACTTCTTTGCCCATTCCTGAAACAGAAGGTGCGGAGGTTTCACCTGTGCCCTTCAAAACAGGTCACTGATGCCGCCGCACCTGCCTCAGGGCAACAACGCTTCCAAAGAGGGTAGCCTGGCTGGGGATGACGCCCGATCTACAGGGAGCGGGGGCCGTGAAGGGCGGGGCTCATGCTGGGCCCGCAGTCTGTGCACAGAGCAGGCTCCCAGGCCTTGGGGTGGTTCTCATGTCCGACCAATGTCACAGGCCAGCTGGCCGGACGCAGGCCCCTGAATGGCCGCTGGGCTGCCATCTCAGTGCCCCCAGCAGGTCTGTCACCAGGCAGGCCCTCTCGGAGCCACCACCCTAGGCGAGTGATGTTGGAGCTGCGGTGAGGGGACAGGTGGGCAAGGAGAGGCCTGGCCCTCACGGCAGGGCCAGCAGGGCTGGGGTGCGGCGATGGGGCGCGGCTGTGAGGACAGGGCTCCCTGGCAGGACTGAAGGCTCCTCTACCACGAGGCCCCAAGTGGACCTGGACTGATCTCCCTGCAAGCATGCCCCAGAAACCCCAAAAGGATGGAAAGAAACTCCAAGGTCCTGCCCTCCCACACACTCCCCCACTGTGTATGCAGTCATGAAACAGCATCACACGCCTCTGTGCCTGGGCTCAGGGGTCCTGCCTGCTGTCTCTATTATGACCTCCCTTGCCTCAAACATGGGCCTTCCTCCCCACAGGCAGGGTCTGCCCGGCGCTTGTGGGGTTCAGAGAGGCTGGGGCTGCCCTCCTCGGGCCTTCAAGTCTGTCCCTTGGGGAAGTCGCCACCTCCCACAGCCCAGAGGCAGCCTGGACAGAGCGAGCTTCACTCAGGGCTGCCCCCCTGACCCCGGCGGCCCCAACACTGTCCCCATCATGCAGAACAAAGCAAACGGCTCATGAAGCAGGAGACCATGTCGGGGTGGAGGAGCGACGCACGCTGGAACGGGGCCTCAGCCTTACCAAAGAAATCATCGCGCACTAGGGAGCCGTCCCCGTCCCACAGGAGATGGGCAACCAGGGCGGGAGGAGAGGGAGAAAGGGAGAGAAGAGAAGCGCGTTAAGCCCGTGTGGACAGCAGGCTGGGAGGAATTCAGAGCTGGGTCTGCTGGGTTAGGGTGGGTGCAGGAGGGAGTTAGGAGGGCAGGAGATGGGATGGAGCCAGCTATTCCTTCTGGAAAGTTTATCCTTGGGGTTACATGAAGACTGCCAGGCCAGTGTCACCTGTGGAGCAGGAAGCTAACATCTCACCCCAAATTCTGGGCTGGGTGGGGCTGAGGGCAGAAGGCACCCCTGTGGGGATGGGCTGTGCCTGGAGGCTGGGGGGCTGCATCTGGACAGCCTCTGGGTGGGGCCTCGGAGCCTCCTGCTGTGCAGCCAGAGAGCAGGACTCGGCCTGTCCACCCACGTGGGGAGGGGACCCCGGGCTGGGCTTCGTAGGGGCTTCAAGGACCCCTGACTTCTGGGGTGTGCCTGACAGCAGGGGAGGCCCCAGAGCTGGCCTTGGCCATGTCCAGTCACTGCCGTGCGTGGCTTAGGGCTCCGCAGGGCCTTCAGAAATGGCCCGCGGGGGACTCCTCAGGCTGGGGGGGTTGGATATCCAGGTCATTGTCAAGTGGCTGGTGGAGCAAACCGAACAAGCTTCCGAGCGGCGGTGGCTGCGAGCAGAAGCAGAGGCGCTGCGGCGACGTGGGGGGCAGTCCACACAGCCACGGTGACGGGATAGCTCGGGGCATCCCCCGTCCACCCACTCCCCCCGTCACACAGAGGGGAGACAGACAGGAGAGTGAGATACTCACCTGAGAACTCCCCTGGCGAGTCCAGCGACGCACAGAGAGGCAGGGGAAGGAAGGGACAAAGGTCAATTAGGGACTGGAACTAACAATACATTCTTATTACAGAAAACCCAGCAATGATTCGGCTGCTCCCATGTTGCAGGGCAGGAGAGAGAGGGAGCAGCCTCCAGCAGGTCCCGGTGCCCCGTGTGCCCAGGCAGAGGCCTGCAGGGAACCAGGCCCAGGCGCCGTGGTCCAGCCCAGGGCTGTGTTGCCGAGCCCTGACCCGGAAGCCTGCTGCCCTCTGCTCCCATCGCCCATCAGGAGGGCAGGCCCCCCGCAGCCCCCATGATGCAGGCCTGTGAAGAGGAGAGTGTGTGTGGCAGGGTGTGGCAGGTACCCAGTCTCCAAAAGCCCCCCAGCGTGGGCGAGGGAGAGAGCGGCGAGGGAGACACCGCAGACGCAGGCCTGGAGCTGGACTCCTAGGCTTCTGGGTCAGCCTGGGTAGGGCAGGACCTCGGTGAAGGATGACTGAAGTCACAATGGGAGCAAGGGCCCCACTGTGGAGGGCAGAGAGAACATGCCAGAAAGCAGAGGAGGGCTGGGGAGCGTGGGGCGGGCGAGGCATCCTCACTGGGTCCTGGCCCCTCCCTGCACAGGAGGCTGGCGAGGGAAACGCTCTGCGGGAAAACACCACTTCCTCCAACAGAGGTGAGGACGCGGTTCTCTTCTACTTGGTTGTTTCACACAGAAAGGAAAATGGCATTAAAAAGTCACTTGAGCAGGGCGTGGTGGCTCACGCCTGTAATCCCAGCACTTTAGGAGGCCGAGGCGGGCGGATCACAAGGTCAGGAGATTGAGACCATCCTGGCTAATGCGGTGAAACCCCGTCTCTACTAAAAATACAAAAAATCAGCCAGACCTGGTAGCGGGCACCTGTAGTCCCAGCTACTCGGGCGGCTGAGGCAGGAGAGTGGCTGAACCCGGGAGGCAGAGCTTGCAGTGAGCTGAGATCACGCCACTGCACTCCAGCCTGGGCGACAGAGCAAGACTCCGCCTCAATTAAAAAAAAAATGTCACTTGATTTAGATGACAAAACGGCTGTTTGTTATCGGAATTCCAATAATAAAGCAATTCCCAATTCGAGAGCAGATGTCCTTCTCTCTCATCTCGGCTTCCCAGGGCAACCACTGCTCACGGCCAATATTCTCCTCTCAGGTTTCCTTCTAGATAAGCAACAGGTTTCAAAGAACAAAAACGGGACCCCATTATCCATCTCTCTGGGAGGCTTCCTGTGTTCCACTCAGCACTTTTATGGGACTTTCCTGTGCTGAGGTTCCTGGATGCCTTTATTTATTTTTTGAGACGGGGTCTCACTCTGTTGCTCAGGCTGGAGTGCAGTGGCACTATCATAGCTTACTGCAACGTTGACCTCCCAGGCTCAAGAGATCCTCCCACCTCAGCCTCCTGAGTAGCTGAGTCTACAGGTACATGCCACCACGCCCGGCTAATTTGTGTGTGTGTGTGTGTGTGTGTGTGTGTGTGTGTGTGTGTGTGTGTTTTAGTAAAAATGAGGTCTCACTATGTTGCCCAGGCTGGTCTTCAACTCCTGGGCTCAAGCAATCTGCCCACCTTGGCCTCCCAAAGTGCTGGGATTACGGGTGTGAGCCACTGTGCCTGACCCCGGTTGCTTTTTTTAGATGGGGTCTCGTTCTGTCACCCACGTTGGAGTGAAGTGGCGCGATCCACCTCCCAGGCTTAAGCAATCCTCCCCATCAGCCTCCCAAGTAGCTGGGGCCATGGGTGCACACCACCATGCCCAGCTAAGTATTTGGTAGAGACGGGGTTTTGCCATGTTGCCCAGGCTGGTCTTGAACTTCTCAGCTCAAATGATCCACCTGCCTTGGCAGGCATGAGCCACCGCCCCTGGCCTGGTTGCTTTCAATGCCCTGTAGTGTTTCTCTATGGGAATATCTCATCATCTGTCACTGTACCCGCTCCCCCAAGACTTGGGGTCCCTGTGTGAGGGCTTGAGGTACTTTTCAGCCCTGTGACTGCCCGACTGCTCCCTCGAAGGAGCATCTCCAGCTGCTGGTCCACCACCATTACCACCCGCCAGTGCTCGGTGGGGCTGCACCCATCACCCCTGGCTGGCACGTAGGGCAGCACCTGCTCCACCCTAGTCAGCCTCGATTGTCTTATTTTCAATCTTTTAGGGAAAAAGTTTTCTTGATTTTCTCTTTATTTCTTTATTATTTCCGAAATTGAGCATCTTTTCAGATGTTTATTGGTATAGCCTATAAACTTCCTTTTCCTTTTTTTTTTTTTTTTTTGAGAAAGACTCTCACTCTGTCACCAGGCTGGAGTGCAACGGCGCGATCTTGGCTCACTTCACTGCAACCTCCACGTCTCGGGTTCAAGCGATTCACTTGCCTTAGTCTTCTGAGTAGCTGGGATTACAGGCATGTGTCACCAGGCCCAGGTAATTTTTGTATTTTTAGTAGAGATGGGGTTTCACCATGTTGGCCAAGATGGTCTCGATCTCTTGACCTCGTGATCCGCCCACCTTGGCCTCCCAATGTGCTGGGATTACAGGCATGAGCCACCGCACCCGGCCCCTTTTCCAGTTCTACTATCCTTTGTTGACGTTCTTATTTTTCTGAGACAGGGTCTTGCTCTGTCCCCCACGCTGGAGTGCAGTGGCACAATCATGGCTCACTATATCCTTGAACTCCCAGGCTCAAGTGATCCTCCCACTTCAGACGCCCAAGTAGCTAGGACCACAGGTGCCAGCACACCCGGCTGCATTCTGTTGTCCTCGTAATTGTGTACTTAGATCTTTAATCCACCTGGAAATCACTGCTGTTTACGGGGAGGTCAGGCTTAGACTTCATTTTACACCAGCAGCAACTAAGGCAGTACATTTACTGACTCATCTGCCCGTTTTCCACGGTTTGAGATGCCATACTTGTCATACATAGATGAATTCCCCATGGCTCCAGGTCTGTCTTGGCTCTTGGCCCTGAGCTCATGAGCTCGTATCACAGGTTTGTTGCTGCCTGCCTCAACTGCCGCAGCTTTATGTGGAATCCTGCAAGCTTTTTCTCTCCCCACATTTTCTGGGATATTCTCACATGTTTCCTCTACTGGATCAACTTCAGATCCATTCATAGAGTTCCAGAAAAATCTCCAACAAGCATGTGGGTATTTTTACTGGTAATGAACGGATTCCTGTGGGAACGGTGGGGCTGCCTGTCATGTCAGCAGACAGCTCACAGGGTGTGTCTTCAGGTCCGGGCACGTGGCAACACCCTCTGCGTGTACAGCTTCTTTTATGTCTTTCAATGGTGCTTCTGAATCTTACACAGGCTTGTCTTTTCTCAAGGTTATTTGTGGATATTTTCTTCTTCTTTTTTTTTTTTTTTGAGACGGAGTCTCGCTCTGGAGTGCAGTGGCATGATCTCAGTTCACTGCAACCCCCGCCTCCCAGGTTCAAGTGATTCTCCTGTCTCAGCCTCCTGAGTAGCTGGGACTACAGGGCCCGCCACCACACCCGGGTAATTTTTGTATTTTTAGTAGAGATGGGGTTTCACCACGTCGGCCAGAGTGGTCTCGAACTCCTGACCTTGTGATCCGCCCACCCTGGCCTCCCACAGTGCTGGGATGACAGGCATGAACCACTGTGCCCGGCCTATTTGTGGACAGTTTCTACATCTGGCTACTACATCGGTGGAATCTCTCCTGAGGGCTGCCTCGTCCATGCAGAGCAGAGCGGAGAGAAAGATCAGCTGCGTGGATTCCAGATTCCGCTCAGCAATGCAAGGCACATAGTATAACTTCTCTGAGTATTAGTCATTTGTGAAACAGAAAAATAAGTTCCTTAGTGAATATTTGCTGTGAAATTCCCACCAGGTAGTGCGGTAATAGCTGGTACAGCTCCCAGCACCAGCGACATACTCAGTGAGTATTAATTCCCTTACTCCCTATTAGGCCAATTTTTTTTTTTTTTTGAGACAGAGTTTCGCTCTTACTGCCCAGGCTGCAGTGCGGTGGTGCGATCTCGGCTCACTGCAACCTCTGCCTCCCAGGTTCAAGCAATTCTCCTGCCTCAGTCTCCCAAGTAGCTGGGATTACAGGTACCTGCCACTGCACTCAGTTAATTCTTTTGTATTTTTAGTAGAGATGGGGTTCACTATCTTGGCCAGGCTGGTCTTGAACTCCTGACCTCATGACCCACCCGCCTCGGCCTCCCAGAGTGCTGGGATTATAGGCGTGAGCCACTGTGCCCGGCCGGTCCTAGTATACCAATTCTAAGACGTACATTTTTTTCCTCATGTTAACATTTCTGAAATTTCAGTAGGTCTTAAACAATCACTGTCACATTATAGTTTAATTTGCAGCAGTTTTTTCTTTCTTGAAGATTCCTAAAATAATGGTACGTGGGGCTGGGCACGGTGGCTCACGCCTGTAATCCCAGCACTTTGGGAGGCCGAGGTGGGCGGATCATGAGGTCAGGAGATCGAGACCATCCTGGCTAACATGGTGAAACCCCGTCTCTACTAAAAAATACAAAAAATTAGCCGGGCATGGTGGCAGGCACCTGTAGTCCCAGCTACTCGGGAGGCTGAGGCAGGAGAATGGCGTGAACCCAGGAGGCGGAGCTTGCAGTGAGCTGATATCGTGTCACTGCACTCCAGCCTGGGCAACAGAGCAAGACTCCGTCTCAAAAATAAATAAATAAATAAATAAATAATGGTATGTGGGCTGGGTGCAGTGGCTCACACCTGTAATTCCAGTGTGATTTGGGAGGCCAAAGTGGGAGGATCACTTGAGTCTAGGAGTTTGAGACCAGCCCTGGCAACACAGCAACAGCCTACCTCTATAGGAAACAAACGAACGAACAAACAAAAAAGTCTTAAAATTGGTGTTGTCTGAGATTCGATGGAATACAACAGATGCCCGACCTGGGCTCTTTTTATTTCTCCATCACCAAAGGAACTCAGAGTAAAAATGCTGAGAGAGGTGCAGGGCCGCCCACGTAGACGCTGGACGGAGGGATGTCGCTCTCCACCTGCCGACTTTTGGCAGAAGCACCCTCCCGTCACGTGCAAAGCTGACGTGTTTCTGAAATGATGCTCTTTCCCAGATCTGTGCAGGCTCCAGGCTCTCCCCTGCTTGGCAGCCACACAAGGGCGTACTCCTTTTCCTGCTGTCTTCAGGAGTTCATGCCCATTCTGCAGCTGAGCTGGACATGGGGCGAGTTGATTAGGGCAGAGGGGCGCAGGTCCCAGCTCATTTGTCCATCCTGGTTGCCAGAGAGCAGGCTCCTCTGTTTCAAAAACCTTCCATCAACAGATTGCAGCAGCAGGAGGTCCCCACTCATCAGGACTGCCTGACTTTTTCTTTTCCTTCTCTCTTTTTTTTTTTTTTTTTAAGAGACAGGGCCTCACTCTGTCACCCAGGCTGGAGTGCAGTGGTGTGCTCACAGCTCACTGCAGCCTCAAACTCCCAGGCTGAAGTGATCTTCCCACTTCAGCTTCCCAAGTAGCTGGGACTTACAGGTGCACACCACCATGCCTGCCTAATTTTTTTATAAAATGTTTTGTAGAGATGGGGTCTCGCTATGTTGACCAGGCTGGTCTTGAACTCCTAGGCGCAGGTGATCCTCCTGCCCTGGCCTCCCAAAGCTCTGGGATTACAGGTGTGAGTGACTGTGCCTGGCCTCCCTGCCTTTCTTATACGCATTACGTTTAAGGCTCTGGAAAGGCACCAAAAGGTCTGTTACTCCCAAGAGCAGCCTGTCGTGCCAGCCTGAGCTCGGCGATGCCCAGATGACCAGCACCCTGCAGAGTAGGGTGGCAGAGCCCAGAGTGCACGGAGGGCGTGGAACGCATAGTGACTTGCAGCCTCATCGTGGAGCGCACAGTGACTCGGCCTCCATCGTGGTATGAGAAAAGGACTGCCTCACGGTCTCGTGGGAAAGCAGACTCCTGGCCAGTGCCCTCTAGGTGGGTGCTGCAGGGGGTGGCTGTGCAGCAGGGCGAGGCAGCACAAAGGCCACGGGTTGAGCACAGGGTACCACAGCCAACAGGATGGGCGGATGCGCAGGCCACAGAGTCCCTGGTTGGTGAGGAAGCTGCCAATCCTGGTCATCTCTTGGAGCCGGGCGGGGGTCAGAGTGTGGCTGGAGCACGATTCACAGCCTCCCAAAGGTGGAAAGCACCAAGCAGGGGCCCATTAGGGCAAACAGGTGAGCACAACGTGGTCTGTCCATGCAACGGGCACTACTCAGCAGTGAAAAGCCAGGAGGCACTGACACGCTGCAGCTGGGATGGACCTTGAAGATGTGATGCAACGTTAAAGAAGCCAGGCAGAAAAGGCCCATTGCTGTGAAACGTCTGGAACAGGCAAATCTACAGAGACAGAGCATGGATTTGTGGTTGCCTGGGGCTGGGGACGAGGGGCAGACAAAGCGACTGCTCATGGGCACGGGGTTTCCTTTTGGGGGTGAAGACGATGTGACTGTCAACACCGAGCATGCTAAGACCCACTGGACTGTACACCGTAAGTGAATGAATTACACAGTGTGGAAATCACATCTCAATAGAGCTACTGAACAGCACAGACCTTGCTCAGAGTTAGGGCTGCTGTTCTGGGTGGGACCTGCGTTCAAGTCCGAGCTCTCACCGTCATCTCACCCTCCCTGACCTCAGTTTTTTTTTTGAGACAGAGTCCCTCTCCCTGTCACCCAGGCTGGAGTGCAATGGTGCGATCTCAGCTCACTGCAATCTCCGCTTCCTGGGTTCAAACAATTCTTCTGCCTCAGTCTCCCGAGTAGCTGGGATTACAGGTGCCCGCCACCAGGCCCAGCTAATTTCTTTTTGTATTTTTAGTAGAGATGGGTTTCACCATGTTGGCCAGGCTGGTCTCAAACTCCTGACTTCAAGCAATCCACCCGCCTCGGCCTCCCAAAGTGCTGGGATTACGGGCATGAGCCACTGTGCCCGGCCTCAGTTTCTTCATCTATAAATGGGGACACTGGCAGGAGGGCGGCTTGATGCTGCAGTAAGGACCGACGGTGGCCGTGCCCGTCAGTGCTGCCACCCACGGAAATGACACCGCCCACAATGAGAAGGGCAGCTGCGACCTGACACTGTGTGTTCTGCGTACACATGTGTCATACCTCTGTGGGCCATGGGCCATGGTGTCTGGTAGGTGTCACCAAGACATTAAAACAATCGGCCAGGAGTGGTGGCTCACGCCTGTAATCCCAGCACTCTGGGAGGCCGAGGCGGGTGGATCACAAGGTCAGGAGATCAAAACCAGCCTGACCAACACTGTGAAACCCCATCTCTACTAAAAATACAAAAATTACCTGGGCATGGTGGTGCATGCCTGTAATCACAGCTACTCACGAGGCTGAGGCAGGAGAATTGCTTCAACCCGGGAAGGCAGAGGTTGCAGTGAGCCGAGATCGCACCACTGCACTCCAGCCTGGCCCACAAAGTGGGACTCCGTCTCAAAAAAAAAAAAAATCATTATAGCATGGTGGGGAGGTTCCCTCTGGTTTTTACTCTCTTCTTGGCATTTGCTGATATTATTTAAATATTATTATAAGCATATATAATTTTTTCAAAAAATAAAAAAAATAGCTAAAAAATATACATTATCGGCCGGGCATGGTGGCTCACACTTGTAATCCCAGTACTTTGGGAGCCTGAGGCGGGTGGATCACCGGAGGTCAGGAGTTCAAGACCAGCCTGGCAAATATTGTGAAACCCCGTCTGCACTAAAAATACAAAAATTAGCCGGGCGTGGTGGCGCGTGCCTCTAATTCCAGCTACTTGGGAGGCGGAGACAGGAGAATTGCTTGAACCTGGGAGGCGGAGGTTGCAGTGAGCCAAGATGGCGCCACTGCATTCCAGCCTGGCGACAGAGCGGGACTTTGTCTAAGAAATAAATAAATAAATAAATAAATAAACATTATCTGAATTATGTAGAGTGGAAGGATAGCAAAATATTAAAAGAGATTACCCCTATTTAGCAGGATTTTTCTGAAGATTAATCTCCTTTGGATTTTTTATATATATTTTTGCAACACATGAGAAAAGTTCCACAGAAAATTCACAGCACCAAAGTGCGCCCTCACCGCCGTCCTGATCTCGGGGAGCATTCCATCTTTCACCACCAAGTACAGTGTGTCCAACACTACTGAACTGAACACTTCAACTCGGTTAACATGGTGAATATTATGTTACTCATACATGGCCTCTACTGGGGCACTTTCTGACTCAAGCCAGGATGAGACAGGCCTCCCTGTCAGGGTGAGGCCCTGCTGGTGCTCAGCACCCCACATTACTCTGCTCCCTGGAGGTCCCCCTGCCCCAGATAAGACAATCAGCTCAGGAGTACACCAGGAGGCAGCCTGGGATCCAGGAGCTTCTCACCCTGCGGGCTGGGGGAAGCAAGGCCATGGCGAAAGGCTCGGACCCTGACGCGTGCAAGGGGACAGACTGCGCTGTCCTACTGCCCGCCTGTCATGCCTGAAAGCCTGGGGCTCAGAGCCACATGGCCAGTGCTCAGCTGCCAGCAGATGCCATGAGCACAGGAGACTCCACGTGCTGACAGGAAGCAGGTCCTGATGTTTGCAGCCGCCACAGACCTAGGCACAGGGGTCCGGTGTAGACCTGTGGCGCTGAGGTGAAGCCAGGGCTGTCTGCGGAGGAGTGGGCAAGTGGGCACCCTCCCAACCTCCTCCAAAGTCAATGGTCCTAGGGTGTGCGGCGAGGCTAATGGGCACAGAGCAGAGAAGCGGGCACCCTCCCAACCTCCTGGAGAGTTGGCAGCCCTGAGGGTGTGTGCAGAAGATGGGGCGAGGCTAACAGGCATGGATTTCTTTTAGGGATGGCGGAACATTCTAAACTGAGATCATGGGGGTGGCTGCCCCACCTGTGAGTACGCTGTAACCCACCGCACCGTGCACTCGAAGCGGGTGAATTTTATGATACAGTCGACCCTCAATACCCACGAGTTCTGCATGTGTGGATTCAACCAGCCTCACAGAAAATGTACAGGCCTGTGGTGGCCGTGTCTGTACTGACGTGTACACTTTTTTCCTGTCATTATTCCCTAAACGACACAGCATAACAGCAACTACTTACACAGCATCTACAACATAACCTAGAGGTGATTTAGAGTACACGGGAGGGTGCAAACACTACACCACTTCAGAGCAGGGACTTGAGAAGCCTCAGATTTTGGCATCCTTGGGGCAGTCCAGAAACCAATCCCCTGTGGAGATGGAGGGACAATTCCATGTGAAACGCAACTCAACAAAGCTGGAAAAAAAAAGGTTCCTAGCTCACAGCTGACAGAGGACTTTCCTTTCATTACAAACAAAACCAACAGCAGAAAGCCCCAGCATTGTGCAGGCACAGCGGTGCGGGGGAAGGCTTGCGCTTACCTAGGAGGTCGGCCCCTTCGTCCACATCCCCGATGACCTCAGACCCTGCCGTCGACAGCTCATGGTACAGGGAGTCGGTGTTGATGCCGAAAGCTTTGTTCACGATGCCCTGGGTTGGGCTGTTGGGATCCACAGGTCGGGAGAGAGAGCAGAGTCAGTGGGCAGCCCGGAGTGGCTGCGTCTGCAGACTCTTCCAACACCTCCCACCGTGGCCATTCAATGCCCACACTGCCCTGCAGGCCGGTCGTGGATGGAGGCGGTAGGCCACAGCCTTGATGGTTCTCCCAGTGGTGGCAGAGGAAGACTTCACCAAAGACACCGACTTGGATAAATACTGAGCCCCCAGGACCCCAGGGCCTGGGCTGAGCCAGTACCTGCTTCCTGTGCGGTCCAGGCGGGTCTCTGGACACATGTCCAGCTCTGGCGTGGAGTCAATAATGTCTTGAACATCAGACCACTCGTCACTGCTGCCCATGCCTAGGGGAGAGCACAGGGGCACCTGGGGTCAGGAGAGGGTCTGGCAGCCTCTGCCCTGCTCACGGCTGCCCTCGGAACCTGAGTCTGGTGGGCTGGAGCTGGACCACCTGCTAGGTGGGGATGATCAGAAAACAGCTCTTCCCAGGCTGACTGGGCAGAGGTCGAACCCCAGCACAGTAGACGTCTGAGGCGGGGCCTGGAGCGGGGTGGGTTGCAGCAGCCTCTCTGCATGGGAGTGTCAGCAGTAAGCCCAGTCCCCAGAGATCCCACGTCCAAGCAAGCCAGTGGCTGGACCTCCTCTCGGCCCTCATTCCCCTCTTCTCTTTCCCTCACTGGCCTGTGTGCCGTGGGGCAACGCAGGTTACTGGTTAGTGGGGCTGTGTGCCATGGGGTGACGTAGGCTACTGGTTAGTGGGACTGTGTGCCGTGGGGCGATGCAGGTTACTGGTTAGTGGGGCTGTGTGCCGTGGGGCGATGCAGGTTACTGGTTAGTGGGGCTGTGTGCCGTGGGGCGATGCAGGTTACTGGTTAGTGGGGCTGTGTGCCGTGGGGTGACGCAGGCTACTGCCTTAGTTGTGTCTCCCCAAATCCATATGTTAATAGATACCCCCTAGCATGACTGTATTTGGAGGCTGGGCCTTTCAAGAGGTGATTATGGTAAAATGAGGTCACGTGGTGGCTCTAATCCAATGGGGCTATGTCCTTGTAGGAGCTGGAGATGAGGACACAGACACACCCAGGGGATGCCTGTTGAGGACACAGGGAGAAGGTGGTGTCTACAAGCCAAGGAGTGGCCGCAGGAGGAACCTACCCTGCCAGCGCCTTGATCTTGGACCCCAGCCTCCGGGCTGTGAGGAACACGTCTCTGCTGCCTGCACTGCCCGCCTGGTGCATTAGTTTCACATCTACCCAAACCAAGCCCTGCCTCCTGCCCGAGGGAGCCCAGAGTCCCGGAGGTGGGCACCCACCTATACTGACGTTGCGCATCTCCTGGGTGACCTGTACTTCCATGTTGCGGCTGTCGCGCTTCTCCCGGGCACGCTTGCTGTTCTTGGAGCCCACGCCATAGTCCCCCAGGGGCTGCAGGCTCTCGTTGAGGGGTGTGACGGCGGCCGAGGGCACGGAGGATGTGGGCGTGTTGGACTTGGTGCCTGTGGTGCTGGGTGTGGCGGCCGCCGAGGACTGGCCTGACTCGGACATTTCATCCTGTGGACACTAAGGCCAAACACAGGGAGGAGGGAGAGCGAGTCACTGCAGGTCCCTGGCCTGCGGCTCCGCCGTGGCTGCCTGAGGCCCCGCGCACCAATGCTTTGCACTTTGCCTCGCCCGACACCCTGCGGGCCAGAGCTCCTCTGCCGCCCACCGGGCTAACCCTTCCGGGCCTCACCACTCCCGAGTGGCTCTGCTTATCCGGCCACTGACTCCGGCTCCTCGGAAGCAGGGCCACCCTCCTGAAATGGCTTGGAACGGGGCTTTCCACTGGTGCCCTCCCCAGACGATTGCTTGTAATGGGCCAGTGCCTCGCCAGGGACACAGCGGCAGCCCCCTGTAGCTTGTGGCTGTTCAGAAACAAGTCCAGCCCAGGTAGGGCAGAGGGCTCTGACTGGGGACCCAAGAAGGGCTGGCTGTGCCGCCACCGCTGCCCCGTCACCATCACTGTGCTGAAGAGCTCGAGGCTGGGCCCACCCGCGCCTGCCCCACGTTCCTCCCCGGGCTCAGGTCAGGGCCAGGGAGTGACCAGAAGGTGCTGACCCTGTGGCTTGACTGGACCAGAGCTCACCCCTGAACATGAGCAAGCGCAAAGAAACCACAATCCCTGCTCACAGAAAGGGACGCCACCAAGACATTCTGGAGGGTGGGGGCAGCCCGGATTACGAGAAACCGCAACCAGCCGTCTACCTCAGGAAGCTCGCTAGGGAGGAGCGCATTCTATGTGACTAATGCGGAATGCGAAACAAACATTCTTTCCAATGGTCTTTCCTAACAAAGATACTGAACCAGCTGGAGAAAAAGAGCCCCAAACGTTCTCGTCTTAGCTGACCTGATCACCCGCTATGGCAGAGCTTGCCCGTGGCCCCCGGCCCTCCTTGAGGTGTGGGAAAGTGCAAGGCCTCAGAGGCACCCAGGTGGCTCCTGTGCCTGTCCCAGGCAGCCGCTGGGTGGGTTCCCGTGGTCTCTCAGAGGGCGCACCGTGGGGGACTCTAATGCTAAGGATCTCACCCAGGGAGGAGCTGTCGAGGGGGTATCCAGCCCTCTCCACAGCTGACTTATACTGGCCTTTAAGTGACCAGGGCAGACGGGACTTCCAGAAGTCATGGCCAGTGCTGACCTCTGCCTCTGCCCAGCCTCTCTGGTCACCGCCAGACTCAGGGCACGGGGCCTCTCAGTACCGGACACGGCCACTCACTCAGAGGACACATTTCTGCTTCATCTACCAGGCTCCTAAGTTTCTCTAGAAGGAATCTCAAAATGACACACCTTCCTCTATAGTAGCTATTCTCAGTTGGGCTGACTGCCCCGAGGGGATGCTTGCAAAGTCCAGAGACATTTTTGTGGTCACAAATGAAGGGGGTGCTCCTGGCTTTCGTGGGTGGAAGCCAGGGATGCTGCTCCACACCCACCGCGTCCCAGCGGCCCAGGCCATGCATGTCCAGCCCCAAAAGATGAGCAGTGCCGAGGGAGAGCCCTCACACGGGCGCAGCCCGCCTCCCGGAGTGGCTTTGTAGAAATGTCTGAGACGGCCTGTGGCTCTGCAGCTATGCCCAGTTTGAAAGGAAAACCCTTGCTCTTCATGTCACTCCCCACGCTGGAGGAAGCGAGTACCGCTCATGCAAGAAGTCTGTGCTGACGTTCTCAAAGAACCTGTCTACCCAATGTGTCACAGGCACCTGGTGTCTCACCGACTCTGCCACCACCCGGCAGAGAGAAAACAGGGAACCCCATGTGGCCAGGCAGGGTGTAGCTGTGCACATCAGACAAACGCTTCTGGGCCACCTTCCTCCACGCTGGGTCCCCGGCCTGCTCCTGACCCTCATGGTGGCTGCGGGGAATTCTGCAGTCTGATTGCGCCTCCCCTAGCTCTCCGTCACCCTACAGGGCCACCACTTACCCATGGGACACTCCCCCTGGCCACAACTTACCTAAAGGCAAACCTCTCAACCTCCTAAACATCAACGTGTAGCAGTGACCTCCAAATGCACTGAAAGAACCCAAACTCTTAGCGGTCATTCCTCACCATGAGTAGCCACAACTGTTTGGTTAAAACACTGAAAATACAGTACATAAAAACAAAAACAAAACAAAACAAAAAACAACAAAAAAATTAAGAAATTAGAAAAACTTCAAAACCTAGAGCATAAAATAAAAAGAACTTAAATGTAATAATTTAAAATAAAGAAAAATCAAATAAAACACTCCTATGAACGAAAACATAAAACGCTACAATTTATGAAGAGAGCGACGATGTCAGACAACGCAGGAGGTGAAAGGAAAGACATCATGAGAAGAAGAGCGGGCCCAGAGCGGGCGCGAGAGGCAGCCCGGAGGCCAGAGAGCGTCAAGCAAGGGCTCCCCCCGGCTGAGGCTGACGTGTCTTCAGATGCCTATGGGCAGGTCCCAGCTCCAGGCCCGGGAAGCGTGAGCCAGAGACAGTGAGAGGAGGTGGGCCCAGGTGGCAGGGCTGGGCCCAGAAGGCCCGGGGAGCCCGCAGCCCCGCCACCCTCTCTCCAGCCCTGAGCACAGGGAGGACAGGAGAGCGTTCCAGATGCCATGAGGGAGCTCGCTCCCAGAGCAGCGCAGCAGCAGGTGGGCTGACGGAGCAGGAGCCTGCAGCAGCCCCCACAGGCACGATGGACACTTAGAGGTGGAAGGACAGTCGGCAAAGCATGCAGCAGGAAGTAAGCTTCTGGAGAAGTCCCAGGCCCCACATCCACCAGCCCAACCCAGCCCACAGGCCCCAAGGGCTCTGCCTCTGTGGACATCCTCTGACGGCCCCTGTGGGAAATCCACCAGACCCGGGGTCACCTCTTCTTCCCAGGAAGGTGGCTGTCCTTACCTGGCACTGAGGCCAGTGAGCTCACAGGCCAAAACTGGCAGCAAGCGACCTGGGGCCCTGAAGGAGTGGCCTGGCTCTGGGCCCCTGTGCTCTGAGGTGCACTCACCGGCTGGCTGTGAGAACCTGCTGGGGCCCCCGCACTCTGGCTGTGAGTACCTGCTGGGGCGAGGCTCTGCTTTCTCAAACTCAGGACCCAGGAGGCGTTACCAGGGACAGGCAGGGAGGGGCCCAGAGAAGAGGAGCTTTCTCCTCACCTTTCTGCCAACGGAGGGCAAACCCCACACTCTAGACACTGACGTTCCTCCGAGAGTAGAGGCGTGGCTCTCAGGGGCAGGATGTGTCTGGCTGGAGCCCGGGTGAGCATGAGGCTTTATGTGGGGGTGTGGTTTGAGAGAGGATCACTAAGCTCAACCCTGACAGGCACTGTACACCCCTGGCTACAGAGCGGTCTATCCAAGGGCAGGGAGGTCTAGCCTGGACTAGCAGGTGCCGACACGAGGCCGCGTGGAACAGCCACAGCCACACAGGGCCTGCTGGGCAGCCTGAGCCCCTGACACCCTGGCTGGGTTTCTCCATCCTGCCACACACGAAGGGAGAGGGCGAGTGGCCCAGAGAGCCGTGAAGGGCTGCCTGCAGACGAGGCTCCCGCCCCAGTGAACGGGGAACACCAGCAACAGGGAGGAGCCTCTCACTCCACGGCACGGCTACAAAACCTGGTAGCTGGAGCTGGACTGCAGCTGGCCGAGGTCACTCAGGTGCCAGTGGTCCCCCGCAGGCACGAGCTTGCCCCCGATCTGTGCACGTACCGTGCCGTCAGCCAGGGGGAACACGTTCAGGGAGGTGGGGCGCTCCTTCCTGCTGAAATGGGGGGCGAGAGGAGAGGAAGCGATGGTTAGAGGGTGGCCGTGAAGATTTCCCAAGCCCTCCCAGGGCAAGCAGACCTCGAGTGATGGGGCCGCTCCATGCCAGCCAGCAGCCCAGCTCGAGCAGCTACTCAGTTATGATCCTACGTGGCGCTTCCCCTCCCATGATGCTGCAGTTTCTCATTTTTATTAAGTTCAATTTTATTTTATTTTATTTTATTTTATTTTTTTTGAGGCGGAGTCTCGCTCTGTCACCCAGGCTGGAGTGCAGTGGCACGAACTTGGCTCACTGCAAGTTCCACCTCCCAGGTTCACGCCATTCTCCTGCCTCAGCCTCCCACGCCTGGCTAATTTTTTTTTGTATTTTTAGTAGAGACGGGGTTTCACCGTGTTAGCCAGGATGGTCTCGATCTCCTGACCTGATGATCCGCCTGCCTCGGCCTCCCACAGTGCTGGGATTACAGGCGTGAGCCACCGCGCCCGGCCTAAGTTCAATTTTAAACAGACACAAGCCGGGTGTGCTTTAGACACCCCACAGCAGAGCCAGCCACGGGACTTGGCATCACGGTCAGCGCTGCACGGCCACCATGAGCAATGCCTTTTAGGACCATTGTCTTATGTGTGCCCAGCCCTGCCTCCCTGTGGTGTTACTGCCAGCCCTGCCTGTTCCCCTGGCGCCAGCAGAGGGAATCCAGCCTTCCTGCCCCTGTGCCTTGTTCCTTGGCCCCTCCTGCCCATCCTCATTACTCCTGTTCATGAGGCTGCCTCACTGCAAAATATCTGAACACGACACATCCAGAGTAAGGACTGACCCCGTCTCATCTGCTGCAGCCGGAGCCTGAGCCTGAGGGGCGTCTTCTCCCTCCCCACGTGTCCTCTCTGCTGTCAGGGAGCCCCGAACCTGAAGACGGACCCTGGGACAGCCTGGCCTCGGACAGCCTGGCAAGACAGTGGGAGCGCCTGGGAGCTGGAGCTGTCAGGACAGTGCTCAGTGCCCCCTGCTGTGGGCTCAGTCCCTAGGGATGACCTCCTGTGGGCCATAAGCAAGAGCAGGGATGGAGCCCAAGGTCTCCCTTTACGTCCTCCTCCGCGGGAGGTTTCCAGTCAACAGCCCAGAGGTCCCAGAGGCCAGGCTGGCTCCTCACCTCCTCAGGTCTGGGGGGCAGGCCACGTGGTCAGATGCTGGAGCCCACACTGCTCAGGGCTATTCAGGACAAGAATTAAGAGTCTGCTTGCACCACAGCCTCAGCTGCTTACATCTCAGCCCTGAGACTGTAGGAGGGAAGGGAGCTTCCTCAGGGGTTCAAGGAACCTGCTCTGGCCATGCCTGGAGGATGCAGACGGCGACAGGGGAACGCAGCAGCCGCCGCTGACCAGGAGCTCCGCTACCTGGGTGGGGAGCTATGAAGAATGACCCTGGGAAGGGGTCTCTTTGTGGGGTGCATACAGCTCTGGGGACTGGCCGCCTGCTCTGTTATGTTCAGGACAACACCGTATCCTGTAGCACGAGGGAACCAGGGCCGGCTGGGACTGGGCTGTGCCATCTTGGCTGCTGGTCCATGGCACTCAAGCTGTTGTGACAACAGCCATGAGGTTCCCTGGCCACCGTGAAGGCAGCCAGCCACCAGGCCCAGGGAGCATGACCCCAGTGGGAGGCTGGGCTTCAACCGCCCTGTCTGCACCAGGGGCCTCCTGGCCCCACTTCCACTGCGCTCCCAACGCTGGTGCGGGGAGCGCCTCTGCTGAGGCCCAGTTCTGACGCCATCAGACACGTCTCAGTCCCTAGACCGAAGCCGATGCGGTCCTGGCTGTCACCAGATGCTACAGGGGACAGCAGGGTCAGAGGGGCCTCTGGTCTCCCAGGAGGCCAAGGGAATGCATGTACGGCTCTCCCACCCACACAGCTCCATGCTGGGCCACGGCTCAGCCAGGCCACCACCTCCGACAGAAATCACCCAGGATCAGGAGCTGCCTTCACTCTTTCCTTTGCTCCTCCCCACCGGCCCCCAGGCCCTGGCCTCAGGCTCGTGAGCGTTTGCCGACTGACCCCGTCCTCCCGATTTGTCCTCGCAGCTCCCTCAGGGGATGCAGATGCTCCCTAGTTCAGAGACCACCACCCCCAGGGGTCACGCCACCCTCGGGGGTCACGCTGCCCTTGGGGGTCATGGGTGTGTCACCGGCTCTGACACAGGCTGGTGAGTGAGGGAGCTGGGCTATGAGTCCAGGTCCGACTGATGCAGAGAGGGGCCCTTCCTTGGCCCGTCGCCCCCCGAGTCAGCACCAGCCCCACCTGATGCACACCCCTCCTTAGCAGGAGTCGGCGCCGTGCCTTCGTCTGTGACCAAGGCAGTGCTTGTGGAGCGAGGGCAGAGTGTGGGCGACCTGGACGGCGCTGCCCAGCTGCATGGCTGTGCAGGGGACCCAGTGGTCGCCACCTTCTCAGTGTCAGTCTCGTGAATGTGGCCAGATGGCCCTTCCGACCTCTCACATCTGCCACAGGAAACACCTCACAGCAGACCAAGCAGCCGCCCTGGGCTGGTAACTGATGCCCTAATGTGCCTGCTGGTCGTCCCCCAGCACCACAGTGGACACACCTCTTGGGTTTTACCTTTTCCTCCACGACTGACGAGGACTGCAGGGCAGCGACAGACACGGCAGCACACGGCAGCGACAGCACAGAGGGCAAGACAAGGAGACAGGCGTTAGAAGGCGTGGGCAGCAGAATGCGCACACGCCACATGGATGGTCAGCATGTGGTGATGGCACAGAGGGCGAGACAAGGAGACAGGTGTTAGAGGGCGTGGGCCACAGCGTGCGCACACGCTCATATGGACGGTCACACAGATGCTCACACGGACGGTCAGCATGTGACGATAAGGAGACAGGTGTTAGAGGGTGTGGGCAGCAGCGTGTGCACACGCTCACACGGACGGTCACACGCTTACACGGACGGTCACACAGACGGTTGCACGCTCACACGGAGGCTCACAAGGACGCCTACACGGTTACGGATGATCACACGGATGCTCACACGGTTATGCGGACACTCACACGGACGGTCACACACTCACACGAACGGTCACACAGATGCTCACACGGACGGTCACACGGAAGCTCACACGGACGGTCACACACTCACACGAACGGTCACACAGATGCTCACACGGACGGTCACACGGAAGCTCACACGGACAGTCACACGCTCACACGGACGGTCACAGGGATGCTCACACGGACGGTCACACGGATGCTCACGCTCACACGGACAGTCACACGGATGCTCACACGGACGGTCACACGGATGCTCACACGCTCACACGGATGGTCACACGGATGCTCACACGGACGGTCACACGCTCACACGGACGGTCACACGGATGCTCACACGGACAGTCACACGGAAGCTCACACGGACGGTCACAGGGATGCTCACACGGACGGTCACACGGATGCTCACAGGCTCACACGGTCACACGGATGCTCACACGGACGGTCACACGGATGCTCACACGCTCACACGGATGGTCACACGGATGCTCACATGGACGGTGACACGCTCACATGGACGGTCACACACGGACGGTCACACACACACGGTCACACAGATGCTCACACGGACGGTCACACGGAAGCTCACACGGACGGTCACTCACACGAACGGTCACACAGATGCTCACACGGACGGTCACACGGAAGCTCACACGGACGGTCACACGGAAGCTCACACGGACGGTCACACACGGACGGTCACACACACACGAACGGTCACACAGATGCTCACACGGATGGTCACACGGAAGCTCACACGGACGGTCACACACTCACACGAACGGTCACACATGCTCACACGGACGGTCACACGGAAGCTCACACGGACGGTCACACGGAGGCTCACACGGACGGTCACAGGGATGCTCACATGGACGGTCACACGGATGCTCACACGGACGGTCACACGGATGCTCACACGGATGCTCACATGGATGGTCACACTCTCACACGGATGGTCACACACTCACACGGACGGTCACAGGCTCACATGGATGCTCACACGGACGGTCACACAGATGCTCACATGGATGGTCACACTCTCACGGACGGTCACACGCTCACACGGACGCTCACACGGACGGTCACACGGATGCTCACATGGATGGTCACACTCACACGGATGGTCACACACACGGACGGTCACACGCTCACACGGATGCTCACACAGACGGTCACACAGATGCTCACATGGATGGTCACACTCACACGGACGCTCACACGCTCACACGGACGCTCACACGGACGCTCACACAGATGCTCACATGGATGGTCACACACACGGATGCTCACATGCTCACACGGACGGTCACACAGATGCTCACATGGGTGGTCACACTCTCACACGGACGCTCACACACATGGATGCTACACGGATGGTCACACAGATGCTCACATGGATGGTCACACTCACACGGACGCTCACACGCTCACACGGACGCTCACACGGACGGTCACACAGATGCTCACATGGGTGGTCACACTCACACGGACGCTCACACGCTCACACGGACGCTCACACGGACGGTCACAGATGCTCACATGGGTGGTCACACTCACACGGATGCTCACACGCTCACATGGATGCTACACGGACGGTCACACATGCTCACATGGATGGTCACACTCACACGGACGCTCACACGCTCACACCGATGCTCACACGGACGGTCACACAGATGCTCACATGGATGGTCACACTCACACGGATGCTCACACGCTCACACGGATGCTCACACGGACAGTCACACAGATGCTCACATGGATGGTCACACACACGGACGGTCACACGCTCACACGGATGCTCACACGGACGGTCACACATGCTCACATGGATGGTCACTCTCTCACACGGTCACACGCTCACACGGACGCTCACACGGTCACACGGATGCTCACATGGATGGTCACACTCACACGGATGGTCACACACACGGACGGTCACACGCTCACGGATGCTCACACGGACGGTCACACAGATGCTCACATGGATGGTCACACTCACACGGACGGTCACACGCTCACACGGATGCTCAAATGGATGGTCACACTCTCACACGGATGGTCACACACACGGACGGTCACACGCTCACGGACGCTCACACGGACGGTCACACAGATGCTCACATGGATGGTCACACACACGGACAGTCACGCTCACACGGACGGTCACATGGATGCTCACATGGATGGTCACACTCTCACACGGATGGTCACACACTCACACGGACGGTCACACGCTCACACGGATGCTCACACGGACGGTCACACAGATGCTCACATGGATGGTCACACGGACGGTCACACGCTCACACGGACGCTCACACGGACAGTCACACGGATGCTCACATGGATGGTCACACACACGGACGGTCACACGCTCACACGGATGCTCACACGGACGGTCACACAGATGCTCACATGGATGGTCACACACACGGACAGTCACGCTCACACGGACGCTCACACGGACGGTCACATGGATGCTCACATGGATGGTCACTCACACGGATGGTCACACACACGGATGGTCACGCTCACACGGATGCTCACACGGACGGTCACACAGATGCTCACATGGATGGTCACACACGGACGGTCACACGCTCACACGGACGCTCACACGGACAGTCACACGGATGCTCACATGGATGGTCACACACACGGACGGTCACACGCTCACACGGATGCTCACGGACGGTCACACAGATGCTCACATGGATGGTCACACTCTCACACGAATGGTCACACACTCACACGGACGGTCACACGCTCACACGGACGCTCACACGGACGGTCACACAGATGCTCACATGGGTGGTCACACTCACACGGACGCTCACACACTCACACGGACGCTCACACGGACGGTCACACAGATGCTCACATGGATGGTCACACTCTCACACGGACGGTCACACACTCACGGACGGTCACGCTCACACGGATGCTCACACGGACGGTCACACAGATGCTCACATGGATGGTCACACTCACACGGACGCTCACACGCTCACACGGACGCTCACACGGTCACACGGATGCTTACATGGATGGTCACACTCTCACGGATGGTCACACGCTCACACGGACGGTCACACGCTCACACGGATGCTCACACGGACGGTCACGGATGGTCACATGCTCACACGGACGGTCACACAGATGCTCACATGGATGGTCACACTCACACGGACGGTCACACGCTCACACGGACGCTCACACGGACGGTCACACGGATGCTCACATGGATGGTCACACTCTCACACGGACGGTCACACGCTCACACGGATGCTCACACGGACGGTCACACGGACGGTCACACGCTCACATGGACGGTCACGGATGCTCACATGGATGGTCACTCACACAGACGGTCACACACGGACGGTCACACGCTCACGGATGCTCACATGGACGGTCACACACGGACGGTCACACGCTCACACGGACGCTCACACGGACGGTCACACGCTCACACGGACGGTCACACACGGATGGTCACACAGACGGTCACACGGATGCTCACATGGATGGTCACACGCTCACACGGACGGTCACACGCTCACACGGACGCTCACACGGTCGGTCACACGGATGCTCACACGGACGGTCACACGCTCACACGGACGGTCACACGCTCACACGGACGCTCACACGGACGGTCACACGGATGCTCACATGGATGGTCACACGCTCACACGGACGGTCACACACGGACAGTCACACGCTCACACGGATGCTCACACGGACGGTCACACACGGACGGTCACACGCTCACACGGACGCTCACGGTCACACGGATGCTCACATGGATGGTCACACGCTCACACGGACAGTCACACGCTCACACGGATGCTTACACGGACGGTCACACACGGACGGTCACGCTCACACGGATGCTCACACGGACGGTCACACACGGACGGTCACACGCTCACACGGATGCTCACACGGTCACACGCTCACACGGACGCTCACGGTCACACGGATGCTCACATGGATGGTCACACGCTCACACGGACAGTCACACGCTCACACGGATGCTTACACGGACGCTCACACGGATGGTCACACATGCTCACACGGACGGTCACACGCTCACACGGACGCTCACACGGACGGTCACACAGATGCTCACATGGATGGTCACACACACGGACGGTCACACGGATGCTCACATGGACGGTCACACTCTCACACGGATGGTCACACACACGGACGGTCACACGCTCACACGGATGCTCACATGGACGGTCACACTCTCACATGGACGGTCACACGGATGCTCACATGGACGGTCACACGGATGCTCACATGGGCGGTCACACTCACACAGACGGTCACACGGATGCTCACGGATGGTCACACGGATGCTCACATGGACAGTCACACAGATGCTCCATGGACGGTCATATGGATGCTCACACGGGCGGTCACGCTCTCACACGGACGGTCACACGGATGGTCACACAGATGCTCACATGGACGGTCACACTCTCACATGGACGGTCACACGGATGCTCACATGGACGGTCACACTCTCACATGGACGGTCACACGGATGCTCACACGGACAGGCACACAGACGCTCACACGGACGGTCACACGGATGCTCACATGGATGGTCACACTCACATGGACAGTCACACGGATGCTCACACGGATGGTCACACGGATGCTCACACGGATGGTCACACGGACTCTCACATGGACGGTCACACTCTCACACGGACGCTCACACGGACGGTCACACGGCTGCTCACACGGATGGTCACACGGACGCTCACATGGACGGTCACACTCTCACACGGACGCTCACACGGACGGTCACACGGATGCTCACACGGATGGTCACACGGACGCTCACATGGACGGTCACACGTTCCACACGAACGCTCACGTGGATGCTCACATGGACGCTCACACGCTCACATGGACGCTCACTCACATGGACACACACGGAAACACGGACAGTCACATGGACCGTCGCACACTCACAGACGGTCACATGCTCACACGGATGCTCACACCGATGGTCACATGGACGCTCACACGGACGGCCAGGATGTGGTGATGTGAGACACGCAGGGCGGCCGTACCCCGATGAGACAGAAGCCACACACAGGCACCCAAGAGGGACAGACATGCGACACACGAGCCCTCTTGGCTTTGACAAGAGGCCCTGGAACGGGGCTGTGTGGCAGTTCAGCCAGTGCCACGTGTCCCCAGTGCCGTGCACTGCGCGAATGTCTCAAGACAGCGCCTGGCACGTGTGTACACATGGCACGTGGTGACGGCACACATGTGGCCACACAGACACACACACACTCTGCAGCAGTGGCCCGAGAACACTGCCTGGCGTTTGCACTCACACCGACTGCATTCCAGACACACACTCACTAAGCCACGCCAGGCGTGAAGGAAAATGTCCATCTGGGTCAGGAAGGAGGGCGCCCAGCGCTGAGGATGGACGGCGCCCTCATGGTGAATCAAGGGGTTTTGGCTGAGCAGATGGGACTGACTCAAATATGTGTCCCCCAAGGGACCAAAGGTTGTGGCAGGACAGAATCCACACCAGAGAAGAGAGAGCAGGTGTCCAGCAGGGACGGGCTCCTTCCAGCTCAACTGCCCAGCAACAGCATACATCACCAAGGCCTGTCCCAGCACCCCTGACCCCACAAAGGCAAGCACTCGGGACAGGGGAGGGGGGCCGTGCCTTCCTCCTTTAGCTGGCTCATGCCTTCAGAGGCACAAGGCTGTGGCTGCCATCCACGCCTGCAGGCAGGTGGCAGACAGCACGTGAGCCCCACCCTCTCCTTCCTGGCCAGGGTCTCGGCCTGGGGAGGCAGGGGACACACGAGCCCGGAGGTGGCTCTTAATGCCACCACCGCAACAGCAGGCGTGACCGATTCCGTGCGCTGGTGATGCGGCTCAGTACCACCGCCGGCCAGGGAGGGAGGCAGGGGTAGCCCAGCCATAGCCCTGCCCCTCTGTCGCCCCCATGGAGCATGCTCCCGTCAGGGCCTCGGCATGCTCAGGGAGACAGGGCCGCCAGCCCCAGCGCCTTCTTCCCGCAGGGCCAACGTCTTCTCACGTGCTGTGGAGATCTGGCAAGGAGGCCCAGGGGCCAGAGTAATGTAGCTGCGCAGACCCCACTGCAGGGTGCCTTCTGGCTGGATCCAGTCATGGCAACCAAGGCTTTGGTGTAAACCTGGATGAGACCCCTCCCTCTCCCACAGAGGTGCAGGGGTCCTGTTTCACAAATGGAGGCTTCCTGGGGTCCGTGGCTGGGGAAGGCCCCTACCACACAGCCACTGCTGCTGGCGTTGCTCCCACGGCCGGTGCCAAAGGTCCTGTGTGCCCAGAAGAAGTGAATGGCTGGGGCCAGGTCAGGCAGAAGGACCTGGTTGTGGCAGCGCTGACAAGAGAGCACCCCAGATCCATCCCTTACAAAATGATCGAGGGGCTTCTTCCAGAGGGCACCGTCTGGTTCCCTGAGGGGAGTGCAGCAGCCCTGACATAGCCTTCAGGAGCCGTGGCAGAGCTGCAGAGGGGACCCCAGCAGTGGGGCCCTGACAAGGACGAGGTGCACCACCATGGGGCTTCCCACTGAACTCTCGGCGCCAGGACGAGCCAAGGGACGGGGGCGGCGCCCAGCCCAGACTCAGCTCAGGTCCCTGGGTCCCGCGGGGACACCTCGACAGCAGGTTCCTGGGCCACCTTCTGCCCCACACCATGAGAGAAACATGCAGGACGAAGTACTCCTTGCCCCGCAGCCACGCGCCTCTTCCAGGTAGGCCTGGCCTGGCCCATGACGACGGCAGCATCAGGCGGCTCTGGAGCTGGGGCAGCCTCTGCTCTTGGCTGAGCTCACATGGCCCTGGGGCTCTCAGGACCTCTCGGGTGTTGTCTGTGGGCCTGGGGTGGGGATCACTGCAACTCGGAACCTGGGCTCTCGGCCGGCGTCCTGAGTTCACACGTCACACCTCTGGGATCTGGGATGAGCTGGGCACACTGTTGCTGGGCTCCTCCTGCCCAGGCGCCCTCCGACACAGCCTCAGAGGCACTCCTGTCTGAGGCTGCGCTGGCAAGGAGGCAGCTGAAGGTTCTGGAATGCTGCAGCTCCCAGGGGATGGCCAAACTGCCTGCCTCTGCCCCCAGCTCCCCTGAAAAACAACACAAAGATCCCGGGTCCAGGTTCGATTTTAATTCCAGTTAGCTTGGAATCCTCTTCCAACTGCCGAGAGCCAGAGGTGAGGATGTCCCAGCGTGCATGCCACGAGACGGGAGCTGCGAATGAGAATCTCCCACTGTGGGATCTGATGGAAACACCTGCAAGGCTTTCACAGCTTGCCAAGCTGGCATCCACACGCCCCGGTGTAGTTCTCATGGTGCTCCAGGTGGGCGGATGGCTGGCGCTGCCCATTCTTGGGGCAAGCTGGCATCCACACGCCCTGGCGTAGTTCTCATGGTGCTCCAGGTGGGCGGATGGCTGGCACCACCCGTTCTCGGGGCAAGCTGGCATCCACACGCCCTGGCGTAGTTCTCATGGTGCTCCAGGTGGGCGGATGGCTGGCACCACCTGTTCTCGGGGCAAGCTGGCATCCACACGCCCTGGCGTAGTTCTCATGGTGCTCTGGGTGGGCAGATGGCCGGCGCCGCCCGTTCTCAGGGCAAGTCCCTGAGAACTGCAGGTCCCTGCTCCAGCTGAGAGCAGCGAGACTGCCTGAGGACCTGCTGCTGCAGGCTCCACGGCACGCCCCTGGCCAGCTGGGCCTTTGCGCACACCGTGCATTTGCTCTCACGTCCAGAGACTCGGAAGCAGAGTCTGACAGCTTCTTCTGTATCATCCAGAACGTGACCCATGAAGCCCAGAGCTGGACGTTCTGACCCTTCTCGTTTGCAGGTGTAACCCCCAGAACAGGCAGGCACGATGCAGCTTTCGCAGCTGGCCAGGCCTTGATGGGGTGTGAGGGAGGCTTTTGCCATCGCAGCCCTGGCTGTGGGAGGCTTGGGGGCAGAAACAGGCTTCCCCCCTTCCAGCTGCCCCAGCTCTGTAGGACGGCAGCTTCTGACTTCAGGCCCTTCCTCCCCGCTGCTGGAGACTCAGAACGAGAGCGCCAACCTCCCCAGCCCAGGTCGCGTCTCTGGTCTCCCATGGCCGGTCCCCTGGAGCTGCAATACCCTGGCAAGATCTCTGATGCTCTGCTCCCTGGGGCCTGCAGCCCGGCTTTCTCCTGATTCAAAGGGCACAGAAAACGGAGAGGAACCCATTCTAGGCAGGCTCCCCCGACTCTCTGAGGAAAACCAGCACCGAGCCCTGGAAACCCACCGGTACCCCCACCCTGTGGAAGGAATAAGACTCAGTGCAGGGCTGGCCAAGGCTCCTGGGCTCATCCACACAGTATTTGAGGCAGTATGTTCTAGAAAGTCCCTCAAACACTAAACCATTGCCCCTAGGGGAAAAATATGTACACATGCAGGTACGCGTATAAGATTGTGATCTCAAATCCTCAAAGCCATGCATTCCGGTCAGTTCTACTTCCTTTATTTTACAAAAACGAAAAGGAGGTTGGAAATATAGGGTGGCTGGCCACCCTACTAACAGGAAATCCTCAAAGCAATGCATCCTGGTCAGTTCTATTTCCTTTATTTTAAAGGAAGTTGGAAATATAGGGTGACTAGCCACCCCACTAACAGGTGCCACAGCTGGGCTTGGAGCCCCTGGAACTAACCCTAGAACTGGCCTCATGCGTGACACGTGACACTGCCTGGCCCTCCTGTCTCCTCTCCGGGCATCTGGGTAGGAGGTGAAGAGGAGGGCAGAGCATCGCCTTGTCCCACCTCTGTGGGGAGCCAGCACAGGGACTCCCGTTTCTCCCTAATGTGTGCCTGTCTGCAAAGGACTGTTAAGTGCTCTGAGTACTGATTCCCTTTCTTTCTTTTTTGAGACAGGCTCTCACTCTACCACCCAGGCTGGAGTGCAGTGCGCAATCTTGGCTCGCTGCCACCTCCGCCCCTGGGGTTCAGGTGATTCTCCTGCCTCAGCCTCCAGAGTAGCTGGGACCACAGGCATGCACCATCACACTGGCTAATTTTGTTATTTTTATGATTTATTATTTATTTATGTATTTATTTTTGAGATGGACTCTCTGTCGCCCAGGCTGGAGTGCTGTGGCGTGATCTCAGCTCACTGCAGTCTCCGCCTCCCAAGCTCAAGCAATTCTCCTGCCTCAGCCTCTCTAGTAGCTGGGACTACAGGCATGTGCCACCACACCCAGCTAATTTTTGTATTTTTAGTAGAGACGGGGTTTCACCGTGTTGGCCAGGCTGGTCTCAAACTCCTGACCTCAAGTGATCTGCCGGCCTCAGCCTTCCAAAGTGCCGGGATTACAGGTGTGAGCCACTGTGCCTACCCTTTTTTTTTTTTTTTTTGACAGAGTCTCACTCTGTCGCCCAGGCTGGAGTGCAGTGGTGCGATCTTGGCTCACTGCAACCTCTGCCTCCCGGGTTCAAGTGATTCTCCTGCCTCAGCCTCCAGAATAGCTGGAACTACAGGCGCCCGCCACCACACCCGGCTAATTTTTTATATTTTTAGTAGAGATGGGGTTTCAACATGTTAGCCAGGATGGTCTCGATCTCCTGACCTCATGATCCGCCCTCCTTGCCCTCCCAAAGTGCTGGGATTACAGGAGTGTTTCGTAGAGATGGGGTTTCACCATGTTAGCCAGGATGGTCTTGATCTCCTGATCTCGTGATCTGCCCACCTCGGCCTCCCAAAGTGCTGGAATGACAGGCGTGAGCCACTGAGCCCGGCTTAATTTTTGTATTTTTAATAGAGATGGGGTTTCACCACATTGGCCAAGCTAGTCTCGAGCTCCTGACCTCAAGTGATCCACCCACCTCGGCCTCCCAAAGTGCTGGGATTACAGGCGTGAGCCACCATACCAGCCTCTTTTTTGTTGTTTATTCTTTGACCTCACATGAGCAGATGATTTTCTTTTTTTATTTTTTTAGAGACGGGGCTCACTCTGCTGCCCAGGTGGGAGTGCAGGGGCGCGACTGTAGATCACTGCAGCCTCCAGCCCCTGGGCTCAAGCTATCCTCCTCTCTCAGCCTCCTGAGTAGCTGGGACTACAGGTAGTTATTTGAGGCAGTATGTCCTAGAAGTGCCACCTCATGCTTAGCTAATTTTTAAACAATTTTTTTTTTTTTTTTTTTTTTTTTTTTTGTAGAGACAAGATCTTGCTGGTTGCCCAAGCTGAGCTCGAACTCCTGGGCTCAAGTAATCCTCCTGCCTTGGCCTCCCAAAGTTCTAGGATTACAGGCATAAGTCACTGTGCCCGGCTGAGGTCACAGATATATTTTAGCGAGTAGATACATTTGCAAACACAGAATCTGTGGATAGTAAGGGTTAAATATGCGCAAGCTGCCCGGGGCCTCCCTGACTGAATTGTGGACCGAGCAGAAGGGACACACGGGCTCGACACATGTCCGTCGCCCAGGGCCGCCCCCCCACATCCCTGCTCAGCCACGCTCCAACCAGCTCCCTCCTCCTGGGTCTCCAGAGTGTTCCCTGTCGTCCTGAGCCCAGAGCGCGGGCCATAACAAGCACTACGACCCTGGCATGTGCCGCGTCCTGCGTACCTCCGCCCCGCCGCGCCCCGCGTACCTCCACCCCGCCGCGCCCCGCGTACCTCCGCCCCGGCAGGCTGCTCTCGGTCTGGCTGTTTCCTCCGACCTGCTGCATCTTGGACCTCTCAATGTGCTCCACGTAGGTCTGTATCATCTGCGAGGAGGGAAACGCCTGCATTAGCGCTGCCGTGGGGGGCTGTCTCCGTCCCCTCTAACCTGTGAGGCTTTTCCGGCTGCCCTGTGCAGGCAGAAATCAAGACAGCGTCCTGGAGGGGAATCTAACCAGCCTGGGGCTGACAGCCTTCAAGCCTGGCAGCAAATGCTAGAAAAGGGACATGCCAGGGAAGAAAACCACGGTCCGCAAGAGTCGCAGGCGTCAGGCCGCGGCCCTGTCTCCAACCCTCGTCTCCGCGCTTGCCTCTGGGCGCCCACCTCTGTGTGCCGCTGGTGCAGGGCATTGTACTCCTTCTTCATCTCCGACTCCCGCTCCTCCAACCGGGAAACTGGAAAACACAATCACTGTCTGAGCCGCACAAGACGCTTCTCCATGGCCCTGAACTCTTGGGTTGTAACCACAGAGGGAGGGGGTTCCAGGACAAGGCTGGGACTCTGGGTCCTGAGGCAACCAGCAGCAGCCCGGCAAGTGCAAGGCCGTCTGGGAGACTGCTGTGTGCGTTGTGCGATGGGAGAACACTCAGCTCTGTGAAGGCCGTCTTGGGGGCTGCTGTGCCCTGTACCATGGGAGAACACTCAGCTCTGTGAAGGCCGTCTGGGGGGCTGCTGTGTGTGCTGTGCCATGGGAGAACACTCAGCTCTGTTAAAGCCGTCTGGGGGGCTGCTGTGTGCGCTGTGCCATGGGAGAACACTCAGCTCTGTGAAGGCCGTCTGGGGGGCTGCTGCGTGCGTTGTGCGAGGGGAGAACACTCAGCTCTGTGAAGGCCGTCTGGGGGGCTGCTGTGCCCTGTACCATGGGAGAACACTCAGCTCTGTGAAGGCCGTCTGGGGGGCTGCTGTGTGTGCTGTGCCATGGGAGAACACTCAGCTCTGTGAAGGCCGTCTGGGGGGCTGCTGTGTGTGCCCTGTGCCATGGGAAAACACTCAGCTCTGTTGGGAGTTAAATATGGGGGTGGGGAAACCCACAGGCGCTCTCTGTGCTAAAGTCAGCCACAAGCTTCTGAGATGCAGGCAAAACCCAGGCACGCCAGGCACAGGCAACAGGTGCACAAGAAGCTTGCGGGAGGAGGCGGGATTCAAAGTGAGTAACCTCCTGGACACGTCAAAGGGTCGTGTCTGGCAGAACAAGCAGCGAGGTCCCTCACACACGCCGAGGGCTGGGGAGGCCAATCATGACTATGTGCCTTCTGGGCTGACAGTCATGTCTCCCTTAAACGGGAGGCCCCCCGTGACACCAACACGGGCCTCTCTGGCCCCAGACGTGATCTGCCCAAGAGACACAGAAGCAGCATGACAGGCCGACGGGCAGCCGCAGCCAGGGGACCCCACTCTATGTCCCGCCAATGGTGCATGCGTGCCCCCGGCCTGATGGCCGCCTCCACAGCTGTGTTCAAACCTCAGCTCTGTCCTGCAGCCCACCAATGGGGAGGGCTGACGCCACGAGGTGAGAGACAGCCCCAGGGAGTGCGTGGCCGGGACTCAGCTGGTAAGGTGCTCCACCAGCTTGTGCCCTGTCCTCGGCGTGGTGCCCTCCCATCCTCCCCAGCTTTCTGGTGTCTGTTTAGAAATGACTCCACAGATTATGTGGCTCAACATCTCACTTTGGCCATCCTGCTCTGTGATCTGGGGGGTAACTGGCCTGGCACATCCTTGGAGGCCGCGGCGGCCTACGCTGGGCTCTCGCATCTCTACCAGGCACCCAGGGAAGCTGCACTGCTGGCGCGGGGATCTCACCCCGAGGAGCAGCATAGGCGTCAGCGCCAGCAGTCAGTCTGGTCTTCCCTAAGGAGCCTGAGGTGCTTACAGACATCACACCTGACACGCGTGACTCAGATACAGCACCTCACATGCACGACTTAGACACAGCACCTCACACGCACGACTTAGACACAGCACCTCACACACACGACTTAGACACAGCACCTCACACGCACGACTTAGACACAGCACCAAACATGCATAACTTACAGACGCTGCACCTGACACACGATGTACAGACACCGCACACAACACAAGACTTACAGACATGACACGTGACACATGTGACTCACAGACGCTGCATGCAGCAAATGTGACTAACACACATGGTAAATAACACACGGCTCACAGACGCTGCACACAGCACACGACTCACACAGACGCCGCACACAGCACACGACACTCACACAGACGCTGCACACAGCACACAACTCACAGACGCTACACACAGCAGAGTCACACAGACCCGCACATAGCACACGTCACTCAGACGCCGCACACAGCACACAACTCAGATGCCGCACACAGCACACGACACTCACAGACCCTCCACACAGCACACAACTCAGGTGCCGCACACAGCACATGACACTCACACAGACGCTCCACACGGCACACAACTCAGACGCCACACACAGCACACAACACTCATACACAGCACACAGCACATGACTCACACAGATGCCGCACACAGCACATGACACACAGACGCTGCACACAGCACACAACACACAGACACTGCACACAGCACACGAGTTATAGACACTGCACGCTGCACACATGTAACTGGCTGCTGCAGGAGGGAGCCAACCAGCCATCCCAGGCTTGTGCTGACCCCGGCAACGGCTGTGGCCCCGGGAGAGGCTACCTGTCTGTGTGAGGTCAGAGCCCCACAGCCTCTCTGTGAGCTCCCGCTGGGGCAGAGTATAGCCACCACCTGGAGGGAGCCCGGGGCCTGCTCTCTGCACTCATCTGGCCCCAACTCCTGGTGCTGGCCCAGTGAACAGCCTCAGCCTGTAATTTGATTTTTTTTGAGACAGGGTCTCACTCTGTCACCCAGGCTGGGGTGCAGTGGCGTGATCAAGGCTTACTGCAGCCTCTCCCTCCTGGGTTTGAGCAATCCTCTACCTCAGCCTCCCGAGTAGCTGGGCCCACAAGTCTGTGAGCCACCGTGCCTGGCTAATTTTTGTATTTTTTGTAGAGATGGGGTTTCACCAGGTTGCCCAGGCTGGTCTTGAACTCTTGAGCTCAAGGGATCCTTCCCCCTCAGCCTCCCAAAGTGTGGAAGTTATGGGTGTGAGCCACTGTTCCCAGCCTTGCCTGTAATTTGAGCTTATGTTTTTCTCCTTCTAAGAAGAGAGCTGAGAATGTTTCACACATGAAATGTACTGAAAGCCGAGGGACCAGGAGAGACTCTGTAATTATGGAAAGGCATTACCTAGGTATGCTCAGCACGGGTCTTAGGTTTGCTTTGCATTGTGAATGCCAGTGTGTTTCCATGTGTGTGGAAGCTGCCACCGTGGTCACCCTCTGGCCCCCAGACTCGTCAGCAGGTCATTGTCAGCACAGCAGCCTTTAGGCCTTGGCTGGGGATAGGAGTAAGTCTAACATATCAAAACAGTTTCTTTCCCAAATTTGATCTTAACTTTTTAGAGATAAAGGAACCTGCTGTTGAGGTAGCTAGGGAAACCGCAGCCGATTGGTTTCAATCATTAAAACATCTGGGGCCAGGCGCGGTGGCTCGCGCCTGTAATCCCAGCACTTTGGGAGGATCACGAGGTCAGAAGATCGAGACCATCCTGGCTAACACAGTGAAACCCCATCTCTACTAAAAATACAAAAAATTAGCTGGGTGTGGTGGCGGGCACCTGTAGTCCCAGCTACTTGGGAAGCTGAGGCAGGAGAATCACTTGAACCCGGGAGGCAGAGGTTGCAGTGAGCTGAGATCGCACCATTGCACTCCAGCCTGGGCAAAAACAGCGAAACTCTGTCTCCAAACAAAACAAAACATCTAATTACAGAAAAGGAAAATTACACAGGAAATCATCACTTCTTCTTTTTTAAATTTTTTCTTTTTTTTTTGAGATGGAGTCTCACTCTGTCGCCCAGGCTAGAGTGCAGTGGCACGATCTTGGCTCACTGCAACCTCCGCCTCTTGGGTTCAAGCGATCTTCCTGCCTCAGTTGCCCGAGTAGCTGGGACTACAGGCGCCCGCCACCATGCCCGGGTAATTTTTATATTTTTATAGAGACGGGGTTTCGCCATGTTGGCCAGGCTGGTTTTAAACTCCTAAGCTCAGGTGATCCACCCGCCTTGGCCTCCCAAAGTGCTGGGATTACAGGTGTGAGCCACCATGCCCGGCCTTTTTTTTTTTTTTAAGAGATGAGGTCTCTGTGTGCCCACACGGCAGTATCAACCTCAGCCCAGCTGAGACCACAGGCGCATGCCATCACGCCTGGCCTAAAACATTGACAGTAGAGTTTAAGCAAAGACTTTTAAAGGTAAGTAAACCAACTGTTCTTATAATAATAATAATAATAATAATAATAATAATAATAAACCCTTTCTGCTACTTCGCCTTGCAGGGGACAGACACCCTGATCAGCTGTGCCCCCCACCTAGGCGCTGTCACTTCAATGGGGCTACACCAGCGGGCCCACCCTCCTGCCTGAGAAGGAGCCATCACTCCTCAGCAGTGTGAAGAGGTGGGGACCCCAGGGGCTGCAGGAGCTCTGTTCAAAAGATTCAGGAAGGACCTTCAGGACCACAGACTTGTGATCTGGGGGTCAGAATTCACTCTGAAGCAAAAGTGCTATGGGGCCACAGTGGCCTGATTTACTTATTTCCACACACAATCTGGGGCCCATTACAGAAACAGGCAGCAGTACAAAGAGCTGGAATACATGGCTGAGGCTCCCACTGGGCTTCCTCTCGTCCCCTTGTGTGGAAGGCGCTCCATGCCCACCCCAACCAGAGCCGTCCCAGAGCAGCGCCCATCAAGCGCGCCTCCAGGCTCCCGCCAGCCACTTACTCTGATCGGCATAGTTCTTGGCCTTCAGCTCCAGCTGGCGCGTCTGGAACTCGTAGTGCTCCACCTGGATTTGCAGCTCTTTCTTCTCTTGTTCCAGAGCATCTTCAAACTCAATGAATTTCTGTGCATGGAAGGGAGGGAAAGAGCAGTCATCAGGAGTGAGTGTGGAGCAGCCGCCTTTCACTTGAAGGGCCGCAGGCTTTGAGGGCCCAGGGGCCAAAGATGTCCCCAGGGCCACAAGCTGGCCCATGGCCAGGCCGGAATGGGGGCTTCCCGCCACGTGGCTGTGGCCACCACCCTCCTCAGGCACAGTGAGGAGCCATGAGGGCAGGGCGGGAGAGCCCTCCAGGACTGCATGATTGCACCCTCCTCTCCCGGGAGGATTTGCTGTGAAGGGAGCCTGTTGTTTCCAATTACGGCTGCCTTCGTGGCTGCATGAGACCCGGGCAGCAATGCGGGGCCCTGCACTCAGAAGGCCCAATGCTTGGCTTGGCTGCTGCCATCTTGAAATGTTGCTAATTTTTGAACATAGAGCCCTGTGTTTCCATTTTTACACTGGGATCCATGAGCACACAGCCAGTCCTGTTTGCAATGGAGTCATCTGACTCCCCTCAACTCCACGCCTAAGAACAAGGTTGAGCCTACTTTTCTGCATGTCAGTTGCAGCTCAGCTCAGGACACCATCGTTACTGGGATAACCAGCAACACAGTCTTGCTCCTAGTCATTAAATAAAAAGGCAGGGGGATTGGTCTAGGTTTGGAATCTTAACCTTATGTGGTAAGTTTCAGGACAAAATTATTATCAAACCAAGTGAAAAGAAAACATTTTGCAAAATAAAAGCAGCTCATAAAAGGTCTGAGGAGCCTGGGGGCCAGTGAGGCCCCAGGTGTGGCCGGGCATCGATGCCATAAGTGTAGTTCCTACAGCAGCCCAGAGAGGGAGCTGTTAACACCTCATTTTTACAGAGTAGAAAACTGGGGAATATTATCAAGAAATTTCACTGGAAGAAGTATAAATATCAACTGGCCTTTTGTTTTGTTTTGTTTTGTTTTGTTTTAAGAGAGAGTCTCGCTCTGTCTCTGAGGCTGGACTGCAGTGGTGCGATCACAACTCACTGCAGCCTTGAGCACCTGGGCTCAAATGATCCTCCTGCCTCCACCTCCTGAGCAGCTGGGACTACAGGCATGTGTCACCATGCCTGGCTAATTTTAAAGAAGTTTTTGTAGAGGCCGGGCACAGTGGCTCACGCTGTGAGCCACCAGCCTGAGTGAGTGTTTGAGACCAGCCTGACCAACATGGTAAAACCCTGTTTCTACTAAAAAATACACTGCAACCTCTGCCTCCCGGGTTCAAGCGATTCTCCTGCCTCATCCCAGAACTTTGGGAGGCTGAGGCAGATGGATCATGTGAGCTCAGGAGTTCGAGACCAGCCTGACCAACATGGTGAAACTCTGTTTCTACTAAAAAATACAAAAATTAGCCGGGTGTGGTGGCACACACCTATAATCTCAGCTACTTGGGAGGCTGAGGCGGAGAATCGCTTGAACCTGGGAGGTGGAGATTGCAGTGAGCCCAGATCACCCCACCACTGTACTCCAGCCTGGGAGACAGAGCAAGACTCCATCTCAAAAAACAAAAACAAAAACAAAAACAAAAACAAACAAACAAAAAAAATTGGCCAGGCACGGTGGCTCACGCCTGTAATCTCAGCACTTTGGGAGGCTGAGGCAGGCGGATCACGAGGTCAGGAGATCGAGTCCATCCTGGCTAACACGGCGAAACCCCATCTCTACTAAAAATACAACAAATTAGCCAGGCGTGGTGGCAGGCGCCTGTAGTCCCAGCTACTTGGGAGGCTGAGGCAGAATGGCGTGAACCTGGGAGGCAGAGCTTGTAGTGAGCCAAGATAGCGCCACCGCACTCCAGCCTGGGCGACAGAGCGAGACTCCATCTCAAAAAAAAGATTTTTTTTTTTTTTGAGATGGGGTCTTGCTATGGTTCCCAGGTTGGTCTCAAACTCCTGGGCTCAAGCGATCCTCCCACCTCAGCCTCCCAAAGCGCTGGGATTATAGGCCTGAGCGACTGCACCCAGCCTCAGCTGGGTTCTGAAGACAAAAGAGTTTCTCAGAAGATGGGAATATAAACCGGGTGGTGGATTTCATCTTTTGGGATCTGGAAGATCCATGGGTAGTGGCCACAGCTGTGTTCCCTATAATAACTCTACCCACTCTCCCACCCGGATACTAGGCTCCTCGACGCTTCTTCCTATAGCAGCAGCTTCTAAAAAGGTCTTTGTGTTGAAACCACTGGGGCTCTGCCCAAGAGGTGACTCATTCTGTGCAGTTACTGAGAGGGCAGAAAACCACAGAGGCGGGAGGGGCAGGCAGGGAGCAGGAGGCAGCAGGAAGAGTCTGTGTTATGGGCATCACATGCAACTTAAGGAAAAGGAAGAAAAACAAACACTCCACAGCTGAGAAAATGCATGACTTTTTTGTGCGGCGGTACAAAAAATAAAAATAAGTGATTTTGAATTAACTGTGGCTAACTAGCATATGAAGAACACACACATGCTATTAATCGACTGATAAGAATTTTTAACAAAAAGTTGTCTGGGTGCGGTGGCTCACGCCTGTAATCCCAGCACTCTGGGAGGCCGAGGCGGGGGGGATGACGAGGTCAGGAGATGGAGACCTTCCTGGCTAACATGGTGAAACCCCGTTTCTACTAAAAATAAAAAAAATTAGCTGGGCGTGGTGGCGGGCGCCTGTAGTCCCAGCTACTCGGGAGGGCGAGGCAGGAGAATCACTTGAACCCGGGAGGCGGAGGTTGCAGGGAGCTGAGATCACGCCACTGCACTCCAGCCTGGGCGACAGAGCAAGACTCAGTCTCCAAAAACAAAACAAAACAAAACAAAACGAAAAAACAAAGTTTTTATAGGCCCGGAGCGGTGGCTCATGCCTGTAATCCCAGTACTTTGGGAGGCCGAGGCGAGTGGATTGATTGACTCCAGGAGTTAGATGCAACATGGTGAAATTCCGTCTCTACAAAAAAATTAGCTGGACACGATGGCATGTGCCTGTAGTTCCAGTGAGCTGGGAGGCTGTGGTGGGAGGATCACCTGAGCCCAGGAGGTCGGTGCTGCAGTGACCCCAGGAGGTCGGGGCTGCAGTGAGCCCTGAGGCTGGCACCACTGCACTCCCAGATGACAGTGAGATCCTCTCTCTAAAAAAAAAGGTTTTGTAGAGATAGGATCTCACTATATTGCCCAGGCTGGTCTCAAACTCCTGGGCTCAAGCAATCCTCCTGCCTTGGCCTTCCAAAGTGCTGGGATTACAGGCATGAGCAAAGGATTTTTTTTTTTTTTTTTTTGAGATAGAGTGCAATGGCACGATCTCAGCTCACCGCAACCTCCGCCTCCCGGGTTCAAGTGATTCTCCTGCCTCAGCCTCCCGAGTAGTTGGGATTACAGGCATGCGCCACCACATCCAGCTAATGTATTTTTAGTAGAGATGGTGTTTTCCATGTTGGTCACGCTGGTCTCAAACTCTTGACCTTAGGTGATCCACCCGCCTCGGCCTTCCCAAGTGCTGGGATTACAGGCATGAGCCCCCATGCCCAGCCTTGTTTTGTTTTTTTTTTTTTTGAGACAAAGTTTTGCTCTTGTTGCCTAGGTTGGAGTGCAATGACATGACTCAGCTCACTGCAACCTCCGCCCCCTGGGTGCAAGCAATTCTCCTGCCTCAGCCTCCCAAGTAGCTGGGATTACAGGCACCCACCACCACGCCCAGCTAATTCTTTGTATTTTTAGTAGAAACGGGGTTTCACCGTGTTAGCCAGGATGGTCTTGATCCCCTGACCTCGTGATCCGCCTGCTTCTGCCTCCCAAAGTGCTGGGATTACAGGCGTGAGCCGCTGCACCCGGCCTGGCCTGGATATTTTTTAAAGTAGGTAAGTTTATTTCCTGTTATATAAAAAATGAAAATAATTATATAAACAATGTATGTTTCTGCAGGAAAATCAGTGTTAGGTAAAAACAGAAAAAATTTTAAATTATGAGTCTCGGTCTATAGGGTCGGTTAAAATTGTGTGACGTGCTTCTGGATTTGTATGTGTGTGTGTAGAGCAGATGTACGATCATCTTGTACACAGTGTTTTGTAACCTGATTTATTCACTGATTTATACTGAAATGCCTTTCAACACCAACAGGCGTACTCGACCACTTCCATTTTTGGCAGGTGTGTGTTCTGCTGGGAGTGTGTGTGTAGAGCACAGTTTGCTCAATCCATTATCTCTTTATGGACTTTCAGGTTGCTTTAAAATGTTTGCTACTATAAAAAGCTGGCCGGGCACGGTGGCTCATGCCTGTAATCCCAGCACTTTGGGAGGCCAAGGCGGGTGGATCACCTGAGGTCAGGAGTTCAAGACCAGCCTGGCCAACACGGTGAAACCCCATCTCTACTAAAAACACAAAAAATCAGCTGGGCGTGGTGGCGTGCGCCTGTAATCCCAGCTACTCAGGAGGCTGAGGCAGGAGAATTGCTTGAACCCAGGTTGCAGTGAGCCAAGATTGCGCCATTGCACTCCAGCCTGGGCAACAAGAGCGAGATTCCATCTCAAAAGAAAAACAAACAAACAAAAGCTGTGTGCACACACGTCTTTGTATATTCACCTGCTGGCTTCCTGCTCTCTGAGGCTGCGGTCATGCACTGCTAAGTGACTCTTCAGAGGGTGTCCCAACTTACACTTCCCCCTAAAAAGTGGGACAGTGCCCTTTTGTAGAACTCTCAACATTTCTTTCTTTTATACTTTTTGGTTTGTTTTTGAGGCTTTTTTTCTTTTACTTTTATTTTTCAATTTTTTGGGGACAGGGTCTCCCTCTGTCACCCACTGCAGCCTTGACCTCGCGGGCTCAAGCGATCCTCCCATCTCAGTCTCCTGAGTAGCTGGGCCCACAGGCACGTGCCACCACATTGGGCTAATTTTTGTGGTTTTTTTTTTTTTTTTTTTGTAGAGATGGGGTCTCCCTATGTTACCCAGGCTGATCTCAAACTCCTGGGCTCAAGCGATCCCCCCTCAGCCTCCCAGAGTATTGGGATTACAGGCATGAGCCACTGTGCCTGGCTACATTTTAGTCTGTTTCTGAGCCAGCACCACAGGTTTTTAAACTGGTGTTGTGGTGTTATGGTACTTTCTAGTATCTAATATCTGCTCTCCCTCTTACATCTTCCTTTTCAACATTTTCCTGGTTATTCCTAATTTCTCCTTCTAGATTGATTTGAGAATCATTTTGAATCACCGACATACATATTTATTTTTTGGTTATGCATTTCACCTGTCTGAAAGCACCAGGTCTCTGTCCCTTAGGAAGGGGCCATTTTTTTTTTTTCTTTTTAAAGATTGGGTCTCAGGCTGGGCACAGTGGCTCACAGCTGTAATCCCAGCACTTTGGGTTGCTGAGGCAGGAGTGTCACTTGAGGCCAAGAGTTCGAGCCCAGCCTGGGCAATATAACAAGACCTTACCTCTACAAAAAATAATTAGCTGGGCACAGTGTTGCATGCCCATAGTCCCAGCTACTTGGGAGGCTGAGGCAGGAAGATTGCTTGAGACGGGGTCTTGCTCTGTTATCCAGACTGGAGTACAGCAGCATGACCAAGGCTCACTACAGCCTTGACCTACCTACTGGGCTCAAGCAATCCTCCTGCCACAGCCTCCTGAACCACAGGCACTACAGGCGTGAGCCACCTCGCCCAGCCCCTAATGTTGAGTCGTTTTCAGTGAGAAGATGCTAGGGCTAGACTTGGGGTGAGAGAAAACTCATCTTGAGGAAGTGAAGAGTCCTCTGATGGGGCTTCTGGGGGTGGATGCTGGAACATTCTTTTTTTTTTTTTTGAGATGGTTCTGTTGCCCAGGCTGGTGTGCAGTGGTGCGATCTTGGCTCACTGCAACCTCCATCTCCCAGGTTCAAGCGATTCTCCTGCCTCGGCCTCTGACTAGCTGGGATTACAGGTGCCCACCACCATGCCCGGCTAATTTTTGTATTCTTAGTAGAGACAGGGTTTCACCATGTTGGCCAGGCTGCTCTTGAACTCCTGACCTCAAGGAATCTGCCTGCCTTGGGTTCCCAAAGTGCTGGTATTACAGGCGAGAGCCACCGTACCCGGCCTAGAAAATATTTTTATTTAAAGATCATTAGCCGGGCGCGGTGACTCATGCCTGTAATCCCAGCACTTTAGGAGGCCGAGGTGGGGGGATCACCTGAGGTCAGGAGTTCCAGAGCAGCCTGGCCAACTTGGTGAAACCCCGTCTCTACTAAAAATACAAAATTAGCCAGGCATGGTGATGCATGCCTGTAATCCCAGCTACTCAGGAGGCTGAGGCAGGAGAATCTCTTGAACACGGGAGGCAGAGGTTGCAGTGAGCCGAGGCCATGACATTGCACTCCAGCCCGAGTGACAAGAGTGAAACTCTGCTTCAAAAAAAAAAAAATCATTTACTTCTGATTTAAGAGAACCAAGAATTTTCAGCCGGGCTTGGTGGCTCACACCTGTAATCCCAGCACTTTGGGAGTCCGAGGCGGGCGAACCTTGAGGTCAGGAGATCGAGACCATCCTGGCTAACAAGGTGAAACCCCATCTCTACTAAAAATACAAAAAAGATTAGCCGGGTGTGGTGGCGGGCGCCTGTAGTCCCAGCTACTCAGGAGGCTGAGGCAGGAGAATGGCAGGAACCTGGGAGGCGGAGCTTGCAGTGAGCTGAGATCGTGCCACTGCACTCCAGCCTGGGCGATAGAGCGAGACTCCATCTCAAAAAAAAAAAGAGAACCAAGAATTTTCAGTGGTGGGGACTTGGGGAATAGAGATGAATTTAAGTCTATAAAGCACGATTACAAAATATAAACGGAGCTGAGAAAAATAAAGTTTTAACTATCAGCATTTTTTTTGAATGGGCCTGCATAGTACTAGATTATAAAAAAATAAAAGAACTACCCAGAATACAGCACGGTAGTATCTTGGTCCCAGAGACCTACTGAAGGTGTGACAATAGCAAAGTGAAAGGTTTCTGTACACGTGCTCGTGATCCATGCTGCAGGGCAGCGTGTATTTGACACGACCACCTATCTAACCGAGTCTAGTGAAATGCTGTGTGGCATCTGGACATGAGAGGCCACCTATGGGTCACCTTTGAGCATCCCAAGGAGCAATGACTTGAGATTACAAAATGAAGGAAAACATGGGTGTCGTTCCTCAGTCGAGACACGAAACAACTCTCACATCTAGGTACCAATATGCCACAGGATTCCCTTTTTAGACATGTTTTTAAGATGTACTTCCCCATCCCTCCCACGACCAAAGGGCTCTGCTTGAAAATTAAATTCAACTTATGTTTTCAGAATTTGCTTTTTGGTGAATTTCTTTCTTTCTTTTTTTTTTTTTTTTTTTGAGATGGAGTTTTACTCCGTCACCCAGGCTGGAATGCAGTGGCACGATCTTGGCTCACTGCAACCTCCGCCTCCTGGGTTCAAGTGATTCTCTTGCCTCAGCCTCCCAGTCTCCTGAGTAGCTAGGATTATAGGCACCCACCACCACACCTGGCTAATTTTTATTTTATTTTTTTTTGAGACGGCATCTCGCTCTGTTGCCCAGGCTGGAGTGCAGTAGCACAATCTCAGCTTACTGCAACCTCTGCCTCCCAGGTTCAACTGTTTCTCCTGCCTCAGCATCCTGAGTAGATGGGATCACAGGCGCCCACCACCACACGCGGCTAATTTTTTTTATTTTTAGTAAAGATGGGACTTCACTGTGTTAGCCAGGATGGTCTCGATCTCCTTGACCTCGTGATCCGCCTGCCTCAGCCTCCCAAAGTGTTGGGATTACAGGCGTGAACCACTGCGCCTGGTCATACCTGGCTAATTTTTGTATTTTTGGTAGATACGGGGTTTCGCCATGTTGGCCAGGCTGGTCTCAAACTCCTAACCTCAGGTCATCCACCCACCTCAGCCTCCCAAAGTGCTGGGATTAGAGCCGTGAGCCACCATGCCCAGCATTTTCGGTGAATTTCAAGATACATATTGAAATAACCTGGCTGGGCACAGTGGCTTACTCCTGTAATCCCAGCATTTTGGGAGGCCGAGGTGGGAGGATCACGAGGTCAGGAGTTTGAGACCAGCCTGACCAACGTGTGAAACCCCATCTCTACTAAAAATACCAAAATTAGCCAGGCGTGGTGGTGCGTACCTGTAATCCCAGCTACTCAGGAGGCTGAGGCAGGAGAATCTCTTGAACTCAGGAGGCAGAGGTTGCAGTGAGCCGAGATCGCGCCACTGCATGACAGAGGGAGACTCTGTCTCAAAAAAAAAAAAAAAAAGAAATGACCTGAGAGCATAGGGTCTTCGAAAATCTAGTAATCCAAGCCAGTTTTTTCAGTATTCCATAGAATGATATCATCCTTCCTTTTATATGTAAACAAAGTTAACGCAGTGACTGACTTTTAATGTCCAATATAAAATCAAGATGACAGTATTCTGGACTCAGAATGTCAGAGCAATGGCCAGGAAAGTTCTTTCACAGGGCGATCAACAGGCTTTTGGTAACTTTCACAACCCATGGACACTTTCCTGCTGAGTAAAGTAATACATTAAATCCAAACCTCGGCCGGTGCAGTGGCTCCCGCCTGAAATCCCAGCACTTTGGGAGGCTGAGGTGGGCAGATCACGTGAGGTCAGGAGTTCAAGACCAGCCTAGCGAACATGGTGAAACCCCATCTCTACTAAAAATACAAAAAATCAGCTGGGTGTGGTGGTGGGCGCCTGTGATCCCAGGTACTCAGGAGGCTGAGGCAGAATCGCTTGAACCCGGGAGGCAGAGCTTGCAGTGAGTAGAGATCACGCCATTGCACTCCAGCCTAGGCGACAGAGTGAGACTCCATCTCAAAAAAAAAAAAAATCCAAACCTCTCCTCTCATACGTTTGTTAGGCCAGGCTCACCAGCGAGAAACAATTCAGCTCTGGCTGGTTGGTTAGAAACGAATCTTGACACGAATCAAAGATCTCGTTCTTGTGCAATACCGATCAATTTATTTCCTTCCCTGGGAATGAGGGTGTAGTATGAATTTCCAAAGGAAAAACGCTCATTTTTGGTCTTTTATCTTAAGCAGGCAGACAGGTGCCGGGCACGTGCCTGGCAGATGCCCTTCATGGCTAGTTCCCAGGTACGGGCAGGGACCTCGCATGGCTGTGGTTACCCTGGGCTGGCAGGGGGCAGTCAGAGCTCTTTCCATTTCCCACAATTGCCTGGCCACCTAGGTCTAAAATGCAGAGAGAGGACGTGCAGGGGGTGGCTCTGGAGTTACAAAGCTGCCCCTGAAGCCTGCTGGACGGGACACGGGTCGAGGGAAGGACATTTCTCCATTCAGGTATTACGTGTGGGGCTGAGAGAGCTGGCCACTAGCTCGGGACTCCAAAAACCAGGTTGAAAAGCAAGGCTTCCTCACGTTCTGTGAAAGGGATGGCTGGGTTCAGTGTCCACGTAAAACAAATCCCAACTGGTTGAATACGAACTGATTTCAAGAATGGGTAAGACAGATGGGAAATAGATATATATATATTTCCCATCTGTCTTACTAGTACATATACATTTGTATTGGGAAATATATATATAAATTTATATGGTTGGTACCAGCGGAAGAAAAATGAAGATAAAACCAAAACCTCAAGTTAAGTGTCCCATCCTATGAAACATCTCCCTGGGAAAAATTATTCTCAAGTAAACTTTTATTCTCTGGTGCATTCTTAGGAGTTTACATTGGCTTCTGAAACTTCCTAATCAGCCCCAACCTCCGACTCCCTCTGGTTCCACTGAACGAGAGGCCTGCTAACCGTGCCTCAGTTCACTCTTCTCAGTAGCCAAAGGGTCCCTGCTCTCAAAACATGAATGCTCTAACCCGAGGCAGGGACATAGAGACACACGTGTGCAAGGGCCCACTGGGACTGTGCGTATATCTGGGAATTCATTTCCTGGGGAGAAGGAAAGGTGATGGGCAGGCTGGCTGAGGAAAGGTTAGGGAACAGGAGCCCCAAACTCCCCAGAGGCCTGGGGAGGAAGGGGCCCCCCGAAACTTTAACAAAAGGCAAGTTTTGAATCTGGTTGTTGATAACAAGAATTGAAATGTCCTAGACCCTGTGTGAGAAACGCACCACACGGAGGAGAGGTCTTGAGGAAAGGCCCTGTCGCGTTTCACGTGGCACGCCCTGGATCTCTTGCCGTAACAGTGGCTCAAAAGAAAATGCACCAGAGTAATGATGCTGTGGGCTCTAAGGGTCTCCGCAAAGACGCACCCCCCTCATAAGCGGATTCTAGTCTCTGGGTTTCACTGCCAGCCTGCCCCAGAGCAGTGCTTGGCCCAACACCCTGCCAACGGGGTGAGCGGGCTTACAAACCGCTCATGCGTGAAGGTTACGTAAAAACAAGCCGCCCAGCTCCCCTGCAGGCAGGCGGATGGACAAACGGCACTGCTGGGACCCTGCTTGGCCATGGGGGAAGGACACACACAGCCTGGGTGAGTCCCCGAATCACTGTACCGAGTGGAAGATGTCAGAGGAAACCACGTACGCACTGCAGGAGGCCATTATGCAAAGCTCTAGAAGATGCAAATTAACCTACAGTGACTGAAGGCAGGTCAGTGGTTACCTGGGGACAGGTGGGGCAAGGAGGGGTCGGAGGGGGATTACATAGGACACAGGGAACTCTGGGGTCCGGGCGTCTACGCTGCTTGGACTGCAGGGATGGCTTCTGGTGTTTATACGTATTTCAAAACTCATCAAATTGTACTCTTTAAGTATGTACAGTTCAGTGTATGTCAATGATACTGCAATAAAATTGTTACCCACAGAAAGAAAACAAAAAGCAGCCCAAGGCGAAAAAGTCGATCCTGTGCCCTGAGCACAGGCAGTCCTGAGGTGCGAGCGGTTTCCCACCAGGCTCTTCTTGGCCTTTCGAGAACTTCAGCCCCTCTCTGCTGTTTCCTGTTGCTGGCATCCACTTTCCCATCTCACAATATTTTCTCCTGTCTGGTCTCCTGTATCTGAAACCCACTGCTACGGGATCTCCCCTCTTTCTGGAAAATGTTCATTAAACAGGAAACAAACCCACCCTTTAAGCATCTTCCTTTCTTGCATGAAGCTGAGTAACTCACCATCTGCCCTTGCTTCCAGGCAGCTCAGCTAGACTGCCCACAGCCACACTGTCCAGTATGGAAGCCCTGGCCACATGTTTACATTAATTAAAATAAAACACAGCCGGGCATGGTGGCACGAGCCTGTAGTCCCAGCTATTCGGGAGGCTGAGATGGGAGGATTGCTTCGGTCCAGAAGTTTGAGACCAGCCTGGGCAACGTGGCGAGACCTCATCTCCGAAACAAGTAAATACAACTAAAAATCCAGTTCCTCAGTTCCATGAGTCATGCCTAAAATGCTCAACGGCCCTATGTGGCCAGCAGCTACTGAAGTGGACAGCACCAAATACAACATTTCCATCATCCCAGAACGTTCTGTCAGAAAGGCTGCTCCAAAGAGACAGTCCTTGACCTTCCGGAACTGCACAGTTTGGTGAGATGTGTGCAGAGACAGAGGAAAGCCGGCTTCCCTTTATCCACACACACAGATGGCCAGCATCTCCGGGTGTGCCGAGAAAAGGAAACAACAGGCTCAGGCTGAATGAACCAAAGGGTGCCGGCCCCTTGTTGGCAGGGAGCAGCTTAACTTGCGGAAGCCGGGAGAGAGGCCTGGTGGGGGCCCAGCTCCCCAGGCAGGGGCGGCAGAGTGGGTGATGGGGGCTTCTCTGCAGGTGCACTGCGGAGGCAGACACCAGCGAATCCGGCAGAGACGGGAACTAGCCAGATAAACCCCGAGGGAGGGGTGGGGGCAGGTGGTCTAGGAGGCAGGAACTGCAGGTCTGCAGAATGGGGGGCAGCCAGAAGACCAGAGGCAGATGAGGCTGGTGAGAGGTGGGCCCAGTGGGGGGCCACCTGGGGAAGACAGCCTCACTCTGTCCACCCAGTGTCCTGGCCCACCTTGTCACTCAGATCCCCTCATGTTATCACCACCTGAGATGTCCAGTCTGCCCCAGGAGAGCAATCAGCTAATCCCCCTGCCTGGAATTCACCCTAGCACTCAGAGACCAGATATGCTTTGTGAGGGTTCTCTGGGCTGGCAAAGTGGCGGCGGTGGGAGTGGCCGGGAGACCCTGGGATGGTGGTGACTGGAAGCAGAAGGCAGCAAAGGAGATGAAAAGTGGGGACATTAAAGAACTCCTGAGGCTGGCCGGGCGCGATGGCTCATGCCTGTAATCCCAGCACTTTGGGAGGCCGAGATGGGTGGATCACGAGGTCAGCAGATCGAGACCATCCTGGCTAACACGGTGAAACCCCATCTCTACTAAAAATACAAAAAATTAGCCGGGCGTGTTGGCGGGCACCTGTAGTCTCAGCTACTCGGGAGGCTGAGGCAGAAGAATGGCATAAACCTGGGAGGTGGAGCTTGCAGTGAGCCGAGATTGCGCCACTGTACTCCAGCATGGGTGACAGAGCGAGACTCCATCTCAAAAAAGAAAAAAAAAAAAAAAAAAAAAGAACTCCTGAGGCCAAAAGAACACCAGGACCTAGTGGCGGCTAGATACTTGGGGTGACAAGGGGAGCTCGGGACCTCAGTTTTCTTTTTTTTTCTTTTTTTTTTTTTTTGAGACGGAGTCTCCCTCAATTGCCCAGGCTGGAGTGCAGTAGCGTTGCAATCTCGGCTCACTGCAAGCTCTACCTCCTGTGTTCAAGCGATTCTCCTGCTTCAGCCTTCCAAGTAGCTGGGAGTACAGGTGTGCATCACCATGCCCAGCTAATTTTTGTATTTTTAGTAGAGACGGGGTTTCACCATATTGGCCAGGCTGGTCTCGAACTCCTTACCTCATGATCCACCCGCCTCGGCCTTTCAAAGTGTTGGGATTACGGGCGTGAGCCACTGCGCCCAGCGTTGGGACCCCAACTTTCAACAGGGCAAAGGAAAACAAGTCCGGAGAGCCGGCACCCCATGCAGCTCCTGGGCAAGCTTCTGTAGTGATTTTCATGCACTAACAGCTCATCCTCCAGCCCTGGTAATAAATGGGAACCTGGGAAAGGGGCCCATCCAAAAATCTTGTGCCCCTCACCTGATGCCCATCTGGCACAGATTAAGGATCTAGGAGGCTCTGCATGCCATGGGTCTTCCTGCTGAGGCCTGAGGACATGCTCCATATCTGGTCCCCAGGGCCCATGAGCCAGACTGAGGCACAGCTGCAAAGTGACTGAACTGTGTTGTCGCAATGGTCAAGGTCAATAAGAGCAGAGAACGAGGGGCCACCGCAGAACACAGGACACAACAAGGACACAGGGACCCCTGAGCCCCTTACACAGCCAGAGAAAGCAGCGTGGGAAGACGCCTGCACTTGGGAAGCTGGGTGAGGAGTGTTAATTCTGCAACCTTTCTGTACATATTTCAAAATGGTTTTTAAAAACGTAAAAATGAAACAGATATTTCATTTAGAAATCTTAATTTTGGAAGAACTGACTTCTCTCAGCTCTCGGCCCTGTCTGACTGCTGCCAGCGTGGCCCGGGGGCTCCCGCAGCGGAGCGGCAGAGGGGCAGGCTGCGCCCAGCGGCCTCCGGGCCACTTCGGCCTCTGTCCCGTGTTCTCTCTGGCTGGCAGGTACCTCCTTCTCCATGGTTCCTACATGTATTTGCTCCACTTTTTAGGGAGACTGCTGTACTCCTGGTGAGTGGTACAGCTACACCAGGCCAGCTTTCAGAGGCACCTAGGAAAGGCAGCTCTGGCAGCCCCATCTTGATAGCTTCATTTAAAAAACATTTTTTAAAAAACTGTTCTTAATATCATAACATGGCAGGAAAAGAAATCGCATACTCTGGCCAAGCAGTGGTGGATTTACTATTTGTCATATGAAAAACAAAAATAAAAATTTCTGATTCAGCATCTTAATTCATTGATGGAAAAGACTTCCTGCAGATCGTCTGGCGCAGAGGAGAAAAAAAGAAGGAAAAATGGCAGACTGATCATCTCTGTAGAGCGGGATTATGGTGTTTGTTTTCTCCAGCTGAATCCTACCCAAATAGTCTATGAAATGGATGACATTTATTTATTTATTTTTATCTATTTATTTATTTTGAGACAGAGTCTCACTCTTGTTGCCCAGGCTGGAGTGCAGTGGTATGATCTTGGTTCACCACAACATCTGCCTCCTGGGTTCAAGTGATTCTCCTGCCTCAGCCTCCCGAGTGCTGGGACTACAGGGGCCTGCCGCCACACCTGGCTAATTTTTTTTTCTTTTTTTTTTCTTTAGTAGAGACAGGGTTTCGCCAGGTTCGCCAGGCTGGTCTCAAACTCCTGACCTGAGATGAGGAGGTCAGGAGTTCAATGTCAAATGTTGGGAGGCTGAGGTGGGAGGATTGCTTGAGTCCAGGAGTTTGAGACCAGCCTGGGCAACATAGCGTGACCTCATCTCTCGCCTGCCTCAGCCTCCCAAAGTGCTGGGATTACACATGTGAGAGTCGCTGCGCCTGGCCGGTAACTTTTATTTAACTCGGAAAAAATAAGTTTTGGATAAAACTGTCTTCCCTTGCATCCTTTCCTTACATAGCATCAAATGCCGAATGATCAGCAAACATCACCATCTGGGCTTGTTGAGAGAACACCCACTCCAGCTGCCTGCCATGAGCCTGGGGGGTGTTACCAGCAGCAGTTTCTTTAGGGTTAAGAAGATTTTAAGGCAAATAATGACCACTAATATTCACATGTCATCTCTCACACCTTATTTTTCCTCTTGTAAGCTAAGCAGTTGATCACTATGGGAGAAGGGCTCTTTGCTGCCCGGGTAAGCCCGGCAAACGTGGTGGCTCTGCCCGGCCCTCCTCTGGAGCTGCACCGGACGGTGCGTGTGGAGGCAGCATCTGCTCCTTGCCAGCCCCCACCCCGTTCAGCTGCTGTTTCCCACCTTCTTCTTTTCCACTGGGAAATAACTTGAGGGTTTTAAAAAACTTTGTATCAGAGCCTGCACAACCAGAAACTGCACTGTCTGGTAGGCGGCTAGCAATGTCCGGTGCCTGCCGTCCACGGCGGCCCTGAGAACCCGTCAAGGGTTCTGCCCTGACTCTGCTACATCTGCCTGCCCACAATTCTCCAGGCAACCAACAGCCAGTGATGGTGCTTGGATCTTGAGATGAAACTGACTTGCAAAGTCCGCGGCCACTGCAGCCCAGCGAGGGGAAGAGGATGGACCCAGGGTGTGTGGCTCCTGAGGGCCGGGCTGACACTCAGGCTGGGGTCTGCAGACTCCACGGCTTGGGTCAGTCTCTCGGGAGACCCCACCCTCTCTAGCTCCTGTCACTCTCATACACTCAGCTGCCTGTTATCAGAGCACATTGGGAGTCACTGTGGTAATGACCGGCAAGAAGATGGGAACAGGGATGTCTGCTCTGCTCAGGTTTTTATAAAACCCTGCGGATTCTGTCTGCTCAGAAGCTGCAGTGGCTCAGGTTACCCATCTCTGACTAAGCCTTCTTGAGCAGAGTGGCTGGGGACGGAGCTTCTGCTGACAGCTCACCCAGGAGCTCCTCTGCAACAAGACACGCCTGCAGCGTGTGACGTCCCGCTCCCCTCTTATCAGACACACGTCTATGTGATCACAAGTCCCTGCCTAGAAAAGACGCCGACCCACAGGGCACAATGGTCTACAAAGTTGGAAATGAAGGTCTGCTTGATTCAGTAGAGGAGTAGGCATGCCAAATGTTGACAGCATCGAGCCCTCTTCCTTAGTTGTAAAGCCCTGAGGTCTTTCCAAGGGCGCCCCGTTAGCGTTTAATCATAGCCTCCATGCTGGCCAAGCATTGGCTGGCTTCGGGGCTCGGCTCCCGAAGCTCTCGGTGCAGCTTCTCTAAAGCGCTGGGGCAATGGTGGGTCTCAGACTAAAGGTGATAGCTTTGCAAACCACACGCACACCCGCCAGCTTGGTTCAGCAGGAGCCCTGGGGGAGGGCAGATGCACTCACAGCAGCTTGCATGTGAACCGCACAGAGCTGGGCAGCGCCTATCCTGTGCACAGCTCATTTTTAAGCGGCAAGGTTATAATTCCTAGCCTTAACGTTGTCCATCTTGATTTTCTCCTTTCAGTTCCTTCTCGTCCACTATACTGACCACACAGGTACAAGGTGAAAAAAAGAAACCCACCTGAAATCCAGGTCAGGCCACTGAGTGTGGGAGAGCAGTGGAGGGCGGTGCCCAGCACAGGGGGCAGCCACAGCTCCACAGCTGAGCGAGGGCAGCCCTGGCACTCCAGGCTTCTGGGGAGCAGCCCTCCGGTGCCTGCAGCTGCCTGACATGGAAGCAAGTGCCCAGGCCGGTGTCGGGTTCACTCTGCATCCTGGCTGGGCACTTCTGGGGTGGGTGACCTTGGTTCAGCCCCTCCACTTCTCAGGACAAGTTTCCTTCCCAGTAAAATGCCTATAGTCACCCTGAGCTCCAAAATCCATGAACCTTTGCGTTCCCTTAGGTTGAGAGCTTTAACTCAGCTTTGCTGGAACCGGGGCATTCCAATCAATGCATAACCACCTCGCGACAGACACGAAGCCCAAACGCAATAGAAACCACAGGAAAGGAGGAATGATACAACATACTGTTATGATTTTTATAAACACGCTTTAAACCAAACTAGGCCATAAATCACCTTGGTTTCAGAAAAAGCCAAAATACTGACACAATCTTTTATTTTCCTATTAAAGTCAAGAATGTGTTAAGCCGAATTAATTGAAAAGGAATTGAAGCTCATTTCCTAAGACACTTCTATTCATAAGTCAAACAGCATTACCTAACTCCTAGAATGAGAGAATTTCTGGGCTTGGAGATCGCCTAGTGCAATTCACTCCTTTGATGGAAAATCGAACCCCAGGCAGGCGACAGGCCAAGGTCACAGAGGCAAAGCAGGGATGGGAACCAGCCTCCCTGAACCTGTTTCTGACAAAGGGCGAGGTTCTGGGCCCACACACAGGCAGGCCGAGCTCAGTATCTGACGGTGAATGAATGAAGCTAAGTGGTGCTCCCCACAGGGCCCGGCTCTTGTAACTGCTTCACAGACAAGCGATTTCCAGGTTATGGAGACATCCTAGCACAGAATTAAACGCTTCAAACTCAGACTGTTAACTCCTCAGAAGCCAGAGTGGAGTTTCTCAGCCCTGGCTACATCAGCTAACAATCTCGCCAAGCAAGGAACCAAGGGGGCAAAGACATCACCTCCAGAAACTCGAGTGTTCCTTCTGCTGACAGAGGAGCAGCCCGCCTGCGGCCTTGTTCTGTGTTTACATCAACCACCCAATTCACCCGTGTCACAGACCTTCAAAATACGGGATTAGGGACAAGGGAAAGGTCTCCAACATCATCCACAGACGGCTGCAGCCCCCTAAGAACACCAAAAGATTCCTTTTCTAGATGGGTTTAGAATGGCAGCCAACAGAGGTAGCACTTGGGGTCGGGAAACGGTTTTGACTGAACACACGCACGAAAGCAAAGGCAATTGTCATGCAGAGGTGGGTGGGGAGGGGAGAGTGAGGCCTGGCTTTGAAGCTGAGCTCCCCGGGGATGACGCCAGGCACATCGGGTTTGGGGCTGAAGATTCAGGGCTGGGGGCACGGAGGAGGGGGCCAGGGCCCAGGCCTGGGCGGAAAAGGGGGTCCCCGGGAGTCGGGGTGGGGTCCCGGGGCAGGCGGGGGAGTGCTCTAGGGAGGTGTCTCACGGCGGGCAGAGGGGGTGGGGAAGTCCCGGGGCGGGGGATATGGGGTCCAGGCGGGTCTCGGGGCGGGGTCTGGGGGTCCAGGGGTCCCGCGGTCCGGGGTGCCGGAGCGGGGTCTGGGGTCGGGACGGGTGTTGGGTCCGGGGCCCGGGGCTGGCTGGGGGTCCGGGACGGGGATGCGGGCGGGTCCCGCGGCCCACGCACCTCCTCCGCCTGCCTGCGCAGCGCCTTCTCACGCTCGTACTGGGTGAGCAGCTGCTCGTTGTCCTCGCGCAGCAGCTCCAGCTCCACCTCGTGCTCCTGGTTCTCGCTGAGCACCGAGTCTAGGTTCTCCAGCACGTTCACCACCAGCGGCATGAGCTCCTTGACCACCTCCTCGTCGTAGCAGTGGATGAGGCGCTCGAACTCGCGGTAGATGGAGCCCGCCAGGCCCGACACCCGCTCCGACATCACCGAGCCGGAGCAGTAGTCGTCCTGGTACACCACCACGCCGCCGCCCTCGTCCATCTGGATCTCCATCATCGCGGCCACCGCCGCCGCCAGCGCGGCTCGCTATCCGGCCGGCGCGCCCGGCCCTCCCCAGCTGCCTCAGGTTCCGCAGGCCGCAGCCCGTCGCCTCCCGCAGCTGCTGTCGCCTCAGGGCTCCGCCGCCGCCGCTGCCGAGGCTGCGCCCGTCACTCACTCACCGGAAGTCCCGCCCTCCAGCCGGAGGGGGCGGTGCCCGCGCGTCCCGCCGCAGCCGCGCCGCCAGGGGGCGCAGGGGCCGTGACGTCAGAGGAAGCCGGGCTTCGGGCCGGAAGCGCGGGTGAGCCGGGCAGAGGGAGCTCCCGGCCAGGCCGGTGGGATCCGCGGGGCGGCAGTGGTCGCTTCCCCCAGCGCGCTGTAGCTTGATCATGTCCCCGCAACCGTGGGCTTCCGGTGACCTCGATCCCGTCTCCAGGCTCTGCACACTTCGGCGGACTTAGGTGAAGGCTCAGCGCCTGCGCCTCAATCCCGGCCGCCCTGATGAGCCTCCGTTCCCTACAGCACCGCGCCCCGCTCAGTGCCTCCCCTCTCCTGATGCCTTCCCCGCTCAGCTGGCTCCTCCCGGGATTCTGTGAATGCACCCTCAACGCCCATCTCATCCTGAAACCCAGCAGCGTGGCCTCCTTCCTTTCGCCCACTTCTCCCTACTGCACTGACTGCTTCAGATTTTCTTTTTTTTTTTTTTTTTTGAGATGGAGTCTTGCTCTGTCGCCCAGGCTGGAGTGCGGTGGCGCGATCCTGGCTCACTGCAAGCTCCGCCTTCTGGGTTCAAGTGATTCTTCTCCCTCAGCCTCCGGAGTAGCTGGGATTACAGACCAGCTAATTTTGTATTTTTAGTAGAGACGGGGTTTCGCCATGTTGGCCAGGCTGGTCTCAAATTTCTGATCTCAAGTGATCCGCCCGCCTCGACCTCCCAGAGTGCTGGGATGACAGGCGTGAGCCACCGCGCCAGTCCAGATTTTCGGTTACTTTTCAGCTACGTGCAATCTGTTTAACCCATCCACTGGGTTATTAATTGCACCGATTTTTTTTTTTTTGAGACGGTGTTTCGCTCTTGTCGCCCAGGCTGGAGTGTGATGGCGCGATCTCGGCTCACTGCAACCTTCGCCTCCTGGGTCCAAGCGATTCTCCTGCCTCAGCCTCCTGAGTAGCTGGGACTACAGACACGCGCTATTAACGCCCGGCTCATTTTTTTGTATTTTTAGTAGAGACGGGGTTTCACCATGTTGGCCAGGCTGGTCTTGAACTGCTGACCTCAAGTGATCCACCCGCCTCCCTCGGCGTCCCAAAGTGCTGGGATTACAGGCGTGAGCCACTGCACCCTGCCAATGATTCTGTTTTTGTCCTATTTGATTTCTTATATTCTAGCAGTTTTAATAGGCTCTTATACTTCCAACCACATATTTATCTTTAAGCGTTGGGTGTGCCTCATAACTACAGTATCTGCAGCCCTTGCAGGTCTGATTCTGCATGTCATCCTGGTTGACTCTTGGCCCAGGGTCCCCTTTCCCCCATTCTGAGCCAGTGTCCCCAGGACTTTTGTCTCTGGAAGTACTTGAGGCCTGAACTTAAAATGTGTTGCTCCGTAAGATTTGCACTTTATTTTGCTGGGCAGGGGACACCATGAACCCAAGACTTTGAAACTCAATTTGGGAGCCACACATGTATTGTGAATCCTGATGAAACCACATCAGTGACTATTTAATGCTAATAGAAATGGCCACTTACCGTCTTTCACCTACTGCAATGCTCATCAGTTCAGATCCTCTCATCCTAATCTGATTGCACCGAAACAGTAACTCCCGTAGCTGACACCCTACTGATTTTTTTTGTTGTTCAGTTTTTAGAGGCAGGGTCTCACCCTGTTGCTCAGGCTGGAGGCACTGGCATGATCAGGGCTCACTTGAACTCTTAGGCTCAAGTGATCCCACCTCAGCCTCCTAAGTAGTTGGGTCTACAGGTGTAAGCCACCACTGCTTGGCCAATTTTAAAAACATTTTTGTAGAGACAGAGGTCTCACTGTTACTCTGGCTGGTCTTGAACTCCTGGCCTCAAGCGATCCTCCCCCTTGGCCTCCCAAAGTGCTTAGATGACAGGTGTGAGCCACCATGCCAGGCTCTATTGTGTTTTTCACATTTTCCACTTGCAACATAATTTGCCGTATACATGTTCAACCATCCCACTAAGAGGTTTCATTCAGCCTCAGATTCCAATTTCCTGGGATCCCAAGTGACTTAATTTTGCCAAATCTCCATTTCTTTTCTTTTCTTTTTTTTTTTTTCCTGAGATGGAGTCTCAGTCTGTGGCCCAGGCTGGAGTGCAGTGGCACCATCTCAGCTCACTGTTACTTCCGCCCCCCGTGTTCAAGCCATTCTCCTGCCTCAGCCTCCCGAGTAGCTGGGACTACAGGCATGTGCTACCACGCCTGGCTAATTTTTGTAATTTTTAGTAGAGATGGGGGTTTCACCATACTGGTCAGGCCGGTCTCAAACTCCTGACCTCAGGTGATCCACCCACCTCAGCCTCCCAGTGTTGGGATTACAGGCATGAGCCACCGTGCCTGGCCCCAAATCTCTGTTTCTAAGCCTGCAAAACAGCCTAAAATATCCAGCCTATTAGGAATGTCAGCTAATCCATGAAAGGAGCATGGCGCCATCTCCAGCAAATAACGTGCGATAAAGGTTACGGAGAGTTGTGAGGTTCCATAAAGTGAAAATGATAAGGCTGGGCAAACAGATGTAATCTATAATTCTTCCTGGTGAACAAGTTAGAGCAAGCTTGCATTTTGGGGGATGTTTAAAGCTTCTGCTTTATACCTTTGAGAAACTTGAGCCCTTTGAATTCCTGAGGTAGCACACTACAGTAGGAACAATGCTACCACAGGGAGAGGCCAACAGACTTGGCCATCAACTCAATTGATTAATTATCACTACCATGATTGCACAGATTTGTTACTTTAAGTTGGTTAAAATGAAATTTTAACAAGGTGCTGGATAATTCTTGACACTTATGGAATCATACAACTGGTCTTCTCCTGAAAGTTGGTGCTGAATTAGAACTGCTTACAGCTGGGCATAGTGGCTTACACCAGTAATCCCAGCACTTTGGGAGGCCAAGGAGGGAGGATCGCTTGAATCCAGAAGCTTGAGACCAGCCCGGGCAACATAGTGAAACCCAGACTCTACCAAAAAAAAAAAAAAATCAGCCAGGCGTGGTGGTGCATGCCTGCAGTCCCAGCTACTTGGGAGGCTGAGGTGGGAGGATCACTTGAGCCTGGGAGGTTGAGGCTGCAGTGAGCAGATTGTGCCACTGCACTCCAGCCTGGGTGACAGAATGGCTCTGTCTAAAAAAAAAGAAGAACGAACTTCTAGTAACAGAGGAGTTGACTTCCTTTCAGATTCAGAAATACTATTTGGGATGCAACTTTTTCTCACTAAAATACCTTAAAATGTAAGATGGGCATTAAAATATAAAATGTAAGTTTCTAAAATTCAACTTTAATTTCTAAGTATCTGCCCTGATGCCTGCTAAGAAGCCACACAGTTCCCTGTGATGTTCCTCTCATCTTCATGAGCTGAGTTTGAGAGAGCATCTTTAGATAGCACTTTGTAGCCACACATTACACAGGAGTATTTCAGTGATGATCTTCAAGATGGTCAGGATTATGAGTGCAGAAGAAATTAAGCAGCCAGCACGGGAGGAGGCATCTACACACTCACAGGGTGTGACCTACCAGGTACACCACAAAGATCATATGGCAAAGTTACCTGACATCAAAAGAGCCTGTGTATTCCTGGACAAGGCACGGGGCTCGAGGTGGCAACCCTTCGGGGTCTGTTATTCACACCCTCACCCTGTACCAGGTGGCACCCGCGTCCTTCTAGACTTGGCCACTGCCAGGCCTCTGGAGACGGAGGAGCTGTGACTCCCAGAGGTTCCCATGCTTGCTGGTGGCCTTGGCAGCTGCTAGAAATAGGAAACTTAGCGTGTCATTTCCTAGCCTGGTTCTTGGAACTCGCTCTATACCCTGTGGATGAACAAGTGAAGACGGTGTTTCAGTTAATGCATGTTGGTTTTCTTTCTCAAGCGTTGACTTTCATCTCATCTGGCCCCGATCTAGCAGGCAGAATGGTGTGGAGCCTCCTAGAGAGGAACTCTCAGGCTCACAGTCTGAGAAGTTTACCCTGAATCCACATAATGCCTGTAAGGATATTAAGTATGTTAGAAAACATATGAAAATAGCTAATACATCAGAAGAAAGACATCCAATCTGTTTTTTATTTTATTTTTTTACACAGGGTCTTGCTCTGTGGTCCAGGCTGAAGTGCAGTGGCATGATCATCACTCACTACAGCCACAACCTCCTGGTCTCAAGTGATCCTCCTGCCTCACTCAGCCTCCCGAGTAGCTGGGACTACAGGCATGCACCACCACATCCGGCTAATTTAGAGAAGTTTTTTTTTGTATAGACAGGGTCGTAGTATGTTGTCTAGGCTGGTCTCAAACTCCTGAGCTCAAGTGATCCTCCCACCCTGGCCTCCCAAAGACCCAAAGACTACAGACCTGAGCCACCATGCCCACCTGTTTTCTTGACAGGACTTGCATATGACAAGCTCTCTGCTTCTCCTCACCTATGCATTGCAAGCCAGGTCAGAGGCAGGTTAAACACCTTAAGGACATGTTAGGACAAGTGGCATACAAGGGAAAAAAACCCGTTCATTTAAGTTACAGAAACAGAAAAAAAAAAACTGGCTTATTCCCACACTTACTCTACTCAAAGCTTTGAGAAGACTAATTTTGGCATCCTCTGGCTAAATACAAAACAACAAAACAAAACAAGGCAAACTCTTTCAGCAAGAGCTGTGGGGGAAGGGACTATAAGGGACACACACAACTGACAGGCAAAAGCTCTGAGCACGTGATTGCTAAGTTTAATTCAACTGTTACACCCCATTCTGCCTTGTAAAAATAACAAAACGCTCCTATCAAAATGACATTGTGATGTGAGTACAGGCTTTTTGTTTTGGTACAGCTCTAAAAAATGTTGGCACCGAATGCACTTAAGAAAAGTGTTAAGGCTTAATACAAATACAGAGACGAGTCATTTCTCAATGCAGCTTAGAGGGTGAGAACAGGATGCTAGGTTTTTAAATCTTCCAAATACAGGCAGTCCCCAACGTACAGACATACAGGACACCTCCCAAATGTAAACGACAGCCACACAGCAGGGCTTGCATGCGCAGGAACTCTTCTTCTCCCAGTGAGCAGACTAAGCACTCTGAATCCCACCCCACTGCCTCGCAGAGGGAAAGAAGGCAGGACAGATGCAAGAAGAGTAATGTCAGGGGCTCCATCACAGCTGCCCAGGGGCTTCTGCTGTAGTTCATATTTTCCTCATTCCCATCTCTGGTTTCTCCCATAACCCAGAAGTCCCTGCCAGGGGCGGAAGTAAAGAGCTTTTCCTCTCACCTAGCGGACTGCAAGGGCTGGGAGAATCACAGGGCCCAGTACCGTCACGTCCTATTTCTTCCTGGCAATCTGATTTGGAATTCGTGAATCATTTTCTCAATAAAAAAACAGAAGTTATAAATGGTAGTTCATTTCCACCATTAAACTGTTTCCTTTCAAGTTGCATCAATGACTTTGAAGCACAAACCACCTGAAGTGTGTGTAGAGTCACACAGAGTGTTTCTTGGCTCCAAAGTCTACAGGCAATCAAAAGGGGGAAGCTGTCTTTGGTTGACAAAGCCTTGTGCAGACCCCAGTGTGCCAGGTGTAGGAAGGGGAGCTTGGCAGGCGGCTCCTGCAGGCACTTAAGCAGTGAGGCAGCATGAGCCTGACTGAACATGGCTGCTGCTTTTCTGAAGTTTAATAATGATGATGTTTCTAGCACCAAGCATTAGCTTTGTAGGCACTCAGAGCAAAGCTGCTGCCGCCACCCAGACGTTCTCCTCTGTTAACAGATGCCCACCCAAGGGCAGCATGAGAACTGGGCCTGCAGCCCTTGAGGGGGATGGGCAGAGGCTTCTGCCTGAAGATGAAAGCACCACCACCTTTGCCATCCCATTAGCTGAGTGAGCAAAGCTCAGGGAATTGGACAGGTGTGACTTTGCTACTGAACTCCTTCATCTCCTGGCCTAAGGTCTCTAGTCTCTTCTGGAAGCTTGTTTGTGAGTTAGATCCAGAAGTTCTATAAAGCTTTGTAGAGGGTGGCCTCCACAGCTCTTCTTCCTCTTTGGTGTACCTGAACAATTGACTTTTTTCTGGAAAGGTGTCAGAAACAGACCAGAGTCAACAATCATTTATGTAAAGCTGGTATTTAAAATTTAGCTTTTTAGATATTATTAAAGAATCCAAACCTAAGAACCCAAGGTTCCCAAGCATCTCTTCTTTCCACCAACCAATTAAGGAATAAAGAAAGACACAGGAAGAATTTAAACAAGCCACTTACTCGGAAATATCTGAATAGATTTTTAAAGTCCCGCAGAGGTCAGCGGGCCTCATTTATGGGAAGAACTGTGACTTGTGAAGGGAACTGTCTACATCACTGGAGAACAACAAACGCCTAAACTTAAGGCTGATGAGAGGAAAAAAGCAAGAATTCACAAGCAAAACTGGCATGTAAAGGACCAAGACCAGCCCTGTGTGAAAGACAGGCAGATTCCAACATGAGATCAGATCAGGCCGAGGTTTCAGATGGCAGGAACTGGGCACTTCAGAGGGTCAGGGCACCAAAACAATCTTCCATGAAGTAGAAGACGGATAACTATTATTATTTGGTTTTTTGAAAGCTGCCGAGGAAAAGCAATCAAGATGTTTCAAGAAAAGACTACAGAACAATATGCTGGGGGTAAAATGAAGTGGGGATGCTGGATTTAGCAGCCGTGATCTCCAGAATGGAAGCGGTTCTGCTAAGAGGTCAATATACTGTTAGTGTTTCTGCTTACGCCTCCTCCATCCCACAGCAGCAGTGGACAGGCTGTTTTGGTTTCTTTCAGTCATTCCTAGACATCCAATCAGCTGGCGGGCTGTTGATCCAAGGACCATGCCCTGCCCCACCTCCCCACCCTCACCCCCCTTCCAGTTCCTCTCAAACCTGGACTACACATGAGTGATGGCCAGGGGTGCCCCATTTCATCCCCACAGAGGCATCTCCCAGCCATCTGGAAGGCACGGGTCTCCAAGCAGCTGTCATGACGGCCAGGAGACGCTGAGCAGCCAGGCTCACATAAGACTAACCCTCTTCCCACCCCGCTCATTTGGGCAAAAGGAAATGAAAACATGGCTACCCTATCTCTTGAGTTTCTGGTCTGGCTCCGGGTGGAGCAGTGGCTTCTCTTAGTAGAAGGAGATGCTGGATTTGCCTCCCGGTGGGTTCAGGACCTTGTTGTGAGAGCGAGGCCGCGGCCCCAGCCGGGGCTCATGGCTGTCGACTGTGGGCATGGGCTCCTGCTCCTTGGCGGGGCCTGCTTTTCTGGCGCTGCCTTTCTCACCTGGCTCTGCTCCAGCCGGGATGCTCCTTGCAGCTGTGGGACACAAAGTTAGAACAACATCCCATTAGAGGCAACCCATGACCCTGACAGGCAGGCTGTGGAAATAAAAAGTGTGTCATAGAGCAACCTGCAAGAAATTCATGCTGTAACTGGGAAAGAGAAGACAATATAGACAGGCTTTTCATCTGGTACCAAAACAACTCACTGTAATTAGCAGATGCAGTTTTGAAATGGGCATAAAGTTGGGGCTTGCTACTGTAAATACTCCTTGATTTCTTCCTAAGTGAATTGTTTCTTTATATTGCTTGTTAGACACCACTCCCATTTCTTCCATCTCAAGTATAGAAAGCAAGCCCCTGAGAGTGACCATGAGGCGGCGAGGGAATGCATCCTAGGTGAGGGCTTAGCAAGGCAAAGGCAGGCTCTGTTGCTGTTACCCTGGGCTTTTCAAAGGTGAATGAAATCCCACAAATCTTGGTCATTAGTTAAGGGAAATGGAGACCCAAAGGCAGAAACCGATGCCCATGGTCAGGCTAAAGAGCCGTGGGGAGAGTCGAAGTCTGCCGCTCAACCTGAGCAGTGGCTCACTCCCCCGGGGTGACTCACCATGGAGACACCCGCCTCCCCATCCTCCATCCCTCTCTTGTGCCCCTCTCTTCTCGATTAGTTCTGCCAGCTCTATGCTTGGTCATGAGTTCACTGAAGGTTTGGGATCCCTGCCCATCACTACACAGATGAGCTTCTAGGAGACGACCCCATGGCCCTGGGCCTAGGCTGATGAGCAAGACAACCAAGTCCCAGGGTTTCACCCTAGCCTTCTTCAAATGCTGAATCCTCTTGCAGTGGATACACCTGAGCTCGTTTTAATCAGGTGGCCCAGAAGGTGCAAAGAAAGACTCCTTTTCATTCCCAGAGGAGAGACTAGCAACTCTTCCAGAAATAATGAGGCCACTCAGGAGAAGGGAAAGAAAACAAAAGCTCACCTTTAAGATCCGATTTTGGTTCTTCTCCTTCACATAAGAAAACATGATCCTGCAACAAGGCAAACCACCAAATCAGGACTCACTCAGAAAATTTTACCCTCATTCAAATGGACAATGAAAATCAGGACCATATAACCTTTTAATTTACAAAAATGCTTGTATATCTGACCTCAGGACCCCCCCAATCCTCTACAGACTATTCTGAAACAAACCTGATATTTCATTTATCCATACATATTTCAAGATGTAGCTCTTAAAACATCCTTTAAAAAATAACAGTAGCACCCTCAAAACTGCGAATATTAATGATTCCTTAAATATCAAAGTCAATTTTTTTTTTTTTTTTGGAGACAAGAGTCTTGTTCAGTCATTCAGGCTAGAGTGCGGTGGCATGATCTTGGCTCACTGCAGCCTCTGCCTCCTGGGCTGAAGCGATCCTCACATCTCAGCCTCCCGAGTAGTGGGGACTACAGGCGTGAGCCACCACACCTGGCTAATTTTTCTATTTTTTGTAGAGACAGGGTTTTGCCACGTTGCCCAGCTCATCTCAAACTCCTGGACTCAAGTGATCTGCGTGCCTCAGCCTCCCAAAGTGCTGGGATTATAGGCGTGAGCCACTGTGCCCAGCCTCAAAGTCAAATTTTTAAATACTGGCATAATATTTCATCCATGCTGTAATATTTCATCCATAATAATTTCATCCATGCTGTAGCGTGTGTCAATGCTCCATTCCTTTCTATGGCTGAGTAATATTCCATTGTATGGACAGACCACATGTTGTTTACCCATTCATCTGTTGATGGACAAATGAGTCATTCCCGCCCTTGGGCTACTGTGAATAATCCTGGTGCAAGGATCTAGTGTTTGACTCCTTGTTTTCAAATCTTGTGAGTACGTACTTAAGAGTGGAATTATTCGGTCATATGGTAATCCTGTTTAACTCTGAGGAACTGGCAGTATCCACAGCCACTGCACCATCTTCCAATCCCACTAGCAATGCACGAGGGCTCCAGTTTCTCTGCATCCTCACCAACTCGTATTTTCCATTTTTACATCACACCATCCGAACAGGCATGCACTGGCATCTCACGGGTTTCTGATGTGCATGTCCCCAGTTATTAATAACACTGACCATCTTTTCGGGTGGTTTTTGGCTGCTTGTATCTCTTCTTTGGAGAAATGTATATTCAAGTCCACTACCATTTTTGAATTGGGTTTGTTATTTCGTTGTTGAGTTGTAGGCATTCTTTATGTATTCTGGATAGTAACTCCTTATCAGAAATGATTTGCAAATATTTCCTCCCATTCTGCGAGTTATCTTTTCACTTTTTTTTTTTTTTGACACGGAGTCTCACTCTGTTGCCCAGGCTGGAGTGCAGTGGCGCAATCTCGGCTCACTGCGCCCTTTGCCTTCTGGGTTCAAGCAATTCTCTTGCCTCAGCCTCCAGAGTAGCTGGGAGTACAGGCGCCCAGCTACTTTTTTTGTATTTTTAGTAGAGACGGGGTTTCACCATGTTAGCCAGGATGGTCTTGATCTGACCTCGTGATCCGCCTGCCTCAGCCTCCCAAATTGCTGGGATTACAGGTGTGAGCCACTGTGCCCAGGCTTTTTTGTTTGTTTTTTGTTTTTTTGAGACAGAGTCTCATTCTGTCACTCAGGTTGGAGTGCAATGGCGCAGTCTCAACTCATTGCAACCTCAGCCTCCCAGGTTCAGTTGATTCTTCTGCCTCAGTCTTCCGAGTACCTGGGATTACAGGCATCCACCATCATGCCCGGCTAGTTTTCGTATTTTTAGTAGACATGGGGTTTCACCATGTTGGCTAGGCTGGTCTCGAACTCTTGACCTCAGGTGATCTGCCCACCTCGGCCTCCCAAAGTGATGGGATTACAGGTGTTAGCCACTGTGCCTGGCCTGTTTTCATTCTTTATAGTGTCCTTTGATGCACAGAAGTTTATAACTTTAATGAAGACCTATTTATTTACTTATTTTTTCAGACAGTCTTGCTTGTTGCCCATGCTGGAGTGCAGTTGCATGATCTTAGCTCACTGCAACCTCTGCCTCCTGGGCTCAAGTGATCCTCCCAACTCAGCCTCCTGAACAGCTGGGACCACAGGTGTGCACCACCATGCCCGGGTAATTTTTTGTATTTTTGTGGAGAAGGGGTTTTGTCATGCTGCCCAGGCTGGTCTCAAAATCCTAGGCTCAAGCAATCTGCCTGCTTCAGCCTCCCAAAGTGCTGGGGTTATAGGCATGAGCCACTATGCCTAGGCTTTTTATAATTTTTTTGAGACAGGATCTCATTCTGTCACCCAGGCTGGAGTGCAAATGGCAAAATCACTGCTCTCTGCAGCCTTGAACAACTGGGCTCAAGCAATCTTCCCACCTCAGCCTCCCAGGTAACTAGGACCACAGGTGCACGCAACCATACGCAACTGATTTTTTTTTTTTTTTTTGGGACGGAGTTTCGCTCTTGTTGCCCAGGCTGGAGTGCAATAGCACGATCTCAGCTCACTGCAACCTCCACCTCCTGGGTTCAAGCGATTCTCCTGCCTCAGCCTCCCGAGTAGCTGAGATTACAAGCATGTGCCACCAGGCCCGGCTAATTTTATACTTTTAGTAGAGACGGGGTTTCTCCATGTTGGTCAGGCTGGTCTCGAACTCCCGGCCTCAGGTGATCCGCCTGCCTCGGCCTCCCAAGGTGCTGGGATTACAGGCATGAGCCACTGTACCCAGCCCCCAGCTAGTTAAAAAAAAGTTTTTTTAGAGTTGAGGTCTCTCTATGTTGTCCAGGCTGGTCTGGAACTCCTGGGCTCAAGTGATTCTCCCACCTTGGCCTTCCAAAGTACTGGGATTACAAGTGTGAGACACCATGCACGGCCCAATTTATTTTTAATTTTGTTGCCTCTGTTTTTGGTGTCATATCTAAACCTCCATTGCCAAATCCAGGGTCATGAAGATTTGTCCCTATATTTTCTTCTAAGAATTTTATAGTTTTTGCCCTTAACTTTAGGTCTTCGATCCATTTTGAGTTCATTCTTGTGTATGGTGTAAGAAAGAGTAAGCTTTTATCCTTCTGCATGTGCATATGCAATTGTACCAATGCCATTTGCTAAAGAGACTGTTCTTTCCCCACTGGATGATCTTGGCACCCTTGTGAAAAAAAAAAAAGCCCTTTGGAAGGCTTTATTTCTCAGTTCTCAACTTGACTCCACTGGTCAGTGTGTCTGTCTTCATGCCAGTGCCATGCTGTTTGGATTACCGTTGCTTTGCAGTAAGATTTGAGAGCAGGAAGTAAGAGCTCCAACATCTTTTTCAATTATTATTATTTTTGGATACTTGGGGTACCATGAAATTCCATATGAATTATAGGACTTTTTTCCCATTACAGAATAAAACACCATTAGGACTCTTATAGGGCTACATTCTTGTCTCTCTTTAATCCTCAGGACCTCCCTCTATTCTCGTCATGTTGTTTCCTATGTAAGCCATTGTTCTGAGCGCAGCTCTGTGGTGTTAATTAATATGTGGCTTGGTCTGATTTGAGCTTGATTTTTTTGACGAAACAGCGTCAATGGGGGCCCATGGTGGATTTCCATTCCCAGGCCCATAAGTGTTGGTTCTCTCTCATTTTGTGATGTTAACGGCCACTGATGAACATTTTCTCAGATCCACGATTTCAGTACAAGTTTATAAAACAGTGATATTCTAATTCCTTTATTCCTTCTTCACTTACATCCCAGAAACTTTTATAAAAGGGAACTTTCTTTCAACAGCTGCTATCCTAACACACACTTCATGCAGGAAATGCTGGCTAAATGCCCCCTTCTGTCATCTGCCCGCTTTCGCAGTGACGAGCCGGTCCTCCAGCATTCTCCCAAGGTCGTAAATTACATTACTTTTAGTATCAATAGGAAGCCGGGAATTCTGAACAGTTGGTGAATTTAAATCCACTGCAATTATTTCACTTTTTGATAATCAAATGGTCCCATCTCTGGCCCCATGGCTGCTCTTCACCTTGTTCCCCAAGTCCTCTGACACCACCCTAGCAGCCTGTAAGGGCTTCCTCATTTTCTGGCATTACGAGATATTCTACGCTTATTTTGTATATTCCCTGACCCTGACCTGGAATTAGTCATTTCTCTGGTGATGCTAGCGATGTCCAATGGTCCTGGACCAAAAGAACTTTATTAGAAAATCAAAGAAAGCTCTACTCTGTTTCCACTTGTTCTATGCCCAGTTGTACTGATGTCCTACAGTCCTCTACCTGATCTACGTTCACTGGAAAGTGTGAGTCTCAGCAGGAAGCACCTTGCTCTCGTGTCCGGCTAATTCGAGTGCTTTACGTAGTAGAGGAATTGCTGACTTTTGGGACATTTCTGGTCTTGCCAAAGTTCACCTTGTAGTAAAGCCCCCAAAGATACTTCCCAAATAGATGCTCTCTTGAAAATAACTCAGACAGCATGGCAGGGCACAGTGGCTCACATTTGTAATCCCAGCACTTTGGGAGGCTGAAGCGGGTGGATCACTGGAGGACAGGAGTTCAAGACCAGCCTGGCCAACATGGTGAAACCCTGTCTCTTCTAAAAATACAAAAATTAGCCGGACGTGGTGGTGCATGCATGTAACACTGGCTACTCGGGACGCTGAGGCAGAATTGCTTGAACCCAGGAGATAGTGGCTGCAGTGAGTTGAGATCGTGCCACTGCACTCCAGCCTGGGCAACAGAATGAGACTCTATTTCAAAGAAAAAACAAAATAAAACGAAAAAACACGACCAAACCTCAGCAGAGTCTAACAGGTCCTATATAAGACTCTATACACTGGAAAGAGATGTCGCTGCAGAGATGCCAGCACAAGAGAGATGTAGGGCAATCCAAACCAGGCTGGCCGCGATCAATGCCCTCATCCACTCATGTCCTCTCCTTTCTGTCTACATTTCCATTTTAATTCTGCAATGGGCCATCTTCCAGCATATAAACCAATAAACATGCAGCAGTTTTCTAGGCGTTAAGTAACTCCAGAAATGGTTAAGAATTTTCCACTTTAAGGAACCAGACCATATCTTTTAACCACAAAAAAGGTAGAAAAGTGAATAGATGAAAAAATATCGCTAATTATGTTAGTAATAAATCCTGGTCTTTCTTACTGATGAACGGTGGCTGCAGTAAACCCTAGAAATGTTCTGCCACCATTCAAACAAATGTCCAAGCTAGGGTAGTGCAGGCTCTGGTCCTCACGAAAGCCGAGACTGGCCTTAGGCAAGCCCTCCACCATAGCCCAGGGAGGCTGCAGCTCTGATCAATCCCTGCTAAGGCCATGCCCGAGGTCGCATCGTGTAGGCATTCCTCTCCTTTCCAGGCCACTTGTCTTATCCTACTGATGCCATTACTGGGTCAGAGGCGTCAGCTACGCTTCAGTCAAGTGCTGACAATCTCCACAGGTAACCAGCCGAGGACCTTGACTGTGCGGGGAAAAGCCCATCAGAAAAGAACTGTCACTTTTCCTCTGCAAGGTGAAACAGGAAGAGTGGAAGACGGACAAGGGCCCAGCTCGTCTGCGGCACGTTCCGCTCCCCACCGCTTCTCCGCGCCCCGCAGCACTGCAGTGAGGAGCCGCCACAGCCCGTCTGCAGTGGGCGTCCGCCACCAGCACAGAAGAGCTTCCCCCACGGCTTCAGTCAGCACAAGGCTGGACTGTTTCCTGGGTGACTCAGGGGAACTTCCAAACTCGATGACTAATGCTTGCATCCAGGATAATCTACGGCACCCACCATGATTCTCCCTAAAAACATGTCGCATCTGCCTTGGAGCCTTTTTGGAAAGAGCACCTGGCATACCCGCTGCTGCGCTGTCACGTCTGAATGCAGTCCATACCTTGGGTTTGTTTGGGTGTGCCAAGCGTGAAGTGGCAGTGACCGGAGACCCAAAAATGTCGCTGGTCTTCCCTCCAGGTGGGTTCAGGTGCTGTCGAGTCTGCACGGGGGTTGATTCGTCAAAGATACCACTTCCTTTACCCCCTGCAGAAACGATCACAGAACACTGAGCAACCAGACGTCCACCGGACCCCACCCCACCCCACCCCCGCAGTGCTTTGGAGACCTCCTCTCATAGGAACCCCGAGTGCCAGCCCTGAGCTCCAGGCCAACAGGGCAGGATGCTCAGACTGAAACCCCTGAAGATCCATGAAACCCCTGAAAACCATGGCTGGATCAGGGGCCTGCCTGCAGCCCTTATGTCTAGAACTGAGCTGATCTAGGCTGGCCTCTAGAGGTGAGATGGCATCAAACTGCAGATTTTCCCTCTAGAATTTCTTTAACCCTGAACATTTCATGCTTTCCTGTTGAAGTGTCTGCTCACAAAACCCATGAAAAGTTCTTCAGTAGATTAAAAATAAACAGCTAAATGTTTAAGTCACACAGATAAGAGTTCTGAATTTAATAACATGCCCTATTCAAGGGAAACCTGCCATCCTGAAAATATTTATTAGTCATTCTTCTGACCTCATTCTGGCTGGTACTTCCAGTGACTAGATATGTCAGCAAATTAGACACATGTAACATCTTTGTTGCCAACTATAAGTGACTTGATAAGCCATAATGAAAATGTGCGTCTAAGAGGTAACTTCCTAGTAGCAGGTGACTAAAGGCTAGATGCTCAGCATAAATGCCCGTGCCTAACATTCCACAGAAAGATGGCTACCCTGTGGGACCAACTGATCATCTCTTCACTCAGCAGACACCAAGCACCCACTTTTGACAAAGTGCTATGCTAAATGGAGGTTGGTGTCATTAAAATCATGGCCCTGGTGCACCAAGAACTTATAATCTAAGAGGAAAGAAGATGCATTCTGCTAACTTGCTGTGTGATCCTATGGAAGTTACTTGGCCTTTCTGTGTCCCACAGTCCTCATCTGTAGAATGGGGATAATAAAAGAACTCCCTCACAGGACTGGAAGAAAGCTCAGTGAGTTACTGTAGCTCATATGTCAAATGCTTACAACAGTGTCTGGGATGGAAATAAACATGTCAACTCTATTTTCTATGCAATGATAAAGAGGTATCTATACATATCATCCAGTGAAAACACAAGGGTGCAAACAATCCATATAGCATGCAGTGTTTTCATGTAAAAGGGGAAGTGTTCTTATTTGCTTTTATCTGAAGAAAAGCAGTTACCTGTGGGGGATGCCTACACGTGTGAAGAAACAGGACTGGGGAAATGCAGGGGCTCCACACTGCTTAACATGGTCTCCTTTTTTTGTTTACAGAGTTTTGATCTTTTGCATTTTCTGTTCTCGAAAAATTACATTTTGTAAATTGATTTATTTAACTTAAAGAGAGTTTATTCATGTGTAATGCTTGAGTATAGCCCACCTGGAAACACCAACTCCAAAGGAATGGAGTCAGTGTTCTGAAGTAGGGACATTAGGGTTTCATTTATATAGGCAGAGACAGAGGAGCTTTTAGCAGGACTACAAACTTTTCTCACACAAGGTTAGTGTACAGTTACAGCAATTTGGTTACAGGAAAAAACCACATATTCAACAGTTAATTCCTAGTGTTAACAATCCACACTGCTCCACAGAAGCAACCGGATGAAGAGCCCACGTGTGCTTGCGTGGAGATGAGGCTCGGCTGGGGGTCTGTGCACCTGCTCGTCTTCAGACCCGCTTGAGGGCCCCACTGCTGCGGCGGGGCCTAAAGCAGGGTGGCTTTCTGGGACACCAGTTCTAGGGGCCCAGAGTGCAGCGACAAGGAGGACTATAACAGAGCACAGCAAGTGGGGGGTCGGGCGGGCGTGTCTACCTTTTGCAGGTGGTAACAGAACACCTGGGGATATGCGGGACTCGCCCTGCAGAGAAATGTGTACATTTTTCACATGACTTCAGGGTGATAAACCTTCTGAACCTCAGCCATGGACCTCCCAGGGACCCACAGTCCCCAAGCTTGACACCCCTGGCCAGGGAGAGCAGCACAGCACGGTGGGGAGAGTGTCCTGTGGCCAGACTGCCTGGGTCAGGGAGTCTCTGCTCAGCTGCTCACTAACTGTGAGACCTTGGACAAGTTATGTCAACCTTCCTTCATATCCATCTTCTTAACTTTAAAAAGGTAACAAACAGTCCAAGTGCACTGGCTCACACCTGTAATCTTAGCACGGTGGGAGGCCAAGGTGGGAGGACTGCTTGAGTCCAGGAGTTCAATACTAGCGTGGGAAACAAGTGAGACCTTGTCTCTACAAAAATATTTTAAAATTAGCCTCTGGTCCCGCTCCTCAGAAGGTTGAGGTGAGAGGACTGCCTGAGCTCAGAAGTTGGAGGCGGTGAGCTGTGATGGTGCCACTGCACTGTAGCCTGGGTGACAGACTAAGATCCTGTCTCAAAAAACCAACAAAACAAAAAAAAGGTAATAAATAATCATACCTACCTAGGGTCACTGGTGAGGCTAAACAAGTTAACTCAGGTGACGTGGTTAGAATAGTCCTGGCCTGCTGAGTAAGCCCTCAGCAATGCTGCAGGGCTGTGTCAACAAGCACGTCAGGACCACGGGGCGGATAAAACTGTGTGTGCAACCCCCAGCCCCCACTGCAATGTTCCTGGCTGTGCTATAACGGCTGACTTTTTTTTTTTTTAATGTGACTCCAGCTTTTTAAAATAGAAGATAAAAGTAACTCAATTTGAAGTTTTTGGCCAAAGACATCACTCATTTTTAAAAAATAGTTAAACTGTGAAACATAACAGAAAAGTCTGTAAGACATTAACTATCACAAATAACTACAAGGCAGACACCAGGTAACCACTGCCAAAGTCATCGAGAACAGTGCCCGTTCCCAGAAACTCCTGTGTTCCTTCACTCTCACCCAAGGTTACCACACTCCTGAATTTTTTGGAAACCACAAACATTTTTACCACGTATACGTGCAATAGGTACTAAACAATGTACCTCTGCTTTTAACCTTCATAACTAGGTAGTCATACCACATATGTCTATTACCATTTTACTTGAAAAATAAATTCAGCTTTGAAGCAAGAAAACATGCTTAAATTCACTAATAATTGAAGATAAACTCGAGAGATGTTTTTTCCTCCTGCTAGATTTTTGATTTCCAAGGGCTCTGTGTTATTTTGTTTTTAAAAATATCATTTATTTATTTGGGAGATTGGGCCTCGCTATGTTGCCCAAGCCAGTTTCAAACTCCTGGGCTCAGGCAATCCTCCCACCTCGGCCTCCCAAAATGCTGGGATTACAGGCGTGAGCCACCGCACCTGGCCTACAAGATTTGTTTTTAAAAGCAAAACTAAAAGATAAATACTGCTGGTGCAAATAAGCACATACACAAGAATGGTAAACACCAGGCAATGCCCTGAAAAACCGGTTGGAACTATCTATCCATATTTTAAACTCATATATCATCTGATCTACCAATTCCATTTTGAGAAATTTATCCCAGTGGATACATTCAGGAAGTCAGTTTAAGGCATGGAATCTGGAGTCAGAAAAACCTCAATTCAAAGGCTAGCTCTGCCACCGACTAGCACTGCTACCGGCTAGGTCTGCTACCGACTAGCTCTGCTACGGACTAGTTCTGCTACCGACTAGCTCTGCTACTGACTAGCTTGGGATTTATGCATGCCAGTGACCTTTTCCAAGCCTGTTTCCTCCTCTGTGAAAGGAGCAAAACAACCTACTCCTAGTTATAGCGAACACCAAATGAAAAATACACATGCAAAGCACTTAGCACAGTCCCCGGTAAATATTAACAATTCATAGACGTTGGTCATCATTGCTAGAAGAGGAAGAACAATTCATGGAACATCTAAACCAGGTGACTAACAAAGAACACAGAGACTACTGAAGATTCACTGAAACACTGAATGGGAATTGATAAACATTCGATGGCTATGATGTGGTCGGTCACACACACTCTCGGCCTCTGCATACTTTTCTCAATCAAGCCCTGCAACTAGAGGGCTGTGGGGCTAGGTCTGTGTGACTAAGTGTAGAAAGAAGGCAGGACTCCAGATCTCGTTGGGTGGTGAACACAACTAGCAGTTTCCCTTTCAGGCTTCCCTTGATAATATACCATAAACCGTCTTCCAAGAGCACTGGAGAGATAGGAAAACTCCCAACAACCGTGAGAAGGACCATGAGAAGCAGGAACCTGGCATGGGGAGCCATGATGGCTGGCACCACACACTGTGACCAGGAGTAGAGGCTGGCTCACTAACCGCAAGGGGCCGGGCTCCCCACTGGGCATGAGACCATGTGGAACGGGCAAAGTGGTACCGCCTGCCTTCCATGGAGTGCTCTAGGAACAGCTCCAGACATGACTCTGCTGAGTAGGGGCCAAATGAGCAGATTCATACACCTGGAAATGGCTCAGATAGGATTCTATCTTGCATGCGATATATTATTCTGCTATCCTTGCTAAAAAGGACATGCAGGAGTCCCTGGGCCTAAATTCATAAACCGGAAACAACGAGAATGTTAGTCACTTAATAAGAAACACTCATTTCTCTAACAACCAAAAAAGCAACCAAACAGACCAAAAAAAGGCAAGCAGCAAACCTAGCTTCGGCCGGGCACAAGGGTGCATGTCTGTAATCTCAGCAATTTGAGAGGCCGAGGTGGGCAGATGGCTTGAGCCCAGGAGTTCGAGACCAGCCTAGGCAACATGGTTAAACCCTGTCTCCACAAAAAATACAAAAAAAAATTACCTAAGCATGGTGGCATACGCCCGTAGTCCCAGCCACTCAGGAGGCTGAGGAAAAAGGGTCACCTGAGCCTGGGAAGTCAAGGCTGCAGTGAGTCATGGTGGTGACACTGCACTCCAGCCTGGGCGACAGAGTGAGACCCCGTCTCAAAACAGACTAAAAACAAAAGAAAAAACTAGTTTCTGGATCTACTGCTTTTTTTCCTCTACATTTGGTCAATAAATATTGGTACCCCAAAACGGAGTGAGGTCGGGAGTGGATCTGGCTCTGATTCATGACCTGCCTGACACAGTGACACCTAAGCACGGCCTCTCAAACCTTCTAAGGATGGAAGAGACCATGCTTTCCCCTCTTGTACAGACGGGGGAAAGCGACTCAGGTAACCTCCACTGGGTGGTTATTCAACTGGACAGTCTATCAGCCAAGAGAAACCTTTTTCTATTTTTTTTTTTTTTTCTTTTTGAGATGGAGTCTAGCTGTCACCCAGGCTGGAGTGCAGTGGCATGAATTTGGCTCACTGCCACCTCCACCTCCCGGGTTCAAGTGATTCTCCTGCCTCAGCCTCCTGAGTAGCTGGGATTATAGGCGTGCACCACCACACCCAGCTAATTTTTGTATTTTTAGTACAGATGGAGTTTTGCCATGTCGGCCAGGCTGGTCTCAAACTCTTGACCTCATGATCACCTGCCTTGGCCTCCCAAAGTGCTAGGATTACAGGCATGAGCCACCACGCCCGGCTGAGAAACCTTTTTCTTTTTCTTTTTCTTTTTTTTTTTGAGACGGAGTCTCGCTCTGTCACCCAGGCTAGAATGCAGTGGTGCGATCCCGGCTCACTGCAAGCTCCGCCTCCTGGGTTCATGCCATTCTCCTGCCTCAGCCTCCTGAGTAGCTGGGACTACAGGTGCCCGCCACCACGCCCGGCTAATTTTTTTTCTTTTTTAGTAGAGATGGGGTTTCACTGTGTTAGCCAGGATGGTCTCGATCTCCTGACCTCGTGATCTGCACACCTTGGCCTCCCAAAGTGCTGGGATTACAGGCATGAGCCACCGCGCCTGGCCAAGAAACCTTTTTCAAAGAGTCCCTCCTACTGTAACCACTAGGAGGTTGGGTAAATACTGAAGAACTATGTAGATGTGTGCTAGATCAATTCTTCCTTGTTAAGAGTTTCAATCCCACTGACGATCTGAATAAAAACACTCTCCCTCCCTAGGAAAAATGTTTAAATGCACAATAATTTGCACGCAATTTCAGGAATCTCATGGGGGTCCGTGGAACAATTGGGAGCAGCTCCCTGGCAGGAACCAGAAGCCCCCGTCCACTTTTGTGTCCTCAGTGCCTGTATTCAACCAAAGTCTCCAGAACAGATGGAGAATTCAAGACTACTCAAGTCACCTTCAAGAGAGAAAGTACAAATCAGAACGTTTTCATTTTGGAAGAACTCTGATAACAAGTGATTACCTGAACCAGACAATATGGGAAAGGATCAGTATAAAGAAACAGAAAATATTTTCAAAAGAGAATCGTGGAGGCCAAAGGATTAAGGATTTCCAAAGGCCCATACCTGGGGGATTTGTCCTCTTGGGTATGTTCTGAGGTTCTTCTGTTGGTCCAAAAATATTAGATGCCATCCTATTAGGCCTGCTGGAAGGAGTAGCTTCTTCTGGACTTCCAAAAAGATTGCTCGATTCTCCTCCTGGGGGCTTCATGGCCCTACAAGCACAGAGTACATGCCAATTACTGATGGCAGACCTGAAAGCTTGTCACTGTGCAAGGATTTTGGCACAACTAGACAGGGTAAAAGTATTTTGTTTTTTTCTTTTTGAGACAAGGTCTCATTCTGTCACCCAGGCTGGAGCGCAGTGACGTGATTTTGGCTCACTGCAACCTCTGCCTCCTGGGCTCAAGTGATCCTCCCACCTCAGCCTCCTGAGTAGCTGGGATTACAGGCACCCACCACCACAGCTGGCTAATTTTTTGTATTTTTGGTAGAGACAGGGTTTTGCCATGTTGCCAAAGTTGGTCTTGAACCCCTAAGCTCAAGTGATCTGCCCACCTTGGCGTCCCAAAGTGCTGTGATTACAGGTATGAGCCACCATACCCAGCAAAAGTATTTTCTTAACATCTACTGAGAAATCACATACCACCATTAGTTAATACTGGTATGACTAGTTTACAGACGCCAGACTACTTCTGCTGCTCTTTAGTTTCCCTTAAAAGTATTCTTTTTTTTTTTTTTTTGAGATGGAGTCTCGCTCTGTCGCCCAGGCTGGAGTGCAGTGGCACGATCTCAGCTCACTGCAACCTCTGCCTCCTGGGTTCAAGTGATTCTCCAGCCTCAGTCTCCTGAGTAGCTCAGATTACAGGTGCCTGCCACAACACCTGGCTAACTTTTGTTTGTTTTTTTTGAGACGGAGTTTTACTCTTGTTGCCCAGGCTGGAGGAATGCAATGGCGCAATCTCAGCTCACCACAACCTCCGCCTCCTGGGTTCAAGCAATTCTTCTGCCTCAGCCTCCCACGTAGCTAGGATTACAGGTATGCGCCACCACACCCAGCTAATTTTGTATTTTTAGTAGAGACGGGGTTTCGCCATGTTGGTCAGGTTGGTCTCGAACTCCTGACCTGGGGTGATCCACCTGCCTCGGCCTCCCAAAGTGCTGGGATTACAGGTGTGGGCCATCGCACCTGGCTCTTGAATCACTTTTTATTGTAAAAACTTAAACTTAAGAACTAATAAGGAATTGCCACAAAGCTCTATTTCTAGAGCACTATCTACATTAAAAACCGGTGAAACGCTGAATTCATAACAACTGGAAAAACTTTTAAATGCATTTGAGAGAGAGGCTTACTGAAATTGAGATTTAAACCAGTGAGTGGCACATGCTCTCTCACTAGTCCTAAGCAATGGGACTGTCTGTGATCCCAGACGTTTAGAAACGAAGTCAGCCCTCTGTATCCACGGGCTCTGCTTCCATGGATTCAACCAACCTCAGATCAAAATGTCAGAAATAAAAGGATGGTTGCATCTGTACTGAACATCTACAGACTTCTTTTCTGTCATTATTCCCCAGGTGATACGGTGTAACAACTATGTGCATAGTATTAGGTATTATATGTAACCTTGTAACCTAGAGATGATTTAAAAGCATATGGAGGATGTGCATAGGTTATATGCAAACATTACACCACTTTATATCAAGGACTTACACATCCTTGGATTTTGGCATCCTGGGGGTCCTGGAACCAACTCCCGCAGGATACCAAGGATGACCATACTTGAAATTACAGGGCTCAACATCACACAAAAACTATGATATGAGGTTAGATCTCACTGGAAAGCTTTGCAAACACTGACCACTCAAGGTTTGGTTAACAAAAATAACAGTTTCTCCTCAAAAGATCTAGAAAGAGCGCTGAGGGCTCCTTGTGACTGGATGTGAATGGAGTTCTCAGATCTCCTGCTATAAAGCAGGAAGGCAGAGAGTGCTTCAGTCTCCGCCTGCAGAGACCCACGGGCTGGCTACTGTACCCCAGAAACCAAGCGTGTGCTGGCCGACCTCTGAAGTGGTGCCCAGGGCCCCTGTCCACTCAGGAGGCTGGGGGAGGTGGATGCCAAACTTCCTGTCAGCAGTTGCCATTTCCTGGAGGATTTGAGGAGGGAGAAAAAAAAAGACAGGTGCACTTAAGAAAAATTATTTTTTAAAAATAACCAATAACCAAGCTTAAATGAGAAAGGGCTGTCCGGGAGCAGTACCTGGCACCTGTAATCCCAGCACCTTGGGAGGCCGAGGTGGGAGGACTGTTTGAGCCCAGGAGTTCGAGACACGCCTGGGCATATGGGGAGACCCTGTCTCTACAAAAAATACAAAAATAAGGCCAGGCGTGGTGGCTCACGCCTGTAATCCCAGCACCTTGGGAGGCCGAGGTGGGCGGATCACGAGGTCAGGAGATCGAGACCATCCTGGCTAACACGGTGAAATCCCGTCTCTACTAAAAATACAAAAAATTAGCCGGGCGTGGTGGCGGACGCCTGTAGTCCCAGCTACTCAGGAGGCTGGGGCAGGAGAATGGCGTGAACCCGGGAGGCGGAGCTTGCAGTGAACCAAGATGCGCCACTGCATTCCAGCCTGGGTGACAGAGCGAGATTCCGTCTCAAAAAAACAAACAAACAAACAAAAAATTAGCTGGGTGTGGTGGTATGCGCCTGTTGTCCCAGTTATTCGGGAGGCTAAGGCTGGCTTGAGCCCAGGAGGTCAAAGCTGCAGTGAACCATGATTGCATCACTGTACACCAGCCTGGACGAAAGAGTGAGGACTTGTTTCACCAAAAGGAAAAAAAATAAAGGGTGGTGGGTGGGAGGGCGTGGCTTAACAAGATTTTAGGTGAGGTGCTCTTAGAGTGGCCATAAGGCCATCTGACTTCCATATCCATTTTTGAATCACGCAGCCCTCCTAATTCTACATTTTTTTTTTTTTTTGAGACGAAATCTCGCTCTTGTTGCCCAGGCCAGAGTGCAATGGCACAATCTCGGCTCACTGCAATCTCCACCTCCTGGGTTCAGGCGATTCTCCTGCCTCAGGCTCCTGAGTAGCTGGGATTACAGATGCCCGCCACCATGCCCAGCTAATTTTTCTATTTTTAGTAGAGACGGGGTTTCACCATGTTGGCCAGGCTGGTCTTGAACTTCTGACCTCAGGTGATCCGCCCACCTCAGCCTCCCAAAGTGCTGGGATTACAGGCATGAGCCACTGTGTCCGGCCTATTTTATTTTTTTGAGATGGAGTCTCACTCTGTTACCAGGCTGGAATACAGTGACGCGATCTCAGCTCACCGCAACCTCCACCTCCCAGGTTCAAGCAATTCTCCCGCCTCAGCCTTCCGAGTAGCTGGGATTACAGGTGTGCGTCACCGTGCTTGGCTATTTTTTTGTATTTTTAGTACAGACGGGGTTTCACCACGTCGGCCAGGCTGGTCTCAAACTCCTGACCTCAAGTGATCCGCCCGCCTCGGCCTCCCAAAGTGCTGGGATTACAGGCGTGAGCCACTGTGCCCAGCCAATTCTGCGATTTTTCTTGGATAGTGTAGCAGGTCTAAACATGCACGGGTCTCTACAGTTCTCTCTTTGGAAATAAGGGATGAAGGCCTGCAATCTTTCGAACTGAACTGAATTTATCAAGTCTTATGTGAGCTGAGCATGAGCTATAATTCCTTTTACTGACTTATTTCAAATATGGCTTTTCTCTCAAGCCCTCAAGGTGCTACAAACTGTCAGATCTGATTCCAGGTAGACTCGCCTTGACTGCAAGCTCTGTAGGACTCTTTCCCGACCCCACATTCCCTACATTCACAGTCTCCTGTCTCCTCTGCCTTTCACCCTTGCTTCAGTTCAACTTGCACATCTCTCGAGCACCTATCATTGGCAATCCTTCCCCAGACGCCGTAGATAGAGGAAAGCAAGTCCTTACCCCGGAGGAGCTTCAAGTTTAAACAGGAAAGCTAGAGCTCTGCACAGGTGGTTTCAGTGTCTGTGTGAGTGACGTGACAGACGCCTAGTGCCATCGGGACTCCAAAATTTGGAAGAGGTGAAACCCAAATTGAGTCTGTGGCCTCCATGTGGAATGGGGACCAATGGGCGCAGGAGGTGAGTGGTAGTTACTTGCAATGACCAGTGTTACTTTGGGGTGATGGAAACACAATATTTAATATTGTTCTATGTGCTTTTCTGAATTTTATTTGAAAACAAGCAAAGAAAAAAAAGTGGTACCAAAGACGGTTTTAGCAGAAATTATGGCGCACACAGGCCCAGCCCCAGGCAAGGGGCAGCGGCTATCTCGGTCACAAAGGCAACAGGTCCCACTGCAGGTTTCACACAGACCGCAGGGCTGGGCTGCCTCAAAGGGGTCTCGGATGAATGGAACTGAGCGTTCAATAGACCTTTCAACAAAAACAGCCCGACAACAATGGCGCAGTGTGGCTTTCTCTAGGCTACAGGCACTTACCACTATGACACTAATAGGGGGAGGGGGAACGCTAGAGCTCACACATTTGGGGACAAATTCACAATGTGAGTGGGGGGTGCTTCCCAATTATTTTTTGCCTTTTGTGGTACCCCTTCCATATATTTCAGTGAAGATATTCAAAACACACAAGAGAAACTCAAGCGCACAGGAGAAGAAAAACCTCACACAGCTGGAGTGGACTGCAGCACTGGAGAGGTAGGGAAAAGCTGTGTGACCCTCCTCGGGGGTCTCCATGCTCCTGACCCTCTCTAATAGTTTGTCCCCGAGTTTCAGAAAGGATGAGGGGACTGGTCAGGCTTAGAGAGAAGCAGTGAGAAATAAACTTGGATTAAATTCCTTACAAATAGAAATGTTCCAGCTTGAAGGAAGACCTCAGGTTAATCGCGGCTAAAGCATAACGCTTTTACGAAACCCCTTTAACACAAGACAATCCCTCAGCAAGGAAAGGAGAGATGTGAGGTCTCAGGAGAGGAAAACCTGGCTAGGTAATCTTACAGCCACCACCTGACTCGCTTCACAGCAAAACTAAATGTGACGCTTACAAGGCGCCCGCCCTGCGACTCGACCCCGTTCAGATGAGTGGCAAATGTGCAGCGTCTGGTGGACCCCAAGCAGAAGCTTCCAGTGATACCTCATCATCCAGTTCAGACCGGCTTTCCTTCCTCACCATCCTAAAAGGAAGAGTTTTCTCCCTTTCTCAACACCTTGTCCAGAAACCAGTCCCCCAGGGTAGTGTGAGTATGACTTTAGTGCGGCCCTGTGCAGCTAACTTCTGGAGCGTGAAAGTCAATATAAAAACATCGGCGTCGCTCAGGGTGATAATAAACACCATCATTTACCGGGCAGCCAGTGCCAGGCAGCACAAACAAAAAGGAAACGTACTAAATGCACACAACTGGGACAGGGCTGGGGATGCAGTCCCTCCCCCCACTGATGTGGGTGGTGCAAAACTCTGGCCACCAGGAACCAGAAACCGGATTCGCTCTGAGCACTAGTTTAAACTCCTGGTCCCACATCGGTGCAGACCTAGGCATAATAATCACTGTTCCATGGATGAAGGGCTGTTTCTTTGAGACGGAGTCTTGCTCTGTCATCCAGGCTGGAGTGCAGTGGTGTGATCTCGGCTCACTGCAAGCTCCGCCTCCCGGGTTCACACCATTCTCCTGCCTCAGCCTCTCAAGGAACTGGGACTACAGGCACCCGCCACCCCACACCCGGCTAATTTTTTCGTATTTTTAGTAGAGACGGGGTTTCACCGTGTTGGCCAGGATGGTCTCGATCTCCTGATCTCGTGGTCCACCTGCCTCGGCCTCCCCAAGTGCCGGGATTACAGCCGTTGAGTCACTGCACCCTGCCACGGGTAATTATTTGGTTACAAGTATTACTGAATACTGACCTAACTCCCTCAAATCTAAAGGGTTTTTTTTTTTTTTGAGACGGAGTCTTGCTCTGTCGTACAGGCTGGAGTGCAGTGGCATTATCTTGGCTCGCTGCCACCTCTGCCTCTGGGTTCAAGTGATTCTCCTGTCTCAGCCTCTCCAAGTAGCTGGGACTACAGGCACACACCACCACGCCTGGCTAATTTTTGCATTTTTAGTAGAGACGGGGGTTTCACCATGTTGGCCAGGCTGGTCTCGAACTCTTGACCTCACGTGACTCGCCCACCTCAGCCTCCCAAAGTGCCGTGATTACAGGTGTGAGCCACCACGCCCGGCCAATCTAAAGGGTTTTTATTTTTAGCAAGTTGGAGCAATTCTTTTACTTAGTATTTATTCAATATAGTATTTGTCTTCACTTGATCATAGCCAAAAGGCTGAGAAGCAATATAGTATTGGTCTTAACAGTCATGGCACACATATTCTCTTCTACTTCTCTGGCGAGGCTGTGCCACAGAGGGGCTCATCATACAGAAAACCTCAGGCATCTGAAGACCCAAACTTCACAATGCAAGTTTACTGCTCAAGTGGCACGAAAGACCTTGTAAGCTCTGTCCCTCTAATTCATGCGAGTCCCAATACCCAAAGAGTGCTTTAAAAGTTCAAAAACATAAGAAAAGTGTGCTCAGTGTTCCTGGCTATTAAAGCTGAGTCAGGATATCTTCGTCCCAATCCACTTCTTCCTACAGCGAAGCCCAGGAGCGCCATCCACCTTCCCAGGAGATAGAACTGACTCTTCCCCAGACGCCCTGGCACTTTCCAAAGGAAGTGGACTCACATGAACTAGTGGAAGCGCGGCCATGGGCAGGGCACAGGCCACACACACACCAGGGACACGGGCACACGGCCACACGCACAGGAGCGGGGGCATGGCCAGACACCCCCCACGAACACATCGCCGCACACCCCTTAGGGACACCCCCCCGGGAACATGGACACGCATCCCACAGACAAAATGGGCCGCACCCACGGGCACACCCCGCCCCCAGGAAACCCCCCACGGAACGCACCACACGGAACGCGGGCGCCCAGGCGCGAGGGAGCGCAGCCCGCCCTCCACACAGCTTTGTTCCCAGAGCCCGGGCGCCCCTCCCCGCCCTCGGCCTCGGTCGCGGGCAGCTCTCCACAGCCCGGGCCTCAGCGAGCGGCCCCTCGGGCTTCGGGCCTCGGTCTGGCGGCGGCGCAGAAAGGCGGGCGGCGGCCCCGAGGGCCTCTGTGAGGTCGCCCTGCCCCCCAACCCCACCCCAACCCCACACGGCTGGTGGACGCCCTGGGCTGGCCCGCTCCCGCCACGTGGTCGCGCTATCCGCCCGCCTCCCGTGTGCCCCGCGCCGCACCTGGAGCCGGCGCGGCCGCCCTCGCTATCCGGGACCTGGAACATGTCGACCGCCGCCACCCTCAGCTCGCCGCGCGCCGTTCCCGCCCGCCCAGCGCAGGTACTCAAGGCCGCCCGCCAGCGCCCATTGGGCGCCAAGACGCCAATCATCCCTCCGCAGCCTATCTCAGCGCGGCCACCGCCCCTCACGCCCACCCCCGACGACTTAGGCTTTGAACGGTCGGCGCCGCGCCCGCAGCCGATTGGGGAAGGCGACGCCGCTCGCGGAGGTGGGAGCTCGCATTGGGCGGCGGGCCGGGCGGGCCCTGGGACGGCCGCGCCCTCGGGAGGAAGCCCGGTCTGCGGGAGCCCGCGAGCCGACCGCGGGGCCGCACCTGGGCCGCACCTGCCCGACCAGGGACTGCGGGCATGGGCGCGCGGCCCTGAAGAACAGGCACAAACGACAGTCCTTAGATCAACATTAGTATGTATTTATGCACAATAAAAACATTTACAAGTTGAACTGGAAATTTAAACAGAAGTTTAACAGCTCTTATTATATTAAATAACCAAAACACCTTTTATTCCCAAAATTGGTAAAGAATAAATAATATAATTTACAATATGGTACAAAAAATAACCAGGAAAGGCAGGCATTCTGCTTTATACATACACTGTATATGCATATTTATAATCTATAAAACAAATTCATATCTGAAACGAGCGGAGGCCTCGCTATGGCTTAACCGAGTAAGAGAGAGAAGGGGAGCGGGGCGCGGGAGGCAGGGCCAGGGGCTGGGCTCCCCACACCTCACCCACCCCAAGGACACGCAGCCACTGTGACATCAGGAGAGCGCTGACAGCCGCGAAGGGTGTGCTGTGGGTTTTTTTCCTTCGTTGTAAATTACTCTTTCCTTGCTTTCTTTTTTTAACTTGAGACCCAGTTTCGCTCTTCTTGCCCAGGCTGGAGTGCACTGGCGCGATCTCGACTCACTGCAACCTCCGCCGCTGAGGTTCAAGTGATTCTCCTACCTCAAGTCTCCTCAGTAGCTGGGATTATGGGCATGCGCCACCACGCCCGGCTAATTCTGTACTTTTAGTAGAGACAGGGTCTCTCCATGTTAGTCAGGGTGGTCTCATACTCCCCACCTCAGGTGATCCGCCCGCCTCGGCCTCCCAAAGTGCTGGGATTACAGGCGTGAGCCACTGCGCCCGGCCTCCTTCCTTGTTTTCTTAAGACAAAGTGCTGTATTTCCTGACAAATGCATCGGCTAGAGCTCAAGGTTTAAAGAGAAAACACAACTGTCTTCCTCCTCCCTCATTCCCGGTGTCTTATGCCCCACAACTTTCTTTGCAGAAGAAATTTTGAATTCAATGCTGTGATCTAATTAAAGATGCTATTAAACTAAAAAGGTTATCCACCAGAAATGAGGCCACGGCCTCTCATGCCCAGAACCTGGAGGTGCGGCAAAGCAAGGAGGCCAACCGCGGAAACGCCGCCAACACCCCACTCCCTGAGCTGGCACCCTACAGCTACAAGACACAGAAGGACAAAACAGCCAGGAAGCCACGAACTAGGCATCCCCCGAGGCACGCAATGCCCGCTTATCACTGCACATCCACAACAGAATTGAGGCCAGAGGACTAACTTCCCTGGACCACAGATGCTCTGTCCCAATCTCCAGAAAAGACGAATCAACAGAAAGATCCCAGGCAACGTCAGAGGGATTCAGGAAAGCTTTTTCTAAGAAACTGATCTCATCTTAATTACAGCATGCTCAAATGCACAAAGGAAGCCACAGGCTCATACTTAGACGATCACCGCTTCTGTTGGAAAGGCAGAAGATGCAGGAAGTCTCTGTTTGGATCTTTTGAAAATTCCAGCCTTTAACAGTTGCCTATGTTTGCACATAAATATTCATTTAGGCCAGAAGAAAATGTATCCATTGTTTTTCTGCAACAAATGACACCATTTTCCCTTAATGTGGCAAGCAAATGCGTATCACCTGTCTAGTTACTAGAGAAGCAGAATCCTCTAGAACTCTTGTCAGCTTTATTACAGGAGAGGAGTCAGCCCGTCCTCCTCCCTAACCCATCTCCCCACTGGATGGCAATGGCTGCAGTTGGCTGCTCCCAGGAGTCTACGCTGGAGAACCAAGTGGTAGGTGCTGTCTAAAGAGCCTACGAAAGCAGACTCTGACCTCCAAAACTTCACCCCACTGAGTTGTCAGGGGCTAACAGGTACCCTGACAGGCAGTTCACAAACCCTCCTGTCCCTGGCACAGTGCACACAGCTCAGTGCTGTTGGGACTTGGCATCTCTGGTCTAGCCTGTGGGAGTATGAGAAAGCTAGCAGTGGCCTGAACTCGGCCTGGTATCCTAACCCTCTAGAGACGCAGCAAAGCCAGATGCCCAGAGGGAGATCTCCTTGTCTTCTCTGGCTCAATGAGATGCTAATTTTGGAAGCTGGTATACGTAGCACAAAACACAAGCTAGTGTAAAGATGCTGTAGTTCAAACACTGCTGTCTCTCTCCTAATCAAGTGGCATGTTTCTTTTTTCACCCCTAAGAGGTTTGGGACTGTTTGCTTAAGATCTCATGTCAATGTCTGAAGGAGGGAAGCCAGCTCAGGCAAGAGCTCTAAGAAAAACTCGTGAGACAAAAGAAGGAAGCTCTTGCCTGGAAGTTCACTGTCCTCTCCACGTCCTCCCAGTGGTGCAGTACACGGCCTGCCTGTGGTCTACAGTGGCTGTGGTGGGCTGGCAAGACTGCAGGACGGAGGGCGTCCACATGCTTGTCCACACCAAAGGCCTTTCCCTCCTCTTTTCACCTTCTCCATTGTGGATGGGGAGAGAAGCAGTGGAGGGGCCAGGGCTGGCCTTGAGGGCTGCAGCGTGCCACACATGTGGGGGAAGAGGAATGGTGGGGAGGAGGGAGAGTAGGTCCAAGGGGGTTAGGAAAGCACAATCAATCCCGGCTGCTGCGGGGGATGAAATGAGGCAGGAAGGGAGAGATGGCGGCACAGGCATGGCCTGCCCAACACCTCTGTAGCAGCTCCAGGCCACACTGGATGTGGATGGACGGTGACTCATGTGCCTGGAACTCCTGAGGATGAGAAGGCAAAGGGGCCCTTGTTAGCTCTGTCCTGGGGAAAGACTGGATGTTGGGCCGTCTGCAGTAGGAACGCTGGCCACCCAAGAGGGCGCAAGGAGGGAGACCACCACGAAGGCATATATTTGGTGAGGTCTGACCACATCCAGATGTCTGGGCCCTCACCTGGGTGTCCCAAATGGGAAGGAGACACAGAAGTCTCAAGGCAAAGGTATGCAAGGGACTGAACACGTATGTCAGGCACGCCCACACCAATGCCCGTGAGAGACACTTTCCCTGCAAAGGCAGGTTTGTCTCAAGTGCCAAACAGTCACACATCGAGTTTGAGAACTTATCAGGAAAGTCTTCGCTGTAATCATATTAGCGCCTAAGGGTCACCCCAGGAGGGAGAAATGACACCTTAGATCGCCTGGAAGCTTGCAAAGGGACACAGGAAGGAAACCAACTACAGAGGGGACTTTGTTCTTCCTCTTCCATGTCTCCTAATTCTTAAAACACAAGAAAAACATTTTCAACCAGCTTAGCAGGGTCCCATGTAAAGTCCACACAACCTGCATAGTACAGGACTCTTCCTGCCCCCACTCCCTGTTAAGAGTACGAACAAAACCTCTAGGGAGGGGAGGCACCAGCCCAGGGCCCCACGACTCCGCAGCAGCCCTGTGATCGGTATCCATGCTCTTGCTGCCTTGGGATGTGACACCACCAGGCATGAGCCCAGGCCACACCCAACTGTCCTGCCCGTTACAGTCCACAGAGGGCACAGCTGATGCATAGCACAGGTTTGGCAGAAAGCAAGCAGCAGGGGCTGGGGCCTCCCTGCAGAGAGGGAGATCACAGCTCCTAGTGCACAGCAACTACACCAAGGCACACATACTCCCTTGTCTCAGAAGGAAATGCCACCGGAATGTCCAACACAACAATCGAGGCAGAGCACAGGCTGAAATGGGATCATTATGCAGACCCTAACATGGGCCCAGGCGTGGTGAAGAACGGCTCTAGTACCACAGTGATTTCTAACGCTGGCCCTTGCCAAGAACTCATCCTAGTCTCCTTGGACGCCGTTGCCTGCTGCTCGTGGGGAAGCAGCTCTGTGACCACGTTCCTGCCCGTTGCACAGTCTTGGGTGCGGAGATGCCTCTGTTCAGACCATCTTCTGGGGCTGCTGGGCTTATCTATTTTTCTCTAGCTCGAAGAGGGCTTCATCCGCCACCAGGACGTGTGGTCACTGGGACAGGTCACTGACAGCGGGGCCGCCTCCACCACCATCAAACAGAGCTTCTCGGCGGCCAGGCTCAGCGATGGACAGCTCTTGGGCCAGGTCATTGAACCGAGAAATGTAATCAATGCTGTTTTCGTTCATCATGCACACCAGCTGGGAATCCACAACCTGCAGGAAGAGGAGACAGGAAGAACAAGTCACCGCGACCTGCTGGCCCTTCAGTGGAGGGCGGGTCCTGAAACAGGACGAGAAGCTCCTATCGACTCCCGCTGCAGGAAGCTAAGCTAGGGATGGCAGCCCAGGGCTCTGTGCAGAATCACAATCACCTGTCGTCTGCCCGCACACTCTTTAGATAAGTGCTCGCAGAGAGCCTATGATGTGCCTGGCACATCTGATGGCTGGGGTGAGGGTGCTGGTCCCCCCGCCCGCCATGAGACCTATGGGGGAAGACACCCAACAGGTAGACAGACTGTATGCAGCAGACACAGGCACTGGGGGCAGCCTGCAGAAACAGATGCAGAGTGAGGGGACAGAGAGTGCCGGGAAAAGGAGGCCAGAGAGGGTGCTCCAAGGACTGGGACCTGAGCGGGAGGTGGGGTAAAACCCGAGGATACGTGGGGGACACGTTTCCATCATAGACATGAGGACAGGTGGGGGACACATTCCCATCATAGACATGAGGACAGGTGGGGGACACGTTCCCGTCACAGACATGAGGACAGGTGGGGGACACGTTCCTGTCATAGACATGAGGACAGGTGGGGGACACGTTCCCGTCAAGAGACATGAGGACAGGTGGGGGGCACGTTCCCATCACAGACATGAGGACAGGTGGGGGACACGTTCCCATCATAGACATGAGGACAGGTGGGGGACACGTTCCCGTCATAGACATGAGGACAGCTGGGGGCACGTTCCCATCAGAGACATGAGGAGAGCTGGGGGCACGTTCCCGTCAGAGAAATGAGGACAGGTGGAGGGCACGATCCCGTCAGAATCCCAAGGACATGTGGTGAGGGCACGTTCCCATCAGTCCTGAGGACATGTGGGGAGCACGTTCCCGTCAGAGACATGAGGACACATGGGGAGTACGTTCCTTTTTAAAGAAGCAACAGGCATGTTCCCTGAGACAGGAAGAGGCTTTGACTGAAAAGCACGACCAAGGTGGTGGCCATGACAGAGTGAGTGAGGCAGCACAGAGCTGAGGAGACGGAGGACGGGAGGGCCTCGGCACCGGGATCTTGTCCCATGAGCAAATACGTAGAATGTGCCGTTTTCAGCGCTTATTGTCTGCGTCCTGCTCTAGAGTAGAAGCCTCATGAGGACAGGGGCCATTGTTTGCACACAGCAGACCCTGCAGAAATATCCCTTAATGAACTGCATGACACTGTGAATGCAAGAAGTCTGGAAAATTCTGAATAGAGCTATGGCGTAAATGAAATTTTATGCTTTGATTATGGGAAATGTCAGACAAATTAAAATTTGTTTTCAAAAGCAGAGCAAAGAGTAATTCTCCTTCCCCTGTATGTCCATCAGCAGCTCCCACCCGTTTCATCCCAGGGCCACCCAGCTCCACCCCCGCCCCCTTCATGCTAGCCCTACCACCAGACCCTTTCATCCACAAATGCCTCAGCCCATCCTTCCAGATGACGAGGACCTGCTGAGAAACATACTCACGTTCTGAGTGGAGGGCTCTCGGGAAAATCTCATGCTAAACGCTGATCTGCTCTTTCTGAAGGTGAACACGTTTGCATTACTCGCGACGGGCAGCGTTTCACAAATACTAACTGCACCCTTTCTCTGCTACTCACTCCCAAGTGCCATCTGTTGCCCAGGATTTTATTAAAGGTGCAAATTCTGATTGGGGTGAGGCTAACACTCTGGATTTCTGACTCCAAGGGGCTCCTGTCACTGGGCTGTGGCCCGTCCTTTCAACAGCATGGCGTGAGCATGCTGCCTCAGGGCACGTACGCAGCGCCCATCTCCACAGAGCCCAGCACTTAGGAACATGCGCACAAACAGGGGAAGAGACAGAGACTGGCTTCTCGGGAAACATCAGAGTCCAAGGTGTGCCCTGAATAATGATTCTGGGGCCAAACAGGTTTGAGAAACGCCACACACTGTGAGATGGAGGTCTACGCTATTAATTGTGTCTATGTGTATATTTGGCTAAAATTTCCAGTCATATCATGGCTTGGCTTGGAATTCTCCAAAGCCTGCCCATGAGTTCATCATCTCAAGAGTCACGATTCACATTCGGATACTGGGTAGCGGAGGTGTCCGTGAGAAACAGCTGTTTTGAGCTTTTTTGGATCCAGGGTGTCCCTCAAGTATCTACCCACAAAATCCTCAAGGAACACCTGCCAATGTCTCAACATTGTGGGGACTAGATTCGGGGAATGCTGCTCCAGGACTTTCACATGGGCTAAGCCCATGCGGATGATCTCCTGGACCTGGAGTTCCCTCCCTGTCCATAGAGCCCTCACCCGACTGCCCACACACCTGCCACTCTGCACTTTACGTCACAGTGAAACGGGCCTGTCTTCACCCTGCAAGCCTGACCTGCCCACGAATGCCACACAAACCATGTGGTGGACGCCTTGAGGGCTACAACCAGATGGCCTGGCCAACAAAGAGGGACGCTGCATCTCGTCAAAAGTGGAGAGTCACAAACCACGTTTCGCCTTCCCCTCAAGAACCTGCCCCAGTGACTCCTCCTATCACTACCCTGGGCGTGGGAGAAGCATGAGGACAGCAGAGCCCATCCCAGTTCCCCTGCACCGCAGCTCAACATGACAGGGAGATGCCACTCAAAGGTCCTGCTGTTAGGATGGGAGCACTGACAACACAACTGCTGCCACCACCCCTTACTCCTCCCTCCACAACACTCCCCGCACCTCAGCACCTCACAGCCAGGGAAGGAGAGGTAACATCCCCACTCGGCTCTGGCTGCCTTCAGAGACCCTGCTCTGCGCCCCAGACCAGGGTTTCCAGTTCAGAGGCCTGCAGAGCTCAGCTATGACTAAGTCTGTCATTCTGCATGTGGGGACGAGAGCCGGCCCAGCGTCCCCAGATCTCTCCATTCTCAGTAGTCAGGGACCTGAGTGTGGACGTGCTGTCTCCTGTTCTTCTACTCTTGGCAAACAGCTCTTACTAACCCACAGGTGTGCAGGAGAGTGCTGGCAACCTCTGGCACGAGGGTTGGTGGTCAGGTGCAGCTGTGAGGTCAATGCACTCACCTCTGCAACGTCAGCCAGGGACCTGGACACAAATGAGTCCCGCGAGTTTCCATCCAACAAGCTGGGGCCAAGCAAGGAAGTGCCACTGTTGGTCCCAATGGGAGTCGGCAACATCTTCCGGCTCTTCTCTGGGGAGATGAAGCTTGCTGCGGAGAAAAGGCCAGAGGAAAACACCCTGAACCCTGCTTGGTCTGGACCAGTCCAGCGGAAGGGTCCTGAGGCTGGGGGCAGCCAGCCCAAGCCCTAGCCCCGGCCCCGGCCCCAATCCAGACTTGTGCGAAGAGCTTCCGAGGGACTCAACACGCCGTGACGAGCTCTTCTCGTTTAACAGGCCTTCGTGCATACAGACATGCACCTTGTTTTCCACGAGTCCCACGGTCTCCCACCCTCACTGCCATCCCCCACCCCCATCACGGTCTCCCACCCTCGCTGCCATCCCCCACCCCCATCATGCTCTCCCACCCTCACTGCCATCCCCACCCCCATACTTTCTTCTCTGTGACTAGTCTCATGCAGGTTGTTTCCAACTTTGCTTTTAATTTTTTTTAAAGGCAGGGTCTCGCTCTTGCCCAGGCTGCAGTGCAGTGGTGATCATGGCTCACTGCAGCCTCGAATTCCTAGGCTCAAGCAATCCTCCCACCTCAGCCTCCCGAGTTGCTGGGACTACAGGCATGCACCCCCCACACCTGGCTAGTTTTAAAATTTTCTGTAGAGACAAGGTCTCTCTATGCTGCCAAGGCTGGTCTCAAACTCCTGGCCTCAAGCAGTCCTCCTACCTTGGCCTCCCAAAGTGCTGGGATTACAGACATGAGCCACCACGCCTGGCCTGTTTCCAGTTTTTCAAGATTTACGTGTGACTTTCCAAACATCTGCACTGCTACATGAGACAAAAGGAAACGCCTGCAGGGTGCTGGGTCCCTCAGCACCTCCCAGACCCAGGTCGCCCAACTGGTTCAGAGCTGTCAGGCATGGTACCCGCCATGCCTGATGTGCCCAGCCACAAGCCCTGGCCCCGTACAACTGTGGGCGGGAAGACCCCAGACATCCAAATGGGAGCTCTCTCTGGGCAGGCAACAGCAGCAGGGTGTGCCTTTCCCTGATACACCCCCTTCCTGCCACACTTGCTACCCAGTGGGCAAACGGGCAGTGGGGGAGGAGGATGGACACGTCCTCTGAACTCTCCGATCTATATTCAAGAATGTGCCAGGTGGCAGCTGGACCATCCACTTCTGAATACCTTACTGACCACAGAAAGAGAAGAGCCAAGAGAGTGCCAAGACACCAGTTTCCTTTTCTCCCCTCAAGAGAACCCAGTCGGGAGGGGCCGGGCTAGCTGAACAGACTGGGAAGGCACACAGAACCCAGCATCTGGGGTCACGGGAATGTTCTAGGTCTCCATTGGCTTGTGGGTTACCAGGCTATACATGCTTGCCAAAGCTTGGTGAACTGTACACTAAAAATGTGTACATTTTCCTACATGTAAATTACACCCAAAAATATTAACTCAGAAAAATACAAACACTTGAGAAGCGAACAAGCCAACAGTCCTAGTGGGAGTTTGAGTAGAATGAGAATCCAGTGTCCCGCAGACCCCAGCCCCTGCTGCCCTGGAAAAGGAGATGGGAGCCCTCCCCATACACTCACCAAACAGGCTGCTGAGCGAGGAGTCGGTGGAGTCACTGGGGTACCACTGGGGGTCGTGGGTGGGAGAGGCGATCCAGTGTGGCTGGGGGCTGCTGGACGGGGAGGGAAGGCTCTTGGAACTGTCACTGCCATTCAGTTTTGCTGGAGAAAGAGGGACTCCTTCACCTGCCAACCAAGATCCCAGATCAGAAACGCCTTGTTGCGGGGTGGTGAACAGCAACTCACTTCTCCAGCCCACCACGGAGAAGGCAGCAGGGCCGCAGGGCTCTACCCTGCTGAACCAGATGGATGGCATGGCTCGGCAGGTAAGGAGCGCAGCACCGCAGAACAGCTCTGCAGGGAGGCAGGGCGCAGCGGAGTGAAGGCGACGGCAGTAGCCACCACGGGTTGCACATGAGTCATCTCACGGCACCCACAGCAGCCCTAGGAGCTGTACCTTATTCTCAATTTACCGCTTAGGAAAGGGAGGCTCAGCAAGGTGGTGAGCTGCCCAAGGCTACATGCTAGCACACTGTGAACTCATATCTCTCTCAGCCCACAGCCTGGGTCGCGCCAGTGAACAACAAACCACTGCCCCCAGGAGCTTTGTCCCAGACAGCAGGTGAGACCAAAGCCCACAGGGCCCAGCCCAACTGCTTCACAAGCTGTGCAAGACCCCAGGCCGCCTGCTCAGGTTCAAGATCAACTAGGAAAACACTCTGTGATCCCCAGGCTGAAGAGCACCTGGGGGCCATTCCACTGTCTCGCCTGAAGGTCAGGAGCAAGCCTACCAGGCCATCAGCTGCCTCAGGTCCCACAGGTACCTTATCCACCTGCAAGGTCCCTGCTGGAGACAGGCAGCACCTTGTAGGTGACAGGTTTTCAATTCGTAAAAATCACAAAACTGGAATATCCCCAGGAAGTGTGGCAAACATTGGGGCAGGAGATCAACACCTGATGACAGGAAGGGCTGTGAGGCCGCCCTGCCCTTACCGTACTGACCGGAGCTGATGGCGATCTCAATGATGGAGTCGCTAATGTGTGTGGCAGGCTCGCCCTGTGACAGCGCATCCTCAGGTGGGCCGGGCAGGGAGATGTCGAGCAGAGCAGAGACGTCTGGTGGAGACAGCCGGGTGCTGGAGCTCTCTGACGAGGACAGCGGTATGGAGAGGCCATTCTGGAGAGGGGCCTTGGGCAGCTCAGATAAGGAGAGAACAGATGAGCCCTGCTGGGAGACAGGTATTTTTCAGACACAACCAGGTCTATCAGAACCCATGACAAGGGAAGAAACACCAGCTTACTCTCCTAGCTTGCAGGCAAATCAATAGGGTGATGAGCGCTGCAGTCACCTCATCCTTCCAACTCAGGAACACACTCGGGGAATTTATTTCTCCCAAAAACACTCACTATGGCAGAGTCAGAAAGTCAGGCTGCAGTGGCCTGGACCTGCTTTGACTGCTGCCAGAAAGAGAGTGGGGGCTGGGGGAGTTACTAGCTGACAGCCTCCTCCTCCCAGAAAGCTGAGTTCTTCCAGAGCGCTAAGTTCTTCCAGAGCTGGGTCTGAAACAGCCCACCTTGGAGAGGGGAGGAGGGAAGTCTGAGGTGGCGGACAGCCATATTCATTTATCCACCCTGGGCAGTCGGCACAGCAGGTGGAAGAACAGCAAAGCCACTGCACAGTCTAGGAGAGAAGCCGGGCCACTCCAAGACTGCAGGTGGCAGCTCAGGGCACTGGAGGGAGTCCTGGGGCAGCTGCTTTGCTCAGCAGCCCAAGAGCACACTCTACCTGGAAACTGTCTGCCACTGGCTCCTGCTCAGGCCTCGAAGGGATGCTGACAAATGGGTCGGAGCCCTGCAGGAAGAGCACGCCCATGAGCAGCCGCAGGGTGCACCAGATGCCACCCATACCCTCACCCGCGACAGAGTTCCAGAAAAAGAGGCGTTCCATCCCCCTGGCCTCCTAACAGCAGAGGGACAGTAAATGGACAGGGGTCTAAGGTCGAGAACACTGAAAGGCTACTTTCAGGTGTGGACCGTGTACTTCCAATTTTTTGTTGCTTCCAAGAGTGAAGTAAAGTCCTATCAGGAAGTCAACCTTGTGGCAGGCAGGGCTGGGCTCCCTGGAGTCTTAACAGCATCAGCCCACCCCACCCTCCTTGGGGCAGCTCTGAAGTGGCCGTGGGAGGCCAGAGAAACCAGGTGCTCAGAGCCTTGGAAAGGAGCAATGGCCAAGGCCATACAGGCTGCTCTCTTCCCAGATGAAAGAGATGCTCAGTGGTGTCCGAGCACAGCGCTGTGGGCTGCCACCTTGGTTATGGTCACTCTCAGATGGAGCTATGTTTCCACACCGTCTTAGCTCTGAGTTCTCCAGTGCCACATGGCAAGCCTGTCCCCACCTTTCGTCAGTGGCTCCGGAGGCCTCTCCTGCTCTGTACTACACAGAGTTTGCTTATGCCATGGCACCCCTGGTCCAGAGACTCTCCTCCAAAGGCAGAGCTGGAGTCCAGCGTGATCTCAGCCCCATGGCTTTGGCGTCCACACCAGAAGTTGGTGGTAATGCTGAAAAGCCCTTCTAAACATACTCACCCCCACGGTGGGGAGGGTGTCTCCATCCTGGTGAGTTCCAGTAGAGTCCTGCCCCGAGATGGCACCCGTCACCTCGTCTGAAGACAGTGGAGAGATGCCAGACAAGCCCTCGGTGTCCAAGGCAGGGAGGGGGTTCCCGGAAAGGATGCCGGCACTTGTAGCTGCTAAGTCGATAGCACCTGGCAACAAAAAGGACGCTGCACATCTCTGCTCTACTGACAACCCATAAGATGTCCCAAGAGGGCTCGGGGAACAGCTTCTCCCTCGCACCTCATGTCAATGCAAGAGCCAAGGGCTTAGATGTTCTTGGTGAAGGGTAATGAGACATTATGATTTGGAGAAGAAAACATTCAAAAAACCTGGTCACAAAAACATCCCTCAGAGGCTCACTCAGTGGCTGTGGCCATGCAGGTACAGACTTACTGGCCAGGTGACTCGTGGCCTGGGGTGGAAGGACCTTGGGCACGATCGGCCGAGACAGAGCTGCTTTGGTCAGAGAAGACTGGATGGGCCGGAACGAACCTCTCCCTGCGAGGGCGAGGGCAAAAGCAGACATGTCGAGCCCGCCCGCCATGCCCTCACAGCAGGATGTGGCCGCAGGGGGCTTCCTTTACAGCCACTGTTGGGAGTGTGGGAGCCGAGCCAAGCTGGAAGCCACTGAACATTCCAAATGCTAACATGAGGAGTCAGAGGTCACACAGGCCCCCAACGTGACACAAGCTCTGGCACCCACCACTGTGCCTCCCAGGAGCTACTGGAAGGCTGCGGTCACCACTGTCATCCTGCGGAAATGGCTCTTGAAGGGTGACAAGCCCCCAAGCTGAGGTACAGGCCCCAGGGCAGTCAGAGCATCAGATTCTGGACTAAGATGCTGCCACTGCAATTTGGTTTTATCTTGCCAGGCTTCCCACAGTTGAAAATTGACAAGTAGGCAAGAGAAAAAGCAATTGACAGCTGTTAAGGGTCTTGCAATAAGTCAGTGAGAGACGTGGAAGTCAACACTGGTAGAAAAGGGAAGTCACAGAGTATGTGTTTCACTAGAGGCTTCTCCCTGTGTAATATCTACCGCAAGGAGCCAAGGCCCCCACTAAATGTACAGACTGATGGAAGCATAATCCATACACCCCAAGAACACATCCATCCCATAAAACGGCTGACAAGACATTACACAGAGAGAGCAGACAAGAGACACAACTCTAACCAAGCCAAGCGCCTCACACAGGGCCATCTGAGGCCACAGACGAAGGGCACCCTTTGGACTAGCTGCCTCGCTGGACTAGCTGCCTCGCCCGCCACCGCAGCCTGCAGCCCAGCACATAGGGCACATTAGGTATTTGTCGGTAGAATGGACAAAGGAATGCCTGAAGATAGGCCATGGAAATAAGCACCCATTGTCTCCAAAGCCAAGGCCCTCCTGTGAGGAGGAGGGACAAGCTACCCCAGAAAAGCTCAGGGTCCTTACCAGTTACGGAAGAGTTAGACAGGATGGAGAAGGAACAAACGTTGTGGGACTGGTTTTCCGATGGTCTAGGGAGCAGTGTTCTCTGTGGGGAAAATGGTCAACAATCAAGGTGATGAAACTCCCATACCAAAAAATCACTCCCAGTTACAAAGGAATGTCCCAAGTAAGAGGGTGCCCAGCATAGCCAGGTGGGGCTTTTTCCAGAGCCGATGACACAGGGTACCTGGGACTGCTCAGACAGTTAGGACCCATGTACCCCAAGCTCCAGTTAGGTCCTCTCTCAAACAAACCCAGGTAATCAAACCCTCCCCAGGGAAACTGGAGGAATGTCAGAGTCATCCACTTTTTTTTTTTTTTTTTGAGACGGTGTCTTGCTCTGTCAGCCAGGCTAGAGTGCAGTGGTGCAATTTCGGCTCACTGAAACCTCTGCCTCCTGGGTTCAAGTGATTCTCCTGCCTCAGCCTCCCGAGTAGCTGGGATTATAGGCACTCGCCATCACGCCCAGCTAGTTTTTGTATTTTTAGTAGAGACGGGGTTTCTCCACGTTGGCCAGGCTGGTCTTGAACTCCTGACCTCAGGTGATCCACCTGCCTCGGCCTCCCAAAGTGCTGGGATTACAGGTGCGAGCCACCGTGCCTGGCCTGATCCACTTTTAATCCAGAACTTTCTTCTGGATTTGACTGGAATGCAACTAGTTATACAAACCTGTTTATAACCACTGGACATGGACTTTTAGGAGTGACACCTCCCATTCTGGGCTTCCTCACACATGGGGTGAGTAAAATAAAGTCACTGCTTGTAACACACAGGCACCAAAGGGCATGAAGTGCTCCTTTCCAGGGCTTTTGTGTGTGAACAATTAGGCTGAATGTGCTACGGCAGGTTTGAGTGACAAGGACTACCATCTGAGAAACCGTGTTCATCACTGAAACTGCTAGTAATCCAGATAAAACATGAACAAAAAAGTGTCTCTCGACCTACAAGTGTCTGAGGCGCTTCCGCCTCTGGGGGTGCCGCTGCAGTTCTGACCCTTTGAAATGCCCCAGGACACTGGCGTCGGAGAGACTAGAGAGGAGGCACTACTAGGGACAGCAGTAGGCTGCAGCCTAGTAGCGGGAGCTTTCACTCCAAAGGCTACACTTTTTGTAGCAGAGATTGACACACTTTTTCTGTAAAGGGCCAGGCAGGAAATATTTTAGGTTTTGGGGCCATATACCTGCCCGTGTGGAAAACAGTAGATAGTACAGAAATGAATAATCACGGCTGTGTGCCAGTAAACTTTATTTACAAAAATATTATGTGGAAAAGAACACAAATTGTATGATCCCATTTATAGGAAATGCCCAGAACAGACAAATCCATAGAGACAGAAAGCGGATCCGTGGTTGCCAAGGGCTGGCGGGAGAAGGCAACGTGAGTTCATAGGAGCAGGGTTTCCTTTCTGGGTGGTAACGTTCTGGGATTAGACCATGGTGATGGTCGTCGTACACCTTGTGACCACTGAGTCATAAAGTTCAAATGGGCAAACATTATGATATGTGAATTCTCTATCTATAAAGTTGTTTTAAATTAAACAAAACAACAGTCAGGCTGGAAGTGGTCCCTGGGCCATAGTTTTCAACCCTGATCTTAGTTTGAACAAAGAACACCTAAGATTTAGCAGGCACTTTCTTCCTAAGACCGTTCATGCAATGTCTCATTTGTAAATATACTAATCTCAAGGGAGAAAGAGATTTCTAAGAGTCTAACAAAAGGAAACCTGTGCATGAATCCAAAATAACACACATCCATACATTTCTGAGGCCATAATTACCTCAGACTTCCCACCTCACTTTCTGTATTTTTATGCGTCAGAATGCCAAGCTCTTCTTCTGAGGTGCCTCTGAGTCCCTGGCTGTCCCCCAGGCTTGCATACGGCATCCTCGGGGACTCCTGGGGAGCTCATGAGAGGCCTGGGCTCTGGCTGACCCACATGCCCTGGCAACTGCTCCCACAGACTAAATGTTTATAAATAGGTGTTGAGATTCCATAAATACATCCCAATCTGGGACATTCTTTGGACTTGAATCCCTATAATTGTCTTTTTTGCAAGTGGATTTCCATGTTATTGAAAGATTACCTTTACTTCTGGGTACCATTAAGTTCACTGTTATTACTTGTATTTTTACCCTACTCACAAGAGGGAAGGAAGGGGCAGGAATTTCCCACATTTTACACCATGAAAATGTGAGAGAGGGAAGAAGCCCTGTGTCCTGGTTGGCCCAGCCACGAGGCCACACGTTCAGACTTGAGAAGACCCTGACCTGGACCACCAGTGGCTTCCGCAGGTGCCGGTTCCGCAGCTTCCGGGGCTTTGGCAGGAAGAAATCCGACTGCATCTGTAAGGGAGCAGCGTCCGGCACCTGAAGGTGCACTCTCCAGACCACGGGGACGCTCGCACGCGGGCGGCCCGGCCCCACACACTCACACTGATGGAGTTCAGATGCTGGCGGAAAGTCAGCTCTGCTTCTTTACTGGGAGAGAAGAGCTTCCCGTGTCGGCTGTTGGGTGGCAAGGTTGTCGGGACAGCAAAAAGGCCTCCATCTGAGTCATTGCTTCCTGTGCTGGAGGGACCAGGCACCAAGAGGGGTCTTGGAGGGTTTCTCAAACCTGGGAGAGGAGAGGAGAGAATCAGTGTGACAGCATTCACCTAGCAACAGGTCCAGGGTCACGGAATTCCGTTGGGAAGAAAGTCAGAAAGACATTCTCTTGGCAACCCGTTCGGCTGCCTTGAAAGGAGACACCTCTATCTCAGTCCCACATAAAGACTGATTTTCTATCCTTCTCACTGAAATTCTTGTTCCCATTTTGAGCAGACCACTGGTCTCCTGGATAGGACAAAAGCACTTCACCACTTCGCTCAGTGCTCAGGGGTAAGGGCAGATAAGACACCAAAGATGTTCCAGGGCTAGAAGAGCCTTCAGTGTCTCCAGGGGAGACCAGAAGTCAGTCAACTTTCCTGGTGAAGGGCCAGAAAACCAATGTCCACTCTGTAGACCACACCGTCTCTGGGGCAACTCAGCCGTGCACAATAGCAACTACAGACAACAGGTGAGCAAATGAGTGTGGCTGTGTGCCAATAAAACTTTATTTATAAACAGCAGGCAGTGAGCTGGATCTGGGCTGCAGGCCTATAGCTTGCTGCTCCCTGGTGTAAATCTCTAGTTTTTAGAAAACAGACCCAGAGGTAAAAGAACAGGAAATATTTGAGAGTTAGTATTGTGGGACCCTGCTAAATGTTTTCATCACTGTCAGTGCTGCTGTAAATCACCCTGTGAATTCATGGTAGGCCAGCCTGGCCAACATAGCGAAACCCTGTCTCTACTGAAAACAAAAATTACCCGAGCATGGTGGCACATGCCTGTAATCCCAACTACTCGGGTGGCTGAGGCAGGAGACTCGCTTGAACCCAGGAGGTGGGGGTTGCAGTGAGCTGAGATCACGCCACTGCACTCCAGCCTGGGCGACAGAGCGAGACTCCATCTCAAAAAAAAAAAAAAAAAAAATTCTTTCATAGTAGGGACTGGCCCCCTCTCACAGGACCCCTCACCCGACCCCCTCCGTCACCCAGGAGGCCAGGACCCCTCACCCGGCCCCCTCCGTCACCCAGGAGGCCAGGACCCCTCACCCGGCCCCCTCCGTCACCCAGGAGGCCAGGACCCCTCACCCGGCCCCCTCCGTCACCCAGGAGGCCAGGACCCCTCACCCGGCCCCCTCCGTCACCCAGGAGGCCAGGACCCCTCACCCGGCCCCCTCCGTCACCCAGGAGGCCAGGACCTCTCACCCGGCCCCCTCTGTCACCCAGGCTGGAGTGCAGTGGCACAATCACGGCTCAGTGCGGCCTTGAACTCCTGGGTTCAAGTGATCCTCCCACCTCAGCCTCCCGAGTAGCTGGGACCACAGGTATGAGCCCCAACATTCAACTACTTTTTTTATTTTTATATTTTGTAGAGATGGGGTCTTGCTATGTTGCCCAGGCTGGCCTCAAGTGATCCTCTTGCCTTGGTTTCCCAAGGTGCTGGGATTATAGGCATGAGCCACTGTTCCGGGCCTTATTTTACGTTGAAAACTCATTGTTTTTTTTTGTTTTTGAGATGGAGTCTCGCTCCGTTGCCCGAGCTGGAGTGCAGTGGCGCGATCTTGGCTTATTGCAACCTCCGCCTTCCGGGTTCAAGTGATTCTCCTGCCTCAGCCTTCGGAGTAGCTGGGATTAACAGGCGCGCACCACCACGTCAGACTAGTTTTTTGTATTTTTAGTAGAGACAGGGTTTCGCCATGTTGGCCAGGCTGGTATGGAACTCCTGACCTCAGGTGATCCACCAGCCTTGGCCTCCCAAAGTGCTGGGATTACAGGCATCAGCCACTGTGCCCAGTCTAAAACTCACCATTTTTACACTTAAAAATTCACCATTCTAACCATGATAATCTCTGCTTTATTCTAAAAATACTATGGGTTGAAAGCCAGTGAAACTGATGCCTCGGGAAACTGTTCATGCTTGTCTTGGGGTTTTATGTACCAGGAACACAATTTATGATCCCTGAATTTAAATTATTTCCTATACGCAGCTGGGGTAGACTGTGGACTTGGAGATTGCTCCATCATTCTTTCCGGGACTTGTGTTAACCTACTGGCACCTCCCCTAACTGAAGGATTCTCTATTCTGAGGTTTTACATGTAAAGAAAAACAGAAAAAAAACAACCTTCTCAGGGACTTTGAACCACCAACTCAGCACATTAGCAAGGCTTTTGCTGGCCCCATGAAGCAGACCCCAAAGTCACCAGACTGGCAAAGGCTGGCTTCTCACCAGCTTCTACGCCCTGGGACCCCAAAGTCCTTCACGACAAGCCCTGGCATCACCCTCCCCATGAGGAGGCAGTGATTCTGCACCTTCACCCTGTCATCTGGATAGTGGCGAGCTGGCCAGTGGGGTCCGGCCTCAGGCACACCTGTGCTCTCAGCTTCGGCACGGCCCCTGAAGCCTGAGGTGCCATCAGGGCAGCCCAGGCACAAGGAGTGTGGCTGCCACAGCCTCACCTGAGGAGCAGGGTGCAGAGCTGGGCGGGAAGGTCTTGCTGCTGCGGAGGGAGGCCTGGTTCCGAGGGCAGCGGGGGCTGCGAGAGCTGACGGTCACCACCTTCCCTGGGGGCGTCATCGACTGCTCCTCCTGGGCGGGCCTTACTGAGGCTGTAGAGATGGTGTTTGCTTCCAGAGCCTAGGACAGAAATGGGCCAAACAATGTCCAAACTCAGCACATGAGAAATGGCTCTTGCGTGCCCTGGAGTAGGAGGCACAAGAAAATCATCGAGCTCAGAAAGCACAGTGTCATGACGGCAAAGGCCAGGGCCAGAGACGCCCAACCTCAGTGTCCCCAGAGTCGCTTGGCAGCTTGCCAGTTTTAAAAGTTACTGGTCGGCCAGGTGCGGTGGCTCACGCCTGTAATCCCAGCACTTTGGGAGGCCGAGACGAGCGGATCATGAGGTCAGGAGATCGAGACCATCCTGGCTAACACGGTGAAACGCTGTCTCTACTAAAAATACAAAAAATTAGCCGGGTGTGGTGGTGGGCGCCCGTAGTCTCAGCTACTCTGGAGGCTGAGGCAGAATGGTGTGAACCTGGGAGGTGGAGCTTGCAGTGGGCCGAGATCGCACCACTGCACTCCAGCCTGGACTACAGAGCAAGATTCCGTCTCAAAAAAAAAAGAAAAAAATCAATCAATCAATCAATCAATAAAAGTCACTGGTCAGGTAAGTAATGAAAACCACTCCCTTCCTCACAAGTACCTTTCCACGTGCTACGGGCAGAGGTGGGAGGGAGGGAACCAGCCCGAAGTGCCAGCACAGGCTGCAGGAAGAGGTGCCGGATGGCAAGTGACAAGTGTCAAGAGCTCAAAGCTATATTAAAAAGTCAACATGAGACTGCAGCAGCCTCTCTGCTTGTGAGTCAGAGGAAGGAAATATAGGCTGACTTTCTAGAATCAGACACAAGCACAGCTGAAGAGCACTCTGCAGGGATGAAGCCCAACTTTGGGGGTTGTGCAGGCCCACAGAGCCCAACCCCAGGGGATGTGCAGGCCCACGCCACAGCCTGCAGAGCCTGCTGCCGAGTCCTGGGGTCCCTGTCTGGCTCACCACAGAAACGCCACCACCGCTGGGAAGACTCGGCCAGCACCCCAGCCTCTCGGCTCTCTTCCTTCTCCTCACTCTCCTGAACACCCCACACATCCCACCCGGGGCAACCTCCCTATGGACTAAGAAGCCCTCCACCCCGTGCTCTCAGCACAGCCCTGCCCGTCTGCTCACTCAGAGCCTTCAGGCCCTAGCCCCATACTACAGGCTTTCCCCAGGACCCCTCCCACCTCATGACCCTTCCTATGCTACTCATTCCACCTGCGACAGCGGCTCAGCAGCCTCCGGCATCTCCTGATCTCTGGGGCTCGGGCCTTTTGGGGTGCTTGTCACAGCTCCACCAGGCAAGAGACAGCACAGGGCCACCTGGCCCCACACCTGAGCTGCATCAGGCACCTGTCTGTCTGTCTGTCCAGTCTGCCAGGCCCACCCCAAGTCAGCCTCCCTAACTAGCTCCCAGGGGATGGGGATGCCTTTCCATGTGGGATTCCTACCTGCTCTGTGTCCCAGAACTGCTGCCTGCCCTCTCAGGAGCCCACCCTGGCCCCTTCCCTGGGGCACCCAAACACAGGCGCCATGTCTCTCCTCAGCCCCTCCCATGAGCCCACCAAAAGCCAAACCTGAAAAGCCTTCTAAAGACACTGTCTTTCTGGTCCCCGCTTACTCACCCTGGTGTCCCTGCTATGCGACCCCCGAGCCACTTTCACCCTCAGGCTTGGCCTCAGAGGTGCCTGAGGGTTGGGCTCAGTCTCCACCACCCCTGGAAGAACTTTCTTTCCTCCAGCCCCCTTGATGCTCCCCAGGCAAATCTGCACATTCCTGCCACCTGCTGATGGACCAACTCTCCGGGGCAAGCCCTGCACCGGCTGGGGGTGGGAGCGGAAAAAAAGCGGGAGGCGTGGGGAATGCAGGCAGAAGTGAGCATCACTCAGAAGCTGTAAGACGGCCTGTGTGGAGCAGTGGGTGTGTGGGGGCTCGTGAGCGCCCGAGTCCCGAGTCCCCCCAGCACAGGGACATGTGAGCCTCACACACATTCTGACCATGAAACAGCGCTAAGGGGTCCACAGTGACCTGCAGCTCCTGCCCAGTCCATCCTTTGAGCCCCTCGCCCATGTCCAGCAGCTCGCCAGCCCCTAAACGTGCCATTTCAGGATGGACCTGCCGTGGGACCTTGCTCTCTTGCACCCAGAGATCCTATCGGACTTGGGGCTGTGGGGTAGGATTACTCCTGGCAGCAGTGCCTTCTGCACCCCATCTGTCGGCTCCACCAACTGGCCTCCCTGTGGTAAGGGACCCTTCCCTAGGCTCAGGGTCCACCCACACCCTGCAGGGACCGTCCTGTCTGGTCCCCAGCTCCACTATTCTGCTGCGGCACCGCATCCCTGCTCTTCTGTGACAGCCTCTGACTTTGCCACATCTGCACAGCAGCTGGGATGGTCTTTCCAGAGCAAGAACTACACCCATCGTTCCCTCTGTGGAAACCTGTTAACAGTGATTAGATAAGCCAGAAGGCTAGCTCGGCTCCAGGCCTCACTCTGTCACCCTGGGTCCTGTGCACACTGTCCCTTCAGCTGCATGATTGGGCTTGGCAGACTCCCAGGAACACGAGGCGGCTCACAAGGTACTGCCTGCCTGTTGGCCGTCTTCTTCCATGTCCCACACAGAAGGGAGCACCCAGGCCACTCATCACTGCACTTCTGGAACCGTGCACGTAAGTGGGGACACTCATCAAGTGCCCGAGGATCCCTCCTCGAGGGAGAGGAAAGTAGTCTGTGGAGAGCCTCTGTCTCCCGGACCATTTGGGTCCCTGCCTCTCCCACTTCCTTGAGGTCCTGAAGGCTCCTGGCCCCCTGCCACAGGACCCTGTCTCTCTCATCTGGACCCCAACCGTGCTGGCCCTAGCTACCCAGCAGGGAGCCCTCCAAGGCTGGGCCTGGCTTCCCTTGGGCCGCCAGAGGGGCTGGGCTCCAACCCACTCACCAGCTTGGGGTTGACCTCGGTGGAAATGAGCTTCAGGAGGCAGCTGAGGAGGCGCTGCTTGTGGAGGGCGGTGGGTAGGGAGCCGGGGCGGGGGTCCTGGCGGCCGGGCCCCAGCCAGTCGTACTCCAGCTGCAGCTTGCTGGGCTTGCCCATCATGAGGTAGACTTCGGCCAGCGTGAGGCTTTCGGAGGTCTGCAGGTTCCAGCCCTCCTCACGGAGCTGCTGAGCCAGCCGGCTGGCGGGGACCTCCTTCGGGGGCCTGGCGGCAGGCTGTCCCTGAGACGGCGGAGGCCCCGCGGGGCTCCCCTTCTCCTGGAGCTCCTCCGCAGGTGCATCTGCCAAGTCTTTAGTGCAAACATCCAGCAGGAGCCCGGGGCCGGGCCTCGGGGATGGGCCAGTGGGAGCAAGGTCAGCAGCCTCCTTGCTGACAGGAGCCAGCACCTCTGGGGAGGCCGCCCCGCCCAGAGGGGGCTGCTCGCTCCCAGGCCGTGTGTCCGCACAGCGGCACTGCTCGGGGACAATGAGGTCCTGACAGGACTTTAGGTAGCGGGGCAAGGGGTCTAGAAGCGAGAGCTCGTCCTCCAGGTCTGGGAGCTGGCCACAGGCACACGGCAAGGCCCCTGGCTCCCGGGTGGGACTGTCCCTGCCTTCTGCAGGGGTCTTCTCAAGACATGGCCCAGTGTCCTGGTGCCTGGGAGGAGGCCTGTCAGGAGCGTCCGGGCTGCTCAAGCTTAGGGCAGCCCCCTCCCCGGGGGCGCTTTCGGGGGAACTCTCTCCGGAGCTCTGCAAGGCGTCAGCCGCAGGAGGGGGCCGCCCCACACCCTTGCCCTCAGCTCCGCTCCGCGGGCATTTCACCTGGCCCCGGGCCGTGCCCTGCCCACTCTGGATGCCCAGGATCTGGGCTGGGGGCAGCACGTGGGCGTCCTTGGCACTCTGCTTGCACCGGCCGCCCTCCTGCCAGTGCACTGTGCAGAAGGCCTTGGAGTGCACCACGCGAGCCACGCCCGGCAGCGGTGTCAGTGTACAGTTCTCGCCTGGGAACAAGTGCAGTGTCACCTTCTCCTGCATCGGTGCGGAGCATGAGTCCTGCAGCTGCCGCTCCTCGAGTGTCTTCCGCTGAGTGCCCGTCAAGGAAGGCCCACACTGGCTAGCACTGAGGTCGGGATGCTGACCAGGCACATGGGTACAGACACGAGCCACGCTCCCCACTGGCATCCCCCAGGGTATAAATCATGCCACCACCCGTGGCTTTCCTCACACCACTACCCAACAATGCTGACCCGGGCACTTAGTACCTTCAGGAAATTCACACCTGACACGCACCACGCCTATGTGGGGAGCAGGCAGGGCCGGGAGCCAGCCATGGATGTGAAGAAGGCTGGGCTGACCCTTGGTCGTTTTGCTCAACCTGCTGGTAGGAATGCTTTGGCCACACCCCGTGGGCCAGACACAGGCCACTGACATCGTGGAGGGCTGGCTGTGACTGAGTTCTAGCACTGCAAGGCCACAGAGGGGGCTCCACACCCAGGGAATAAGGGGCTCCAGGTTATGGTTCCAGATGTACACCATGTCACAGCATGGCTGTTCTGCCCACGGGGACCATGACGATGACAGGCACAGGGAGGCGTGGTCCATCTCTGGGCAGCAGAGGCAGCGCAGCCTGGATGGTTTGCTTTAGCTGGAAAAGGATACAACTCGCACCTCATGGAGCGCCCACTTCTGCTTCAAGAATTCGATGAGGCTGGAGACCTTTCGATGTAGCTCCACGATCATCCTACGGAGACGACAGACAGGAGGAAGTGAGGTTCGCAGAACAGGAAGGAAACCATCTGAAGAGTCCCGAGGCTGCTTACAGCAGGAGGGTGCCAAAAGAGACAAGGGACCTCTGGAGAGGCACCCGGGAGCGGGCGTCTGCAGGGCCCTTGGCTCCTGTGGCTAAAAACCAGCCTTTCCAGCTGCGATGGCCAGAGATTCACACAGAGCTAAAGAAAACAACACAGAGATCCCAAGTATTCTTTGCCAGCAAAAGGTCTCCGCCAGGGCGTGGGCGTGGGTGCTGGCGCACAGCCTCTGCCTAGTCTACCAGCTCCTTCTGGCTTCAAGGGCGGGCGGGCCTGGACAGTGTTAATACATTCTGAGGGAGAAGTACATGAGCGGAAGGAATGAAGTACTGATGCGCTATGATGGGTGAACCTCAAAAGCATCACGCCCAGTGAAAGATGCCAGGCCCGGAGGCCTCTGCGTGTGATTCCGTTTCTATGAAACGTTCAGAGCAGGCAAGTCCACTGAGACACAAGGCGGACTGGGAGGTGCCGGCGGCCGTGGGAGGGTGAGAATGGAGAATAGAGGAGTGAGTGCTGAGGTGCACAGGGCCTCTTCTAGCGTCATGAAAATGCTCTGGAGCTGGACAGAGACGGTGGCCACAGAACAATGTGATCGTGTTAAATGCCCCTGAACTGCAAACTTAGAAATGGCTAAGTTCACCGGGCACGGCGGCACACGCCTGGAATCCCAACACTTTGGGAGGCCGAAGCAGGCAGATCACCTGAGATCAGGAGTTCGAGACCAGCCTGACCAACATGGTGAAACCCCGTTTCTACTAAAAATACAAAAATTAGCCAGGCGTGGTGGCACGCGCATGTAATCCCAGCTGCTCGGGAGGCTGAGGCAGGAGAATCACTTAAACGTGGGAGACGGAGGTTGCAGTGAGCCGAGACTGCGCCATTTGCACTCCAGCCTGAGCCACAGAGCAAGACTCCATCTCGGAAAAAAAAAAGAAAAAATAAAAAAAGGCTAAGTTCATTTTATGATATGTGAATTTTACCTCAATTTTTTCTTTTTTTTTTTTTTGAGATGGAATCTTGCTCTGTGGCCCAGGCTGGAGGGCAGGGGCGCAATCTTGGCTCACTGCAACCTCTGCCTCCTGCGTTCAAGTGATTCTCCTGCCTCAGCCTCCCGAGTAGCTGGAATTACAAGCACCCACCACCACGCCCGGCTAATTTTTTTTGTATTTTTAGTAGAGACAGGGTTTCACCATCTTGGCCAGGCTGGTCTCAAACTCCTAACCTCGTGATCCACCTGCCTTGGCCTCCCAAAGTGCTGGGATTACAGGCGTGAGCCTCCACACCCAGTCACCTCAATTTCTTTTTTGTTTGTTTTTTTTTTTTTTTTTGAGACAGAGTCTTGCTCTATCACCCAGGCTGGAGTGCAGTGGCGCGATCTCGGCTCACTGCAAGCTCCGCCTCCCGGGTTCACGTCATTCTCCTGCCTCAGCCTCCCGAGTAGCTGGGACTACAGGCGCCTGCCACCTTTTTTTTTTGTATTTTTAGTAGAGATGGGGTTTCACGGCGTTAGCCAGAAAGGTCTCGATCTCCTGACCTCGTGATCCACCCGCCCTGGCCTCCCAAAGCGCTGGGATTATAGGCGTGAGCCTCTGCACCCGGTCACCTCATTTTTTAAAATGTACAAATGAAAAAGGGTCCATTTCCACGATGGCGCCTTGTGCATATGCGAGCCACGAGTCTCCAAGAAGCGGGTGGGAGAGGAACTGTATGGGCCTTAGTGGGGGACGAAAGGAAGGCTCTGCAGCTCCTCTTCTCACCGCGACATCCCCTCCACGGCCTGAACACAGGTTGGGCGATCCCTGCCCAGATACAGGACTGCAGCCCAGTGCTCCCTGGACTCCAGTCGCCTCCACACTGCTGCGTCCTCGTGTGATGACAGAGCATAGGGGTGGACCTGCTTCTCCTGGAAGTTCCTTGAGGGAAACTCACACACGTTGCTTCCAGTCCTGCTCAAGCAGTTGGGACCCCTCTGCGTGCCAAGGGCCATGTTACCTGAGGCGTGGGTTCTGGGCAAGGCTCTGCACACGGGCCCAGGCGTGGTTGTTCCGCGGCTGTAGCTCTATAGGGACTTTCAGAGGCAGGCGCACTGGCTTCTGGTCCTCTTCATCACTCAAGCCTGCAATGCAGAAGAACCATGAAAGTTTAGTGCAGCCCAACCTTAAGGTAGAAAACCAAGGGCTGGGCCAGAAAAACCAGTGAAATCAGCTGTGAGCAGATGGCCTTGCAAACAGAGGCAAGGAGAGCAGAGAAACCCCAGCGAAGAAGAAACTCCAATGTAGCTGCTCAGGGGTTTGCAAAGGCCACAGACTGGTCCAGAGAGGCCATAGGAGACTCGATCCTGACAACCTCCGACCACTCTGCTGACTGCTGCCATGGCTCTGAGCTCAACTTGACTGAGTGGTCGTAGGGAGCATTTCAAGTTCAAGAGTGGTCCATGTGCAGCCCTGGGATTAAGCAGGGTCAGACACAAAGCAACTGTGGCAGCAACCCGGTAGCTCAGCCTGCCCATCATTGAATGGGACACCATGGGCACCGCCTCTGGTCCCGGGAGCGCCCCATTCACTTACCATCTGGATCGCACAGCTTCTTCAGGGCCCGGCACATGGGCGCTTTGATCCGCAGGTTCCGCCCTTTGTAACGTACAGTGGTGGCCCTGGGAAAAGAGTTTTGAAGGAACGCTGAGGCCTGTGAGTGAACAGAAGGACGGAAGGGCCAGCACACGGAGAGGCGCTGAGCCAGGCCAGGTGGGGCCTGGCCAAGCATCCACCCCAGCCTCTCGAGCCCGCGTAGGACAGTGGGAGGACACAGTGACAAACAAGAAGTGGTGACTCTGCACATCCTGCTACTTTCCTGACCACACCTCACACTCCAAGGGACACCTGCTGTTTACAGAAAATGTGCTGTGCCCTCCTGCCTTGGTGACTGGCCTGGCACAAGCTGATGTCCCATCCCTGGAAAAGCCACTATCCTGGGGTCCCCTCAGATGGCCACCCCTCTCTCCACTGCCCCAGCTCTGTGCAGTCCTCCCACTTTGGGCCCTCAGAGCAGAAGCTCTCAGTCCTCCTCCCCATGACCTCTCAGTCTACCTCTCCGTGACCTCTCAGTCCACCTCCCTGTGACCTCTGTGTGACCTAAATCCAGCTCTACATGACCTGTGACCTCAGTCCACCTCCCCATGACCTCTGTGTGACCTCAATCCACTTCTACGTGACCTCTCTGTGACCTCAGTTCACCTCCCCGTGACCTCCATGTGACCTCAATCCATCTCTAGATGACCTGTGTGACCTCAGTCCACCTTTCTGTGACCTCTGTGTGACCTCAATCCACCTTTCTGTGACCTCTGTGTGACCTCTCAGTCCACCTCTCTGTGACCTGTGTGACCTCAGTCCACCTCTCTATGACCTCTGTGTGACCTCAATCCACCTCTAGGTGACCTCTGTGTGACCTCAGTCCACCTCTCCGTGACCTCTCAGTCCACCTCTAGGTTACCTCTGTGTGACTTCAATCCACCTCTAGGTGACCTCTCAGTCCACCTCCCCATGACCTCTGTGTGACCTCAGCCCACCTCTCCGTGAACTGTGTGACCTCAATCCACCTCTAAATGACCTGTGTGACCTCAGTCCACCTCTAGATGACCTGTGTGTGACCTCAATCCACCTCTAGATGACCTGTGTGTGACCTCAGTCCACCTCAACATGACCTCTGTGTGACAATTCACCTCTAGGTGACCTCTGTGACCTCAGTCCACCTCTCCGTGACCTCTCAGTCCACCTTTCCGTGACCTGTGCGTGACCTAAATCCACCCCTAGATGACCTCTGTGTGACCTCTCAGTCGACCTCTCCATAACCTGTGTGTGACCTCAGTCCAGCTCTCCGTGATCTCAGTCCACCGTGTGACCTCTGTGTAACCTGTCCAACTCTGTGACCTCTGAGTCCACCTTTTTGTGACCTGTGTGACCTCAGTCCACCTCTCCGTGACCTCAGTCCACCTTTTCGTGACCTCTGTGACCTCAATCTACCTTTCCATGACCTGTGGCCTCTGAGTCCTCCTCTCTGTGACCTCTCAGTCCACTTCTCCGTGACCTCTGTGTGACCTCAATCCACCTCTCCATGACCTCTGTGTGAGCTCAGTCTACCTCTGTGACTTCTCAGTCCACCTCTATGTGACCTCCCTGTGAGGAGTTTCTGATCTGAGAGAAAAACCAACTTGAATTCCAAGGAGTGGACCCCAGTCAAGACATGGCTCTGGGCAGCGGCCCACTGGCTGGTGAACGACAATGGGCTTGTGTTTTACAAAATGCTCAGGGCATGTGTATCTTGTTTTTACGGCTTTCTGCCTTAACCAATTTTAGGAATTCACCAACTCCCAGTTGCACACGTCAGGTAGGAGAGTTGCTGCTTCTATATTTGCTGTTGCTATTCAATTTCTAAGAAACAGTCTATGAAAAAAGCTACAGAACAGAGCGTGATTCTAAGGATGCGTAAAAAATTACATCTTCATCTCTATATGTATCTATATTTGTACCTGTACACTTACTTATGTAAATTCACTAAGAAAAAAATTCAGAAAGACACACATGAAATGACTGTAAGTGGTTAGCTTCGATGAGATGAGCAGGATGGGGTGGTGAAGAGGGTCTTATATTTTATCTGTGTATTGTTTGAAAATTGCTTAAGACTTATATTTATGCATTACTTGTATAGTTTTTAAAAAATCTTATTCCAATACAATGCTGACCAAAATTAGAGATCAAAATGTGAACAAGAGTCTGAAGCGAGTGCTGCGTGGGAGGGACTCTCCAGATGACTCCCGCAGTTTGGCTGAAAAGCAGCCTCTGCTGAGGGCGTCTAATGGAGACAGCCAGTTCTGGCAACCTCAGACAGGCAAAAAGGGTGACACCACAATCTCCACATCCCAGTAAACAAAGCTGCAATCCCCATCCTTTTAAAAGGGTCCTAGCTCTAATTTCAGCATTATGCAGTCTCAATACCCCACAAAGATTTTACCATCACCCCAAAAACCTAAGGCTTTAATCAAGTGTTTAGGGCCAAACAAGCCGGGCACGGTGGCTCACGCCTGTCATCCCAGCACTTTGGGAGGCCAAGGTGGGCAGATCAGCTGAGGTCAGGAGTTCGAGACCAGCCTGACCAATATGACGAAACCCTGTCTCTACAAAAAATACAAAAATTAGCCGGGCATGGTGGCATGCACCTGTACTCCCAGCTACTCGGGAGACTGAGACAGGAGAATCACTCGAACCCAGGAGGCAGAGGTTGTAGTGAGCTGAGATTGCGCCACTGCACTCCAGCCTGGGCAACAAGAGTGAAACTCCATCTCAAAAAAAAAAAAAAAAAAAAAAAAATAGTGGCTCATGCCTACTGTTGTAGGCTCAGCTCTTTGGGAGGCCGAGGCAGGCAGATCACGAGGTCAGGAGCTCGAGACCATCCTGGTTAACACGGTGAAACCCCGTCTCTACTAAAAATATAAAAAATTAGCCAGGCGTGGTGGTGGGTGCCTGTAGGCCCAGCTACTCGGGAGGCTGAGGCAGGAGAATGGTGTGAACCCAGGAGGCGGAGCTTGCAGTGAGCTGAGATGGCACCACTTCACTCCAGCCTGAGCAACAGAGTGAGACTCCGTCTCAAAAAAAATAAAAAAATAAAAATAGAAATAAATAAGGCCAAACAGTGAGGTCCCAATTGGCAGAAAGGCAGGAGCAGCAGCTGGGTTTCAGTAGCTATGGAAAGCTCAACAATCCCTCATGCATGGCAGCTACTCTTCTATCTATCCATTGACCATGCCTCTACCCACCCACTCATGTGTCCATCCATCCATCCACTCACGTGTCCGTCTGTCCACCCACCCAACTACTGACTGAGTGCCTTCAGTGCTGGGAATCAAACACAGGATACCAAAGGACAGAGCTGAGCCTTGGAAAGCCTGACCAAAGAGTCAAGACGGTAGAAAAAAAACTTCCATGCCCTCACCCCCTTTCTGTCTGTACAGATTTTCTGTCTTGAGGGATAATTTAGAGAGGATGAGTCCCCAGAGAACAACATGTTGTACTGAGACAAACTTCTTTTTTTTTTTTTTAGATGGAGTCTTGCTCTATTGCCCAGGCTGGACTGCAGTGGCATGATCTCAGCTCACTGCAAGCTCCGCCTGCCGGGTTCACACCATTCTCCTACCTCAGCATCCCAAGTAGCTGGGACTACAGGCGCCTGCCACCACGCCCAGCTAATTTTTTTGTATTTTTAGTGGAGACAGGGTTTCACCACGTTAGCCAGGATGGTCTCGATCTCCTGACCTCGTGATCCGCCCGCCTCGGCCTCCCAAAGTGTTGGGATTACAGGCGTGAGCCACCGCGCCCGGCCTGAGACAAAATTCTTAAACCACCTTAACCCAGCTGAAATACACAGATCTAAGTGCCACAGCAGTTTTATGAACATTAATGATGTCAGAGTAGGGCGGCAGCAGAAGGAACCAGGGGAAACATTGGTCAAAAGCAGTCATTAAGCATGGAGTCAATTCTTTTTTTTTTTTTTTGAGACAGAGTCTCATTGTGTTGCCCAGCCTGGAGTGCAGCGGTGCAATCTCGGCTCACTGCAAGCTCCACCTCCTGGGCTCAAGTGATCCTCCTGCCGCAGCCTCCCAAGTAGCTGGGACTACAGGCGCCCACCACCACCCCTGGCTAATTTTTTGTATTTTTAGTAGAGACGGGGTTTCTCCATGTTGGCCAGGCTGGAACTCCTAACCTCAAATGATTCGCCAGCCGCGGCCTCCCAAAGTGCTGGGATTACAGGCGTGAGCCACTGTACCCGGCTCAAGTCAATTCTAAAATAATCTCCTCCAATGAAGTGCTCTGGAAACAAATGGACGTTTCCACTCACCATTTTTTATTCCATCTGCCCCAAAACAACAGTAGTAGGCAAGATTTAAACAGCTGGCGGAGCTGTGTCATGTGGCACCTGTGTTTTCAATAATCACATTTTCCGTTAAACTGCTATTTTGTGACTTCCTTTTTTTTTTTCCTTCAATCAAACTAAGTGCACCCTTCTGCATTCATATGGAACCATTCTGAGGTTACAGTCCTCCGTCTTTTTCTCTCAAATGGAAGTTCTGCGACCGACTTGAGGCTGCGACACTGAACACGATGAAAAGCCATGTTCAAGTGCGAAAGCCAGGGTGACGCTTAGGCCTGGTCACAGTTCCGGGACGTGGGTCCATACCTCCCCATCCTCGCACCAGCCTGGAAGCTGTAAGACAGGCTAAGACTTCCCAGATAGGCCCGGCACAGGGCTATAAGAGAAGAATCACAAGCTGACCTCTAAGTGAGCCCTCAAACAGAGGCTCTATTTACACCCCTCCATGAGTAGCTTTTTTTTTTTTTTTTTTTTTTTTTAAGGCAGAGTCTCACTCTGTCGCCCAGGCTGGAGTGCAGTGGTGCCATCTCAGCTCACTAAAACCTCTGCCTCCCAATCCAGGGCCTTAGGCGATTCTCATGCCCCAGCCTCCCGAGTAGGTGGGACTACAGGCATACACCAACATACACCCGGCTAATTTTGTATTTTTAATACAGACGGGATTTCACCATGTTGGCCAGGCTGGTCTCGAACTCCTGGCCTCAAGTGATCCACCCGCCTCGGCCTCCCAAAGTGCTGGGATTACAAACGTGAGCCACCACGCCTAGGTGAATAGCATTTCAGAATAGAAATATCATTGCAGAACAGAACAGCATTTCTGAATCGAAAACAGAGTAATCCCTCTATGTACATGGGAGCCTGGCTTTCGTTTCGGATACATTTATTCTCTTCTCTGCAAAACCACTTGATAAATCTAATAAGCACGTGATAAACTTAGGCCTCTGGGTCTGCGAACCACGTAGTAAGCTTTCACTTTAGTTTAGAGCTTTACTCAATTCATTTAGTCTTTAATTTAATTTTACAATTCTAAAACCAAAGAAGATTCACAGTTAATTGAAACAGGTCTGCATGAGAGGTAGAGGCGACAGCAAGTCAAATACCCCAATCGCTTTTGGGCTGAAATCCAGGGGTAGCCTCCCACAGGCACCTCAGTCATTTTCCCAATCTCTCACCTTGACAGGTTTCCTGTTTGTTTGTAAATACGAATGTCTGCTGGTCAAAGAACGGTCACAAAAGTTGACAGAACAGAAGGTCCAGAATGGAACCACACGGTACAGTCAACTGATGTTTGACAAGGATGCAAAGGCCACTCAATGGAGGAGAGACAGTCCTTTCAGATGGCACAGCTTGACACCCACAGACAAAAAGCAAAGCTCCTCCTAAACTTCACATGGTACACAAAAGTTAATTCAAAGCAGATCATGGATTTAAATGTAAAACTAGAAAACTTCTAGAAGAAAACACAGGGGCACATCTCTGTGACCTTGGGTTAGGCAAAGAGTTCTTAGATGTCATATTAAAAGCATAAACCATAGAAGAAAACAGTGACAGACTTGACTTCATCAAAGCGAAGGACTTTCACTCTGTGCAGGACAGTAAGTGAACAAAAAGACAGGCCACAGTCTAGGAGAAAGTATTTGCAGATGGAGTATCCAACAGAAGACTTGTGTCTACAATATACAAAGAATTCTCTAAACTCAAGAAGAAGAAAACAGGTACTTCACCAAAGACACACAGCAAATAAGCACGAGAAAGACACTCGGTGTCATGAGTCATCAGGGAAACGCATCAAAACCACAGCATGATGCCACTCCACACCTACTAGGGTGACTTTAGAAAGACAAACACCCCGAACACGCTGAGTGCTGGGGAGTGTGGGAAGCAACTGCAACTCTCTTGGAAGAGTCTGGCAGCTCCATGTAAAGCCAAACACACACTCCCACCTCCTCCTCCTCCTGGGGACCGAAAACCACGCTCACACAAAAACCTGGAGGCAAAGCCTGGGCACTTCTTCATCAACACTAAAACACTGCAAATAGCCCTGGGTCCCTCCACTTGGAAGGGATAACACAGTGCAGCATGTCAACACTGTGGAACATGACTCAGCAGGTGAAAGTATAAGCTGCAGATCCACAAGTCAACACGGAAGAGCCTCGAGGGCATACTGCTGAGTGGGGACGCCCATCTCAGAAGGCTGCACACCACGATTCCCTTTAGATGGCTTTCTGGAAAAGGCAAAATTACAGGGAACGGAGAGTGGCGCAAAGGGTGCTTGGGGCAAGGTGTGGGGGAGGGACAGAAGGGGACTTGGGGGTTGCTGGCAGCGTTCCATATCTTGACAGTGGTGGCAGCTACACAACTCTACAAATTTGTGAAAACTTCTAGAACTGTAAGTGAAGAGGCCAATCTACAAAACTAAGCCCAGGATGATTCCAATGTGACGACGACACTCCGGGAAAGGTGCAGCTAGAGAGAGCGGGAGACTAGAGGCTGCTGGGGTGAAGCTAGAGAGAGTGAGACCAGTGGCTTCTGGGGGCACTACGAAGTGACAGGCAGAGCACAGGGTGTTCAGGGCAGTGAACTGCCCCCGTGTGATGCCAGAAGGGTGGGCACATGTCATTACCCATCTGTCCAAAACCACAGAAGGCACAACGCTGAGTGGGCCTGTAAGTAAACTATGGACTCTGAGTGATGAAGAAGGGTCAAGGAAACCTCATGAGTTGTGATAAAAGGACCACGCGAATGCAAAGTGTTAATTATACCTGTAATCCCAGCACTTTGGGAGGCCAAGGTGGGAGGATAACCTGAGGTCGAGAGTTCAAGACCAGCCTGGCCAACATGGTGAAACTCCGTCTGTACTAAAAATATAAAAAATTAGCCGGGCGTGGTGGTGGGCGCCTGTAATCCCAGCTAGTCGGGAAGCTGAGGCACGAGAATCGCTTAAACCTGGGAGACAGAGGTTGCAGTGAGCCAAGATCGCGCCAGTGCACTCCAGCCTGGGCAACAGAGCAAGACTCCATCTCAAACAAAACAAAAGAAAATAAACCAACGAAGTGTTAATAATGGGGGAAATCGTGTGGGGCAGGGGAGGGGCGTAGCTCTGTACACAGTTTTTCTGTCAACTTAAAACTGCTCTAAAAACTAAAATGTTTTAAAACAAACTTCTATAACTATGACAAAAAGCAAAAAAAAAAGAACAAAAGTAAAAATATTAAAGCAAAAAATGGGTCAGGTGTGAAGGATCATGCCTGTAATATCAGTGCTTTGGGAGGCCAAGACGGGAGGATCACTTGAGCCCAGGAGTTTGAGATCAGCCTGGGCAACATGGCGAAACCCCGCCTCTATTTAAAAAAGGAAAGAAAGAAAAAGAATGTACACACCACACCACACCACCTCCAACAGCGTCCCCATCTCTTCTCCACAGGGAACGAGAGGCACAGTTTTACCCAGAACGAGGGGCTCTCCTGCTGCAAACCCTCCTGTGCTCAGAGCTGGGCCTGGCCCAGCCCTCCAGCCTCAGCTCTGCACTCTTCCTCTCCCCTCCCCTCCTGAGGCTTCCATGACCCAGTTCCTCCTTCCCACCTTCCTTTCCCTGGGCCAGGTGATTCCCCAACTCTTTGTGTGGCCCCTGATCGCTTCCCTAAACGCCCCAGGCAGGTTCCCTTCCTGCCAGTTGCCATGTCTGCACCCACCTGCCACGTCAGTTTCACAGTAACTTTCATCCCCAGTTACTGTACATGTCTACACCACATGCTAAGGTGACCTGTTCAATGGACATGCATCAGCTGCCACACCACAGCTGTCACCACTGCATAACGAGCACCCATTCCTGTGCCAGGCACACACAGGCACCCAGACATTTCCAGAACCAATGAACACACTATTCAGCAGCCGTTCTGCCTCAGATCTCTCCATGGGTGCAGACAGAAATCTTTCCTTGCTGGTACCATGCTGTTCCAAACCTTTTCTCCGTGTCTCACACCTCTCTGGAGGATGACAATACGACAGGTGAGGCTGGGGCCCAGAGAGTCAGGTGAGAACGGCCAAGTCCCTTAGCGCAGGCTCCCACTCTCGCTGCGGCCTCACCCAGCACTCGGTCCAGGAGTCAGCACTGCCTTCACCTGCCATTTGCCAAAATCCTTGGCTACACGGGCAAATTCCCCATCAGCGCCCACACCTGAGCTCACCTTTTCTTTTGCCACCTGCCCAGTCTTTTCCAGACAAGCTGGTAGCCAGGTGAGCTACCTCAACACTAGCTTCCTTAAGAAAAAGGACAATCAATCTTGCCATCCTGCTGACAGGCCCACCGCCTAGGCCCACAGTCAGTCATCTCAGAGCCCCTCCACTGCAGGAGCACAGCAGAGGATGACAGCCGACATTCAGCCATGCCGCCTTCTGGCCAACATGCCCAACACGCGGCCTGGAGGAGCTGGGGACCCATGCCAGGCTCCCTCTTCATTTGGTTCTCAGAGTGGCAGATGGCATGACTGTAAATGGCACCAAGCGTGCTGCATAAGCTCATGACACATTTCGATTCCGCTGTCCACGCACCTGCTGCCCGGGAGGATGAGGCTGGAGGGGCGCTAGCACACATGCTACTGAGTACAGACATGGCCCAGGCCCATGCCTGCTTCTTGCCCTTCCCTCGGCAGAACCACCTGAGGGTTTTTTTTTTTTTTCTTTCCCCTAGACAAAGTCTTCCTCTGTCACCCAGGCTGGAGCACAGTGGAGGGATCTTGGTTCACTGCAACCTCCGCCTCTCGGGTTCAAGCGATTCTCCTGCCTCAGCCTCCCAAGTAGCTGGGATTACAGGCATGCACCACCACACCCAGCTAATTTTTGTATTTTTAGCAGAGACGGGGTTTCATCATGTTGGTCATGCTGGTTTCGAACTCTTGACCTTGTGATCCACCCTCCTTGGCCTCCCAAAGTGCTGGGATTTCAGGCGTGAGCCACTACGCCTGGGCAACCTGAGGGTTCTTTATACCAGAAGGCACTTTCCCTCTGCACACTTTAGCCAGCACCTCTAGTCCTGCAAGCCACAACCCTGTCATCACTCGGGAGACTACACTCTATCACGCAGCCCATAATCAAAGCCCCCCGAGTTGTCCCTAGAATACTCTTTGTAACCATTTCTTTCCTTCTCCTTCCTTGGTTTTTTTTAAAGGCCCAAGACCTCCACAAAGCTACTACCTGCATTTGTTTGTCAAGTGTCTCCAGTCCCTGGGAACTCCCTGTGCCCGTGTGGTCAGAAGGAATCTATTTCTTACATAAGTTCTCCCGCGGATGGCGCTGCAGGTGCCCACCACGCCCCCGCTGGGCAGCACATCTGTGTTTTGGCAAAAGGAACGCTCATCGGACAGGCCACTCTGTGCACCGTCCTCAAGCATACAGCAAAGAGTCTGGAACTCTGGCTTCATTCCATCAATCATGGAGGAAATGAAATAAAAGGTGAAGTAAGATTTGCCCCAAGTATGGATCCTGCGGCAGTGTTTTCCCTCATGGGACAGCCCCTTGCCTACTGGTCAGCTGACATCAGAAACCAACCAAGCCTTGGATCTTGGGCCTTCTCAAGACGGTTCCTCCAATGTGCCCAGTGCTGCTCAGGATAAGCCAGATACTGCCTGATGGAGGTAGAGCAGGAGCAAGAGTGGGAAGGAAGCAGGGCTCTGAAGCTGGGAGGGGCGCCTGGGCAAGGCGGTGAACACCCTCCCTATGGCTGGCGGCCCCTGGCTGTACCCCAGACCCACTCTGGGAAGTCTGTCCAGTGTTGGGGCAAGCTGGCTGCACTTTCTGGTGGCTGTGGTCACCCAGTTACAGTCGTTGGCTGCAGGCTGGTGGCAGCTCACACACAGCCTGGGAATCATGCCCAACACCTGCTGTGCTGGGACTGGAGGGAAGGCCTGTGCTGGCCCAGCAGGCACTGCTCCCACTGGGGCAGGGAGGGTTCCCAGGTCATCAGACACAAGCCTGGGGGAGAAGGGCCAAGGGGAAAAGCAACCAGAGGTCCAAGGGTGAAGTGCTATGGACGGAAGAGAGATGGGTAAGGACTGTTCAGGAGTGGCTGCAAGGGCAGGGCTCTTGGGTGCGGGTGGCATACCCACAAGGATCGGGGCTGGTTGTGCAGACCCAATATCTGTGGTTCAGTGAACTGAGAGCAGTCAGCCAGGCTGCCGGGATAGCTCTGGTGTGGTCAGTGGGCGGGATGGATGTAAGATGGGATGGCTACCCATGAGGACCCACACCAGGTGAGAAATGTACATGCACAGAACCCCACCAGGCTGTGCACTGGGAACCCCCAGGCTGTGGAACGGGGACCCCCCCCCAGGCTCCAGAGTGGGGACCCCCCAGGCTGCGGAGTGGAGACCCCCAGGCTGCGGAGTGGGGAACCCCCCCAGGCTGTGGCGTGGGGACCTTCCCCAAGCTGTAAAGCAGGGAACCCCCAGGCTGTGGAGTAGGGTGGCGGGGCCCTGCCCTGAAGTGCAGCCCAACAGCAGCAACTGGGCAGATGTCAACTGGACCATCAGGGGCCCGGTTGTTTGTGTGGCCAGGAGAGCATGTGCCCTCTGGGAGTCAGGTGTGTGAGGGGAGGAGAGCGGCCAGTTGGAGACAGAAGCATCCAGGGCACAAGAAGGCAGGGAAGCTGTCAGAAGTGGCCCAGGACACGACAAAAATGCAATGGAAAGGAGAGGCCCTAGAAGCCGGGGACCAGCCCCACAGCAGGCACAAAGGTGGAGGAAAAGGAGCACAAAAAGCAGGGCCCTGAGTGCTGCGTCGAGACCACAACGCCCAGCCAGAGACCCTCGGGAAGGAGGAGGCCAAAGACGGCACTTCCTTCCCTCCCCGGGGCAGGCACAGGCTCTGGGCGCAGTCACTGCTCCCTGGACCAAGCACCTTTTGTTGGGACTGAACACGTAACTGAGAGGTTATGAAGTTTTAACTCGGAAGGTCCTCACTGAGAGCATTTCAGCTTCTGTATTTTAGAGAATAAACACAAAACACCCAGAGAAGTGATGTTTCACATGGAAACTGGGACTTACCCAACCTGAATGAGTTCATTCAGCTTTGTTGCATTCTTGTCATCCATACCTTTAAATGGAAAAAATAAATAAATGAGACCACAATGTAGTTAGGAGCAAAGCCACTGAAGATTCCCATACAATTCCGCTCAATATAGACTCAAATCCCATTACCGAATATTAAAGTTCCTCTGGAATAAAAGCCCTACAGTAGCTGCAGCCCCTCCCTCAAAGTCACACCTTCGAGTCAGCTGCCCTGGTCGCCCCCGCTCACCTGAAAGCCTGGCACGCCCCTGCCTGGCCCCCTCCTCAGGCAGGCCCACTACCCAGCCTCTGACCAGTTGATCTGTCCTCCCAAGAGCTCCCTCCTAGGTCCCCCAGCGCCGGCCTTCCACTCATCCCTATCTGCCTGGCTCAACAGCTGCTTCCTGCAGGCACCACACCTGCCCACGCACACTTCCTGCTGGGCTCGTACTGACAGTGTCCGGTGTTGACCTTCCGGCCCACAGTGTGGAACCCCCAAGGCACCCAGGGTCCACAGAATGAAGACTCCGACACCCTCTGAGTTTCCTGGAGCAGACGCCCCATTTCCTGTGACCTGCTCGGGACTCTTCACTATCTTCAAGATGTGCAAGAAAGCAGCTACAGTACGTTAACGGGAGAGACTAGGTGCTGGGTACTTGGCTGTTCACTGTAAAATTCTTTGAATTCTTCTGCATGTTTTAGGGAAAAAAACTCCACAAACGAACGACCAGGCTGAAAACCAAAACCAAAGACAAAATTGTCAAAGCAGCCACAGACAGACAATGCACCTCGCACGGAGGAATGAGGGCATAGATGACCACTGACCCCTCTCATCAGAGCAGCACAGGCCAAGAGGCAGCAGACAACGGTGTCAATGTGATGAAAGAATGAACCCGTCAGATCAGAATTCTCTATCCGGCAAATACATCTTTTAAGAATGAAGATGAAATAAAGAATTTTCAGATTAATAATAACTAAGAATTCACAGCCGGCACAACTGCACGGAAAAAAATACAGGAGGTTTTTCAGAAAGAAAGGAAACAAAGCCAGATGGAAACGGAACTTCAGGAAGGAATGAAAAGCACCGGAAAGGGCTCTTGTCGCCAGGCGAGGCACCAAGAAAGGAACCGGTTGCGGAAACCGGCCAGGCATGGCATGCCACAGGGTCACCGTGCCCCACCTCTCCTGCTCCCGGATGAAGGGTTGGAAGCCTGGGAGCAGTGTGCCCCTCACTCAGCAATCAAGTCATTTATTTTCATCAAACTTGAGCATCCTCATGAGGCAGGAGAATAGGGTCTAGAGGTAGGGAACCTAAGGCCAATTCACGCTGACTTCCTAGAACTAAATCAAAAGGAAAACCCCAACTTTCCACACCTAAGTAACAAACGGACCAGACACGCTATTCCCTTTGCAACGCCCCCTCCCCTTCTTTCTTCATGGCAGATGGGAAATTGAAAGTATCTCTGATTGGTTGCAGAAAGCAGAAAGCAATCGGACATTTACATAGGAGTACAACTTTGGAACTTCACTTCAGCCTGACTGGTTGCTTCTGCTAGGTTTGAAAAAGTCTAAAAAGTCTTCCCCAAGACTGGGGCCAAGTCTTCCTTTGCAAAGAAGTGTAACTTTGTAACCAGTTTAGCTTCTGATTGGTTGTTTTCCACAACCAATCAGATGCTTGCATAGAGTGTAACCTTTGTAACCTCACTTCAGTCTCTGATTGCTGGCCACTACTTCATTTACATAGGGTGTACACCAAGCAGCCAATGGGAAACCTCTAGAGGTTTCCCCCTCTAGAGGGGGAAACTTCTGTAAAAGGGCTCTTGAGCCCCTACGTCCGGGCCCACTCCCACCCTGTGGAGTGTACTTTGGTTTTCAATAAATCTCTGCTTTTGTTGCTTCATTCTTCCCTTGCTTTGTTTGTGCATTTTGTACAATTCTTTGTTCGAAATGCCAAGAACCTGGACACCCTCCACCTCTCAGAAGCTTCTAGGGAGGAAACCAGAACAAGCAGTGGTGCAAAAGGACCAGGCAACAAGGAGTGGGAACACATGGTCAAGATGGGGTTTTCCTTTATCTGGGGAAGATGAGAGCTGGGAGAGCTGTGGCGTAAACTCCTTGGGGCCTGGGATGCTTCCCAAGGCTGAGAGAGGGCAGATGAGAGGCGGCAGGAACAGGCATGAAGAGCTGGGACACGAGGCCCACGGACATGAGTGCGGGCTGGAGAGGCAGGCTGGAGGAGGTAAGAGGAGTGGCTGGGCCCACAGGGGACAGACCCAGTGGGGAAGTGCAGGAGGGCAGGGCCTCCCACACACAAATGCCACACTAGATTGCAGCAGCCACCCCGCAGGACACAGCAAGGCATGGAGGGGCAGCAAGGGGACAGAGTGTGGTGCAGGCCTGGCACAGACAGGGCGACTGCTCCGTATCTGTCCTCTCAGCCCCACCACCCGCCCTGAGCTGTGACATGCTAGCTGGCGTGGTCGTGCAGTATCCCACTGAAGAGGGGGGGATCCCCTACAGTGCCCACTGGACAGCCCAGGCATGCTCTCTTCTTATGAAGTCAGGCAGAAGAAGCAGGGCTGAGGGGCGCTGGGCACAAGCGCCTGGTAAGTCTACAATGTCCCTACCTAGAGGTCGTGTCAAAAATGTCTCAAGGGAATCTGGTCCCGAGGAGACGATCGGAACAAATCCAAGCAAGGGCCTGCGTGAGGAAGGCCTGAGCGCGTTGCAATGTCTCAGAAGCCCAGGCAGTGCGGCCGCTCTAAGTCAAAGACACCCAAGGGAGACTCCACAGTCACATGCAGGGCAACGGCCCTTGACAGAAGCCCTGACTGATATTTTGGGATGTTTTAGAAAATCTGAATATGGGCAGGAAATTAGGTAAGATCACTACACCTGTTTGGTAAATGCTAAAAGTCTAGGTGCGACCATGGTATCAAGGCTATATAGGAGAAATGTTCTCTGAGGTGATGCCGGTGGAGGTATTCTGGGCTGTGGCGTGACATCTTACAGTCGAGTGGAATGCAGAGTGTGTGAACACATGTGTGCACGCGAGCATGTGTGCATGTGCATGGAGAAAGAGAGCAAATGTAGCCAACGTCAGCAACAGGTCCATCTAAGCTAAAGAGCACGGCCGCCATCATATTCTTCACCTCTTCTAGTAAAATTTTTTCAAGATAAAAGTTAGAGGGAAACTAGAAACAACTCTGAGCACTAAAGCCCAAAGGTGACAAAGGACAGGAGGAGCCGTGGGCAACCCCACAGTCAGCGTACTCACAGCCCCCAATCTTCTTGCGCAGCTCGCCATAGCAGATCAGGCCATACAGTTCCTGGGATGACTTCTTCAGGCCTCGAGAGAACACTGAGAAACAGAAGAGAAGGCGGCTTTAGAGAGGGGAACAGGAGGCGCTGCCTGGCTTGGGTGTGAGAGCCACACCAGGCTCACGTGGTTTCTTGGATCTCCTCCCTGTACCTTTGTCATGCAAGCTGTCAACCACAGGGGACACTGGGCAGAGTGTATAGAACACGGTGCTGTGTCTGCGATTTTCAAAATAAAAAGTTAAACCAAAGTGGGGCGTTAGAAATTTACCCCAATAGGCAGAGGAAATGTCCCCTGGAGGAGAAAACACAACACTCAGAACAGCTGGTACTCGTGAAGGTGGCAGATGTGGCCAGCACTAAACCTGTCATCCATCTCTGCACACAGGTGAGGCCAGCAGCCCTGAAACCTGGATGCTGCCTTCCTGCCTCACCTGTGCCCTCCCAGGACAGTGGATCTGCATAGCCCGGGCCCAGGCGGGAGGAGGAGCCAAGGACAGGTGCTCACCCCTGCCTGAGGCCCATTCTCCTTCCTCAGTAAGAGGCCCTGTTTTTTTTTTTTTTCTTTTCTTGGAGACAGGGTCTCACTCTCTCGCCCAGACTGGAGTGCAGTGGCATGATCTCGGCTCACCGCAACCTCTGCCTCCCAGGCTCAAGAGATTCTCCTGCCTCAGCCTCCCAAGTAGCTGAGATTACAGGTGCACACCATTATGGCCTGGCTAATTTTTGTATTTTTAGTAGAGACAGGGTTTCACCATGTGGGCCAGGCTGGTCTCGAACTCCTGACCTCAAATGATCTACCTGTCTCAACCTCCCAAAGTGCTGGGATTACAGGCATGAGCCACCGTGCCCAGCCAAGGCCCCTGTTTTATTTGGGAGGCAAACAGGCTGAGACATGGACAGCTGGTCATGGCTACACCACTGGAAGTAGTGGAGACTTCCAGAAGCCTCCTTAAAGAGCCTGATTTGGGCAGGAGGGTTCCCCTTTTCCCACCCCTCTTTCCTCAAGAGCCACTGCCTGGAGCTGTCACCAAGGACAGCCAAGCACAAGAATGGGAGGCACCTGGGTCCTGCCTGCCCTGGGCGCCAGCCTCTAGGCGTCTCTGCCACGAGACAGTGAATTCTGAGGCGCTTGGGCCACTGCTATTTTGCATTTTGTTACTGTATTACACCAGACCTAATCCTGCTAGGGAAACCAAGTGACAACACAGTCCAGGCCCCTTTGGGTCACTTCACAGAGCAGGGGTGAAGGCCATTTGTCCCCTCTACTCTCACAATTGTCCTCTCTAGTTCTCTCCTCAGAGACCTGTTCTCAAGGCCCTAAGACTGGTAAATGGAGAAGCAGGCTTTCAAGATATGAGGAGGATTCTGGACCATGGGTCTCGGACACGGCTAAGCACAGGCCAACTGCTCTCAAAGGCTCTTCTGAGAGAAAGACCTAAGACCTAAGGGCTCATCAGACTTTCTTTTTTTCTTTCTTTCTTTTTTTTTTTTTGAGACAGAGTTTCGCTCTTGTTGCCCAGGCTGGAGTGCGGTGACGCGATCTCAGCTCACTGCAACCTCCGCCTCCCAGGTTCAAGGGATTCTCCTGCCTCAGCCTCCCAAGTAGCTGGGATTACAGGCATGCGCCACCACGCCCTGCTAATGTTTGTATTTTTAGTAGAGACGGGGTTTCACCACGTTAGTCAGGCTGGTCTCAAACTCTTGACCTCAGGTGATCCGCCCACCTCGGCCTCCCAAAATGTTGGGATTACAGGCGTGAGCCACCACGCCTGGCCTCATCAGACTTTCTTAAAGGAGCCCATGACTCGGAAAGCTTTAAGATCCACTATTCAGTAGACAAGCAAAATGTGGCCATCCACCCAAAGGAAAATAATCCAGCCATACAAAGGACTGGCACACGCTACAACACAGACAAACCCTGAAACCTGACGCTGAGTGAAGGAAACCAGGCACAGAAGGACACATAGCACGTGATCCCATTTCTATGAAACATCCAGAGTAGAACGATCCATAGAGACAGGAGGTAGTAAACTGAGGGCTCCCAGCACCGGGGCACAGGGTTTCCTCCTGGGCAATGGACATATTCTGCAACTAGAGAGTGGCAATGGCTGCATAACCTTGTAAGTACATTAAGAACCACTAAGTTGTATGCTTTAAAAGGGTGAATAATATCCCCATTTCTAAAATATATATTTTAAAGTCCACTATTTGAAATGGCAAAAAGAAAAAAACCCACAACCCAGAAACAAGAAAGTAGCACCAAGAGCAAGACACTGCAGACAAGGGACCCCAGGGGAGGTGGGACCCTGGGACGAAGCAGGGCTTCCGGGAGGTGTCCCTGATGCCCCGCCTGGCCCCACGGCCTCCTAGGTGGCACCTCATGTTTTATTACACACTCAGGGACAGGAACCAAGCTCACCTCATCCAACTTTGAGTTCGTGAAGCAAAATCTCCACTGAGCAATGGACAGCAGCAAGGAAACGCAGATGTGCATGGAAACCACGGGAGATTAGTAAGACGAACACACACGCAAGGCCCCCAAGCTGGGGGCGGAGTCAGTCCCTTCCACGCTCGCTTGCCACCACTCTGTGTCTCACGCCACAAGATGAGTCAGACAAACCCATGATAAAGTGCACACGGTGTGCTCTTCAAAACTCCAAAGCACAGGCCAGGCGTGGTGGCTCACGCCTGTAATCCTTGCACTTTGGGAGGCCGAGGCAGGTGGATTTCCTGAGCTCAGGAGTTCAAGACCAGCTTGGCAACATAGTGAAACCTCATCTCTCCTAAAAAATATAAAATTAGCTGGGTGTGGTGGTGCACACCTGTAATCCCAGCTACTCGGGAGGCTGAGGCATGAGAATCGCTTGAAACTGGGAGATGGAGGTTACAGTGAGCTGAGAGTGCGCCATGGCACTCTAGCCTGGGCAACAGAGCAAGACTCTGGCTCAAAAAACAAAACAAAACAAAACTCCAAAGCACGCCAAAAATACATGTAACGTGAAAAAGTTGCCACTCTGTTTGATGCGCAATGACAGTCCATGGGGCCAGTCACTTCGCAGTGTCCTAGTGGCCTCCAGCCTCATGCTCCTGTTGGGCAAGTCAGCATCGGGTGCCCCAATGCCGCTGCCCGCTGGCACGGAGGCAGACAGCCCTGCTGAAGAGACAGTCAGGGCCATCAGAGAACCCGGGAGAACACGGGAGAACGGTGAGCTCAACAGGAAGAAGGCACATCATGTGGGGTCACACCAAAGATGCACGAACAGGAGACACCAAGGCTGTAGGAGCCTGCTGTGCCAGGTCAGGAAGAGAGGGAAGCACAGGGGCCCACACGGAGAAGGGAAAAGGACCTGTGTTGGGTGTGACCCCCCACCGAGAGGTGTGAGGGAGCATTTACCCTTCACCCTAGATGGACAGAAGGGCCAAAGAGGAATGAGGCCTCCTCGCACCAGCAAGTTTAGGATTAGGAGGTTGTTTAACAGGGAAAGGTGACACAATTAGAAAAGAAATGTTTGCTTTGACTGCCTTCTGAAATTGACATGGGAGAGAGCCTGGGTTGGCAAGTAGAATGTGCATTTGAACCTCAGAAGAGGAGATAAGTCTACGCCAGGAGCCTGAGGGTCCAAAGACGCTTCCCACCCTGCCCGCAGATGGTTCAAGCAAAGCACACTAGACCGAAGCTCCTGGAATCCCATCCCTCTCTCTATACCTCATCTACTAAACAGCTGCCCAGTCCCCTCCGCTGCTGGCCAGCTTCCCCCATAGAGAGCTTTTCAAGACCAGCCACAGTGGATGGCAGATCTGCTCTCATGGACTGACTTTCTTTCTTTTTTTTTTTTTGAGACGGAGTCTTGCTCTGTGGCCAAGCTGGAGTGCAGTGGTGCAATTCTCCTGCCTCAGCCTCCCGAGTAGCTGGGAGTACAGGTGTGCACCACCATGCCCAGCTAATTTTTGTATTTTTAGTAGAGATGCGGTTTCACCATGTTGGCCAGGATGGTCTTGATCTCTTGACCTCGTGATCCGCCCGCCTCTGCCTCCCAAAGTGCTGATTACAGGCATGAGCCACCGCGCGCAGCCTGGACTGTCTTTCAAAAAGGCACTAATGAACGATGCAAAGGACAGACGACACAGGAAGAGGCCGACAATGAAAAGTCGGTGCTGCGTGCCACTCTGGAAGGCACAAGGCCACTCACCACAACCTGACATTAACCACAACAGCCTTGGATGACGGGATCTGACCAGTGCTGAGATTTCAAATAAACAAGTGAGCTGAACATGAGAAGACCAGCACAGGCATCAAATATAGGACAAAACGGAACTGATGTGCTATAAATAGGTGAAGTCAGCAGAAAATCTTACATGAATGGTCACGTGGATACCAAAAGCAAACAAACAAAACCGCATCGGCGGCAGACCCGAATCAAGGGGTACCCCTAATGTGCAGAGACCAACAGCCGTTTCCATGGATCTCCAGAAACGGTGACAATCTCCCAGTGGAGGTTCTTCAGTGGAGAAGCTAGCTGCGTGGTGGGCAGGGGGTGTCTGCGGCCCTCAGGGCTCTGCCCAGTCACACAGGGGAGCTGGGTCCTGGCTCTTCCCAAAGCTCCGGGCAAAGCTGATGCACCATGGTCAAGATGCCATAACCCACCCAGAGGACACCACAGGAATGGCCAAGGCGAAGGACTTTAGGTCACCACGAGGCACAGGCAAGGGCACAAAGAGTGGCAGTGTGGCCACAGTCCAGGTACCCTGGGTCAGAATGTGAGACATCTGAAAGAAGGCTCAGAAGGCAGAGGGGTGCTCTGGGGGTACATCTGGAAGGACCAAGCTGTGTGTGAAGCTACAGGAATGAAGAGCAGGGCCCAGCACAGGTGCGCTGCTGGAGAGGTAGTTCTCATAGGCGGAGGCAGGAGGCAGCTAAGACTCCCAAGGACAGAGATGGTGATGGACAAAGCATCATCCGGAGAAGCCACCAGTAGCCAAAGGGTGCTCTGAGCCAGAAGCCAGAATTCTACCTGGGGATGACTTGGTCCCGTGACTGAACGAGGGCCGACGCAGACCTGGGTCCCAGTGTAGAGGGCGAGAGGCCTGGGAAGGCTGGCCGTCCCCCAGGAAGACCAGCGCCAGGCACGGTGCCTGCGGCCCAAGCCCCTCGCTGGACCATGGTGCTATCATTTGCAGTGGAGACCACAGGCTTCAGGTGAGCCAGGGACCCAGAACTCACGCACACTCAGAGCCACTGGAAACACACAAACCATAGCTCAGAAAAGCAGTGGTAAGAACCCTGGAGCATGGGATACGGGCCACTTCCTGGCAACTTGGTTTGACCGAGTTAGACAGCACACAATCAGCCAAAGCGCTGCAAGGCGAGGAGCCCCAGGCCAAGCGGCTGGTGAGAAAATGCCAGAAAGCAGGTCCGGCGGGCTTGCTGGAAGCTGCGCTCTGAGCAGAAGCCGGCCCTGCCTGTGGGCACCCCCGAGCCTGGCCCGTGGCACACTCACCATGATCAAAGTCGATGTACTTGGTGATCTTGTGCCAGGTGCGGTAGTAGAAGTGGCGGACCTGCTCCTTGTTCTTCACCATGCTTGCTGGCTTGCCTTTCTTCTTGTACTTCAGCGCAATGTTGTTCTGAATCGCTTCAAAGTCTTTCCCATGCTGGAAAATAAATTCCATGATAAATGTAGAGGGGTTAAAACAATGCAGCTTTCTGTGTTAACTGGACCCTTTCCAAGGTTCCGAGAAAGGAGAAAGGAGACAGGCTGTAGTCAAACAAGCAGCCCTTCCAAGCTCTTATCTGTGTATGAACTTGAACTTCGACTCCCTGGAACCTTAGGTTTTAATCAGGATAAAGGAGCAATGGAACCAGGAACAGAACCATCAGAGCACATGGATACCAAAGAGGCAAGCACCCCAGACAGGAGAAACATAAAGCTCATCACTTGGACAAATGCCTTAATTGCTAGAGTTCTTCACAGATAATGAAATGAGACACCTCCATGAAGAAAAGCTCTGGAAGAGAAGCAGTTATGGCATCTTAAAGAACAGATCAGAAACATCCTCACTGCTTTAATCTGACAAAATATATTCCATATTCAAACGAGGACAGCAAACGTGAGCATTTAGTAAGTGAACCGCACAGACTATACTCTGATTATACGTGGAGGCCAACCCTTCTTGGAACGCTTCTTTGCAAAAGCTGAGTGTGACTTAGATTTTCAGAAGAGAACTTGTGTTCCACAGAACAGCCTCACCTCAGTGCTGCTTCAGGCACTGCCATAGAGAACCTAGTGTTCGATCATCTCATCAAAGCCAAGCTCCTAAGTACTGGAAGGGCTCAGCAGTAACCAGCATCCTTAGCGCCCAGGTCTTGGTTTCTAAATACCACTTTGCAAAGGGAAGCTGGGCTCCCAGGAAAAACAGCCAACTGCAGAGCAGCAAGCAGCCACTGAGTCTGGAATGCCTGACGGCACCAGCACACGAGAATACACTGGCAGGCGATGGGGACGTGAGAAGAGGATGCAGGAGCCAGCATGAGGCTCCCCAGTGGCCAAATGGGGAACCAACGGGGCGAGAAAGCCGACAATGGCATGGTGGACCATGACCCCCAGAATAAAGCCAACATCTGTGAGTCTACATGGGTGTAGGTAACAGAATAACTGCACGTGTGGGGGAGAACGCAGGGCTCTTCTTGGCACAGGACTTCCAATCAGCAAACACAGAAAGAATAAAGGAAACAGAAGGTCCTCACTGGGAGCAAACAGCACAGTAACAACTGCTTCAGGGAAAAGGCAGCGATGGCTGCTGAAATCAGTGGGAGCAAAGAATGATGAGAAACACGGTATTTACACAGCCTCAAAGCCAAGCCATGACCCAGCCACGGTGAGACCTGGCAGACGCTGCCTGAGGGCAGCGACCAAGGCAAACACCACCAGGACGGAGACAGAAAGAACACCACGGGCCGCCAACTGGATGCGCCAAGAAGGACACGGTATCACTGCTGTGGAATTCTTGACAGAAATGCGTAACATAGAATCATGAGGAAACTGCAGATCAACCCAAACTGACACAAGGGACATTCTACAAACCAACATGCTGTGAGTCTCCACAAGTGTTGAGGTCATCAACGACAAAAAAACATGCAAACAAAAAACAAAAACCCAGGAGCTGTCCCAGGTTACAAGAGACTGAGGAGTTTGGGCAGCCGAGTGCGGCGCAGCGTCCTGGCCAGGATGGACCTGAGTGGGACCCTTGTTAATCTGAATACCGCCTGCAAATGAGCAGGCAGGGCCATGTCTGTGCTCATACCCTCACAGTGCGGCTGCCCTAATGCTGTGGAGGCAGGGTGGAGGGGACCTGCTTTGTGCTGTTTTTGCAACTTTTAAAAAGTCTGAAACATTTCAAAACAAAAAGTTAAGGGAGCCAGGTGGTGGCTCGTGCCTGTAATCCCAGCACTTTAGGAGGCTGAGGTGAGAGAATTGCTTGAGCCCAGGAGTTTGAGACCAGTTTGAGCAACATAGTGAAACCCCATCTCCACAAAAAACTTAAAAATTAGCCAGGCATGGTGGCACATGCCTGTAGTCCTAGCTACGTGGGAGGCTGAGGCAGGAGGATCGTCACTTGAGCCCAGGAGGTCAAGGTTGTAGTGAACTAAGATGGCAGCCCTGCACTCCAGCCTAGGTGACAAAGCAAGACTGACTCTCAAAAAAAGATGTTTTTTAAATCAAAAAAATAAAAAACATGCTGATGGGGGGTAAGGGGTAGTAACTGGGGAGCAAGATCCTCAGGGAAATGAGAACCTGGGGACTGCTGGGGTGCTGGCCCCCAACCCTGTCCACCTCAGAAGACTCTTGGCAGCTGGGGGACCGTGAGGTGACCTGGAGGGGCCAGAGGGGAGGTGGCATTGTGCTTGACACACTGACACATTTTAGGATCTGTAACTCCCAGCAACACAGGGGCTGAGGGAGGTGAAGACAGAAGCTGCTGTGGGCTGGCGGGTGGGGCTGGAAGGCTGGCACCCCAGTCTGGGTGCAAAAATGAAATGAAAAATTAAAAACTTTAGAAAAAGTAAAACGTGTTCATTGTTTTCAAAAGGAATGGCAGATAAAGCATAAAGAGGCGAAGCAGCACGTGAAAGGCCTTCCTGCAAGGTCCAGGCAGGCCCAGCCCTCCCCACGCTCCCTGGGCCTCGGCAAGAACCACGATGAAGCAACTTGACGGCCTCTGCATGTCACTGCGGGGTCGTCTACTCAAGAGGTTCCCTGAGAACCTGAGTTCCAGGCCTCCTGCTCACGTGTTCTTAACCTCTGCTGCCTCCTAAAGTCCCAGGGCATCTGTGTCGCGCCTGCCGTGTGTCTCCAAGGCAGCAAGCCCCACCAGACAGAAGCTTTTCTGTATTCTCAGTGTGGCGAGAGTGCTCTGTCCTGAGTCAAGAACCAGATATACACACGGTAACGGCAATGAGAACAAAAGATGGGCAGGGCTGAAAGTCTGAGAGAGCTGTCTGGGGTGAAGAGATAGAAACCTGCAGCGTCCACAGAGCTGTGGAGATGGTAACAGGCTGAGGATGCCCCCGGCTGCCTGTGCAGAGACAGGGAGGGCCTAGGTGGGGACAGAGAAGGGGAACACTGCGAAGCACAGAGGCCAGAGCTGAGGCCGCAGCCATTATGCAGAGAGGGAGAAGGAAGCACAGGACGCTGGCTGTGTGGCTGTCAGGTAGGAAATCAAGAACTGTATGGCAAAAACAAGCATGGATGATGGACGGATATAAGCAGGAACAGGAACTTGAAATGAAGTCAGGGCTGGGTCTGTGCAGACCTGCCACAGAAATGGAAGGGTATTCAGAGGAAGGAGGCGAGTGCCCTGCCACAGGTGAATGCCCGCCCTGCCAGAGGGAGAAGTCTGGACGGGCCATAACTGGACGGGCGCGAATCTGAGCATGCCCAGCACTGCCCAAAGTAGGGTGTGCAGGGGCAGCACTCTCGCCTGAGGAGCAGCTGAAGCAGGAGAGAATTCAGCCCATGATCAGGAGTGACCAACTGAGGCCCAGTGATGGCGGTGGGGTCCCTGCATCCAATCAGGCCCCAGCCAGCCTTGCTGCACCCCTCCCAGGGAGGCATCAAAAAGGCAGCGGTGGCCATGACAACATGGCAGAAGCCGCACTTCTCAGAGCAGAGGCCTGTGCCCAGTCACCGTCACCCCACAGCTTGAGGGTTCACAGTCACACCTGCCACCGGCCAGTCAGCCACACATCAAGACCCCACCAGAAGGCCACCTAGTTTTGATGAGACACACAATGCAGAAATGAAACGTGTTAGGCCAGGTGCGGTGACTCATGCCTGTAATCCCAGCACTTCAGGAGGCTGGGGCAGGTGGATCACCCGAGGTCAGGAGTTCAAGACCAGCCTGACCAACGTGGCGAAACTCGGTCTGTAATAAAAATACAAAAATTAGCCGGGTGTGGTGGCGGGCACCTGTGATCCCAGCTACTCAGGAGGCTGAAGCAGGAGAATCGCTTTAACCCAGGAGGTGGAGGCTGCATTTAGCCAAGATCGTGCCACTGCGCTCCAGCCTGAGCAACAAGAGCGAAACTCCGTTTCAAAACAAACAAACAAAAAGTCCTTTCTCTTGCCCTCGCTCTTTCTCATATACAAACTCAGATACAGAGAACCCACAGCAGAAAGCATTACATGATCAGAACAGCCAACTATTAATTATTATTACTAATTCAGGATTTCAGAATCCTCAAAAAGCATCTACCCGATAGAAAAACTCTAATGAGCAGCTTAACCCAATGGGAAGGACACGAACTGAACTGCTTGAATAAGGGTAAAGGGTGGATCATTAACAAGGAACTCCTCCTCTGCTACCTTTAATGGACAACCACATCTCCTGCTCCCAGGCACCCAGACCCTCTTGCAGAGGCTACAGTCTTGCCAAGGAGGAAGGGCCACACCACAGGAGTAATTGTTTCAGGCAAAAATCAGCAATGGTTGCTGATTCTGAAAACATTCCAGGAATCGCAGGTCCTCCAAGACCAACAAACAGCTTAAAGGCACGATTTGGGGCTTGAATCTACACAAAACCAGCCTCCTTGCTGTACTCTAGAACCCTCCAAGGGAAGAAAAGGAACACACGAATGTGTTTAAATGGCTTCATATCTACTGCAATGGGACTCATGCACACTTCTCTTTGGACAATCAGAATCAAGCCACACTGCCACGGCAGTCCGGTCCACCTGGGGTGGGCAGAACCTAACCTGCAGCCCAGGGCGGGAGCGACCCTGGCCACAGCATGCACCGTACTCAAGTCTCATGCCCACATTTACGAGTGTCTCCTTTTCTAATGCCTCTCTAAACATCTCATTCCAGAGCCTCCATTTCTTTCTTGAGCATTCTGCTTCCCAGGCTTGACAAGACTTCTCCATCACCCCAATTAATTAGCTATTAAAAGAACAAGGCTCCTGGGAGGCCAAAGTGGGCAGATTGCCTGAGCTCAGGAGTTCGAGACCAGCCCAGGCAACACGGTGAAACTCCGTCTCAACTAAAATACAAAAAATTAGCTGGGTGTGGCGGCGTGTGCCTATAGTCTCAGTTACTCAGGAGGCTGAGGCACGAGAATTGCTTGAACCAAGGAGGCGGGGGTTGCAGTGAGCCCAGATTGCACCACTGCGCTCCAGCCTGGGCAACAGAGTGAGATTCCATCTCCAAAAAAAAAAAAAGAACAAGGCTCACCGATCACGAACCTAATTCTAATACTGTATGCCAAAGAAGCAGTCTAAAGTATGAAGCGTGCACACCGATGTTCACCACAGCGTTACTTACGACAACAGAATCTGGAAGGATCTCAGTCATCCTTGACCACACAGGAATGGCCAAGCAGAGCAGTGGCTGGCCAGGGCCTCAAGGGCCACCCTGTCTGGTGCAGCTCTTCAACTATGCCACTGCAGTGGCATCAGCCGCAGACAGTACATCGACCCTGGCCATGGCTGTGCTCCAATATGATGTTTTTACAAAAGCACACAGTGAGCACACAGGCAAGGAGAATATTTACAGGCGTTAAAAAAAAATACAGAGCAAAAGAGCTATGAAACACCGTGAAAAATGCAAGCAATGTTAATTAAAAAGTATGCTCACAATAATTACAAGGATTTAGAAAACAATAATGCAGGTGAAACTGGCCAGCAGGGAGCACGGGCATTCACTGGGCGGTGGGGTCAGGGAGTGGCTTCTCTCTATTTTTAGGACTTTCCATTTTGTCCCAAGTCAGCAGCAACATCTCGTGAGGTTTCTCAGCTACACTGACCCCCGAGACAAGCACCGCCTTGTGCCTCCCCTCAAGAGGCCATCCCGCCTAAATCAGCCCACTCAGCACAAAGGGAAAGCCCTGAAACAAGAGGGCCTTCAGTCAAGAACATCTTTGAGAGACAAGGGGTGAGAATATCCAAAAGGAAATGAAGGAAACACACAAAAACACCTCCTCACAGACACCTCACCAGTACTAGCTTCTAAAATCTCAATGAGGAGATAAAACAGCCAAGGTCAGTGGGCAAGGCTAGAGCCCACATCAGCCTCCGCCACTGCGGGGGTCGCCCAGGAATCTGCGTTCTAGAATCTAACAGCAAAGAGGAAGCACGGGGAACGGAGGGCAGGGATCCGAGAGGGACGCCCAGGCTGCCTGGCCGTGCCTCCACAGCCTACTCACCTCGTACAGCCCCTCGAAGAAGGTGTTCTTGTCCTCTGTGCTCCACGACTCCCACTGCCGCCGGACCTTTTTGCCTTCTTCCTTCTCGCCACCAGAAGACCCTAAGTTCCGGGAGGAGGAGCGCGAGCCCCCTGCAGGGGCAGCAGGGGCAACCCCAGACACATTTCCAGACGATGATCCACCACCTTCAGCTCCTTGGAGAGAAAGCACCGTACAGTGATCTGTTCCAGAAAGCTGGCGGGCTGGGCAGGGTAGAGGGCCGGTGGGAGGGAAGGGCCCACTGCCCTGAGGTCCCACTCCACACTCCTCAACCGAGGATGCTGGCAGGCAGCACCCAGGACCCACGGCACCAGCGAGGCTGCTTAGGACTGCCAGGATCTTTACCTGGCCAAATGACCCTCAAATGTTTTTACAGTTAGAAAAGGAGCAAGATTTTATGTGGAACCATGTAACAGCACAATGACGCTGCAGCCTAAGACGCCCTGTCCACAATGGAGACAGAGATCCCTTCCCTCTGCAAAATGAAGCCTCACATCACATTTCATGCGTATTTCTTTTGTAAATGAGGTTTTTGGTTAAATATTCTTAACATCTTTTCAAATAAGTAGGTTGAGATTCAAACTCAAGGAAACAAACGTGTAAAACACCACCTTCTTTTAGATAAAATCAGTGCTTCAGAATATGAACTGTCCAACGCCTAAGAATCTTTAGTCTTAAAATTCCTTACCCTCAATCAATGTCCACCAAAAAAACGTAGTGTTCTGAGAATGACCTGATAACCTTGCAAATCCTATTATAGCATCAGTTCCCAATCTCATGCCAAGTCCTCTGAGACCAAGGAGGGAAAAGCCCAAGACGACCCCGAGGAGGCTTCATTCCCCAGCTGTGGACCGAGAACCCTGGCCAGGCTCCTCCGAGACCGGAGGCAGAGATGTGGCAGGAGTCAAAAGACCACAGATAAAAACTTTTCATGGCCTAACACATTCCTCCCACCCATTTCAGTTCCTCCTCGCAGAGGGAGCGGGAACTGTCAGCATATCCCTGTGATAACCAGGGTTCTCTTTTTATGGAACTGCAGGACCATAAAAAGCTGGGAAACCTTCAAACTCTGAAACAAAAATGCTTTAAAAATCAAAAACTGGCTAGGCGTGGTGGCTCACTCCTGTAATCCCAGCACTTTGGGAGGCTGAGGCGGGTGGATCACTTGAGGCCAAAAGTTCGAGACCAGCATGCGCAACATGATGAAATCCCATCTCCACTAAAAATATAAAAATTAGCCAGGCGTGGCCAGGTGCAGTGGCTCACGCCTGTCATCCCAGCACTGTGGGAGGCTGAGGTGGGCAGATCACGAGGTCAAGAGATCGAGACCAACCTGGCCAACATTGTGAAACCCCGTCTCTACTAAAAACACAAAAAATATTAGCTGGGCATGGTGGCACACGCCTGTAGTCCCAGCTACTCGGGAGGGGCTGAGGCAGGAGAATCGTTTGAACCTGGGAGGCAGTGGTTGCAGTGAGCCGAGATCGCGCCACTGCACTCCAGCCTGGCTACAGAGCAAGACTGCGTCTAAAAAAGAAAAAATTAGCCAGGTGTGGTGGTGCACGCCTGTAGTCCTAGCTACTTGGGAGACTGAGGCAGGAGAACTGAATTGCTTGAACCCAGGTAGTGGAGGTTGCAGTGAGCCGAGATCGCACCACTGCACTCCAGCCTGGATGGCAGAGCGAGACCCTGTCTCCAAAAAAAAAAAAAGCAAAAGCCAAGCAAATGTAGATTATTGTAAAAATGATTTCCTAATGAGATAATCACAGGCTTTTCCATCCAGATCTGCTTCTTCATCGACCCAGAAGGGGGCCCTGCCTGGGCAGCCACACGCAGGCTAGAGGCTCAGTGCCTCACCCGGTGGGGGGTCTGTCTCCAAATTTGGAGGTGGAGGTTGCAGTGAGCAGAGATCGTGCCATTGCACACCAGTCTGGGCAACAGAGTGAGACTCAGGCTTAAAAAAAAAAAGAACTTAAAAAAGAAAAAAAAAAAACTCAGCCTCTCAGTCACGCCAGCCCCATTTCTAGTAGTCAATGTCCACATGCGGCCATCGTTGCAGAGAGAGCTACCAGACGGTGCTGCACCTGAATGTCCAGCACTCACAGCCCAAAACACACTGGCATGGAATAAACAATGAGTTCCAAGTGTGTCCCACCCAGGCCGCTTTCCGGCTGCTCCATTCCCAGCCTGCACAGACAACAGAAACAAAACTCAGGTATGCATATGCTCTGTGCTACCAACCAGGCTAATCAAATGCCTGACATGTTATCTGGCCCTGCCCATTCCTCACCAAACCTGGACTTAATCAACCAGGTGGTTCCCCAGAACCTGGTGCTTCCGCAGATGATGGACAGGTACAGATGCCATTTGAAACTTAACTTTTCAATACAGGGCACTCTGGCTCACTAGGAGCCTGGATTCCTCACGTGGAGTCACTTCAGCAAGGACTGCCTGTCCACCTCTGCACCACCCACAACAAAGGCTTTCAGAGCCATTTTCAGGTTCCTAAGAAACACTCGCTAAACTATCATCTTCCAAGACCACAACTTGCTAACCAGCCCTGCCGTTACGTATCAGGTTTATTTTTGCTAGCCCATGTTGGCATTAGGTATATTTGAAAAAGTAACAGACATAAATTTCCTAAAATTCCATAATCCACATGTCTTGCTAAATCTTAGTGGATCACAGCACTGGTGATCCAAGACAAGGAGAGTGAAACAGTAAAGGCTAACAGAATGGAGTGTCTGAGCTGGACGGGCTCTCAGAGGTGGAGAGGAGGCAAAGGCACACAGGAGATGTGAAAAGAAGGCACAACAGTAAAGGCAGCTCTGATGAGGCTGGTGAAGCGGCACTCACTCCTCAGAGGAGCAGGCCACCTCCCAGCAGCCCAAGGCTGGGTGTGAGGGGTTCACCCTTTCCTTCTGATGTTTTAAAAATGACACATCCTCAGTAGAGGAAAGTAAAGCAAGATGAACATTCAGAAAAGAAGGCAGGCCTGAGGTTGGGAGTTCAAGACAAGCCTGGACAACATGGTGAAACCCTGTCTCTACTAAAAATACAAAAATTAACCGGGCGTGGTGGTGGGCGCCTGTAATCACAGCTACTTTGGGAGGCCGAGGCAGGCGGATCTCTTGAGGTCAGGAATTCGAGATCAGTCTGGCCAATGTGGTGAAACCCTGTCTCTACTAAATATACAAAATTAGCCCCATGTGGTGGCGTGCACCAGTAGTCCCAGCTACTCCAGATACTGAGACAGAAGAATCACTTGAAACCGGGAGGCAGAGGTTGCAGTGAGCTGAGATCTAGCCACTGCACTCCAGCCTGGGTGACAGAGTGAGAGACTGTCTCAAAAAAGAAAAAAAAAAAAAAAAAAAGTAGACTGCCGGGCGTGGTGGCACACACCTGCAGTCCCAGCTACTTGGGTGGCTGAGGTAGGAAGACTGCTTGAGTCCATGAGTTCAAGACCAGCCTGGGCCACACAGGGAGACCTTGTCTCTACAAAACAAAACAGACAGAAAACCCCAAAAAACAGACAAGAAAGCAAATCGCCCCAAGTAACCTTTTCTAATATTTGGTGCCCATTATTCTAGACTTGGAGTGCTTTTTTGGTTGCTGTTGTGTAAGGAGTCTTGCTCTGTCACCCAGGCTGGAGTGCAGTGGTGCAATCCTGGCTTACTGCAAGCTCTGCCTCCCAGGCAGTCAATTCCGGCACCCAGCCTCTCGAGTAGCTGGGATTATGGGTGCACACCACCACAATGGCTAATTTTTTTGTACTTTAGTAGAGACGGGGTTTCACCATGTTGCTCAGGCTGGTCACGAGCTCCTGAACTCAGATAATCCTCCCGCCTCAGCCTCTCAAAGTGCTAGGGTTACAGGCATGGGCCACTGCGCCCGGCCTAAACTTGGAATGCTTTTTAAAAAACAATCACAAACTTCAGAGCAGAAACTGAAGGTGGCCTCTGGTTCACCCCTAAAATTTCAGATGCAGAAGTGGCTTCACTGCTTGACCTCGGCTCACTGAGTACAGCTCAAGCGAAATGAAATAGAAAGTGGGACCAGAGACACCTGGTAGAATACGATGACAGCCTGTGTGAGGCCACCTGACTCAGCTCAGAGAAATTCAGATGAAAACAGAAGGTGATGACTGAAGGGGAAGACAGAGAAGCAACAAGAAAAATGGGAGGAGAAAGGCAAGAGACGGAAAGGTAAGATGATGTAAACAAAACTAGGTGGGCTTCTCTGGGTGCAGGACACCCAGCGAAAAGCAGAAGGCCAAAGCCAGGTCCATCTGTGACTGTTGCTGAGCCCACAGAGGCTGAGTGTGGTCTGCACAATGAGGAGAACCATCGAGAAGCCTGCAGGGAAGTGGGGTGCAGAAGCAGGATCGCCAACAGTGCACTCTTTGAAAGCAAGAACCGTGTGGAACTTCCCCACACCCAAGCCTGGTCCCAGGCCTCACACACAGCAAGTGCTCAGTGACAGCACAGGGTCCCACGGAGCCTAGATAAAGGGCCTCCCCAAGCTCCCTCTGCCCCTCGGCAGCCCCAGACAGCACACCCCAGGCTGCTGGGACCCAGGTCCTCCCAAATGGAACCCACCTTCCTGCTTAGCCCGTGTCAGCGCCACAGTTCTCCAGAGGCCACACTGCCACCTGCTTTCCCCTTCCCATCCGCACCGCCTGTTTCCCAAGCCAGCTCTCTGCCGCCCAAGTAAGACAATTTCAACAGCCTCTTCTCAGGTCTCCCAAACCCCTAGCACCTGCCACAGCCTGCTGTGCAGACGGTGCAGTGAGGGCACAGCCATGTGGCCCCAGCGCACCCTCCCAGCTGCTGGCCCCTCTACCTAGCTCCAGACAGGCCCTACCACCTATTCTTTGCAACACGTCCTCTTCCCCATCACATGTCCTGGGTTGGTCTGGAATGCCACCACCTGCACCCCTTCATATCACCTTAAGAAGAAAAAGTATCCATATCTTTCAACTGGGGAAGCTGAGGCACGGGCTGAGTAGGTCACCCACAAAGCCACACAGCTGCTCAGTGCCCAGCAGGCCTGGAAGTAACAGAACCTGTATTTAAATGGCACCTTAAAATGCATTCAAATGCCCTGCTTCTTCCTGTCCTCGCAATGGGTAGTTATCTCCATTTTAGAAATGGGGAAACTTTCAGAAATTATTAATAGCATTATGTCATGTAAAAAAAAAAATGAAATGGGGGAAACTGAGGCTTTAGAAGCCCCGAAGTCACCAGGCAGCAAGAACCACGCAACCTTCTCACTCCAAACCCAGGCGTTTCCCATGCCGTGCCGTCAGAACAGCTCTGAAAGCCAAGCAGCGCACACTGTCCTGTCACAGAGCTGGAGGATCAGGGTCGTGGTGGGGGAAACCAACCTCAAAGTCCCTCCCTCAGCCTGGGAAAGGTGAGAAGTTAAATGACTCACCGAAAGGCACGCGGCTAATAGACAGCCAGAGCTGGGCCTTTGGAAGATGTCTGTCTGGACGTGAGAGGTCAGACGCAGAAGCCCAGTGACACCCTGTCATCATCTCTAACATCAATTCACTGTCCTGGAGCACTCTTTCTGTGGTTTGGTGAACTTCCTTCAGAGGGTTAGGAATAGTAAAATCAAGAGTGACAGAACACCAACTGCGAGGGAGTCAGCGTCTGGTCTGGAGGTGAGAGGACTGCAGTGAACACACCCGTCTCCCCCATGCTTCACTCATTTCTCAGCTAGAAAGGCACTGGCGACACCCGCTCGTGGAAGGGCATCTCCAGACTTGACCGTGCCCCAACCCCAGCACCGGGAAACGTCCTCATGGCCTACGTCTGCAGCATAAGACAGCAGGGACCCTTCCCAGGAGGCCAAGGATGGCGCAGAAACTGCAGAGGTCCAACGCGTCCACCTCCAAGTCTCCTGAGGCATTCCGTGCCTCTCCTAACACAAGACATCGCATCAGATGCTGGTGCCAGCAGCTCTGGTCTTGGAGCCAGAGTTGTGGGTGAGGGCTTGGTGGATACCATCTCCAAGGTCACATGGGGGGACCCTTCAAGCAAGCCAAGCCGCAGGCAAGGTGTCATCTCGGATGAGTTCTGAGCCTCCCCTACCCAGCTCCATCGTCATGCACACGCAGTGGTGTCGCTCCATCCTATACGACAGGCAGTCGGTGAGCAAACCGGGACCCCTCCTGACCTCGCATTGTCCCATCAATCTAAAGATCTGGTCCACACTCCAGGCGTGCCTGCAAGAGCCCTGGTCAGGGTCGCCAGACTCTGAGATGTCCTCTTCCAGGTTCTGAAGCTGACCTAAAACCTAATGGTCTCCACGACACCCTCTGGGAGTCACTCATACTGTCCCCTTCTCTGCCGGGACTCCCACCCTCAGTGCCTGCAAGGCTCAGCGTCCTCCTGCATGCTCTGACCAGCGCTGTCTCTCTTGAAGATTCTCCCTTTCCCCTCCTACAAATATTTGAGAGAAATACAACTAGAACTCCACTGTTTGTATAAAAGCGTATGCCCTCTTCATGAAATACCAGCAGATTTTCTAATTGTATCCTGTAGGTATTGCAAGATATCCCAACTAAACTACAAACTCCTGGAAATGTCTCCTTTTTTCAGTGTTTCTAACGTGGTTCTTTAGTGTTAAAAACGCTGTTGTGCCGGGCGCAGTGGCTCACGCCTGAAATCCTAGCACTTTGGGAGGCCGAGGCAGGCGGATCACCTGAGCTCAGGAGTTCGAGACCAGCCTGGGCCATACGGTAAAACCCCATCTCTACTAAAATAAAAAAAATTAGTCGGGTGTAGCAGCATGCGCCTGTAGTCCCAGCTCCTCAGGAGGCTGAGACAGGAGAATTGCTTGAACCTGTGAGGCGGAGATTGCAGTGAGTTGAGATCGCAGCACTGCACTCAAGCCCAGGCGACAGAATGAGACTCCGTCTCAAAAACAAAACAAAAACAAAAAACAAAACCCCGCTGTTGTTACTTATGTGACAAAGAGCTTCTACACACCACTTTATACAACGATGTTAATTTTCACATTTCTGACTTTGCAATCATGAATCATCTCCCTGTTATATCCTTACATAAGCCACAATAAGATACAAAAATGAAAATCGAAAAGTCTACCTCATTAGACAACTTCACAACAACAGACACCACAGAAACTAGTTTTAATACCAAAAGTATACAGGTATTTGAAAAGCAGCTCAGCCTTCAAACCAATGTTCAAATTTTGCCTTACCTACTTTATCTTTTTTGGTTTTGTTTTGTTTTTGAAACAGGGTCTTGTTGTGTCACCCAGGCTGGAGTGCAATGTCCACAGCTCACTGCAGCCTCCAACCAGCAGCCTCAGGTGATCCTCCCACCTCAGCCTCCTGAGTAGCTAGGACTACAGGTACAATCTCTTATGAGACATCTTTTTGAAACATCTAGAAACTACAAACAGTCCACAGATTATACAAAATATAAAGAGTAAATTGTGCACAGTCGTTTACCGATTCCTACACACAAACGACTGTCACTTCAGACTACATTACCCTATTCTGGAGATGGTGCATTTCCCCATCCTTGATGGAACTGAAGTTCTTCGGGGTGAGAGGGGGACCAAAATAAGCAGAGGCTCTCTGTCCCCACCCCCAGTGTTCTCTCATCCCATCTGCCCCAGCAGAGCACCAGCATTCCCGGACTTCTACTCACCCCACAGGTAGGCTCCCCACCCCGCCAGCCTGTGCAGCCTCCTCCTGCAGTCCTGTAATCTTGAAGCTGCATGCATTTTTCATGGCAGAAACACCAGGTGCCTGTAAAACACCTTGTGACTTAAGGCAGGTGTTTATTTTTATATTTATTTATTTATTTAGAGACTAAGTCTCACCCTTGTTGCCCAGGCTGGAGTGCAATGGCGCAATCTTGGCTCACTGCAACCTCCGCCTCCCGGGTTCAAGCGATTCTGAGGCAGGTGTTTATTTTATCCAAAAGATGGACTAGTTTGCCCAGGGCTAGCTGGATCATGAACTGGCCAAATAGGGAAAGGTATCAGGACTCTGTCTCCTGACTTATGTCTTTCAGATGGTTTCTGCGGCTCTAAGCCGAAATCTCCAGTGCGTCCCAGGGTCACGTGGGTGGTGTATTAGAGCTGCAGGAATGTCTGTTTTGGGATTTCTGGTCTGCAGCTTACCTTGAGTTTAGGTTGAGCATGTGACTTAAACAATCTACTTCAGGTTCTGCACTCATTTAAAAGCAAAATTACAGACATGCAAGATGCCTGGCAAACAGGCACTAAATCCCAGCTACCATCGCTTTATCAATGCAAGAAGATTTAAATTTGAAACTGAACTAGAAAAAAAAGCATTTTTCATTGAAGTCAATAAGAGTGTCTTCTTCAGAGAAAGAAAACACACTTGCATGCAGAAAAGCCAAACAAGCAGACTTTCCTTTTCTCCACAAGTCCTTTCTTCCAAATTCACTGTAAGAGTCTCAGGCCCACTGAGATTGAAACTGGCCAGGGCAGTAAGTAATCAACCAAAGGAACTGCCAGTGATTGAGCTAAGTATTCCTTAGGCATAATAGAAGTTACATCATTTCCAAGTGAAAAATTGAAACATGAAGTATTGATCGTTTCCTCCCTGACAGATGCTCACCACTCCAGATGCAGATTTCTCCAGAATGTAAGAGGATTCTCCTCTGAGCATCTTTCTGGAAGGTGAGCTAAAGACTGTTGCGGGGCAACTGCCACCACCTGGCCTTCTTTTCTGACGGGTAATGGAAGCAACGACTGAGCAGAGGTCTCTCCAAAGACTGGTGTCAGAGGATGTCCTGGGCACAGTGAAGTGCCTCCCAAAGCACTGAGGAACCTGAAAGCAGAGAGCAGCGGACAGGCAGCCTTCCTTCCCGGGAAGCTCCAAGGCAGACAGTGGCCGAGAAGTTCTGTGATGCAAAGGAGACCCACTTCCTACTCCTCTCCTAAAAGCCACCATCACAGCTTAGCTTATTATTTGCTTAAAGATATATTTGCTTGTGGCCAGGAGCGGTGGCTCATGCCTGTAATCCCAGCACTTTGGGGGGCTGAGGCGGGAGGATCACAAGGTCAGGAGATCGAGACCATCCTGGCTAACACGGTGAAACCCCGTCTCAACTAAAAATACCAAAAAAAAAAAAAAATTAGCTGGGTGTGGTGGCAGGCGCCTGTAGTCCCAGCCACCTGGGAGGCTGAGGCAAGAGAATGGTGTGAACCTGGGAGGCAGAGCTTGCAATGAGCTGAGATCGCACCACTGCACTCCAGCCTGGGTGACAGAGTGAGACTCAGTCTCAAAAAAAAAAAAAAGATATATTTGCTTGCTAAAGTGGGATAATGGATATGTCACGAGGAGCACAAATTCTAATAAATTTGCATTTTATTAATATTAAAACTTAATGAAAAGTCCCACGCTTCTCCAAGCCACACAATGGGACAAGAAGCAAAGAAAGAAGTGCCAGCAACCTAAGTGTGAGCCAAGCTCAGGAAACCTTCTGCACCTTAGCAAGCCACTCTCAACTATACAAACAAAAGCAAGCCTCCCCTCGTCCCAACTGCCAAAAATTGACCTGATCACTAACGTCTCAGCAGCACTTCACTTATACATACAAGTAGCCACGTACACGTCTGAGAGTGCTTTCACACCAATGCACTATTTCATTTTAGCAGCCGCACTTCAACGGGGTGAAGTAGCTGCTCTCATTCCTTGCCTCACAGGTGAGGACACCCGACAGAAAAGCATCTCCAAGAGGGTGAAGGGGCAGAGCAAGGTTGGAGGCCAGGGACATGGGGGACGAATGCCGGCTGGATTCAAGGTCCAGGGCTTCTGAACCATGAACAACAAACCTTTGAAGGAACCATGGAGCTTATATGAGCTTAGACATACCTGTAACTAGCAATAAAAAACTAGTAACAAGCAAAGCCACTCATGTTTTCCAAATTGATCAGCAACTTTCACATCAAAATAAATTCATATGAGGCAAGTTTTAAATTCTGAAACATGCTAAGTTACCTTCTATTTACATCTTTAAATAAGTATACTTATATCAGAATTCTTTACCAATGAGTAAGGCCATGATTCCGGAGGCCAGCCTTCTTCGGTTGAGAATGCGGCAGGAGAAGTGGGCTTAATGGAACACATGTGGCACAGATCTCCAAAGCAGGTTCTCCATTAGTTCGTAATATATTTCCTTGTCAAAACTACCAGGACCATTCACTAAATGTAAACGAGCATTTCCCAAGGAAGGAAGTGAAAGATTTTTTTTTCACGTGAAACTCACTGGAAGCTGATGTTATATTTGCTATTTATACAAAGTGCTGCGAACATGGTCGGAAACAAAAAGAATCAGAGTCATTCACCTGCGTAAGGAAAAGCACAAGACTGAAATAGAAATAAGAGCAGACAACAATGAAGCACTGGCACATGGAGAACGAAACTAACATGCCGTTTTCTTACTATCTTGGTAAGAGACCCCAGCTAAGTAGCAACATTCTCCATCACCTCAGAATACAAGGGCGAACACTACAAGCTGCTGCTTGTTCATGTCAATCGTTTTCACCACTCTTTCCTTTCTTTGGCACAGAAGTAAACCCCAGTTGCAACTCAAAGGGCCCCATCTCTATGCCCTTCCTACTCTCAACCCAGGAGCACTTGAAGGAGAGGACAATGGGTCCAAGTCAGACCCCAAGGATCCTTTCTCCGCTTCTTACCCATCTTCCCCCCAATGAGTTTCAAAAGCCTGCTCCCTTGGTGCATTTCCACCGCCTGATGTCTGGGAAAGAGATACAGCAGGTATTTTTTTCTCTTCCCGTTTCCGAACTATTGTCCGCTGTTTGAAACACAAAACCATAGAAAACCATCAGTGATCCTTTGGAAAGGAAACAGCTTTAAGGGATCTCTTCGACTCCCCCCCAAAAAAGGATACTCACTGCCTCTTCAAAGAGTTTAAATATAGAAAGTCGCAGCCTCTTCGAAGGAGAGAGGGGACACATGCCCCATAAGTGCCACCCAAATTGAGAGCCTCAGTGTAGGCCGCGGGATGGGTGAGCTAGGGTGGAGCCCGGCTGGGGCGAGGGGTTCCTCTCCCCCGCGGCACACCCCGGAGAGGGGCTGGGGTCTCCCAAGGGGACGGGCCGCCCTACCTTTTCCGCGGGGCCCCGAGCCACCGGCGTTGCCGCTCCCCACAGCGCTCGGAGGATCCTTCCTGGGCCTCTTGCTCTGCGGCCGCACGCTGGACCGGAGGAAGTGGTGCTGGTCCTGGGGGCTGCCCTGCGGCGGGGACGGCGCCTGCGGCGCGCCGGGGGGCGCGGGGGGGCCGTCGGCGCCGGCCCGGGGGGTCTTCTCGTCCCTCTTTGTGCCGCTGCTCTCCTCGGCCGCGTCTGCGCCGCCGGCCCCTTCTCCTTCCAGGGACTCCTCATCGGCCGCCCGCTTGCCCAGCTTCTTGAGCCCGTCCTCCCCGCTGCCGCCGTCGCCCAACTTCACTGTCATCCTGCGGCCGGGAGAGGGGAGGCGGCCGGTGAGGCGGGCGCAGGCCGGGAAGTTTAGCGGCCCCGACGCGCTCTCAACATGGCCGCCGTTGTTTGTTCCAAATCCCCTCTCGGCGGCTCGGCCCGGCCCGCCCGAGCCCGCCCGAGCCCGCCGCGGCCCCTGCCGCCCCCACGCCGCCGCCCCCGGCCCTGCCCACCAGCCCGGGACCCTCCCGGGCCTCCCCGGACGCCCCCTGGCCGAGGCTCGCGTCCAGACGCCCGGGCCGGCGGCGGGAGGGCGCGACAGCTCGGCGGACCCTGCCCGGCCCCGGCCCCGGCCCCGGCCCCGGGGTCTATGGGAGCCCCGGCGCGGGCGCGGGTCTGGGCACGGTTGCGGGTCCGGGCCGCTGCCCCGCCCACAGCCACCTACCCGGCGGGGCCGCGGCTCATGGCCTGGCCCTGCGCGCCGGCCTCGCTCCCTGCGCCGCCTCGGCCGGCCGGGCCGCAGCCCCAGCCCTAGCCCCTCGTCCCACCCCCTCCCCGCCCCCCGAAAGGCGCGGGGCTCCCGGGCCCCGCGCACCTGCCCCACGCGCCGGCCCCCAGAGCTGGCCCTGGAGGAGGACAGAGGAGGCCGGATCCACCCCGGGACGGGAGAAGCGCGGGCTCGCCTGCCCGCACGGGGAACTCCATGGTGGCCCAATGCCGCCGGCCCGCCTGCTTATTTTAAAACACACATAAAGAATAATCAGCTCCGGGTCTCTGGGAATCTTCTTCCCAGGGTGGGAAATGTGAGCTGCTGCGGGGATTTACTAGTTAAAAATGCTTTTGCAACAAAGGAGCCTGTTGCATGGAACAGGTTGGAACCACCCGGGAAAGTGACAGCCCAGTTATGTCCGGGTCCAGGTGCAAGAAGCGGTAGAAGACAATGGTGTTAAAACTCTTGGCAACAATTAATAAAATTATTGCATCAACTTTGCTACCCACCGCCCTGTAAAATGTCAACAACAAAGTGCAGTGACTAAAAATGCTGCAGCCCAGAAAGCAGAGCCACTCAAAAATAAACTCAGACAATCAGGTACACAGCAAGAGCTGCAGCCCAGAAACAGTCCGGGACGGGCACGTGTGAGGAAGCAAAAACGCTGAAGATTAGATTCCTCAGCAGATACTGACCCTGCGTTCAACTCAACTGTTGAGAACGGGGGCATTTCCACTTCAAAGGAACACACGATCGAGGCACCAACACCAACCACGAAATACAGGGACGCGGGCGAGGACCTCTCTTTCCGAGAGATCGGGAAATGGCTTCAAAGTCGCAATGATGCCCCCACCCTGAGGTGCAGATCACACAAGGATCCGTGGCCGTTTTCTCCTGTCGGAATTGGTCTAGGGAATCTCGAGTTCATGCTAGTTTTAAAAAAAACTCTGCCAAAGAACAAAACCACCCACGACAAACACCCCAACTTAAGGGATTTCGTGGCAAGACTTCCCACTCTTCCCCCTCAACCCACCTCTTTCCACTCAAGAAACCTAAACCCCCAAAGACCTCGTCTCGGGCTGAGAACCCCGCTGCCCAGGGACCTGTCCGCCCGCAGGCCACCCGGGACCCAAGCAAAACAAACTCGGCCACCAGAGTGAACTCGCCCGCTCGCCGGGCTCCACACCCAAGACGCCGACCGAGCACGGGGAAGCGCTTTTCGCCACTGAAAGGACCGACGCCGTCCAGACTTTACCCTAAGGGCCAACAAGCAGGGGGATGGCCTCCTTTTCGCGAGAACCTCCAACGAGACCGGACTTTTCTCGGAGGCGCAGTCTCCTCCAGCCCCGTCCCGCTCCGCACCGGCTCGCGTCTCGGGATGGGGACGCAGAAGCCTCCTCGCCCTGAGGCCAGTTGTGGCTGTACCGGGCGCTGTGGAAGCGACGCCCCCCCCGCGCTCTCCCGCGCCGCCCGACAGGACCCCCCGGCCGGGCCTCGCCATGACAGCCCCGCCGCCCAGCCTTGGTCACCTTTTTCATCAACGCCGGGCGGCAGCCTGGCTTCCCGGGGCCTCCCCGGGTGCCCGCAGAACCAGCCGGGCCGGGCAGCCCCGGCCCCCGAGCGCCGGCTGCAGGGAGGCCGCAACGCCGGGCTGGTCGTCCGCCTCGGAAGCGACTGGTCGAGCGGCGCTAGCCCCGGCACGTCCCCTCCGCGGGCCGGCGCGCGGCTGCGGGGGCTGCGGACGCAGATACTGCCGCCACTCACCCTAGCGAAGCCGGCCCGCCGCCCTCAGCAGCAGTTCCGGCTACGGCGGCCGGTGGGGACCTCACGGACGGCGCGCGGGGGCGGGGCCGGGGTGCGCGGGCGCGCGGGGCGGGGCGACGAACGCGGGGGCGAGCACCCCCAATGTTTCTTCGGGCCCGTCTCCCCAAAACGGCGCTCCCATTGGCTAGCGCTGGGCGGGCGCGCTCGCACGTACGAGCCCGGTGGGCGTCGGGGGCGAGCCCGCGGCGCCAGTAGTGTTGTGACGCCAGCCTCGCGACCTTGCGGACTGTGCGTCTCTTTGGATTGGTGGACAGACAGCCAATAGGCCAGGGCCCGTGCTGTGATTGGCCGCAGCAGTGTTGACGGATACGTGAGAAGAAAACGGCGTGGTAGCTCGGAGTGTGGAATCGGGCGCGAACCTGAGTTCTGAGAAGTGTGGAAGCACGTCTGAGGCAGTTAAGCGCACCCTTTCCTGGGTGGAGTATGTGCTTCTGCGCTACGTTAGCGTAGCCGAGCGGCGCTGGGCACTTGGTCATTTTCTTCATAGCAAGAAAGCAGAGGGGTGTTTTTCAAATTCCAGTGTTTCTTTCTTTCTTTTTTTTTTTTTTTGAGACGGAGTTTCGCTCTGTCGCCCAGGCTGGAGTGCAGTGGCGCAATCTTGGCTCACTGCAAGCTCCGCCTCCCAGGTTCAAGCGATTCTCCTGCCTCAGCCTCCCGAGTAGTTGGAATTACAGGCGCGCGCCACCATACTCGCTAATTTGTGTGTTTTTAGTACATACGGGGTTTCACCATGTTGGCCAAGCTAGTCTCGAACTCCTGACCTCAAGTGATCCGCTCGTCTCAGCCTCCCAAAGTACTGGGTTTGCAGGCGTGAGCCACCGCGCCCGGCTCAAATTCCAGTGTTTCTTTTTCTTTTCTTTTTTTTTTTTTTTGACTCGCTCTGTCGCCCAGGCTGGAGTGCAGTGGCCCGATCTCGGCTCGCTGCAGTCTCCGCCTCCCGGGGCTCAGGCGATTCTCCTCCCTCAGCCTCCTGTAGCCGAGACTAGAGGCGCCACCGCGCCCGGCTAATTTTTGTAATTTTTTAGAGACAGGATCTCGCCTTGTTGCCAAGGCTGGTCTCGAACTCCTGGGCTCCAACGATCCGCCCGCCCCAGCCCCCAAGAGCTGGAAGCCCAAGCGCGAGCCCCGCGTCCGGCCGCCAGCTGCTTTCTTGGGGGCGCTCCCTGCCTCGCTTGGCTCTGTGGAGTCCGGGGCCCGGCGATGGAACAGGCCCTCAGTCACCCAACACCTCAGGACACTGCCGAGCGCATCGACTTTCCCAGAAACGCTTGACCCACGCCCTCCGCTCCGAAACTAGAAAAGCGGAGCCCAGGGAAGGCCTGGGCCGAGACCGCCGCGTGCTGGAAAGGCTCCGCCTCGGGATGCACGGGAAGGGAACACGCCCAGGAGGGGAGGATGCCGCGGTTGATCGGGGCTGTGACAGCGCGCCCTCCACACAAAGGGGACCCAGACGCCGGCCCTGCGCCGCCGTCTCTCCTAGAAAAAGCTCGTCCCGCTTCTCTCTTGCAGAGCGGAATAACCTGGCCCCCGACGCTCGGGCCTCGGAGCTGCACGTGCGTGCCCGATCGCCTTCGGCTCTTTCCGGCCGCTCGGGGCGCTTCGGGAGTCCTCGGGGCCGCCTCGCTCACCTTCGGCTATTTCCGCGTTCCTGGCGCGCCGTTGTCCCGGCAACGCGCGGCGGCTCAGCGGCCTGGCAGAGGTGAGTGGCCTTAGGGCTAGGGCGGCCGACCCAGGTCCTTAGGAGCCAGGCCGGGGTTTGGGGCCGAGGATGTGACCGGTGGCGGGCGTCGGGACCCTCCCGTCTCCTCCCACGATCCCGGCGCCGCCGAGTCCCCGCGGCCCCTCGCGAGTCCCATCGAGGCTGGGGCGGGCTTGGCGCGGGGTCCAGGTCGCTCGTCGGACTATGGCTGTCGCCCCCGCCCGGCCTCGAATCGCGGCTGATTCCGGTAGCTGGGAGAGTCCCTTTGGAATGGGCGGGGTGGGGAGGTGGGCGGCGCCATCACACCCCCGAGGCGAAACGGGACAAACGAGAGATGCAAAACAAAAACATGCTATGTTTGGTCACTCGCTGGGTCGGCCCTGAGGGTCGTGTTGCATCAAACCGCCAGCGCATGGCTTCTCAGTACCGTCCGCTGGATGCAGCGAGGACCCTGCGCAGGCCGAAGGCTCTGGACTGTGGCCTGGAGGGCGAGGCTTTGTAGGGTGGCCCCGGGTGCCTGTCCCCGAGAGTCCACCGTGGAGCCCCATCCCGGAGTTCCCTACTCAGCGTCACCGAGGAAGGCTACTCAAAGCCCTGTGACCCCGTGCCGCTTAGCTGAATGGGCTTAACAGATTCTTTCCCAAAAGCTGGTTTGATGGAGGCACTTGTAGAGGCTCTGGAGACGCTGGACGCCTGAAAGTGAGAGGAGTACTTCGGTTAGAATAAATACAGTTTTTCTCCTGTTCCCCAAAGTTGATGTATTTCCCGGTTTTATGTTCCAGAGACTGGAACTTTGTTTCAAGAAAAGGAAAGGTACTTGTTTCCGACCTGAAGCTATTACAGATTGTCATCAAGTACATAACTATTTTATTGTCAGCCATCTCTCCTCCTTGTGTTAACTTTTTAAATTATACTGATAATACTCATTTTGGGAACTTGTTAAGAGGCCGTTGAAAGGAACTATGAACAATTATATTAATGCATTGTGTATGGAACTCATTCAGGCAGGCCTGGAACCCGTTTCTTATATTGATACAACAGGAAGAATCTCTCTCCTTGCTAAGTTTCATCCGCGCAGGGCCTGTTCTGTGCAAGGCACTGTTGTAAGGAGGTGGGAATACTGGGTGCCTCCTGCTCTCTGGGGAAGATAATATGGGGGGCAATGTGTGAGCAGTGAAACTCACATTTACGGTAAAGTCTAAATGCAGCCACGGAGAAGCGCAACGTTGTGTGGGGACACTGGGCAAGAAGCACACGACAAAGGTAAAGCCATCAAGCCCTGAGAGAGCTCCCTTACCCAAAGCCGGGGGGAACCTTGAAAAACCCCAGGCAGGAAAGAAAGCAATTAGGGCCGTTTGCCTTCATAGTTATTGCACAGTGTCGTATTAATGTATCACTCATTTTTCAGAGAAATATTTTCACAGAGTAAACTTATTAGATCCTAATTTCCCTTAGCCCAGGATTTGTAACCTTGGGGCTGGCTGCAACATGTTAAAACCCCCTTTTTTTTTTAAACAGTTTTGCTCTGTCGCCCAGACTGGAGTGCAGTGGCAAGATCTCGGCTCACTGCAACCTCCGCCTCCTGGATTCAAGCGATTCTCATGTCTCAGCCTCCTGAGTAGCTGGGATTACAGGCAGGCACCACCACACCCAGCTAATTTTTGTATTTTTTAGTAGAGAAGAGGTTTCATCATGTTGTCCAGGATGGTCTCGATCTTCTGACCTTGTGATCCACCCGCCTCGGCCTCCCAAAGTGCTGGGATTACAGGCATGAGCCACCATGCCTGGCCAAAACTCATTTTAAGAGGTAATCCCAGCTACTTGGGAGACTGAGGCAGGAGGATCACTTGAGCCCAGGAGTTCAAGGCTACAGTGAGCCATGATCACACCACTGCTCTCCAGCCTGGGGGCCCTGTCTCTAAACAATATATATTTTTTAATTTAAAGGTTTCTTTTGCTATTTTAAATTGCCCAGGTTTTGATCTGGAGTGTTTGTTTGTTGTTCGGGTTTCTTTTTTTTTTTTTTTTTTTTGAGGCGGAGTCCTATTCTGTTGCCAGGCTGGAGTACAGTGGCGCGATCTCAGCTTACCGCAACCTCTGCCTCCCAGGTTCAAGTGATTCTCCTGTCTTAGGCTCCGGAGTAGCTGGAATTACAGGTGCCTGCCACCACACCTGGATAACCTTTTGTATTTTTAGTAGAGGCGGGTGGCGTTCGCCATTTTGCCCAGGCTGGTCTCGAACTCCTAAGCTCAGGCAATCTGCCCACCTCGGCCTCCCAAATTGCTAGGATTACAGGCATGAGCCTGTATAATTTTAAATGGTGGCAAACCCGGCTACAAGTATGTTCTTCTCTGCCAGTTAACTTCCCCAAATTGACTGAGGTGTAAAAAAGTGAGCAGTAACCAGACCGTCACTTTATTTATCACCCTAACCCGCCTGAAAAGGGACGATGTGTATATCTTTTCCAGATCTGAAAGGAAGAATGAAAGAGAGAGATTAAGTTCACGTAAGTGATCAAGCTCAACTTCTCACAGCTGCTGCGGCTGTGCATTCTTGACTCTCTAATAGAGGAAGACTTCTGTCTTCTACCACCTGTGAGTCAGAGGTAAAAGACAGTCTTTGATTTTATGCTTTATTGGAAATTCAGTACTGGTTTTTTTTCTGTACCAGTACTCTTTTCTGGAGCAGTTTGCATTTATTTTGTTTGAAAATGTTGTTTAAAAGGCAGTGGTGGCCCACGGCTGTAATCCCAGCACTTTGGGAGGCCAAGGCAGGAGGATTACCTGAGCCAGGGGTTCAAGACCAGCCTGGGCAACATAGTAAAACCTTGTGTCTACACAAATTACTTAAAAATTAGCTGGGCATGGTAGTGCATGTCTGTAGTCCCAGCTACTTGAGAGGCTGAGGTGGGAGGATCACTTGAGCCCAGGAGTTTGAGGCTGCAGTGAGCCGTGATCACACCACTGCACTCCAGCCTGGGTGACAGAGCAAGACTTGGTCTAAAAAGTTAAAGGGAACTACAGAAATAGAACTTGTCCTTATTGTGACTGGAATGAAAGTTACTGAGGATTGCGTGTGTAGTTAGGCTGCAGGCCTTTTCTTTCTTTCCTCCTTTGATGGCCATGAGTTGTATTCGTTTCTGTCACAGCCTGGGTGATTCCGGGTCTAACTGCTTCTCTTCTGCATGTCTCCCTGTTGGAGATCTCCTCGCATCAGGTTGCCTGCTCAGTCCGCAAGGCATTTTCAAGTTGCCGATGGTCTTCCGATGGTGGCTTTGGGATGCTTCCTTTTCGTCATTCCATGTACAGTCATATTGTTTGTTTTATTTAAAACTGATTGGACTTGGTCATTTTTTTTTCCCTGCAGGTTTCAGCGCTGAGGAGGCCTGAGTTCCGTCATGGCCCTCTATTATGACCACCAGATAGAAGCCCCGGATGCAGCAGGGTCACCCTCATTTATCAGCTGGCACCCTGTCCATCCATTCTTGGCAGTTGCTTACATCAGCACAACCTCAACAGGCAGCGTGGATATTTACCTGGAGCAAGTGAGTGCTCAGAAGCAAGGAGCCTGACTGTGGTAGCTTCTGGCTCATGTTGTTTGTGTTGCTGTTGTCCTTGTGTGTGTGCACATGTGTGTGTGTGCCTATGGGTGTGTGTGTGTATACATGCATCTGTGTGTGCGTGTATGTGTATTGGTGTGTGTATGCGCATATGTATGTCTGCATCTGTGTGTGTGTGCGCACACGTGGGTGTGTGCATATGGGTGTGTGTGTGCATCTGTATGCTTGTATGTGGGGGGGTGTATGCGTGTGTGTGCACACGTGTGTGTGTGTGCGTGTGGTGCGTGTGTGTATTTTCAAACGAACTCTACTCTAGCTTATTCATGAAGAAAACGACATCTATGAGGCCAGGCGCAGTGGCTCACGCCTGTAATCCCAGCACTTTGGGAGGCCGAGGTGGGTGGATCACTTGAGGTTAGGGGTTCGAGACCAGCCTGATCAACATGGAGAAACCCCATCTCTACTAAAAATACAAAATTAGCCGGGCATGGTGGCTCATGCTTGTAATCCCAGCTACTCGGGAGGCTGAGGCAGGAGAATCGCTTGAACCCAGGAGGCAGGGGTTGCAGTGAGCGGCGATCACGCCATTGCGCTCCAGCCTGGGCAACAAAAGCAAAACTCTGTCTCAGAAAAGAAAAAAAAGAAAACGACATCCGTCATCAGTTTTCACAGAGGCCAAATCCCAGGGTTATAAAAGCCCTAGTATGTGGGCAGTTCTTTCACGCTGGCTATTTTGGTGGCTTGGGGACATGTTTAGGAATCCTTCATGCTTATCAGCATTAAGCCACTATCAGTTCACAGTCATCACCAGAAATGTCCCCACAGTGCTGTTTGTGGATCCTGAGGCATCTTCCTCTGTCAGTGCCCTCCTGCACGCTCCATAGGGGCCATTTGGAACTCTAATCATTTCCACAAACTGGGTGGCTTTAAACAACAGGAAGGTATTCTGGCAGCTCTGGAGGCGAGAACTCCAAAATCAGGTGTCAGCAGGGCCCGCTGGCTCTGAAGGCTGAGGGGAGTGTCTGCCCCGAGCTGCTGTCCTGCTCCTGCTGTTCCCAGCAAGCCTTGGTGCTCCCTGGCTGGCAGATGCGCTGCTCCAGCCCTGCCTCTGGTGTCATCCGGCCTTCCCTTCTGTATGTCTGCGTCTCTTCTCCTCTTCCTAAAAGGACATCAGGCATATGTAACTAGGGCCTGCTCTAATGACCTCACCTGAGCTTACCCACATCTGCAAAGACCCTGTTTCCAAAGGACGCCATGTCACAAGGACCAGGGATAGGACTTCCACATATCTTTGTGGGGACACAATTCACCCCCTAACAGAAACGTTCCCCAAGCTCCTCAGACTTCGATAATCACCCTCTCGGTGCCCAGTGCACCTCATATTCCATAAAGAAAATGAGGTGCCAGGTGCGGTGGCTCACGCCTGTAATCCCAACACTTTGGGAGGCCGGGGTGGGTGGATCATGAGGTCAGGAGATCAAGACCATCCTGGCTAACACGGTGAAACCCCGTCTCCACTAAAAATACAAGAATTAGCCGGGCGTGGTGGCGGGCACCTGTAGTCCCAGCTACTCAGGAGGCTGAGGCAGGAGAATGGCATGAACCCAGGAGGCAGAGCTTGCTGTGAGCCGAGATCACGCCACTGCACTCCAGCCTGGGCAACAGAGTGAGACTCCATCTCAAAAAATATAAATAAATAAGAAAATGAGGTTTCCTCCTCTACTCACTCTTCAGCCCTCTGCAGGCTCCCTATTGCCACCACAACTTCACCCAAGCAGCGACAGTCATCAGTTGCTTCTAGGTGTCACCCCCTGAGTGTTTTGGGGTCCTTGTCTGTACCACACTCCTGTGAAGTCCTCTGGGAAACATGCCCGAGAGCGCAGGGGTAGGGCGTTCCCTGCCCGGCCTCCATGGCTTTGCCAGCTCTTCCTCCATTTCCAGCTTGTGAGCACCATGGCCTTCTGCAGAGCTTGGTCAGGGCTCCTCTCCATTTCTTCCTTCTCCTGTGATCTGAGCATCCCCAGTGGCTTGCAGACATACATCTCCTGCCTAGAAGTTCCCTCTGAGCTGTAAGCTTAGGGACCCAGCTGCCTTCCTGACATCTCTAGGGTGTTTCAAGGAGACCTCAGACTGTACAAAACTGAACTGAAATTGTCCCCCACCCTTCCCCTGCCTCATATCTCCTGCTCACTGAGATGGGCACCTCCCATCTCAATGAAAGTCACCCCCTTTATCCTGGTTTCTAGAACAAGAACCTGGGCATGACTGTTGACATTTCCCACTCCCCTACCTTGTAATCCATCACTAGATCCTCCCAGTTTCTCCCCCGGAACCTCTGGCGAGTCTGCTGCTGCTTGCCCTTCCAACCGCCCTTCCCTCCTCCAGGTTCCCATCCCCCTCTCCTGGACACCAGTACAGCTTCCTACTGTGGCAGCTGTGCCCTCACAGGCCTCCTCTACTTTACACGGCAACCAGGCCTGGCCTGTCTTGGCATCACAGATGGAATCACTCCCTGCTCCCACCTCCCCGGCCCTGTGCTGCTCTTTGGGTGAACATGGAGTCCCTGATGTGGCCCCTAGCGCCTCCCAGGTCTGGCTCTGTCACCTGTCACATCAGGCTCACCTTCCTTGATGCTGACACAGCCTTGCACAGCCTTCCTCGGCCTTCCAGCCCTGCACATGCTGTGCCACCTGCAAAGAAGACACTCCTTCATCCATTTTTGTAATTAATGCATTAATCCTTCAGGTGAAAGTGGCTAAGTGGCCCCTTAGGAACTGCTCCCCCCTCCACACACACACACACACACACACACACACACACACACACACACGCCCTTGCAGCGCGATGCAGCGCTGGTCAGCGGCTCCCCTGTTGCCAGCAGGCTCCTCCATATACTGGCAGCTTTGCGAAGGCCGTGCCAGACTTAGGGCTCAGTCCAGCCCCAGCACCAACCCCACTTTTGCCCATTTTTTTGGGTAGATTCTCCCTTGCAGGAGCCTATAACATATATGGTAAATGGGATATTTTTTAAAATAAATATTATTAAATTCCAAAGTTATAGCAATTTTAGGTAAAATTTTTAAATTTAGAAGATCTAAAGCATACTATTATAAAACTAGTCAATAGCATATTTCTGTGTTTCCAGTTGGCACAAGGAAAACTTCAGGATTTCAAAATAGTGATCTATTGGACAATGATGAGATCACAGAAGATGGCTCCTAAGCCCAGTGGAACAACTGGGGGCAAACCAAGTTAATCTCTGAAAACGCACTTATATCTTCCCCAAAGCTGCTGCTTTAGAAAATTTTAGAAAACACAGCACATGGCCGGGCACGGTGGCTCACGCCTGTAATCCCTGCACTTTGGGAGGCCGAGGCGGGCAGATCATGAAGTCAGGAGTTTGAGACCAGCCTGGCCAATATGATGAAACACTGTCTCTACTAAAAATACAAAAATTAGCTGGGCTTGGTGGCGCGCCTGTAGTCTCAGCTACTTGGGAGGCTGAGGCAGGAGAATCGCTTGAACCTTGGAGGCGGAGGTTGCGGTGAGCTCAGATCATGCCACTGCAGCACTCCAGCCTGGGCTACAGAGTGAGAATCCATCTCAGAAAAAAAAAAAGAGGAAACGCAGCACATATCTCACAAGCTGTCATTAGTGACATCACCACATCACACAGCCTTTGAAAAGCTCCACTGTAGACGCGTGAAAGAAGGAGAGTATGAATGGCACTAACCTGTCACTATTATTCTGAAAATAATTTTCACCTTTCAGATCCCTGAAAGGGTCCTGGGGTCTCTGGACAACACTTTGAGATCCCTGGGGCCACAAACCTCACCTGCTGGCTCGCTGGTGGTTTTTGTAGATAAGGTTTTAGGGAACCCAGCCACGCACTAAAATGCGTGCCAGCCATCCAGCAGCCATGGGGAGGAGGTGGCACATCATGACAAGGTGGCACTCCATGAGAAGCTGGTCGGGGTTGCCAGCTGAGCACAAGTTACCTTCTGCTTTGGTAGCTCAGCTAGGGGCAAGGTTGGTGCGTTTTTATGAAAAATTAAAGAGTCTACTGAGAACATTGCCCCATTGCCTTAATAGCTTTTGTACCTTGTCGCCAATGTGGAGTCCACAGATCACACAGAAGTTTTGTTTGTTTGTTTGTTTGTTTTTGGAGACAGAGTCTTGCTCTGTCGCCCAGGCTGGAGTGCAGTGGTGCGATCTGGGCTCGCTGCAACCTCTGCCTCCTGGGTTCAAGCAATTCTCCTGCCTTAGCCTCCCGAGTAGCTGGGACTACAGACGCCCGCCATCACACCTGGCTAATTTTTGTATTTTTAGTAGAGACGGAGTTTCACCAAATTGGCCCAGCTGGTCTCGAACTCCTGACTTTGTGATCCACCCACCTCAGCCTCCCAAAGTGCTGTAATTACAGGAGTGAGCCGCCGTGCCCGGCCTAGACAGAAGTTCTTAAAAGTAGCTGTCCCTCTCTGAACTGTGGGAATTTGCCTCTCATCCAATGCAGGGGGAGTGCGTGCCAGATACACACGTCGAGAGGCCGTTCCGGGTTGCTTCCCTGTGCTGGCACCCGACGCGGCTGGTGCTGGCTGTGGGCTGGGAGACTGGAGAAGTGACGGTGTTTAACAAGCAGGACAAGGAGCAGCACACGATGCCCCTGACACACACAGCCGACATCACCGTGCTCCGTTGGAGCCCCAGTGGAAACTGCCTGCTGTCTGGGGACAGGGTGAGTCAACACGCGCAAGACGCTGTTTTCAGACCTTGACCCTTTCTGACCATGCTCGAGAGTATGAAAGATCAAAATATGGGAACCGTGCTGTTGCCAAATTCAGTTGATCTTGTCAGATGCAATTGTAGATTTTGTTTTATATTGGAAGCAAGGCTTGAAAATTTGCCACTCTGTGGCAAAGGTGTGTCTGCACCTTTATAAATGAACTTTGCTGGGAAACTGCATTCGTAAAGATACGTGCCCAGATACTGTCACTTTTCCCTAGGCCTGTTTGTCTAGCTCAGGGCTTCTTAACCAGGGTTGGTTCTGCCCCCCAGGGGACATGGGGCAGTGTCCAGTCACATTTTCTGTTGTCACAATTTTGGGGGAGGATTCAGCTGGACCCCTGTGGGTGGGTGGTGGATGCTGCCCACCATCACACAGTACACAGGACAGACCCACAGCATAGCGACATGGTGCAGAGGCAACTGAATCACAAATATATGGCAGAAATGTTACAATGTGTTTACTTAAATAACCACAGGTAACACATTCACATGTTCCAAGATTCAAAAAGGGTAACAGGCATCTAGAGTGAAGACTGAGCCATGTCCTGTCTCCTCAGTCCCCTGGCTGCTGCCTTCCAGCACACACAAGTGCATTCTTACCACCTATCCTGCTGCTTCAGGCACACACAAGTGCATTCTTTCTCTCACTTGAGATTTGAAATTTCTACATTATGAGAGGAGTTGAAAGAACAGTGCAAGGACACGCATCCACCCTCCATGTCGATTCGCCCGCTGTTCCCACTGCCAGGTCTGCTTTCCCTCCAGCTACGTGGGTATTTTACCTGAGTATTTGTGAGTTTATCACAGATAACGATGCTTCAGCCCTACATGCTTAGACGCCACTCTCCTGAGGCCTAGGGCATTCCCTACCCAGGCACAGTAGAGTTCTCACACTCCAGGAAATGTAACAGTGACAGTGCTGACATCCAAGATGCAGTTTATGTTCACATTTCTCCAGCTGTCCCAGGAATGTCCTTTAGAGCAGGAATCCAGTAAAGGCTCATACGTTGCATTTCTGTTATTTCTCTCTAGTCTCTCTCTTTTTTTTTTTTTTTTGTGATGGAATCTTGCTCTGTCGCCCAGGCTAGAGTGCAGTGGCACGTTCTCAGCTCACTGCAACCTCTACATCCTGAGTTCAAGCGATTCTCTCTCCTTAGCCTTCTGAGTAGCTGGGATTACACGCATGCACCACCATGCCCAGCTAATTTTTGGTATGTTTAGTAGAGACGGGGTTTCACCATGTGGGCCAGGCTGGTTTCAAGCTGCTGACGTCAAGAGATCTGCCTGCCTCGGCCTCCCAAAGTGCTGGGATTACAGGTGTGAGCTACCACGTCTGGCTAGTTTTTTTTAATCAAGAACAATTCCCTGGTCAGTTGGTTGGTTAGTTGCCTGCATTCCTTCCTTTTTTCCTCCCTTTTTTTTTTTTGGTCTTTCATGAAATTTACATTTTGAGGATGTAGACTGGTTGTTTTATAGACTCTCACTCAAGTTGGCTGTGTTTGTCTCCTCATAATACTTTCATTTCAAACGTTTTTGGCAGAAATATCACGTAGAGGACATTGTCTCCTGATTTCCTCATTCTTTTTCACATCAGTGGTGGCATCCTATACACACTGTCATGTCTCTTGCTTTTTCATTTTACAGCGTATCCTGGTGATTCTTCCATATGGGTAAACAGTAAACTTCCTTGTTTTCTTTAAACCGGCTCTTCTTTATATGAATGTTGTAATTTACTGAACCAGCCCCCTGTTGATTAACATTTTGGTGGTTTTCAATCTTTTGCTAATTAGACAATGGTGCAGTGAGTAACCTTATGCTTTTGCCATTTTGCACCTGTGTACATTTTTTTTTTTTTTAAATTTATTTTTTTATTGATAATTCTTGGGTGTTTCTCACAGAGGGGGATTTGGCAGGGTCATGGGACAATAGTGGAGGGAAGGTCAGCAGATAAACAAGTGAACAAAGGTCTCTGGTTTTCCTAGGCAGAGGACCCTGCGGCCTTCCGCAGTGTTTGTGTCCCTGATTACTTGAGATTAGGGATTGGTGATGACTCTTAACGAGCATGCTGCCTTCAAGCATCTGTTTAACAAAGCACATCTTGCACCGCCCTTAATCCATTCAACCCTGAGTGGACACAGCACATGTTTCAGAGAGCACAGGGTTGGGGGTAAGGTCACAGATCAACAGGATCCCAAGGCAGAGGAATTTTTCTTAGTGCAGAACAAAATGAAAAGTCTCCCATGTCTTCTACTTTCTACACAGACACGGCAACCATCCGATTTCTCAATCTTTTCCCCACCTTTCCCGCCTTTCTATTCCACAAAGCCGCCATTGTCATCCTGGCCCGTTCTCAATGAGCTGTTGGGTACACCTCCCAGACGGGGTGGTGGCCGGGCAGAGGGGCTCCTCACTTCCCAGTAGGGGCGGCCGGGCAGAGGCGCCCCTCACCTCCCGGACGGGGCGGCTGGCCGGGCAGGGGGGCTGACCCCCCCACCTCCCTCCTGGACGGGGCGGCTGGCCGGGCGGGGGGCTGACACCCCCACCTCCCTCCCGGACGGGGCGGCTGGCCGGGCAGAGGGGCTCCTCACTTCCCAGTAGGGGCGGCCGGGCAGAGGCGCCCCTCACCTCCCGGACGGGGCGGCTGGCCGGGCGGGGGGGCTGACCCCCCCCACCTCCCTCCCGGACGGGGCGGCTGGCCGGGCAGAGGGGCTCCTCACTTCCCAGTAGGGGCGGCCGGGCAGAGGCGCCCCTCACCTCCCGGACGGGGCGGCTGGCCGGGCAGGGGGGCTGACCCCCCCCCCACCTCCCTCCCGGACGGGGCGGCTGGCCGGGCGGGGGGCCGACCCCCCCACCTCCCTCCCGGACGGCACGGCTGGCCAGGCGGGGGGCTGACCCCCCCACCTCCCTCCCGGACGGCACGGCTGGCCAGGCGGGGGGCTGACCCCCCCACCTCCCTCCCGGATGGGGCGGCTGGCCTGGCGGGGGCTGACCCCCCCCACCTCCCTCCCGGACGGGGTGGCTGCCGGGCGGAGATGCTCCTCACTTCCCAGATGGGGTGGCTGCTGGGCGGAGAGGCTCCTCACTTCTCAGACGGGGCAGCTGCCGGGCGGAGGGGCTCCTCACTTCTCAGATGGGGTGGTTGCCAGGCAGAGGGTCTCCTCACTTCTCAGACGGGGCGGCCGGGCAGAGACGCTCCTCACCTCCCAGACGGGGTCTCGGCCGGGCAGAGGCGCTCCTCACATCCCAGATGGGGCGGCGGGGCAGAGGCGCTCCCCACATCTCAGACGATGGGCGGCCGGGCAGAGACGCTCCTCACTTCCTAGATGTGATGGCGGCTGGGAAGAGGCGCTCCTCACTTCCTAGATGGGATGGCGGCCGGGCGGAGACGCTCCTCACTTTCCAGACTGGGCAACCAGGCAGAGGGGCTCCTCACATCCCAGACGATGGGCGGCCAGGCAGAGACACTCCTCACTTCCCAGACGGGGTGGCGGCCGGGCAGAGGCTGCAATCTCGGCACTTTGGGAGGCCAAGGCAGGCGGCTGCTCCTTGCCCTCACCTGTGTACATTTAGAAAGCACCAAGAAGGGGGTGCAGATGGGTCCCGGGGCATGCCCTGTGGCTTAGCGGATGCCCAAACCACTGTCCTTGGGGCCTGGGCCGGCTCATAGTGCACACCAGCCTCTCTCCCTAGAGAGTTGCGTGTGAGTAGCAGAACTGCTCAGGAAAGTAGTATCTCAGAGTGTTTTCATCCAGAACAGCTCCCTGGTGGGTCTAAGTGTTTCTTAGAATTTTCATTTATGTTTCTCTTGCTATCAAGGATGAATATCATTTATAGGAGCCATTTGTGTTTCTGTTTTTTTTTTGAGACAGAGTCTCACTCTGTCGCTCAGGCTGGAGTGCAGTGGCGCCATCTCGGCTCCCTGCAAGCTCCGCCTCCTAGGTTCACGCCATTCTCCTGCCTCAGCCTCCCGAGTACCTGGGACTACAGGTGCCCGCCACCACGCCTGGCTAATTTTTTGTATTTTTAGTAAAGACGGGGTTTCACTGTGTTAGCCAGGATGGTCTTGATCTCCTGACCTCGTGATCTGCCCGCCTCAGCCTCCCACAGTGCTGGGATTACAGGCGTGAGCCACCGCACCCGGCTTGTATTTCTATTTCTAATCATATTATTCGCCAAGTTTTTTTTTTATCAGGTTGTTCCCTTCTTCTGGATGATTTTTCTTCCATTTTTCTGTTTAATTCCCACCTAATGACATTGGCCTGTCCCCAGATTTCTACTTCTTTGGTGATCTTTCCTACTTTCTGCAGTGGAACCATCTGCCAATCCCACATTAGTATAAAATAACTCAGGATCATTGACTTTTGTAATTCTCAGCTTGACTGTGTTGAGAAACAAGTAAGCCAGGCATGGTGACATGCACCTGTAGTCCCACCTACTTGGGAGGCCGAGTCAGGAGAATCACTTGAGCCCAGGAGTTTGAGTCTAGCCTGGGCAACATAGCAAGACCCCATCTCTTGAATAAAAGAAAGATAGAAACAGCTAGCAAAATAGATTATCCAGGCATAAAATGAAACCCAGGTATCAGTTGATCAAGTCTTGTGAGTCAGAATATTTAAGAGCAGAAATGCCTAATCCTTCTAAGAAAATCTAAGATTGTGCTGGAACTAATTTAGTAATGAGTTCAAGCAGGAAGAGAAGTAATCAAGAGGGAACAACACTCGGAACTCTACACTGCAGAGACATCTCTTCCCCAGACTTGGTGCAAGGCGCTTCCCTGCTCTTCCACCAGAGACCCTGTTGTGGTTACCCGTGGAATCAGCCCAGACCAGCTGAAGTTAGAAGTGCACTTAACCTGAGGCCGCTGGGGTATCCCACAGTCTCCCAGGAGAGCACGGCCAGGTTAGGACGGCCTGCTCCTGCTCCCTGTCCCAAGTCCAGACTCAGGGAGGGGCCTCAAAGTCCAGCTCGGGCCAAGTGCCCACAGTGCACCAATCAGCAGTAACCAGGGAGGCGGGCAATCCCTAGAAAGGGATTTCCCACTAAGTGTCCTTAGAAGTCCCATCAGTAGAGAAGAGGAGAGCACGTTAGACGGGCCAGGCCACTCACGCCTTCTGGGGAACTCCTGCGAGCCAAGTCTGAGGGTCAAGTAAACCCTCACCTGACGCGCACCCTGATGTGGGGCCAGCCAGCCTTTAGCAAAGCTTCCCAGTGACGTGCCGCTGGAGAACCCACCACTTTAACTCGCACTCTGATGCCGTGATGCACCCCCAAGACGCTCATCCAGCGCACGCCACTTTCCCATCAGCCCCTTAGTCCACTTAACTCTGGCTCTTCACAAGGAGAGCTGGTTTCTCACCTTTGGGGTAGCTTTTCTTTACGGTCTTACTGTATAAAATTATACCGTGTGAAATAACGCAGAATTCACAGATGGTGGAGAGACACCCCTCAGGAGTGGTGACGGGTACAAAAAAATGAAGGCGGAGGAGACCCAAGCCTGGACCCTGGGGCAGCTCAATGCTAGAGTCAGGGGTGAGGAGCAGAGGGTGCAGCCGAGGAGGTGGAGGCGCCTCGGGCTCAGTTCTACGTCTTGTACTTCATGCTCACATTCCAGGATCGTTGGGCAGAAACCTGAGGATCAGGAATATTTGACTCATTGCGTCCTGTGATTTCCTTTCCCCTGAGTTGGTGGAAGTTGAGCTCTTGATAGTAGACATCTGTCCCTCTCTCAGAACGAGGGTTTGCTTTCATCCTCCTGAGCAGAGATCTCTGCTTTTGGGCGCAGGCGCTCTAAACTTTTGCATCCAACAACCTCTTCCCCCAGAGCAGCAGCCTGGAAACTTGGACATTCCAGGTGGCAGCCTGGAAACTTGGACATCAGCCTGTCTGATGATGTTGAGAATGCTGGTTAAGTGGTCAGCTAGAAGCTCGTATGTGCTAATAAAGATTTCTAAAGTCACTTGTGCAAAAAATCAAAACAAAACAAAGCAAAACAAAAAACTAGCAGATGACATGTGAAGGGCACAGGAATGAATGCCTCTGAGGATGTGGTGTGCATAAAATGCTTTGCAGACACGGGAGCCACTGCGGTCCTCGGCTCCAGGGAGGAGGCTGGGAGGGGGATGGGGGGGTCATTCATTTTCATTTCTATCATTAGGTGGGGGGTTTTCTCAATATGTAAGCATTATTTTTAAAATATTTTTTAAAAATTACTAAACACAAATACACCAATAGTGGTTTTGTTTGTTTGTTTGTTTTTGTTTGTTTTAGACGGAGCCTCACTCTGTCACCCAGGCTGGAGTGCAGTGGCGGGATCTTGGCTCATTGCAAGCTCTGCCTCCTGGGTTCAAGCAATTCTTGTGCCTCAGCCTCCCAAGTAGCTGGGATTACAGCAGGCGTGCACCATCACACCCAGCTAATATTTATATTTTTAGTAGAGACAGGATTTCGCCATGTTGGCCAGGCTGGCCTCGAACTCCTGACCTCAAGTGATCTGTTCACCTCGGTCTCCCAAAGTGCTGGGATTACAGGCATGAGCCATTGTGCCTGGGCTGCCTAGTGTTTTTATTTTTGTCTTCATCAAGCTGTTAGAGTCAAGAATCATATGATAATATACACTATTCCTATGACGTGTACTTACATGCCACATGCTATTTTAATAGATCTTGCAAAACCTTTCTTAGAGGTTCCTTGTGTAAGTTTCCTTTTTTTTTTTTTTTCTGAGATGGAGTCTCACTCTGTCGCCCAGGCTGGAGTGCAATGGCACTGCAACCTCCACCTCCCAGATTCAAGTGATTCTCCTGCCTCAGCCTCCCGAGTAGCTGGGACTACAGGTGTGCACCAACATGCCTGGCTAATTTTGTATTTTTAGTAGGGACCAGGTTTCACCATGCTGGCCAGGCTGGTCTCGAAATCCTGACCTCGTGATCTGCTTGCCTCGGCCTCCCAAAGTACTGGGATGAGAGGCGTGAGCCACCAAGCCTGGTCTGTAAGTTTCCTTTATTTTATTTATTTGTTTGTTTGTTTGTTTGTTTATTTGAGACGAAGTCTCACTCTGTCACCCAGGCTGGAGTGCAGTGGCGCCATCTCGGCTCACTGCAAGCTCCGCCTCCTGGGTTCACACCATTCTCCTGCCTCAGCCTCCCGAGTAGCTGGGACTACAGGCGCCCGCCGCCACGCCCGGCTAATCTTTTGTATTTTTAGTAGAGACAGGGTTTCACCGTGTTAGCCAGGAGGGTCTCCATCTCCTGACCTTGTGATCCGCCCGCCTCGGCCTCCCAAAGTGCTGGGATTACAGGCGTGAGCCACCGTGCCCGGCCTGCAAGTTTCCTTTAAATCTGACATTATTTGAAAATACTCTTCCTGTGTACAATAAAAAGCATGTTATCCAGCATTTGGGGAGATTGGAGTCGGTGCTGCCTGAAAAGGCGGTGGGAAGAAGAGCGTACTGTGGGCTAAAGGGCCCCCAGTTTTGGGCCAGGAAGCGTCCCCTGGGGAGTGCTTGGCGTCTGAGCGGAAGAGCCACGCACACGGACTCAGACTGAGATGCTGCCCCTGGGTGCCGCCTAACCGCATCCCCTCGTCCCGGGAGGCCCCGCCGGCTGTCCCTGTGGAGCCGTCCTCCCCTTCCCGAACTCCACTCGCACCTGTCTGTGCCGCGCAGTTGCGACTGTGATGGTTTTAGATTGAGCACGCAGCGCACCAAGCACGAGGACTTCACTTCTTACCCCATTCTCCAGGAAACAACCGTGGCTCCTCGGAGAAATGGCTGATTCCAGAACTGGAATACAAAAATGAGCCTAGGCCAGGCGCTGTGGCTCACACCCGTAATCCTAGCACTTTGGAAGGCAGAGGTGGGAAAATTGCTTGAGCCCTGGAGTTTGATACCAGCCTGGGCAACATAGTGCGACCCCATCTGTACAGAAAATACAAAAATTAGCCAGCTGTGGTGGTGAGCATCTGTATTCCCAGCTACTCGGGAGGCTGAGGTGGGAGGATCACAGGAGCCCTGGAAGCAGAGGCTGCAGTGAGCTGTGATTGCACCACTCCATTCCAGCCTGGGCGACACAGTGAGACCCTGTCTCAAAAAAAAAAAACAAAAAACTTTTTTTATAAAATGAACCTAGGTAATCTTAGGGCACCAGAAAGGAAGTGCTCACCAAACCCAGGTAATGGGGGCACATCAAAGGGACAGAGAGGCCAACTAGAGAGCTTAAAGCTGGCACAATGTGAGCAACAGAATACATGAAGCAGCCTTGGATGATAACCCAGCATGGGAAGTAAATACCCACGTGTCCACCCTGATGCAAACACAGGATTGAATGAATGAGTTAATGGTGGTGAAGAGGCAGGTCTCCCATGCTGAAGAAGCCCGGGTGGTTTACATGGATGCTCCACCCCTGAGGGTAGGGTGTATCTCCCACTCCTCAAGTACAGGCTGCAGAGAGTGACTTCTTTCTGAACAGTACGGGATGGAGGGGGATCCGGGGAAGAGCTGCTTCACAGTGGAGAGACCCCACAAGCACAACCTCCACCAGGTGGTCGAGGTCAATGCCGGCAGTGACAATGCCGGCAGCATGCAGAGAAGGCACCTCAGCTTTATGCTCCTCCTCCCCAAGTCCTCCACCCCAGGCAACTATGAGAAAAACTATCAACAATCCCAGTGGAGGGGCATCCCATGATATACCCAGCCAGCAGGTCTCACACTGTCCAGGGCCTTAAGACAAAGAGCCTGAGACCCTGTCATAGCCCAGAGGAGCCTGAGGAGACACGGCGGCCAGATGTCACGTGGGGTCCCAGCCTGGCCAACATGGTGAAACCCTGTCTCTACTAAAAATACAAAAATTAGCTGGGTGTGGTGGCATGCACCTGTCGTCCCAGCTACTCAGGAGGCTGAGGCAGGAGAATTGCTTGAACCCAGGAGGCGGAGGTTGCAGTGAGCCGAGACCACACCACTGAACTCCAGCCTGAGTGACAAAGTGAGACTCCATCTCAAAAAAAAAAAAAAGTTTATTTTAAAAAGTTGAAAATATAGCAGTTGCTAACTCTAGGCATGAAGATGTGGAGACGCTCTGTAGAAGAGTTTCCAGTTCTTTCTTTAAAAACTTTTGAATTGTTTGAAATTTTCATCGTGTATACACAGTAGTTTTGTAACTTTTTTAAAAAAGGAATATGCATGTGTTCTGTTGCACAGTTTAACTTTTGCCTTCCACCAGTCACTCTGCCAGGACACCTGTCCCTCCACCAGTCACTCTGCCAGGACACCTGTCCCACCACCAGTCACTCTGCCAGGACACCTGTCCCACCACCAGTCACTCTGCCAGGACACCTGTCCCTCCACCAGTCACTCTGCCGGGACACCTGTCCCACCACCAGTCACTCTGCCGGGGCACCTGTCCCTCCACCAGTCACTCTGCCAGGGCACCTGTCCTTCCACCAGTCACTCTGCCAGGACACCTGTCCCTCCGCCAGTGACTCCGTCAGGGTACCTTGCCAGCCTTCATGGGGAGGTCAGTGCTGGGCACCGTGTGGCTGGTGTTCACCTGTCCCTCCACCAGTCACTCTGCCGGGACACCTGTCCCTCCACCAGTCACTCTGCCGGGACACCTGTCCCTCCACCAGTCGCTCTGCCGGGACACCTGTCCCACCACCAGTCGCTCTGCCAGGACACCTGTCCCTCCACCAGTCGCTCTGCCGGGACACCTGTCCTAACACGTGGTGTTGGGTCTTTCCAGCTTGGTGTCTTGCTCTTGTGGAGGTTGGACCAAAGGGGCCGAGTGCAAGGGACGCCTCTGCTGAAACACGAGTATGGGAAACACCTCACGCACTGCATCTTCCGGCTCCCCCCTCCTGGCGAGTAAGTGTGGGGCTTGCCCTGTGACCTGTGTGTGTGTTTACATCGGGGGAGGTGGGAAGCGGGCTGCTCCTGACCCAGGAGGGGCCCCAGCCCTGAGGTGCTGTAGGAGTGGCAGAAGAATCTTGCTTCGTGTCGTGTTTGCTTTCAGGGACCTGGTTCAGTTGGCAAAGGCAGCTGTGAGCGGTGATGAGAAAGCCCTGGACATGTTTAACTGGAAGAAGAGCAGTTCTGGAAGTTTGCTGAAGATGGGGTCTCACGAGGGGCTGTTGTTCTTTGTCAGTCTGATGGACGGTGAGGAACTTTGGTTGTGATTCTCAGGGGTCCTAGCATTTTAGGGGTGTCTGGTAGGGATTTTAAACTCACAGATGGCGTTTCTGCATAGAACAGTAACGGTGATAGCAGCAGGCTGCACAGAAAGATGACGTGTGCCAGGCGGAGTGCCGCAGCCACTCTCTGCAGCCATCCATCCAGTGTTGAAATGTTGCCCTCGCTTTGTTCTGATAGACAAGTTGAGTTTTGCTTGTGTTTGAAGGGTTTTCATGAGGAGGCTTTTAATCAGCATTTACAGGCTGACTGCATGGCACCAGAGACAGTTTTGGAAAAATTATTTGGTGGCACCCCTGGTATTCAGTCTGTGTAATTATCAAGCACCTATTGTATGCCAGGTACTTGGCTAGGGTGTGGGAATGAGGTGTGAGCAGGGCAGGGGGTTTCACTCCAGCCTGAGGCCCCCGGCCAGCCTTCATGGGGAGGTCAGCGCTGGACACCGTGTGGCTGGTGTTCAGCCCGTTCTTCCTCACTGTACGAGGGGGACAGGCTGCGCAGCCAAGGCCAGAATAAATGCAATATGAAGTTAAAAGAAAAAGCGCATCTCTTACAGCCATGTGACACTAGCCCAGGTGTGTGGGTTGCTGGCGTGGCTGAGGAGATGAGAGCCACACAGAGGTGGCCGGGTCTCGGGAGAAAGGAGGCTTTTGCTATCGGTTTCACCAAGCAGCCGGATCTTGACAGGAAGAAGAGAGCAGATGAGAGCAGACGGGGCTGTGTGGTTTTTGTAATTTTTAAATAAGGGAAATCTTTCATTTTAGAAGGTGAAGACATAGAGCTAATGGAGGGGGGACATTGAGAAGATCCCAGTGGGGACATCCGAGTGGGCACAGCACTGTGAGATGGCAAGGAGGGGGCGTGCCAGGATGGGGCCCCCCAGGAAGGCTAATGAGAAGGGGGTGGAGAGATGAGGCCCACAAGGAAGAAGCGCTGGTCACCTAGAGGAGGGGGTGCGTGCCAGGGAGGAGCCTGGCTCTGGTGGCGTGTGGGCTGCGAATTCCTGCCGGTTGTCCGGGAGCTGTAGGCTTTGTGGGTGAGTTCATCGCTGTGCCTCACGTCCTTATGTGGAAAAGGGGGTAATACTGGTGTCTACCCAGTTATCGTAAAGATGCTTAGAACTGAGCCTGCCACGTACTGTGCACTTATTAAATACTAGTTGGTGTCACAATTCACCTCTAGGTGATCCTGAACTCTTCAGCTGGGTAAGAGTTTGTGCTGGGTGTGGTGGTGCCTGTGGCCTCAGTCACCTGGGAGGCCTGGTTGGGAGGATCACTTGAACCCAGGAGGCTGAGGCTGCAGTGGGCTATGATCATGTCACTCTACTCCAGCCTAGCTGACACAGTGAGAACCTGTCTCTTGAAAAAAGAATTAATAATAAAAATAAGAACTCATTATCCATCGGGAAAAAGATGAGAGGGGAGGGGCAGGTGAGAAGGCTCCCAGAGGAGTCTCCACAGAGCAGCAAAAATGAGCCTGAGTCCCCAAGCTCACACAGGGCCTGCAGACAGAGTGGCTGGCCAGCACCGGAGCAGGCTCAGGCAGGGCAGGAAGAGGGGGATTCCAGGCTGGGTACAGTTAAGTCCTGTAGCTTAGGCCAGGAGCAGCTTGTGGAGGTTGAGAGAGGGAGGTCCAGAGAGAGCCTGGCAGGAGGCAGGCGGCACAGCAGCGACACCCAGGGCAGAAAGGACAGGGAGTAGTGGCCACAGAGAGGGCTTGTCATTTAGGGCCTCAGCGTGTGGAGGGTATGAGGTGGACTCAGAGCTCCGAGGCTGCCAGATCTGCAGGGTCAGCAGTGTGGATGTGAAACCCTCCAAGACAGGGGCAGAGGAGGAATCCATAGAGACAGCTTGAGGCTGAGCTGAACCCATGAAGTGGAGGTTGCAGCCTGTAAGGTCAGGTCACATGCTTCATTTTTAATTTTTTTTTTTTTTTTTTTTTTGAGACAGAGTCTTGCTCTGTCGCCTAGGCTGGAGTGCAATGGCGTAATCTTGGCTCACTGCAACCTCCACCTCCGGGGTTCAAGTGATTCCCATGCCTAGGTCTCCCAAGTAGATGGGATTACAGGCACATACCACCACGCCCGCCTGGCTAGTTTTTGTATTTTTAGTATAGACAGGATTTCACTACGTTGGCCAGGCTGGTCTTGAAATCCTGACCCCAGGTGATCTACCAGCCTCGGCCTCCCAAAGTGCTGGGATTACAGGCATGAGCCACTTTGCCCGGCCCATTTTTAAGTTCTTATACTGAAGATGCTTTGCTTTGAAAATGTCCTTAAGTTGATAGAAATGGCTGCTGGTGAGGGTCATGGAAGCAGATAAACCAGGGCCTCCTCATGTAGTGACCCCACGTTTGTCCCCAGGGACAGTGCACTATGTGGATGAGAAGGGCAAGACCACTCAGGTGGTGTCCGCAGACAGCACGATTCAGATGCTGTTCTACATGGAGAAGAGGGAGGCACTGGTGGTGGTCACAGAGAACCTCCGGCTGTCCCTGTACACGGTGCCTCCTGAGGGCAAAGCAGAAGAAGTGATGAAGGTGAGTGGGAGTGGGCTTGGGGGCTCACGCTGGGGATCTTGGGCCAGGTTCTCTCTGGCCTCGTTGACGGCCCTTTCTCTTCTGGATAGCAAGACTGAAAAAAAGCCTATCAACTGAGTTAGGGCGGCTAACGTAGCTAGCGGTGTCATTATTTATCATACCACATTCAATTCATAGGTGAAGGAAACAAAAGAGATGGAGATTCTCCTGCATCTTTGGGTGGATGTGAGGCCTGATGGGAGACAGCCTGGGCCCACCCCCAAGCTGCACCCCTCATGACCTGGGGTGCAAGTAAGAGAGTCACACTCGCTGCACAGCCTCTCATTCCACCTGCAGAACTCAGCGGGCAGGCGACCGTATCCCCGTCTTCCAGCTGGTTTGTTCCACAGGAATCCCTGCTCCTTGGAGGCCACTGAACTTTCCCTAAAGATGCTCTTGCAGATGACAGAGCTGATTTTTTCTCAGTCAGTGTTCATTCGGGCCTTTACATGCCCTGTAAGGGCGGCTGAGGACATGGGCACTAGTCACAGGGACCTCGTCCCAGGGGCCAGCTTGGGCCACCGTAACAACCTACCACGGACTGCGTGACGTGACAGCAGACATTTGTCACAGTTCTAGAGGCTGATATCCCACATTAAGCAGCCTGCAGGGGCCTCTTCCCGGTGTCCCCACAGGGCAGGGAGGGAGAGGGAGCACCAGCTCTGGTGTCTCCTTCCACGGCCACAGCCCTGCCAGGCCAGGGCTCATCCACCCCAGGATCTCATTAACCTTAAGTACCTCCTGAAGGCAAGTACAGTTGCACTGGGGGTTAGGGCTCCCACATATGAGTTTGGGGTATGCAGTTCAGTCCACAGACCTTGCTTTAAATACCCTGCTCAGTTCCTCACTGGCCGGTGGGCCCTGGCCAGGTTTGTTCTCTACAAAACAGGGATGATAGGCCTGCCCAGAGCGTGTGGTTGGATGAACAGGGAGCACCAGCTCAACTTAGTGATCACTCCAGAGCATGTCCACCGATGGCCACCTGCCCACACCCTGTGCTCAGTAGCCATTATTACTATTATTATTATTATTATTATTTTTGAGACGGAGTCTTGCTCTGTCACCCAGGCTGGAGTGCAGTGGCCCAATCTCAGCTGACTGCAATCTCCGCCTCCCGTGTTCACGCCATTCTCCTGTCTCAGCCTCCCAAGTAGCTGAGACTACAGGCGCCTGCCACAATGCCCGGCTAATTTTTTGTATTTTTAGTAGAGATGGGGTTTCACTGTGTTAGCCAGGATGGTCTTGATCTCCTGACCTCATGATCCGCCTGCCTCGGCCTCCCAAAGTGCTGGGATTACAGGCATGAGCCACTGCGGCCGGCCCAGTAGCCATTATTTAATGTACAAGAGTAGTGGTTTGCTTCGGCCCCTACATCTCAAAACCCAAAGCCACCTCACAGAGTTTCTATCATTTGTCCCCATGTTTCCCCCACTTGGTGAGTCTCCATGAAGTCACTGAGGACCAGAGACTCCAGGCTCCTGAAGCCGGGACAGGCCGTCTCAGCAAGCACGGTGCCTCTGCTCGGTTGTTTCCTCACACAGGTCAAGCTGAGCGGGAAAACCGGCCGCCGGGCAGACATCGCTTTGATTGAAGGCAGCCTTCTCGTGATGGCCGTCGGGGAGGCTGCCCTCAGGTGAGAGTCTGCCTTTCCAGTGCCCCTTGATGAGAGTTCCCTGAGGAACAGGCTCCTCTAAGTCAGCTTTGTGTTGGAATGGAGCATATGTAAAATGCACATATGATGCTGAGTGCTCTCATACTGGACGTACCCATTCACCAGCTCCCAGACTGAGGAGCTGAGCATTAAGAGACCCCAAGAGTCCCTGCCCGCCCCACTGCACTCCCTCGGGGCTCCCCTTACCCCCAGGTGGCCCTGCCTTGGTGTTTGCCCGTGGAATCTCTTTGCCTGGTTTTTCGGAGTGTGGCATAACTAGAATCAGTCGTTGTGGTCTCTGCTGCCTGCTGCGTTAGCTCAGTGTGCTGTCCGGGGCCATCTCGTGCTCTGTGTGGGGCTGCAATTCCTGTGTTCTCTTGGCGACCTCCTGCCATATACAAACCACCATCTATCGGCAACGGCTTTCTTTCATTAGAAACAGGACATAAAATGTCCCAAATGTAACAGCAGTGTTCGTTTTCATATCAGGAGTCTGATGAACTATGTCTTTTTCCTGACTTTTAATGTTTGCTCCACAGGTTCAAAAACCCCTCAGAGGGAAACGCCACTAACACAGGCCCTCCATGGGGCTTGCTTTCTTCTGTTGTAGATTCTGGGACATAGAACGAGGAGAGAATTATATACTGAGTCCAGATGAGAAGTTTGGCTTTGAGAAAGGAGAGAATATGAACTGTGTGTGTTACTGTAAAGTCAAAGGTGAGGCTTCCTGGCCTGGCACAAGAGAAACAGAACCAACCACAAGCATTGTGCGCCGGCTGCAAAATAATGGTAGTGAAACGTGGAGGCTACTCACACAATGGTAACTTGGTAACTCACAGCCATTCAAATAGTCGGGCAAGGGCAAGCAAGCAACGGCAGAGCTTTGTGATCCCACATGAAGGCCAGGGGGTTTGGTTAGAAGCATGACAACCTGCATCCCAGTACTTGGGGAGGCTGAGGAGGGAGGATCACTTGAGCCCAGGAGTTCAAGACCAGCCTGAGCTACATAGTGAGACCCCGTCTCCACAAAAAATACAAAAATTAGCCAGGTGTGATGGTGTACAGCGGTGGTCCCATCTACTCAGGAGGCTGAGGTGGGAGGATTGCTTGAGCCTGGGAGGTTGAGGCTGCAGTGACCTAAGATGGTGCCAGTGCACTCCAGTCTGTGTGACAGAGCGTGACCCCATCTAACAAGAAGCAAACCGATTCCTGCTCATTGATCTCTGTTCCCTCCTGAAATGCCACGGGAAGGACAGTGCAGGAAGTGTGTGTGTGTGTGTGTGTGTGCATGCATGTGTGTGTATGTGTGCATATGCACATCCAGAGCACAGGAGACTAGGAGGTGAGCCAGAGCCGCGTCTCTAGTGCCTGCTGAGTGCTGAGCATGGGGCAGCCCCGAGCCAGGCCAACTGGCCTCTAGGAAAGCTGGGAGAGCAGCATCCCCCACCACCCCCGCACTGGCACTGTGAGGTCAGGGCAGCAAGGACCTGGGCAGAAAGATGCAGCCAGGGATGAGGTGGAGAGGCACCAGACTGGGCGAGGGCTGATGCTTTGAAGAAGGGGGTTAGAGAACAGAGCTTGTTGCTGTTTTGTTCCCTTTTTTTAACTCTGTTCACATGCAGTTTGTTTCTACCTGTAGGTCTTCTGGCCGCTGGTACCGACAGAGGGCGAGTAGCCATGTGGAGGAAAGTACCAGACTTCCTGGGCAGCCCCGGGGCAGAGGGCAAGGACAGGTGGGCCCTTCAGACCCCTACCGAGCTCCAAGGAAACATCACGCAAATCCAGGTACAGCCTCCAAGGGTGTTCGGTGCACTCATTTTCTGCTGCATGAAAGTGGAGACCATGGCCGGGCGCGGTGGCTCACGCCTGTAATCCCAGCACTTTGGGAGGCCAAGGCGGGTGGATCATGAGGTCAGGAGATCGAGACCATCCTGGCTAACACGGTGAAACCCTGTCTCTACTAAAAAATACAAAAAATTAGCCGGGCGTGGTGGCGGGCGCCTGTAGCCTCAGCTACTCAGGAGGCTGCGGCAGGAGAATGTCGTGAACCCAGGAGCTGGAGCTTGCAGTGAGCCGAGATTGTGCCACTGCACTCCAGCCTGGGAGACAGAGTGAGACTCCGTCTCAAAAAAAAAAAAAAAAAAAAAAGAAAGTGGAGGCCATAAATGACTCTGAACCTATTTTTATCAGTTATTCAACTTAAGACTATGTGAAAATAACAATAATAAGACATTTTAAAAGACCTTTTGGATTTCAGAATTGCAGATAAGAGATTGTGGACCTGTATTAGTTATAATATGTATCTACCCACGAACCCATCCCTCCCTCTCCATCTCTCTCTATCTGTATGAAAAAGAGCTTTACTGAGATATAACTCATGATATATACAAAGTGGTTTTTGGTATATTCACAATTTTACAAACATCACTGCAGTGAATTCTAGAACAGTTTCAGCGCCACAAAAAATCTGTACCTTTTAGTGGTCGCTCTTATTTTCCCCTCTCCAGCCCTTGGCAGCCACTAATCTACCTCCTCTCTCTAAGGATTTGCCCATTCTGGATGTTTCATGGAAATGGAATCACACAACACCTGGTCTTTTGTGCCCGGCTGCTCCCACTGAGCTGAGGTTTCAAGGCCCCTCCAGATTGTAGCCTGTGTCAATGCTTTGCTCCTTTTCATGGCTGAATCACATTCTCTGCTGTGAACAGACCACGTTTTCTTTCTCCATTCATCAGTTGATGGACATTTGAATAATGCTGTTACGAACACTTGTGTACACGTTTTTGTGTGAGGATGTTTTAATTTCTCTGCAGCATTTGGTTCTTTCTTATGATTTCTCTCTGTTCCTGTTCTCTACCTGATGAGACACTGTCGTTGTAGCTTCCTTCACTTCACCAGGCTGGTTTCCTTCAGCTCCTTCACCACGTTTCCAGTGGCTGCTTTGAAGTCTTTGCTAAGTCCAACATCTGAGCCCTTTCAGAGCAGTTTCTGATGTCTGGGTTTTTTCCTATATGGAATTTATACTTTCCTATTTTGCATAGGTCTTTATTTATTTTTAGATAGATTTAGAAGTTTAATATAAAATTATGAAACCAACATTTCACATCAGCAGAAGAAAGCTGGATAATTTAATCCATTATGTAAACTTCCTGTCTGTTTATAAAAAACATAAACATCCCTATGTCACACTCAGAAAAGTGTGTCCCACTCAGAAAAACTCTAGAAAACGCTCTTCCCATCAGAACAGACATACCAGTGCTGCCTGTCCAATCACAACCCTTGAGCATCAGTATCTTGAAGTCTTTCTACACAGCATACTCTTTACCTTTATAAGACTTTTCTTATAATGTCTTATAAGATCATTTTTTAAGTCCGGAACAATGGTACTTGGAAATGGTTTCTGAGTTCTCGTGTGTGTAAGTATTCTCCTGACCGCATCTTTCTCCTGCTCTGTTCACACATCTGGTTCTTTCTCTTGCAACCTGGAAATGAAGTGGGGTTCCAGGAAGAACCTGCTGGCAGTGAACAGCGTCATCTCCGTGGCCATCCTCAGCGAGCGGGCCATGTCGTCACACTTCCACCAGCAAGTGGCCGCCATGCAGGTCTCCCCGAGTCTGCTGAATGTGTGCTTCCTGTCCACGGGGGTCGCACACAGCCTGCGCACCGACATGCACATCAGTGGAGTGTTTGCCACCAAGGTGACTGCCGAGGGGACCCGTGGGTGGGACACAGACAGAAGAACTGCCCCATGGCCAGGTAGTTCAGGGCAGCAAGGGCCCCAGATGGCAGGTTAGGCCACTCTCAGTTCCATCCTAGATTCTCTTATTTCCTGGATATCCATGTACATTATATTCATAAAGAAAATCGTAATAAGAATATAGGCCAGGCACGGTGGCTGACGCCTGTAATCCCAGCGCTTTGGGAGGCTGAGGTGGGCAGATCACTTGAGGTCAGGAGTTCGAGACCAGCCTGGCCAAGATGCTAAAACTCCAAAATACAAAAATTAGCCAGGCGTCGGGGTGTATGCCTGTAATCCCAGCTACCTGGGAGGCTGAGGCAGGAGAATCGCTTGAACCCAGGAGGTGGAGGTTGCTGTGAGCTGAGATCGTGCCACTGCACTCCAGCCTGGACGACAGAGTGAGACCATGTCTCAAAAAAAAGAACATAATAATAAAAAATATATACACCTGCCATGTACCCTTATAAATTAAAAAAAATGTCAGTTAAACAATAAATTTAAAAAGTAAATAAAGGAAAGAGAGGGATACTTTCTTTGCCATTCCCCAAACCTAAAAAAAAAAGAAAAAAAAAAACAGAAAAGAATCATAATAAAACCCATGGATATCTTATATAACACGGAAAACAGCCTCAGCCTGTCCACAGAGGACCCAGTGATCTCATAGTCGTAGGATGATGGAGCAGCAGTGTTCAGAAGTGTTTAGAGGAGGCTTTCGAGGTGTGCAGTGGGGTGTACAGTTGCACCTCACTTTTCCCGCCCTTTGCCTCGAATGTCCGTGGTTCTTTTCAGGATGCTGTCGCAGTCTGGAACGGAAGGCAGGTGGCGATCTTCGAGCTTTCTGGAGCCGCGATACGGAGTGCAGGTGGGTTCTTTTCACCCGGACAGAGGCACTCCCACTACCTGGCTTTATTTCCTCCCTGCCTAATGAGAGGGCCACTGTGGTGCAGTTGAGGGCTGGCACAGGGGCTGGGGAGACCCTTGTGCTACTGCCTGCGCTTCCAGAGCCAGGGCTGCAGCTGTGGCCCCGTGCTGCCAGTGCATCCTGGGGCCTGCTGTGTGGGCGTAAACAACCACCGTGCTTTTGTGGGGTTCCTTCCAGGGAGGAGGTGGCTGCCTCCCATCTTCTGAAATGTTTCCAGACCATGCACAGCAGTGAGACCTGTGGTGTCTTGACCCAAGGCCAGCCTCTGTCTGAAACTTCAAGGTGGCTCCTCAGACATGCTCCGTTAATCTCAAACACCCTTCTAGGTCCCCAAGATCTCTCCAGCTCTCTGCGGTTAGTTTTGCCATTGTTGCCCAGGCTGGAGTGCAGTGGTGCAATCTCACCTCACTGCACCCTCCGCCTCCCGGGCTCAAGCAGTTGTCCTGCCTCAGTCTCCCCAGTAGCTGGGATTACAGGTGCGTGCCACCACACCCGGCTAATTTTTATATTTTAGTAGAGACGGGGTTTCAACATGTTGGCCAGGCTGGTCTCGAACTCCTGACCTCAGGTGATTTGCCTGCCTCGGCCTCCCAAAGTGGTGTGATTACAGGCGTGCGCCTCCGCGCCCGGCCTTGGCCATTGTTTTCTTCCTGCTCTCTTCAGCACATCTATGGGAGTTTCCTGAGGCAGCTGTAGCAAAGGACCACAAACTTGGTGGCTTCAGACAAAGATGTGGGAAATGTATTCTCCCATAGTTCTGGAGGCCAGAGGTCCCAAATCAGTTTCACTTTTCACTGGACAGAAGTGATCGCGTCAGCAGGGCCACGCTTCCTCTGCAGCCCCAGGGGAGAACCCGTTTCAGCTTCTGGTGGCTGCCAGCAGTCTTTGGCTTGTGGTCACAAACCTCCAGTCTCTGTCTCTCTGGTCACATTGCCCCTGGTCTGAAATCTGCCTCCCTCCCTCTTACAGGGACACTCGTGAGTGTATTTAGGGCCTACCTGGATAACTCAGTATAATCTCCCCATCCCAAGACCTTACCATCTTCTGCCATATAAAGTAATATTCACACATGCCAGGGAGCAGGACCTGGCATCTTTAGGGAACCTTTCCCAGCCCATTGCAGTGGCCCCGCCACCAGGATGTGCAGCTCAGCTCCCCCCATTCCACAGTTATCACCTTCACCAACCCTGCCCCTCAGCCGCCTGCCCACACAGGAGGCCGCGTGTCATGCTCTTCCCAGGGCGGTTGCCCCCTCGTGTGTTTGAACGCCCCCACCTCTTCAGGCACATCCATCACTAGTTTCCGCCTCTCCCTCAGATCTTTCCCACATTTTTTTTTCTCTGCTAACACTTTGTTGCTTAAAGTTCTCTCATAACATTTTTCACACTCTGTCCAGGATTGTACCGACACTTCACATCCCCTCTCCTCCCCTCCCCTCCACTCCCATCCCCTCCACTCCCCTCCCCTCCCCTCCGCTCCCCTCCCCTCCCCACCCCCCGCTCCCCTCCCCTCCCCCGCTCCTCCCCTCCCCTCTCCTCTGTAGACTCCCTAGGAGCAAGGGTGAACTTCTTATTTCCCCCAGTAGAACCAACACAGCAGGTGCTGGGATATTTTTTGTTTTGTGTATATTATCATCTCCCTAACTAGATTCTTTCTGAGACAGTCTTGCTGTGTCACCCAGGCTGGAGTGCAGTGGTGTGATGGCGGCTCACTGCAGCCTCCATCTCCTGGGCTCAAGCGATTCTCATGCCTCAGCCTCCCAAGTAGGTGGGATTACAGGCATGCACCACAACACCTGGCCAATTTTTGTATTTTTAGTAGAGACAACATTCCACGATGTTGGCCAGGCTGGTTTCAAACTCCTGACCTCATGTGATCCACCTGCTTCAGCCTCCCTAAATGCTGGGATTACAGGTGTGAGCCACCAGGCCCGCCTCTAGATTCTTATCTATTATGTTGCTGCAAAAGTAATTGTGGTTGATGGCAAAAACTGCTTTTGCACCAACCCTAATAGTTAGGTCCAGGGACCAGGGCTTGTGGCCACCAGAGTTCCACCTAAAATGAGCAAACATTTGCTTAACTGGGTGTGTTGTCATAGATGCTGTGCTGCTGGGAGCACCAGCTGCCAGATGGGAGGGGTGAAGGGCAGGGAGCCCAGAGCCCAGCATGGAGTCTCCACATCAGCCCAGGACCCGCACGCACTGCCACTGCTAGCCGTGGCCACGACAGTTCCCTGTGCCTCAGAGCCTCATTTTCTTCATCTGCGAGGTGCAGATAGTGCACCCCTATGAAGCTGTGGTGAGGCTGAGATTAATTAGGGATCGTGTGTGGGAATGCTCCTGAAACTCCCAGCAAGTCTGGCGGATGAGCGGCCGCCATCCTGATGTTCGTCTTTCATTTTAGGGACCTTCTTGTGTGAGACGCCTGTGTTAGCAATGCATGAAGAAAACGTTTACACGGTGGAGTCAAACCGAGTTCAAGTTCGAACCTGGCAGGTAAGTTGCTGCTCCACTGCAAGAAAACCAGAGCAGAGTTTGAAATCCTGCCTCTCAATTGAGACAAAGCCTGTTTATTGATTTCACCTAAGGTTATTAGTCCTTTCTCACACTGTGTAAAGAACTACCTGAGACCGGGTAATTTATAAAGAAAAGAGGCTTTGTTGACTCACATTACTGCAGGCTTTACAGGAAGCATGACTGCGGAGGCCTCAGGAAACTTACAATCCTGGTGGGAGGCGAATGGGAAGCAGGCACATCCTACATAGCCGGAGCAGGAGGAAGAGAGAGCGAAGCGGGAGGGGCCACACTCTAAACAGCCAGATTTCGTCAGATCTCTATCACAGAACACACTAGGAAACTGTGAGAAACCACCCCCATGATCCAGTCGCCTCCCCCCAGGCCCCACCTCCAACATTGGAGATTACAATTCATCGTGAGATTTGGGTGGGGACACAGAACCAAACCATATCACCTCGCTAGATGGGATTTCCCGCGTCAGGTGCTTGATGGTGAAAATGAATCCTAGGACAGCTGTTTAATCTGTGGCTGTCACTTCAGAAATCGGGAGACAAGGCAAGGACCTTTTGCAGTGAAAAGGATGACTTTGCAGGACTTTGAATACACGGGGCTATGAAAAGAAAATAAATCCTTGCTGGGCTTAACGTGCACCCTGACGGCTGGCTGGGTGGCTCCAGTTCAGGACATAATGTCCTTAGCCAGGCTGTCTCCCGCATGTGTCTTGTGGGAGGGCCAGGGCGACCTCTAAGAGGTTCTCTTTTTTTTTTTTTTTTTGAGATGGAGTCTTGCTTTGTCGCCCAGGCTGGAGTACAGTGGCGTGATCTCAGCTCGCTGCAATCTCCGCCTCCCAGGTACAAGCGATTCTCCTGCCTCAGCCTCCTGAGTAGCTAGGACTACAGGTGTGCGCCACCACACCCAACTAATTTTGTATTTTTGGTAGAAACAGGGTTTCACCATGTTGGCCAGGCTGATCTCGAACTCCTGACCTCGTGATCTGCCTACCTTGGCCTCCCAAAGTGCTGGGATTACAGGCGTGAGCCACCACGCCTGGCCAGGAGGTTCCCTTCTGAGTAAAGTCAGGCATCCACTGCCCCGTCTGCATCCCACACACACTGGCTGGAACCTGGGGGCAGACACAGTGTGTTGATTTCCTGTGGCTGCCCTAACAAATTACCACAAACCGAGGGGCTTCCGACACAGACATTTTTTCTCTCACAGTTCTGGAAGCCAGAAGTCTGCAATCCAGGTGCTGTCCAGGCTGGTGCCTTCTGGAGGCTCTGAGGGTGAGCCTCCAGCTCTTCCACCTTGCCTCTTCCAGCATGAGGTGGCGCTGGCAGGCTTTGCTGTTCCTTGGCTTGTGCACTTGACCTTGAACCACAAGGTCTGAACTGCAGGGGCCACTTAGATGCACATTTCTTCTGGTTCTGCCACCCCGAGACACCAAGATCAGCAACCTCCTCTGCCTGTTCAGTGTGAAGATGATGAGGATGAAGAGCTCGATAATGACCCACTTCCACCTCACAAATAGTAAACATATTTTCCCTTCCTTACGATTTTCTTAATAACATTTTCCTTTTCTGGGTGACTTTATTGTGAGAAAAACAGTATATGATACATACAACATATACATATGTGTCAATCAACTGCTTACGTTATTGGTAAGTCTTGTTGTCAACAATAGGCTGTTACTAGTTAACGTTTTGGGGAAGTCAAAAGTTATATAAAGGCCGAGCGCTGTAACTCACATCTGTAATCTGAGCACTTTGGGGAGGGCGAGGTGGGAGGACCACTTGAACCCAGCGGTTTGAAACCAGCCTGGGCCGCATATTGAGACCCATCTGTTAAAGAACAAAAAAAAATTGGCTGAGTGTGGTGGCGCACGCCTATAGTGCCAGCTACTCAGGAGACTGAGGCAGGAGGGTGGCTTGAGCCTGGGCAGTCAAGGCTTCGGTAAGCTATGATTGCACCACTGTCCTCCAGCCTGGGCAACGGAGCCCAGCTAATGTTTGTATTTCTTTTTAGTAGAGACGGGGTTTCACCACATTGGCTAGGCTGGTCTTGAACTCCTGACCTCGTGATCCACCCACCTTTGCCTCCCAAAGTGCTGGGATTACAGGCGTGAGCCACCACGCCCGGCCATGTCTTTTTTTTTTTTTTTTAAGGGACAGGATCTCACTATGTCACCCAGGCTGGACTTGAACTCCTGGCTCCAGTGATTGTCCTGCCTTAGCCCTGCAAGCATCTGGGACTACAGGTCTGAGTGGACATATCTTTGGGAGGGGCACCATTCAGCCCACTGTGTGCAGCAAGGTTCTGTGACCAGGTTGAGAGCTTTTGTCACGAGCCTGATTTTAGCTATCGTTGTGATTTTTATCCATCTCCAAGTTCCTTCTTGGGACCCAGCGTCTGATTGCCTGGGGCGGCCACATTCCTGTCCTTGTACCTTACATGGTGCTTGTGTGCTCCCATCATGGATTGTCAATTCTCGTTGGCATCCAGACGGGAGACAAGTCAGCGATAAGTGCCAAGGAGAAGACGGAAGCGGGTGGGCCCCTCTGTGTAGGACTTCTGTCTGAATCAGGTGGAGGGAAGACATGGGGAGGAGCCGCATGGCTGCAGTGCCAGCTGGGAGAGAAGTACGGGCAGAGGGAGCTGCCGCGACCACATGTTTTCCTGCAGCCTGTTGGGTGCGAGGGGAGGCAGTAAAGCTGGAAGGGAGTAGTTGAGAGCCTTCTGGGCATCCCAAGCCCAGAGCAAGCACACTTGTTGCTGCCATCCCTGCCCACCCCTCCGTCTTTTTACCTATGCCTCTCTGACTCCTCCCATTGCATGTGGGCATCTGTTGTGGACATAAAGGGAGGTACAGCAAGGCTTTTTTTTTTAAGTTGGGGTTCTGCTTTTTTTACCCAGGCTGGAGTGCAGTGGCACAATCTCAGCTCACTGCAACCTCCGCCTCTGGGACTCGAGCAATTCTCCTGCCTCAGCCTCCCTAGTAGCTGGGATTACAGGTGCCCGCCACCACGCCCGGCTAATTTTTTGTATTTTTGGTAGAGACGGGATTTCACCATGTTGGCCAGCCTAGTCTCGAACTCCTGACCTCAGGTGATCCACCTGCCTCAGCCTCCCAAAGTGCCGGCCCGGCCAGGCTGTGTTCTTAAGGACAGATGAGGGGCAGCTGCTTAGACGACCCTTGAACAATGCAGGGGTAGGGGCGCCAACCACCTGAGCAGTTGAAAATCCCCATATAACTGTTGACTCTGCCAGAATTGCAGTACTCGCAGCCTACCATTGACTGGAAGCCTCACCAACAACATGAACAGTCGATTAACACATATTTCATATGTTCTATGTATTACATAGTGCATTCTTACAGTAAAGTAAGCTAGAGGAAAGAAAATGCTACTAAGAAATCATGAGGAAGAGAAATACATTCATAGTACTGTACTGTGTTTATCGATACCCTAAGTCTATAGGATGAATCATCTTTCTGAAATGGTGGCATCCACAGGTGGCGTCCACATCTGCAGACCTGAATCTACTGTCCATATCAAGCAATTCCACGTTTTCTTGTAATGTCACGGCTTTCCCTTGCTTCTCGGGAGCACTTCCAGCATCACTAGTGGCATGTCACATGGGTCCCCCTGGGGTTATTCACCTTTTACAGTATTGCACGAAATGCATGAAAAATCCTCTAGAACCGTGAGAGGTCACTTTTTAATGTGATGTGCATTTTGCTGGAGAGAGGAGCTGCCCACTCGGAGGTGATTAGCACTGCACAACATTTTAAGGGGATCTTCGAAACACTTGAGTGAAACTGAGCACAGTGGCAACAGGAGGCAGCTGTGAAATGCCGACAGGAGCACGATGTGGGCCACAGCTCCCTGTCTGCAGTTATGATTGCAGATCGCATCTTTCTGTTGGTTTACACTTCGCTCAGCTGCACATAGTGCCATCTCTGGAAGCATGTGCACATTTGTGTATACTTTATGGACGTGGCTGATAAAAGACTAGTATCTACCTATATTTTATGCATACGCGACATACCTGTTAATTTTTTTGTTCTTTCTAGGCTACATAGTTTGTCTGAGTTTTTTCAAATTGTTACAAATCTCCAAAAAAAAGTCAAAATTTGTTTTTTTTTTTTTTGAGACGAAGTTTCCCTCTGTCACCCAGGCTGGAGTGGAGTGGTGCGATCTCGGCTCACTGCAAGCTCCGCCTCCTGGGTTCACGCCATTCTCTTGCTTCAGCCTCCCGAGTAGCTGGGACTACAGGCGCCCACCACCACGCCCAGCTATTTTTTTTGTATTTTTAGTAGAGACAGGGTTTCACCGTGTTAGCCAGGATGGTCTCGATCTCTTGACCTCATGATCTGCCCGCCTCGGCCTCCCAAAGTGCTAGGATTACAATCATGAGCCACTGCACCCGGCCATACTTTTTTTTTTTTTTTTTTTAAAGACAGAGTCTCACTCTGTTGCCCAGTCTAGAGTGCAGTGGCATGATCTCGGCTCACTGCAACCTCCACCTCCCAGGTTCAAGCAGTTCTCCTTTCTCAGCCTCCCGAGTAGCTGGGATTACAGGCATGTGCCACCACACCTGGCTAGTTTTTGTATTTTTAGTAGAGATGGGGTTTCACCATATTGGTCAGACTGGTCTCAAACTTCTGACCTCAGGTGATCCACCCGCCTCAGTCTCCCAAAGTGCTGGGATTACAGGTGTGAGCCACTGCGCCTGGCCTTTAAATATCTTTATTGAAAAAAGAAGTTCATGTAAGTGGGCCCTTGAAAATCAGACCTGTGTTGTTCAAGACCTGTGTTTGCCAAGAAAAGACCTCCAGAGGTGGGGCTGTGCAGGCACCAGTGGCCTGCAGGGAGAGGGCCAGTGGCATGATGGGAAAGGGTGAATGGGCTTCTGGGAGAGGGCCAGTGGCATGATGGGAAAGAGTGAATGGCCTGCTAGGAGAGGGTCAGTGGTGTGATGGGAAAGGGTGAATGGCCTGCTGGGAGAGGCCAGTGGCATGATGGGAAAGGGTGAATGGCCTGCTGGGAGAACACTAGTGGCATGATGGGAAATAACAGTGGGCCCACTGAGAAGTCCTACTTGTAGAGCTTGGGAAGATACCTAACAACAGTTGCCATGGAGTTGGGTCCTTTTATTCCTCTGTTAATTTTTTATTTTATTTTATTTTCAGAAACAGGGTCTCACTTTGTTGCCCAGGCTGCACTGCAGTGGCAATCATAGCTCACTGCAGTCTTGACCTCCTGGGCTCAAGCGATCCTCCCACCTCAGCCTCCTGAGCGTGGGACCATAGGTATGCACCACCATGCCTGGCTACTTTTTTATTTTCATTTTTATTTATTTTTTTACAGATAAGATCTCATCCTGTCGCCCAGGCTAGAGTGCAGTGGTGCCATCATAGCTCACTGCAGCCTCAAACTCCTGGGGTCAATTCATCCTCCTGCCTCAGCCTCCCAAGTAGCTGGGACCACAGGTGCCAATCACCATGCCTGGCTAATTTTGTTATTATTATTATTATATTTTTGTAGACATGGGGTCTCACTATGTTGCCCAGGCTGGTCTTGAACCAAGCTGAAGTGACCCTCCTGCCTCAGCCTCCCAAAGTGTTGGGATTAGAGGTGTGAGCCACCATGCCTGGCCACTAATTTATTAAGTTACAAAAGGAATACATGTCAGTTGTAACTAGTAAGGTGGCTCTGGCGTGAGTAAGGGTGGGTTAGTGATCCCTCATGACCCTTCTTGGACACCCAGCATGTCCTTCCAGGTCACTATCCCTCCTCAGGATGCAGATGCATGGCTGCTGTTAGTGTTTGTGTCAGGGACGCAGTGACTACAGACACTTAGGAGCTTCCAGTCCTTAAAAGGACAGCTTCCTAGGCCAGAACTTTGGGGCCCCAGCCCTGCGTATGTTTCAGGGAGTCACATCTGCCCCATGGAGAACCTGAGGGAGGGGCCTCCCATGCAAAGGTCAAGTGCCATGGAAGGGGGTGGGATATGGGACCAGTTGGTGGTGGGAGGTGGGAAGGGAGGCAGGAGGGCTGGTCACCCTGAGGGCAGTTGGGGTTGAAGCTAGGAGTGACAGGGTACATTTTGTTGACCAAAAAGAGACTGAAGCACAAAATGTGATTTAAACAGTCTACTTGGCTGGGCATGGTGGCTCATGACGGTAATCCCAGCACTTTGGGAGGCCCAGGTGGGAGGATTGCTTTAGCCCAGGAGTTCCAGACCAGCCTGGGCAACATAGTGAGACCTCGTCTCTGCAAAAAAATACAAAAATATTAGCCAGGCATGGTGGCAAACCTATGGTCCCAGCTACTTGGGAGGCTTAGGTGGGACAATTACCTGAGCCTAGGGAGGTTGAGGTTGTAGTGAGCTGTGGTTGTACAACTACACTCCAGCCTGGGCAACAGAGTGAGACACTGTCTCAAAAATAAATAAGTAATTAAGTGAGTAGTCTACCTGAGCCAGGATAAAGGCAGCTGCCCAGAAAACTCAGCCCCGAGGAACACTGGGCCTGGGCTCCATTTTACGTTTGTTACAGGCAGGTTTTTAAGGCCGAAAAGAGGGACCGGGCACAGGCTAATGTCAGGTTGTTGGTCAGGAATCCTCTTTGGTTGATGGAAATGCCATTGATTAGCAATGGGCTGAGCATTGGTGCAGGTATGGTCTGCGGCAGCTTATCAGGTTAGTTCTCAGCTACCTGTGGCGGCAGCAGGCAGTTTCCAGAGAAGAACACAGCTCAAGGGAGAGCAGGGCGTGGCTGCTGCCTCATTTAAGGTCTCTGGGGGCCTGATCCCTGAAAAGGACTTACCTTCCTCTGATAACAGTTCTTTCCTTTCCCCAATTTTGACTTATTTTCTTGGCTTTGTGTTATTTTCTCCCTAGAAAGTAACTTCTGTGCCAGCGTAGTGGGGAGCCAAGCTTAAGGGTGGAGAAGAGTGAAGTTGTGGGAGACGCCGCAGGAGAGCAGCTCAGCCTGGCCCCAGGCAGCAGCCACCAGCAGAGCTGGAGTGGAGGGGCACTGTGGCTCTTATAAGGGGGGTGACTAGTTGCATGATGGGTGGCTACAGAGAGTATAGAACTGAGGATGTTCTGAGTTTTCTAGCCTGAGAGGTTGGGTTTGTCGTGGCACCTTTAAGACAGGAACTCCAGAGGCAGAGCTGGCATAGGGGGCAGGGCAGGATGCAAGTTCGAGTTCGTGGTGCCTTGGAGAGCCCTTAGGGGTGTCTAAGAGACAGTTGGAAATACAAGCTCTGGAGGTCAGGAGCTGGGTCAGTGCCCTGAAGACAGTACTTTGGGAGTTGGGAATGTATTGACATAGAGATGTTAAAGAATGTAAAAGAGTTGAGCTCAGATCTGAACCCGGGACCCAGCAGGTAAGGGGCAGGGCAGGGAGTGAGCTCACCGAGGAGCCTCCAGTGCTCTCTGTCATCATTAATAGTGTCAGCCCTGGCCCCATCAGCTAGTCCGCTCCCCCTGCTCTTTTTATCCTGTGTTCAAGCAGCCACTTGCTCATTCCATAAGCATTTATTAGGCTCCCACTGGATACATCAAAATGAAGTGAGCTTCCTCAGCTTGGAATACTCCCACCCTGACTCCAGCCATCCGTCCCTCACCCTCAGTTTCCTAAACACACTGTGCAGGCTCCTGCCCCTTTGCTGGCTTTTGGAGTCTGTGTTTAGATTTCCGTGCCCACTAAGTTCTCCTGGAGCTCTGCCCACCTTCCAGCCTGCCTTGCCACTCAGATTCTGTGCAGCTCCCATGCACTAGATCTGTGCCTTCCCTGCTGCCTGTCTTGGCCCCAGGATGCATTCAGCCGTTCGCATCTGACTCGCTGCCCCCACGTGGAGTGCCCTGGGGATGTGCCACTCACTTGTGATGCTCCTCCCCCAACCCACTGCTGGGCAGGGTGTAGGCATTCACTGGGCATTGGTTGAATTGAGCCAAGAGCTTCGCTTTGAAACTCAGAGGATTAAGGTTAGTCCCTAAAAGACACACCACAAAGCATGAGGTCTGCTCCAGCGCAACTGTGGGGTGACTGTGGGGTATATGCTTTCTTTTTTGTTGTTGTTTCTTTGAGATGGAGTCTTGCTCTGTCGCCCAGGCTGGAGTGCAGTGGCATGTTCTCGGCTCACTGCAAGCTCCACCTCCCGGGTCCACACCATTCTCCTGCCTCAGCCTCCCGAGTAGCTGGGACTACAGGCACCCACCGCCACACCCGGCTAATTTTTTGTATTTTTAGTAGAGACGGGGTTTCACCGTGTTAGCCTGGATGGTCTCGATCTCCTGACCTCATGATCCACGCGCCTTGGCCTCCCAAAGTGCTGGGATTACAGGCGTGAGCCACCGCGCCCGGCCTGTGGGGCATGCTTTCTAACGTGCCGACTGTGGGACGTGCTTTCTAACATGCTGGAAAGGCCAAGGTGATGCTTTGAAAATATAAATGATGCGAAATCACTTCCCAGCTCAAAACCCTGCAGTCTTCCAGTTTCACTTAGAAGGAAATCTCACTCTTCCCCTCAGCCTGCAGGAACGCCCCTGTGGCCTCTGCCCACCTGGCTGACTTCTTAAACATTTTACTGAAATACCCACACACTTAGAAAGAGTGGGTGCGTCGTGCCTAAGCGTACGGTGCAGGGGCTTTTCGCGGGTGGGACATTGCCAGCATGTAACTAGCATCCTTCCTCTCCCCCACCGCCTCACCCAGGGTAACCATTCACGTGACACAACGTAACAAGTATTCCTGCGGCTTTCACATGACAGGGCCTCCACAGACAGGGCCCCCCAGAGCTCCCCAGTGGATGGAATTCGCCCTCTCTCCGTGCCTGGCACTTTCCTGAGATCCCATTCTTTACCTACATGGCACTTACTCAGCTGAGATTACATATGTATTTGTTTGTCGACCGCACTGCTGTCTGTTTTCCCCTCTAGACTGGAGGCACCAGAGCTCTCCTGAGGACAGGGCCCCGTCCTTCCCCCGCAGCACTAGAGTCCAGCAGAGTGCTGGGCACACTCTGAGCCGTCAGTAAACACTGAGCGAGTGAATGAGTGGAGTGTACAAGGTTATCTGTGAACAATGTTCAGTAACTCACATGAAATATATCCATTTCTTGTGTGTACAAGGTTATCTGTGAACAATGTTCAGTAACTAACATGAAATATATCCATTTCTTGTTCCTTTTCCTCAGGGGACTGTCAAACAACTCCTCCTTTTCTCGGAGACTGAGGGGAATCCCTGCTTCTTGGACATCTGTGGGAATTTCCTGGTTGTAGGGACAGACTTGGCTCACTTTAAAAGCTTTGATCTTTCCCGAAGGTAAATTTTTTTTCCAAATAGAAGTGTGAACATTTTTTTAGTCAGTCAGGAGACAGTGTGATGGGTAGAAAGTGAGTTAGAAGCCAGAAGACTCCTTAGGTGCCCATTTTAACACCGACATGCCACTTGTGCTCTCGAATGCCTCATGTTGGGGCTCAGTTCCTGGCCTTTGCCTGGTGGTGGAGCCGTGTCGGGGAGAGGAGGCTTGAATAGTTGAAGCACAGGGAGTGGTGAGGGTGGGGAAGCTTCTATATGATGAGTGCATGACATTGTACATTTGTTGGAAATCATAGCGCTTTATGGTGCAAAGTGTGAACCTTAATGTATACAAATGTTTAAAAAATCATTCAGGCTGGGCAGGGTAGCTCACACCTGTATTTCCAGCACTTTGGGAGGCCAAGGCGAGAAGACTGCTTGAGCCCAGGAGTTTGAGACCAACCTGGGCAACATAGCAAAACCCTGTCTCTACAAAAACTTTTAAAAATTAGCTGGGCATGGTGGCACGTACCTGTAGTCCCACCTGCTTGGGAGGCTGAGGTGGGAGGATTGCTTGAGCCTCGGAGATCGAGGTTGCGGTGAGCTGTGGTTGTGCCACTGCACTCCAGCCTGGGCCACAGAGTGAGACCCTGTCTCAAAAAAATCACTTAGAATGTTAGAGGACCCCAGGACGGAACACAGAAGGTAACAAAACAGTCTCACTGTGTTACCAAATGTATGAAACAGCTTCACTAAAGGGTGTGGGGGGAAAGTGCTGACCTAAGTGGCTCTGGGAGTGAGGGGAGGCCCTGGCGAGCACTTAGGCCGAAGGAACTGCACAGGAGCTCGGCTCTCTAGTGGAGAATTCTGCTCCCCACAGGGGTTGGGATGAGCAACGCTGATCCTGTGATGCGTGTGCACTGGAATTGGACAGCTGAGCAAATGGAGGGTAGATGGCAGGAGCCTGGCATCGCGTGGTGGGAGTGGGAGTGGGAGTTACAGATTAGCAAGTGGAGGGACTAGAATAGGCCCTGGGAGAGTGGATCAGAGGTAGAGGTGTCAGCATGAACAAATCCCTGGCTTCATGTAGGTAGGGATGACTCCATACACAGAATCGTAGGTCTGTATCAATGTACCCGTTGGTACACACATATTTCCTCACTCTGTCAGCTGAGAGGGCCTAGAAGCAACAACCCTGTCCCAGCAGGCACACCTGGTGCCCAGACCTTGGTTTCTACCACCATCCTCCAATAAAGGAGCTATGGATCCTTGGAGAGATGCTGACTCTAGGACCAGGACAGGAAATGTACAAATGAGCTGGCAGCATCTGTGCTGCCCGAAAGTGAGGAAGTGCTAAAAACAAAGCAAACCAAAAAACCTCATAAAGATGGCAGGGTGGGGGTCACAGAGACACAGACCCCACCAAAAGAGGTCCTAATAGCCAAAGCTGGAATAATTGGAGCAACAAAATAAATAAAGCAGGCCAGATGCGGTGGCTCATGCCTGTAGTCCCAGCATTTTATTTATTTATTATTTTTTTTTTTTCTGGGTGGCCCATTTCATCCTGCAAGTCCCAGCACATTGGGAGGCCAAGAGAGGTGGATTGCTTAGGCCCAGGAGTTCAAGACCAGCCTGGGCAGCATGGTGAAACCCAATTTCTTAAAAAAAAAAAATTAGCCAGGCATGGTGACTTGCATCTATAGTACCAGTTACTCAGGTGGCTGAGGCAGGAGGATCACTTGAGCCCAGGAGGTCAAGGCTGCAGTGAGCCAAGATCACACCACTGCACTACAGCCTGGGCGACAGAGTGAGAGATCCTGTCTCAGAGAGAGAGAGGGAGAGAGAAAAGGAAGGGGAGGGGAGGGAGAGGAGGGGAGTGGAGGGAAAAGACAAAAAGAGAGAAAGAAAGAAAGAAAAAAGGGAAAGAAGGGAGGGAGGGAGGAGGGAAAGAAGGAAGGAGAGAAGGGAAGGGAGGGGAGGGAAGGGAAGAGGGAGGGAGGGAGGAAGGAAAGAAGCTTGAATTATATACCAAAGTAAAAAAATGACTAGTGTGAGTCCGAATGATATGAGTAAGTCAATAAATAGAGGAGAAGAGACAGGTGTCCCATAGAAAAGAATTCCACGGCCGAGCGCGGTGGCTCACGCCTGTAATCCCAACACTTTGGGAGGCTGAGGCGGGCGGATCACGAGGTCAAGGAGATCGAGACCATCTTGGCTAACACGGTGAAACCCCGTCTCTACTAAAAATACAAAAATAAATTAGCCGGGCGCGGTGGCGGGCGCCTGTAGGCCCAGCTACTCGGGAGGCTGAGGCAGGAGAATGGCGTGAACCCGGGAGGCGGAGCTTGCAGTGAGCCGAGATGGCGCCACTGCACTCCAGCCTGGGCAACAGGGCGAGACTCCGTCTCAAAAAAAAAAAAAAAAAAACAAGCTACCACTACATACTTTGTATTGATTATGTCAGCAACAAACTAGAAACAGCTAAATGTCACTGGCAGGGGACGAGTTAAATAGCTCAGTGTGTCCCTATGACGGGAAACTGTGCAGCTGTCACAGCGGGCGATGAAGCAGTCCCCACGTGCTACGAAAAATCGCGGAAACAGAGCATAAGGCACAAACTCCAGGTATAGAACGGCGTACAGCAGCGTTGTTTTGTTTTTTTTCGTTTTTTGTTTTTGAGATGGAGTCTCACTCTGTCGCCCAGGCTGGAGTGCAGTGGCATGATCTCGGTTCACTGCAACCTCCGCCTCCTGGCTTCAACCCTCAAATAATCTGCCTGCCTCACCCTCCCAAAGTGCTGGGATTACAGGTGTGAGCCACCACGCCTGGCCTAGAACAGCATTTTTAATAAGCTACTTGAACAAGAGGAAGGGGACGAAGCACTCATATTCGTCCTTGTTCGTAAGAGTACCTGAGGTGGAAGAACTCACCCTGTGTTTTGCGTTTGCCCCACCTCATGGTGCACACGCGCCACCCAGGGTGAGAAGCAGCCTAAGAGCTGTGCAGCACTCATCCGGTGAACAGAGGTTTCAGGGTGGGCGGAGAATTGGGAACTGGGCCTCTGGCGGGCACTGAGGTCCCTCTTCCTCCCTGCAGAGAGGCCAAAGCACACTGTAGCTGCAGGAGCCTGGCGGAGCTGGTCCCTGGGGTGGGGGGCATCGCTTCTCTGCGGTGCAGCAGCAGCGGGAGCACCATCAGCATCCTCCCCAGCAAGGTGAGGCCACCCCTCGTCCACTCGCCCACTCCGCCTCCTCACCTCTGTCCTCCCAGGCCAGGCCTCCTGCCTGCTCGTGCCTCTCTCCTCCTGTGCAAGTCTTCCTGTCCTGTGTTCTGTTCAGCCCCACTCTCCTTCCCCTCGTCTCCCCGGGTCTCTCCCTCCCACCTTCTCCGGGAACCTCCCCAGCATGGTCCTCACCCAGCCTCTGTTCCTCCCCGACCTGCCATCTTCTGTCCCCTGCCTTTCTCCAAGTCCTCCTTCATCGAAACAGTCGATTCCTTGTTGGAGAGTTGCTCGCTTCCTCTTCATCCCTGCCTTCTTCATCCCACTCAGTTTTCTTTGGCACGCGAGGAGGCACAGGACTGTTGGAGAGCCCTCAGGCGTCCCACTCAGAGAGGCAGGGTGATGTTGGTGTGCAGAGGGCCAGCGGCAGCCACATGGAAGGGTCTGGCAGGGGTGGCAGGGCATGGCAGCGCTGTTTGGAGCCGGTTGGTTCCTTCCCTGGTTCCTTCCCTTCCGCTGGTGCGGGTTCCCTTGTTCATTCGCTTGTTCAAGGGCCGTGACTGATCTCCTGCCGTGGGCCAGACGCTGTGCTAGGCACCACGGACACAGAGGTGCTCAGGTGAGCACAAGGACCCCGCCCACTGCCTGTGGATGAGCAGGGAAGGAGGCACGTGTGCTTGGAGGGTGTGGAACTGCACAGCACTGCGCTGCTGTGGAGCTCCGGCCAGGCCTGCTGAGGGGGTGACAGCCCAGCCAAGGTTGGGGCGAGAGTGAGCGGGTGAGGACTGGTGGGGACAGCAGAGGGCAGAGGGCAGAGGCCGGCATTGGCAAAGCCTGTCCTCATCGAGGGTCTGCACTCGTGGTGAAGGGCAGGGCCAAGGCTGATGCAGGTGGGACTTTCACCTCAGGGCAGAAGGATGAGGATAATGTCAATATCATCTTTCTAGAGGGTTCTTTCTAGAAGATGAATCAAAGGGTCGGTGGGTGCAGATGCCTACTTGGTCCCCGTGGCAGCCACTGGAGGGCTCGAGCAGCTGCAGTGGGGCTTGACGATGGACTGGCGGAGGGGTAGGGCAGGACAGGGCTGCAGAAGGTGTTTCTAACCTTTGCAGCCAGGTGGGAAAGGAAACTGGGTGAGGAGATGTTTGCTGCAAAGGTGGATGAGCAGAAGGGCAGGTGCCTGGGAGGCAGCCAGTGGGCAGTCCCACACCTGGTCAGAAGGGAGGGCCAGGGCTGCAGGCGGAGCTCAAGGGACAGGCGAGAGGATGTCCCCAAGGAGGAAAAACAGTGGCCACTGTGGCCCTGAGAACCCAGATGGGGCCTGGGAAGCCAGGTGAGCAGGTGCCGCCAGGGAGGTGGGGCCACTGGGAGAAGGAGGCAGCCAGGAGCCTCAAAAAGGTCGAGGGTGCATTCTGAGGGGTTAACACTGACGGGAAGACCCAAAAGAGAGAGAAAGCACAGGGTCCCGGAGGTGCCATGGGGGAGAACACGGGGCTGGGAGGAGGCAGGGGCTGGCAGAAGGGGCCTACTTGACCATGGCAGAAGGAAGCAGTGGAAAAGTTCAGCTGTAATAAAGGAGTTTCAGCTGAGAACGGTTATCCCGCACCTGCAATCCCAGCTGCTGGGGAGGCTGAGGTGGGAGGATCACCTGAGCCCGGGAGGCGGAGGCTGCAGTGAGCTAAGATCGCACCACTGCACTCCATCCTGGGCAACAGAGCGAGACCCTGTCTCAAAAAACACCAAAACCAACAAATTATGAATATTGAAAGCATGCTAGTCCTTGGAAGATGAGTGGCCTGTGGACTTGGTGACACTGGGTGTGTTTCTCTTGACATGTGCTGTGTCAGTCCCCTAGCACAGCCCACCAACCCGCTGGTCTGGGCAGGCTCCGTGAGCTTTCTGGTTTTCTCTTCTCCTAGGCTGACAACAGCCCTGATTCCAAAATCTGCTTCTACGATGTTGAAATGGACACAGTGACCGTCTTTGACTTCAAGACTGGACAAATTGATCGGAGAGAGACGCTGTCCTTTAATGAGCAAGAGACTAATAAGTAAGATTGTGGTTCAGGAGGATTTTGTTGGAAAAAATGATGTTCAGTTACTTCTCGGCTTCTGGGCGGGTTGTTGCTAAGTTAACGCGCCTTCAAAAGGCCCCAGCAGGCACCAGTAGGAAAAAGAAAGAGGAAAACAGAAGCACACTCTGGCAGTGGGTAGATTGGAGTTCTTAGTCTCTGTCCTTCAGGTGGAAGGTTCTGGAGTTAGCTGAGTGGAAACTGGAACTTCTGGAAGGGTTCTGGCCGGGAATCTGTAGAAGTGGCCCATGAGTCACTGCAGGGAGAGAAATGTGGTGACCTCAGACCCATCCGCGTCTCTCATGTAGGGGGGCATTTGCCTGTTTAAAGAATGTACTTCTGGGGAGAACAATCGTCTGTCTTCACTATATCTGGAGTTCCTTCTGTGACTGAATGGGCATTTGGAGAACTTTGAGTGCTGATGATAGTTCACTCACAGTTCATGGCTGATTCTGCACAAAGTGAAGCACAAAAGCAAAGTGGGCCACGGAGCTGAGCCCGCCCAGCCTGCGTGAGCCAGGCCTGCAGGGCAGGAAAGCAGGACGGGCACCCTGGGGCCTGCATATGCTCACAGAGGAGCAGAGCAGTTACAAGGCTGGGCTCGGGGGTGGTTTTCTCTCTTTTTTTTTCCCTCCTCCATTACTTGACCACCATCAGACACACCCCTTCTGTCCAGCCCCCCTGGATTCCCCCTGCCTCTCCCACACACCTTCCGCCTCAGATCCAGTGCTGGAACCTTCTTTCACCTGGTGGCCTCATTTCATCCCTCTGCCAGTGACTTCCTGTGGAACTCTCCATCTTCACAGCTCACCGAGTGCAGGCCCCATTCTCCCACCTCAGACAATGATGCCTGACTTGGCCAAGTGCCAGCTCTCCCCCTGCTGCCACTGTTCTTGGGCCGCTCCTCGAACCCTTCCTCTAGTCCCCACTGCCCGTCACCCAGGTCCGCAGCGTTTCTCATACCAAAATGTCTTTTCATTCATGCTTTTCCCTCTCGACTCTGCGCCTGCCGTGTGTGGCTTCCCCTGGGAGCTGTGGGAGCCTCTGAGTTCCTTTCTGCATTCGAATCTTGCCCCCTGCCTTCTGTCCGTTCCCGTCCCGTACCAGGCCGGTCTCACCTCACGGGAACCAGCTTGTGTCCCCGGGCTCTCTGGGCCTCAGAGCCGCCTTGTCTGGAGCATGGCACTCGCCCCTCTGCCCTGCTTTCTGCTCTGCTCTGCACTGGTGCCGAACGTGGCTGTGAGGGCACCTCCATTGCTGGGTGCAGTGGCTTACTAGGGGATCTTCATGTCCTGCAGCACCGGGTCCTGTCCTTCTTCAGCAGCCATGGGTCGTGCTGCCCGGCAGGGTCCCACTCTGCAGCCTGGGTTCGTGACACCCTGGGGGCGGCGAATGAGGCTCATAGGCCTCCTCACCTTGGGCACCTGCTCTCTCTTGAAACCTTGTGTGTCGTCTGCCGGCACATCATTGTGTTTCCCCACAGCATTTTGTTGAGTTCTGGACCCATCCAACATAGAACTTTAGAGATGGGAGGGACCTGGGTCCAAGGGGCAGCATGGCACAGGGACCGGTGGGGACAAGGAACCCGGCATGACCACAGAGCCAAAGCCTCGACCCCGCCCAGCAGGGGGTGCCATCCCACCTCGAGGTTGGCCTGCTGGTCCTGGAAAAGGAAAAGGGTCCCTTTTGCTTTGGGGATTCTTCTGGGCCCCCATAAGGCCTCCAGAATCAAAGCGTCATCTTTTTGTGGTTCTTTCAAACTGGGCTTTGCTCGGACCCTTAGCCCAGTTGTTAAAATCTGAGAACATGTTCCAGTAGGGCGCATGGCAGTGAGACCCCAAAAGTTCTCCCAGAGCTGAGCGCGTGGACACCATGGTCTGGGACAGCACCTGGAGGCTTCGGGAATGTGTGTGGGAGGGAGACTGGTAGCAGGAGTGCCCGCCCTGGGGTTGAAACGGGTCTTCCTTTGTCTTTTAGGAGCCACCTCTTTGTGGATGAGGGACTGAAAAATTATGTTCCCGTGAACCACTTCTGGGACCAGAGTGAGCCCCGGCTGTTTGTATGCGAAGCCGTGCAGGAGACGCCGCGCTCCCAGCCTCAGTCTGCAAACGGGCAGCCCCAAGATGGGCGCGCTGGCCCTGCGGTACGCTCTGCCTGTTGTATTTGAGTTTAGACACACTCAGTGGCCATTTGACAGACTTAAGATCTTCATGGGCTGGGCACGGTGGCTCACGCCTGTGATCCCGGCACTGTGGGAGGCCAAGGCGGGAGGGAACGCTTGAGCCCAGGAGTTCGAGACCAGCCTGGGCAATATATTGAGACCCTCGTCTCTAAAAAAGAATAATAATAAGAATTAATAAAAAAAATCTTCCTAGCATGGGGTCTGGGAAAGGGGTCCTGAAAATTCGTTCACGTGGAGTAGAGCATCTGCCTCACAGCTCCCACTGATGGCAGCGTCACTGTAACCTCGATGCCACCTCTATGGATTTGCCATTGCTAGGTCTGTTTTGAGCTATGCAGAAAAGCCACGGTGTGTGGTGTCTCCTCTTTGAGGTTTATGCCCATGGGCCAGCTCCACACTTACTGTCTGGTCTGACCTGAATGGCATTTTTTTGGTTCTCTTGTCTCAACTGCTACATGTGATTCTCTCTCTAGGAAAGAAATCTTTTGTTTGTTTGTTTTGTTTGTTTTTTGAGTCTCTCTCTGTCGCCCAGGTTGGAGTGCAGTGGTGCAATCTCAGCTCACTGCAACCTCCGCCTCCCAGGCGGAGTGAGCCGGGATCGCGCCACTGCTCTCCAGCCTGGGCGACAGAGTGAGACTCCGTCTCAAAAGAAAAAAAAAAAGTTATCTGCAGTCAGTGTTGATACCCTGAGTTCAGAAGCAAATCCACCCTTGGTTCTCAGGCGCTGAGCGGGAGGACACGTCCAGGTGGCATCTCCACCACCAGAGCAGGGAGGGGAAGACACTGCCCGAGGCGCCACTTCAAGATACAGGCTGTGGGGGTGACCCAGGCAGTTGGGAGGATGGGCGGGCTGACACCCGGGGAAGATGGAGACGTGGCAGGGAGGTAGGGCCGTCTCCTGGCAGTTTGATCCTAGGGCTCTTTGTCTGCTCTGTGATGATGCGCCCTTGTCTGAACTCACACCAGGTAGCAAGGAAAGGCTTTGCCTTCCCTTCACCTCTTCTGGTTTCCTGTCCAGAGCAGCTGCAGGTATGGGCGCATGTCCTGGTGTTGCTTGTTCTGCTTCTGTGCAATGGACCCACAGAGCATGTGGTTTCTGTGCTGCGTGTTCCCTGTTCCTTGAAAGCAGGGTCGGGGCTCTTTGTTGGTGGTGCCACTGTTGATTTTTTTTTCTTCTTTTATTTTTGAGATGGAGTCCTGCTCTGTCACCCAGGCTGGAGTGCACTGGCATGATCTCAGCTCACTGCAACCTCTGCCTCCCGGGTTCAAGCGATCCTCCTGCCTCAGACTACCAAGTAGCTGGGACTACAAGTGCCTACCACCACGCCTGGCTAATTTTTGTATTTTTAGTAGAGACGGGGTTTCATCACGTTGGCCAGGCTGGTCTCAAACTCCTGACCTCGTGATCCGCCCACCTCAGCCTCCCAAAGTGCTGGGATTACAGGCGTGAGCCACTGTGCGCAGCCTGCTACTGTTGATTTTTAAATCAGAGTAAAGCCGCCAAAGAGGGAGAACTTTTAAACCATGAAAGCTCTTTTGAGTTGCAGTCACCAGTTCAGGGTGGGAATGATGAGCCTTTGCTGCAAGAAAATCAGTCACTTGGGAGAGTCCAGTGGTCGCAAGCTGGACGAGGTGCGTCCTTCCAGTAGGCGTGTTGGTTTTTCCCAAGTGGAGCAGATAAAAGGTGGTGTAATCAAAGCAAAGCACCCGACCCCACCATGACGCAGTGTGTAGCAACGACCCCACCGTGACGCAGTGTGTGTAGCAAAATGGCACTCATACCCCAGAAATTTATGTAAGTTAAAAAAAAAAACAGAACAGTACTTTTCTTTCTCTCCCAGGCAGATGTTTTGATCCTGTCCTTCTTCATTTCCGAAGAGCACGGCTTCCTGCTTCATGAGAGCTTCCCCCGGCCTGCCACCTCCCACAGTCTCCTGGGGATGGAAGTGCCTTATTACTACTTCACAAGAAAGGTACGAAGCCACGACATCCGCACAGGTGTCTTCTGATCTCTCCCCTTGCCTGGCTGGGCTCTTGCAAGCGTCCCAGGGAGCTGAAATGTGAGTTAGCCCTCGTGGCTCTGCCGGGCTTCCCTCTCCGTAGACAGCATCAGCCATCCAGTCTCACTTGTCGCCTGAAATTCCAGCAAACACTGCGGTCTGTCTGGGGAGAATTGGAAGTGGTTTTGCTCTCAGGATAGAGAGAACTCGTGCTAATGAGTGCTGTCTCCGGGTGAAGGAGCTCTCGGGCAGGACTCAGGACTCTGCACCCTTCCCCCTTGCCTTTTCCCCGAATGCTGAACACCTTTTTAGCTTTTCTGTCTTTCTAAAATTCTAGCTGCCTTCTTAAAATTATGCATTTCTATATTCACTGTAGGGATCTTAGGAACTACAAAGAATGAAGTAAAGACCCAAATAGTACAAATCTCCATAATCCCAGCCTGGAGGCAGCCACTGTGGGCAGGCTGGTGGCTCCTTTCAGTAGGGTTCTGGCTTCTGGACACCCGTCCGTGTGTGACTCATGCATGGACGTGTTTTTAAATTACTGAGAGAATGGGATCGTCATCAGTACACACACCCCAGTAGGTTCTTTTGAACAAGTTATTTCCTTCTCTGCGACTTGGTCCCCGTGTCTCCAAGGTCCCTTTTGGACCTGAAACAGTCATTCTCTGCTTCTGAGAGGGCGTGCTGATCAAAGGATCTGCAGCTTCTCTGCAGAACAGCAGCCCATGTGTGCCCCACGAGCATTCTGAGACACGGTGGAGTGCCTGGCTCTGAGAGAGCTGCTCCCCTCGCTTCACTGACCTGTTGTTCTCAGCCTCTGGGAGCATCCCGAGTCACGTGTGGGGATTTTTCAGAGAGGAGCCTGGCTGACCTAAGGCTCAGACTCACGTCCCAGCTGGCGCCGGCCTGTGAGCCCCACAGGGGTTCTGCAGGCGGGAGGCAGGGGGCCACCAGCTTCCACCTTTCGGGACCTAGGATGCCACCAGCTGCTGCTGCTTTTATTTCTGTGAAACATGGAAGCTTCTCTCCTGTTACACACTCCGTCAGCAAACAACACGCACAGAGTCTTCTCTGCCTCTTCCTGTTTACTGTCAAATCAGAGGAAGGACTAAACCCTGTAGACTCGGACCTGGATTGCTTTTGAATTTCCACATGCAGTGGCTTATCGATGTTAAGAATGAACTCTGTACTTTTCTAATTTTCTTCAGTAAGCCTGTGTTACTTTTATAACCCAAGGTGGGTCGAGGGAGCATTTAAACTGGGACAGAGGGAGCGTAGACCCCAGAGGGACATTCCGAGAAGGGGAAGGACAGGCAGCCCTGCATGGCCACAGAAGCCAACACAGATGCTACTGCACCAGCAGCCACCACGGTGGACCGCGGGCGCACCGGCTCCACACACACCCCTGAGCTGGCATTCACCTTCATAGGACCTGGCATAAAGGACACGGTGGTGGTGGGGTGGGGCACTGCCTAACTTGTGACAATGACGTGACCAGGTGTGTGCTGGCCTCTGGTCCTCGGGCTCTGCTGGAACCTTGTGTGCAGTGATGAATTAACAGCATTCACACAAACGCGAACCTGGGTGCGGTTGGCGGCCGTGTTCCTGGTCACCATGTAGAGCCAGGCTGCACAGCCAGCAGAGGCCGGCGTGGTGCTGGTTTATGCGTCACACTGTTCCCTGCGGTGGAGGCAGTCTGGCTTCATGAAGACTGGGAAAGCATCGTGTGATTCGCCAAATGGAGGGCTCCCTGCTCTGTCAATGCATGTTTCCTTAATTCCCGTATTTTAATAGACAAGTGTCACCAGATTGGCGTTCCTCCGAATTTCATGCTGGCTTTACGTTTCTTATGTGCTTTAATTTCTCTTTTATTTCAGAACTCAAAGCATTAACAATGTTTTACATTATTTCTGTTGAGTTTTTCCCCATTAATTTTGCATGGTGGCGTTTGTGTCTTGCACACACTCATGCATCTGTTCTTTTCTCTCTCATTTCTCACCTTCCCGCATGCGTCCACTCCTCATAGTTGTTGTTCCAGAGAGCAGGCGTGTATGACGCAGTCGTAAGTACAGACGCCCAGGTCGTGTGTCATTTGCTTCACCGGGTTGTTTTCCTGAGATCCTTTTCCTCCCTTATTTTCAGTACAATTGTCTGTGCACCGATACTTTCTGCTTACCTTGCATGTTCGCTTTACCGAGGTCTATTGGAAGCCTGAGACACTCAGTGTCAGCTCTCTTTATTTGAGCAGGATGCCTCTCACCTAGCAAAGCTCATCAGGAGCCAGCTGTGGTCATGGCTGGGACATGTGACACAGCAGCTCTTTCCTCTGCTGTGTGGGACACAGGAAGTACTTAGTTTACCTACATTTGCAATAGAGGGAGTTTTCGTAACTCAGCCATTCAAGTCTAGTGAGGACTAGCCATGACGTCTTTTGTCTGTTAACGCTGCCCTTGTTCACATTTTCAAACGGCTCGGCCTAGTTTCTCCGAGGTATGAGGGTGGATCCGGGTCCAGCAGCTCTTAGGACCCTGCCTCTGCACCGTGTGACTGGTCAGCTGTGACGTGGGATAGACAGTCCCTCCCTCACAGAGCTGTGAGCAGGACATGGTGAATGATGAGAATTCCCATTCACACAGCGAACTGGGTACCCATTCTGTCCACACCAAGCTGACATTGTTATCAGAGGTCAGGGCGCTTCCTTGCAGTTTATTAAACCAGAGCAGGCAGGAATTCCCTGTTGTTTTTGTGCGTGTACGTTTTCTGACAGTTTCCACTCAAGGCAGAAGCAGTCCAAACCCTTCAGCACTCAGCACCCTGCAGATGGGCCCCAGTCACATCCGTCCTCAGGCCCTCCACTCCATCGCCTCTCTGCAGGGCCTCGGGGCCTTTGCTTATGCTCTGCACTGTGCCAAGAAGGGCCTCCCCATCACAACTGCGTCTGACAAATCCCCCAGATTTCTTTGAGACCCAGGCCAAGTGCCGTCTCGCCCATGAGGCCTACTCACCGGGGCCGCAAGTCAGTTTCTGCAGGAGCAGTGAGCTGATGGGAGCGCAGCTGGGGAGGCAGGTGGCTGGAGTCACCCTTCAGGAAGTCACAGAATAGCAGATACAAGACCAGGGAAGCCTGACCCCAGAAGGCTGCGTCGTGATCCGTTTCACACGGGGGAGTGCGTGTGCTCTCAGAGAAACGGGATCCAGATGAGGGGCAGGGCTAGAGCCCAGAGAGCGCGTGCAGAGCCCCTGCCCCACGGAGGAAGGGACCCATGATTAAAGAAGAGGCAAGCAGTTGGAGGGGCTCGTGGAGGGCCAGTGGTCCCTCGGGAGCACCGATTTCCAGGAACTGGGTGTAAGAAGATGCCCAGGTGAGGATGGGCCTCCAGCAAGCCATAGCAGTGTGCTCCCACACTGGGCCCACAGCCGCGTCCCTCCCTGTGCCATGCGGGGCCTCACTGCCCAGGCTGAGGGCTCTCCTGAAAAATACCCGTAGAGGGTACACAGCCAATCCAGGTTATTGTTTTGGAAAATTCTACCTGAAATCATGCTCCTGTTACTTAATTTTAAGAGAGTTTAAAAAACAAATTCCTGCACGGGCAGCCTTTGCTTACCCATTATCTGAAGCCAGAGCCAAAAGCTCTGACCATTGCCAGTGACCCTAAAAGTTTTCAGGGCATCTGGCAGGGACTGGGCCTGTTGGTAAATATCTGTCTGTCTGCAGAGGGATTTCTCCCCCATAAGGGAGCTAAATCCAGAGGACGAGGTCTGGGTGAGGGCTTCAGCTTTACATATGAATTAACAAACACATGGGTCCTTTGTCATTTAGCCCGAAGAAGCAGACAGAGAAGACGAGGTGGAGCCTGGGTGCCACCACATCCCTCAGATGGTGTCCAGGAGACCCCTGCGAGACTTTGTGGGGCTGGAGGACTGCGACAAGGCCACCCGGGACGCCATGCTCCACTTCAGCTTCTTTGTCACCATAGGAGACATGGACGAAGCCTTCAAATCCATCAAGCTCATCAAAAGGTGAGGATCCCGACCACTGGGATGTTGGGAGATAGCGCGTGCTCACGGCTCTTTCCTTTCTCCCTGTTTGCCTTCTTGGTTCGCCTGTTGAAATATTTGACTCCTCATGACTGCGTCATGGTGTATTTCATGGTCTTCCCACTCGATGAAATGCTGCCCAGCTTGCAGATGCCACGTGGGAAGCTCTCAGCCTCTCTGGTGCTGGGAGCCTCTCGGGCTGTTTAGCTGCTTCCTAGTGGAAAGTTCTGCCGTTCCTAAACATCTATAATACCCATCCCTCTGGGAATAATTGCTCCTAAACAGAAGTTTGGACAAGTAAACACTAAAAACAGCCAGGTGGAAACACAATTAAAAATGCTCTGAAAGAGGGTATCAATCAAGGGCTGTCTGCAAGCACCTTCTTCTCCATTCCTGAGAGAATCTAGAAATTCTTTCATCTTCACAAGAGCATTTCACAGATTTTAATGTCCAAAGGGTAGAAAATCGAAGAATGAAACTAAAGAGGTAAAAGGAGGGTGTGGCCTTAGGTTGCCGGAGCAAGCCCTCCCTCAACGTGCAGTGATAATGCCTGTCACACAGGTGTCCGAGAGGGTGCAGGACCCCGGCCCGCTGTCGTCCTTCTGAAGCAGCATGGCCAATCCTTCATTCCCCCTGCCGGGCCTTCCACACTAGCTGTGCAGATGAGCTCTTTCCGGTTTGCACATGCACCGGACAGGCTGAGCAGCACCGCCCGGCCCCTCTGGATTACTTTGACTTCATATAAAGGTAGTCGCAGACCATAATTGACCCTGTGGCCAGTTTAAACCTTCAATATGGCCGGGGCACGGTGGCTCACGCCTTTAATCCCAGCACTTTGGGAGGCTGAGGTGGGTGGATCACCTGAGGTCGGGAGTTCGTTCGAGACCAGCCTGACCAACATGGAGAACCGCCCCCCCATCTCTACTAAAAATACAAAAACTAGCCAGGCAGTTGTGGTGCGTTCCTGAAGTCCCAGCTACTCAGAAGGCTGAGGTGGGAGAATTGCTTGAACCCGGGAGGTGGAGGTTGCCGTGAGCCAAGATCACGCCACTGCACTCCAGCCTGGGTGACAGAGTGAGACTCCGTCCAAAAGAAAACAAAACAAAACAAAAAACAATTATTTTCAGCCTGCTCTGGTTTAAAAATTCCTTGTCATAAAAAATAAAAATTCCTTGTCATAAAAAAGTTGAGCAGGGGAAGATGAAAGTCAACTATCCCTGCTAGTGTGTACTGTGGACGTGAATCTGGTATTTCTACGCTGTGTGCTGAGTGTGTCATAGACAGTCAGTCCGTAAATGCTTTCCAGTCTTTAGCAGTTGAAGACCAATTCCTGGAGCAATACGGGCCTCACAATCCAAACTGATCCCCTCAACTCGCTAGAAGGCCAGAAGCAGCCAAACTAAAGATTTATATTAGCAGCGGGTGGCCTGATGGCCCGGCCCCGACCGTACACGTCACAGCAGTTTCTCCTTTTGGCCGATGCCAGCAGGGCATGAGGCCAGGCAGTGCCGCACCCAGGCAGAGGAGGCGCCAGGCCAGGCACCAGGACTGTGGTTGCAGCGCTGGTTGTAGTGTGGCCAGGCAGCCTTGGGTTCTGGGTTCTGGGTGGGGGCATGGGCCGGTTTTGACCCCTCAGATGTAGATGTTAGATGTTTTCTGCCCAACTCAAGGACTTACAGCTTGTTCCTCTCTTAACAGATTTAGGACACGGGGTTGTTTGGACCCAGTGCAGCATCATGCAGGAATTTTGTAGCCCACCAAGCATTTCGCTAAAGATAGGCTGAAGGTTTTTTGTTTTTGTTTTTTGTTTTGAGACGGAGTCTTGCTCTGTCACCCAGGCTGGAGTGCAATGGCACAATCTCGGCTCACTGCAACCTCCACCTCCCGGATTCAAGCAATTTTCCTGCCTCAGCCTCCCGAGCAGCTGGGACTACAGGCACCCGCCACCACGCCTGGCTAATTTTTTTTTGGATTTTTAGTAGAGACAGGGTTTCACTATGTTGGCCAGGCTGCTCTCGAACTCCTGACCTCATGATCTGCCCGCCTCAGCCTCCCAAAGTGCTGGGATTACAGGTGTGAGCCATCGCGCACAGGCTGACTGAAGGTTTTTAAGCAAATAGACCTCATCCCTTTTATTCTACTAGTTGTTGATCAGAGAGTCTGTAAGGACTTGGGCTTCTGAGACTTGGTTGAACAGAAGTGTGGATAAGAGTGTGTATGCCTACGGGGTCTCTGAAAAGGTCTTTTTGACCCTTAGTGTGAGCCCCCAAAAAATCACAAAAAAGTGGATCAAATGTTTTTCAGCCATGTCGCAGTATAGATGGATAGAACACAAGTTATAGACAGAGTTCAGAGGCTTGCATTTATTTAACTTAGGAAAAGAATCGAGCAAAACAGACACGAACACGATTCTGTCTGAAACCATCACTAACCGGCTATAGATTCTGACTCACTCAAGGAATATTGTGGATATTTTAAGAAAATTTTCCTGGTTTTCTGCTTTACCAAAGTGTAAGATATGGCTGGGGTGCCCCTCTCAGCAGATGCAGAATAAATTAATCCCAAAGCAAAGCGGAGCGCAGGGCAGCCTCGCGCCACCTAACCTGTGTCTCAGCTTCCAGCTTCCACCCTGAAGTGCGTGTGGTCGTGGAGCCGCGTTGCGCTAACCAGGAAAGCTGGAGGCAGAACGAGGTTGGCCCACGACACGTACAGACATATGACCGACATAACAGTAAACGCACACGTGTCTCGCACGCATGGCGCAGAGGTCACCCAGACTCATCCCGTGCCTCTGCACGAGCAGGGGAAGTGACTTGGTGGTGGAGTCCCTTGGTTTCTAGGCTGTTCCACGATAGCAGGTGTGCGTTGATGGAGCGCTGAGAAGGGCGACTCAGCATGGTGACTCCACGTAGTCATTGTCCAGCCCACGGCGAAAGCGCGCTGTCAGGGAGCGGCTGATGACAATCACCCGGGGGGCCATGCAGTCCTCCCTCTTGTGGAGAATGTTCCAGATGAGCATGGCTGCCGCCAGCGTGGCCAGAAGGCAGGCGCCAATGTTCAGGTAGCAGGACCAGGACAGGTTGGTGTATGGGCCAATTCTGTAGAAAGTCACGAGCCCGATGACCAGGACAAAACCTGCAGATGAGAGAAGGGTTGAGAGGCCTTGTCTGAGAGGAAGGCGGGTTCCACTCCTTCCCCAGCCCTCTGTCCTAGAGCAGGTTCCAGCCTGCTTTATCCTTCCCCAGCCCTCTGTCCTAGAGCGGGTTCCAGCCTGCTTTATCCTTCCCCAGCCCTCTGTCCTAGAGCGGGTTCCTGCTTTACGGGGCGGCTGCCCTGGTGTTGAGCCACCTTGTATTAGCCCTTCTGTGGCTCTTAGGACTTCAGGCTCTGGCGGCTGTGGAGGGGTGGTATGTGTCTGCTTAATTCTGTCCTGGCGTGCTGCTCCTGGGACCTGGCCAGGCGGCAGGCCTTTTCTTCAGGTCAGCACTGATGCTTGCAACACCAACTTGGGGGGGCCTTTCCTAGCCCCCCAGACTCAGCAGTAATTTTGTGTTAAATCCATCTCTGACTTTTGTAAATGCTTAATTCATTCAAAGAAAAGACTTTTCTAAGTCTTATCTGGAAACAGGTCAGTTTGGTGCTCATCGCGCCCAGAGCTATGCTTCTGACAGTTTTCTTGCTCTTGGCCTTTGCTTTGGGAACTCCAGATGGCCTGGAGTCTGCAGCTCAGGCAGGGCGGAGATGGGGCCAGGGCCTTGTCTAGGGCTCCTTGGCTATATCTGGTGTCTTCCCTCACTTCCGAGTCAGTGCTTCTCGTTCTAGACCCTCCCTCCTCCCTGGCAGATTTTCCTTCCATGCTTTCCCCTCTCTTTCCAGAGCCTGAAACCAGAGAAGGAGAGGTGGGCCGTGAGCAACCCTTGGTTGGCGCAGCTTGTTCCCGTCTAGTTAGTCGCTGATGCTACAGTTTCACTTACAGTTTTATCTTTGAGGAGCTCCAAAGACCTTTTTAGTTCTTACAACAGGAAAATCAGGGTTTCGTGACTAGAGTCTACCAACTAGGATAACAGGACACTGTGGCCGCAGCGATGGAGCCGGGCGTCCTAATCCAGCTGGAAACATAGGCTCTAGGATGGAGGAGAGGCTGTCCACATGGCCCTGCCCCTCCTCATCCCCTACAGCCATGGGGATGTGGCCACAGATTGTCCTGGAGGCCATGGGGCCTCCAGCCAGCCTTCAGCCCCAGCCCCGCTTCTGCCCACCCAGCACCCCTCCCTCTCTGTTACAGTAACCTGAGTGAGTCTGTTTCTTGTACCCAAAGTGCCAGAGACTCTCTGTAACTTACACTGGTCCAGATTAAACTCTCCAGCCCCTCTTGTCCATAGAGGACTTGTCCATGTCCCTCCCCAGGCTCCGGCCACGCCGAGCCCCACTGCTGTCCCTCCGCCTGGCCTGCATGTTGACACCTGTGCGTCTGTTCATGCCGGTCTCTCCACTCCCAACCGCCTCCCCTGCATTCCCCAGGAAACCAAATCATGCCCTGCCCTGTGTGGCCCCAGCATCGAGAGAGGATGGGAGAAAAAGAGACACAGGGACAGAGACACAGAGACAGAGACACAGAGAGACAGGCAGAGACACAGAGAGACAGAGACCAAGAGAGATACAGAGAGACAGAGACAGACACAGAGACAGATGGAGACAGAGAGAGACAGAGACAGAGACACAGGGAAGGAGAGACAGAGAGCAAGAGATGGGTAACCAGCCTTGTTTTTCCTAAAAACCCAAGCATTATCTTTTCATCATCACTGTACCCTCCAGAAAGTATGAATTAAGCATTTATCTATCTCCATTTTGTCCTGAACAATGACAGTGACTGGTTTCTGTGTTCATTCTTTATAATACTTCATGGAGCTTCTTATACATGGGTAGCTCCTGGATACTTCTGTTTTATTAAAAATAACATTCTAGACAAGGCACAGTGGTTTACGCCTATAATCGCAGCACTTTGGGAGGCTGAGGCGGGTGGATCACGAGGTCACGAGTTCAAGACCAGCCTGGCCAAGATGGTGAAACCCTATCTCTACTAAAAATACAAAAAAAAAAAATTAGTGAGGTGTGGTGGCAGGCACCTGTAATCCCAGTTACTCAGGAGACTGAAGCAGAGAATTGCTTGAACCCAAGAGGCGGAGGTTGCAGTGAGCCGAGATCACGCCACTGCACTCCAGCCTTGGCGACAGAGCGAGACTCCATTTCAAAAAAAAAAAAAAAAAAGCATTCTCTTTGTAATGAATACTAACAAAGGAAACTTCTGGCATTTCTACCAGTGCGGAATGTGCCCTCTGCTCACGATTGTGTGGTATCGATGCTTGTGTTACTGGGGTGAAGGAATGAGCCTGTGTTGTGTGTGAGGAAAATGAGGGCACTTTGAACAGCGTCCACTCATGTTTACGGGGTCTGGCACTTTCTGCCGGTGGGGTGTGGGTTGTGCTGGTGTCAGGGCTCAGAGGAGGTGGTCCTGGAGGCAGGGCAGGCACAGCGGAGAGCTCAGGACACCCGAGACAGAGGCGAGCGGGAGGGGTGGGGCGCTCTTGGCAGGGACAGTGGGAGCCTTGGGGAGAGTCCCAGCCCAGCAGGGGGGCGATGCAAGCCCTGAGACCCTCGAGGGCGGGAGGAGGTTATACCGGCAGTAACTGGCCTTCATCAGGCTCCAGCCCGCCATGGCCACAGCCTGTTTCTCCCCCTCACCAGGCTTCCTTTCTACTTGCGGGTGTTACAGAAACGTGTTTAAAATCTCAGGGGGCCTCTAGTTCCACACATCATTCATCCGAATGGAACAGTGGAAAGGGATTGTGCCCCCCATGGCTTCCAGGGTCAACCTCCCTCACGGTCTGCGGTTGCCGTGGGGGTCAGTTTCCACACATAGGGGACCTGGAGGTACCGTCATTGCAGGGGGACAGCGCGGGCCACACGTCACCAGGGAGAGGCCCCGGGGACATCACCAGGGACACACCCGGGAGGCTTCTGAGTGCACAGCTCGGATTTACAGTGGCTTTCTAGGAAAACCTCGGGAAGAAAACTCTAAGGCAACACAGGGCAACCAGCCCGGGTGGGAGGTCCCGCAGAGTTGATCTTGCCGGATCTGCCGGACCACGCACGTGTGGTGTGGCCTCCTTTGTATAGGTAGCTCCCAACAAAACCCCGTAGAAGACTGAAGTGCCGCTGATCTTAGGCTCTTCCGTGAACAAGCATGTCCTGAAGTTGGGTTCGACAGTGAGGAATGTGCTGGACGTTTCAAGGTGTCTGCAGCAGTGCCGGGTGACCTTGCTGGGGATACTGATGCAGGCGGCCCTCCCTCCACCGCTGCACCCTGATCTGTATGAAACTCACATCCTGTCTCCCCAGCACTCAGCACCCTTGTGGCTCCCATCGCCTTAGGGTCTCCCCTGCTACCTGCGGCCGCCCTTCTGCCACCCTGGGGCCCAGTGGCCCTTTCCACCCCTCTCAGTCACTGGGTCCACCTACTCTGGGCTTCTCCTCGTGCCACTGTCCCCGGCTTGACTGGCCCTGGGGAGGAGGGGCCCCTCCTGCTGCTGATCCTTCGGGCCTCGGCTTAGAGTTGCACCTGCCCACCCCTGCCAGCCGTGGTCATTGTGTCTTTACCCATGGGTGGCTCTGGCCGCTCTCCCCCGCCACAGGGCAGGCTCCCCGGGGCCAGAACTTGCCCCACCATTGACCACAGCTTCCCAGAAGTCTCTCCGCAATTACTTTTTGAGTTAATCGTTTGAGGAGACCAAAGTAGACGTGAAACAGAACAGAATGCAGTGTGGAGCTGCGGGAAAGGCGAGGAGGAACAGCAGCCTTGGCAGTTGAGTGACCAGGACCCCTCAAAGGGACAGAGCCCTTTGGCCAGATCACGTAGATGCCGCTACCCTGGTGCCCTCGAATGCTCACGGAGGGGCAGCACGATTCCCAAGGACCCACTGGCATCGGCTACGTGGCCCTGTACTCAACAGGCCTGTTCAGCCTCCACTGGCACGCCGGGGACCACGCTAGGGTCAGCGTCAGCCACAGAGACGGCTAGGGCGCTCTTGACTTTCCTTGGGGAACTGGCATTCCTCTTAGAGAGATGGGGAAGTCATTAATCTCTGTGTCCCCAGAGGGTGGCATTTGGCAGGGCCTTGCCCTATGTGGAGGGTCAAGCTTGCAGGGAAGGCTCTCCAGACTCTAAATTAAAAGTGGGAAGGCTAAACCATGGAGCAAAGCACAGAGCGGGTAGGCAGAACTGAGCCCGGCCTCCTGCCCTGAGGCAGCCTGCCGGGTGCCCTAGCAGTGTGGAGCCACCCCAGCCCTGAGACGCTGGGTCCCTCGAGGCCCACCTGGAAAGCCCCTCTGCCTGCCTGGCACTGGCCAGCATCACACGCTGCTTCCTGAACTGTTGTTTTATTGTTATTTATTTTCTTAAGTGCTTTTTGTAACAAAGGAGTTTTACTTATTTTCTTAAGATCAGTGTCATAGCTTTTGAAAATGCGTCGTTTAGAGCATTAGAATGGGTCGACCATTCTAATCCAGACATGACCTCCCTGTGCATGGTTGGCTGTGTTGCTTGCCATAAACACGAGCTCAGGCCTCAGAGCATCTGTCTGCTTCCAAGAACACTGTTTCTAAATATAGAAGACGAAGGGGCTGGGGCGGTGGCTCAAGCCTGTAATCCCAGCACTTTGGAAGGCCAAGGTGGACAGATTGCTTGAGCCCGGGAGTTTGAGACCAGCCTGGGCAACATAGTGAAACCCTGCCTCTACAAAAAAGTACAAATAATTAGCTGGGCGTGGTGGTGCACACCTGTAGCCTCAGCTATTCAGGAGGCTGAGCCCAGGAGGTCGAGTCTGCAGTAAGCCGTGATTGCACCATTGCACTCAGCCTGGGCGACAAAAAAGAGAAGAAGAAAAAGAAAAAAAGACTCAGAATGTAGATAAACTGATTAAAGAAGTATGAGTTCACATGTCCACACGCAACCTGGACATGGGCCCTACATCCTAAAAGTGTGAGTGGAAAAGTAATCAAGGTGGCAGATCAGGTGTAAACAGCAAGCCTAACAGGCAGGGACCGTCACAAAGCAGGAGGGAACAGGGCAGGCCAACCCTGAGTCATGAGTCTAGAAAGCTGTGTCTTTGAAAATCTAGCAACAAGTGGCCAGGCGTGGTGGCTCATGCCTGTAATCCCAGCACTTTGGGAGGCCGAGGCAGGTGGATCACCTGAGGTCAGGAGTTTGAGACCAGCCTGGCCAACATGGGGAAACCCCATCTCTACTAAAGGTACAAAAATTAGCCGGGCGTGGTGGCGGGCACCTGTAATCCCAGCTACTGAAGAGCCTGAGGCAGGAGAATTTCTTGAACCCGGGAGGCAGAGCTTGCGGCGGTGAGCCGAGATTGCACGCCATTGCCCTCCAGCCTGGGCAACAAGAGCGAAAGCCAGTCTCAAAAAACAAAGAAAGAAAGAAAAGCACCTGGGGTGCGTCTGGAGCCGCGTTCTGGGAGCCGCGCTTCACTCGCTGGTGGTACAGCTCCAAGGCTGGAGCTTACTTGGCATTTTTGTTGCCACAGAAGCAGATGGGAAAATTCTAGGTCTGTACCTTGTGTGAAAAAAGGCTAAGTAAAATTTTGCATTTACGTGACTTCTGTGTGGAGAGCAGCGTCGGCTTTTGTTTGTCTTTGGTTCTGTTTGGAGCACAACTAGGGTAGAGAGGGGTTTGGAAGGTTAGGACAGCGCCCTCGGACGCCAGTGAGACCCAGAGGCGCCACCAGGCCCTGAACCTCATGAACCTGCGCGGCCCTAGGCATGCGGTGAAAACGGGACGTTGCCCTCGTCCTAGCACCAGAGCAGGCAGGGGCACCGCTGCTGGAGAGCGCCAGGTGGCTCCTGCGGAGGACGGTGGCCCAGATCCTACCCTGACGAAGAAAGGTTCACGTCGTGAACAGATGCCTGGCATGAGGGAACCTTCCGTGTGTTCCACCTGTCAGCAGTAAAAAGCCAACAAATACACGGAAATGCAGAGGCGCCTGTAGCTACATGCCTCGCTGTGCTGCTCTAACCTTGGCCTCCAGACGCGCGTAAGAAGGTGACTGAGTCAGCTGCATGATCGCACTGCGCTGTGGATGCCGTTCTGAAGCCTTTTACTTCTGTCCTTCCCACCTTCCCTACGTGGGGGAGATGGGAAGGGGTGGAAGGAGACAGGGCTGGGGCTGGCCCTAAACCTTTGAGTTTTCCATTCTCCCACCATCTTTATATTAAGATTCCCTCTCTCCTCATTGTCCTGTTTCCTGAAGACTTTTCTCCCAAAACTTCAATCATGTTCATCAGTTTGTCTAGAAACAAATGTAAGGGAAGAGTTTTAGCAAACACGAAATTCTGCCCATGGAATCAATTCCATTTCATGAAGTTGTGTTGCCAAAGCAAACAACCTCTTCCTGTGAGCCGCCCGGACAGTGTGAATTACAGCTCTGCAGCCCAGCCAGCCCTTTCCCCTCTCCTTTCCTTCCTGCGGCTTCTTGGGGCTTCAGCTTCTGTCACAGGCCTTCCTTTTGGAATGGCTGTCACACATGCACACAGGTGGCAGAGTGGAAAGACCCCAGGGCTGACCCCTGATGCTCTTCGTACAGCTGCAGAGCTAGCAAACTGGGTGCAACTGGCTCTAAAGAGAATCTATGCGGAGCAGACGGCCCCCTGGCCACCTCAAGTCCCTGCTGGGGCTGGCATTTCCCACCTGTGAGCAACAAGATGACGGTGACCCAAACAATCCTCTCTAGAGGGAGAGGCCCTGGGAGGGAAGAGCGAGAGGCTCCGAAGCTCTCAACAGCCAAAGTTGGAAGGGAAAGAAGAGACGAAGGGACATAAACTGATGCCTGGGGAGTGGGTACCAAAGACAGGCAAGCGAGCTATCCAGACCAGGCTGATTGCAGTGGCCCACACCTTCATCCTAGCACTTTGAGAGGCTGAAGCGGGAGGATCACTTGAGCCCAGGAGTGTGAGACCAGCCTGGGCAACGTGGCAAGACCCCATCTATGCTTTAAGAAATAAATAGATGATTTGCCAGGCACAGTGACTCACGCCTGTAATCCCAGCGCTGTGGGAGGCCAAGGTGGGTGGATCACCTGAGGTCAGAAGCTTGAGACCAGCCTGGCCAACATGGTGAAACCCCATCTCTACCAAAAATACAAAAATTAGCTGGGCATGGTGGCTCATGCCTGTAGTCCAGCTACTCGGGAGGCTGAGGCAGGAGAATCACTTGAACCTGGGAGGCGGAACTTATATTGAACCCAGATTGCACCACTGCACTCCAGGCTGGGTATCGGAGTGAGACCCTATCTCGAATAAATAAATAATCCAGACCAAGCAAAGAACCGGGTTATTGTAAATAACAAAAAAGTGTATATTTCCACGAGACGATTCCCAAGTCTAAGAGAACAGCAGACTTTCTCACCAGCGAGCAAGATTCCATGTCAGTGAGTATCAACCCTGCTGGCCATTTAAGGACTGATAAAGTCAGCGTCTCCAGGAAAACCTAAATGCCATTTTGAAGGCAGTTCAGAATAAAACACGAAGAGCGGACTTCTACAAGTCAGCTTCTCAGTGTGTCACGGGGCATCGGGACGGACCAGTGCCATCCATGGTGCCCTTTCTAGTGTCCTTCTGGTGCCCCGATGTCATGTCCAGGGAATTTTGGGTTATATGCCACCATTTTCCAAAAAGGATTGGAAGTCATTTATACAAATTACAAGGTAATGGGGAGTGGGAAAGAGGGACTGTTTCAAGGAAGAAGCAGGCGAGAAGCCTTCGGCATCATGCCCACCTCTCTGGCACCAAAACAAGGGGAAACCCAGCTAAGCCCAGCATACTTATAGCAAAGATGCCACAGGTCCCCACACGGATGCAGAGAGTGTCATGTGAGCACCGACTGGGGGACGGCGGGGACTTCACTGGCTTGACCCCATTGCATGGCCACGACCTCCTCATGCTAGCCCAAGTAAGACAGCACAGCTGCCCTGGGGCTCCAGCAACAGCTGAGGAGTTGCCCATTGAAGATATGACTCAACCCAAGTACAGAGCTCTGCAGGGCTGCTGGATCAAACCACCGAAAAGTGTTCTCTTCAGGCCGGGCTCAGGACAGCAGACCCTGAGGCCCGGGCCCTGTGTGAAAGCCAGAGCTGCGGGCGGGAGGGCCCTGCTCCATGAACGGATCCTGGCAGTGTTCTTGCCAAGAGGACAGTTTGCGCCCCCGAGGGAGACAGGCCTAGGTGGGGAGCACAGGTGCTGCACCAGGGAGCACGTGGGATGCGCCTCGGGCCTGAAGCTTCTCAGCATGCATGTTACCCAGCAGGGCTTCAGAGAGACGCTGGAATAACAGCTGCGAGCATTGCTGACGAGGGCACATCTGTGCGCTGGAGTGGTCACTCTCCACTGCACAGATCACACCAGGGGAAGGGGGGCTCGTCCAGGCACTCACAGCTGACCAGGGGCAGAGCCAGGAGCAGAACCCAGGCCACCTGCTCTGGGCTCCTGCAGAACCAGCCAGCGATCCAGCTGGGAAACACCTGAGGGCTCGGAGCATCCTCAGGCACCGGAGAGTGCCAGGGAGCCTCCCGGCCTAGGCTGCCTGCAGAAGTCGCCCTCAGCCTTGTGCCACTCAGGCGTCAGGTGCCAGGGTCATGCTGTGGCTGCAGCCATCAGAGGCTGTAATGACCTTTTACCTTCCATTGGCAACTTGCCCTGACCCCCTTCAATACTCCTTTCCCTCTCTGCCCGTGCCTATCTGCACAAATCAACAAGACCACAGACTGTGAAAGAACAGAGGTGCAGTGCAGAGAAAAGAGGCCACGAGGAGGAGAGGGGAGAAGCTAGGGGTCTGTGGAGTGAGCAGAATGCAAGCTCTGAATAGAATGCCAAGGGCAGCGGCAGCCAAGCCAGGACAGTGGGGTCCCCGCACATTTCAGCTGCTCTCTCTGGGTGTCAGAGCAGGGAAGAGGGAGCCTTGAGGGGCGAGGAGGGTGGTCCCTTTGCAGACCCAGACGTCGTGCTGAGCATGGCACTGAGCCCAGAAACATTCATGGAGCGAGAGCAAAAGCACAGGCCCCATCGCCTCTCTTTGGAGCTGACAAGGAGCCTTCCTTTCAGTGTGCTGCACTCTGGCTTTCCAGGGTATTCCAGCCTCCCCATAATTCCATGTACTTTTCCTCCTTTCATGAGCATCTTCTCTCCCCACTGCCCACCCCACCTCTGCCGAGCCCTGGGATCGAGGTTCACTTGCATAACAGGTAATAGCAGGCGTTTCCTTGTCCTGTGACAGGACATCCTGGCGCCCTTCAGTCTCTCCCTGACTGTTTAAAACAGACGCGAGTACAGGAAAAAAAACCCGACTCTAAAATTAGCAACATGATAGAAGAAAGGCACATAGCTACTTTCTGTCCTGTTTGTCAATGAAACAAGTCTAAACAGGGCCAAAATGCATTTCCTTTTTGGGCAAAACAGACCCGTTAGGGGTGATGGTTGGACACTGAGGGGGAGAGGTGGCCTGTGGGGGCAAGAAAAGCCACCGAGACACCAGGGGCCCTCTTGGTGCTGCTGGCCCTCGCCCTGGTGCCTGCCGTTCTGGCGGTTGTTGAACAGAGCCTGGTCCAACCTTGTCAGAGGTCGTGTTGGAGCACAGTCCCGCCCCCGCCACCATCCCTCCTGACCAGGACAGGCCTCCGAAGGCCTCCAGCCCTGTCCCCCGGGAATGCTGTAAGACAGCTCGGTTTAGTCCATCAGGGTGCTCGCCCCCATGTGTGATTTTTTAAAATACATTTAGAAACACTATCTTGTCCTGAAATAAGATTTTGCAGGAAGTAAGCTGTCATTTTCGACATGCCAAATCCACAGTAGTCCTAATAATTCTAAACAAGAGTTTCAAGGAGATTTATTAAGAAATGCAGTGATCTGGGCCGGGTGCCGTGGCTCACGCTTGTAATCCCAGCACTTTGGGAGGCCGAGGCGGGCGGATCACAAGGTCAGGAGATCGAGACCATCCTGGCTAACACGGTGAAACCCCGTCTCTACTAAAAATACAAAAAATTAGCCAGGCGTGGTGGCGGGTGCCTGTAGTCCCAGCTACTCGGGAGGCTGAGGCAGGAGAATGGCGTGAACCCGGGAGGCGGAGCTTGCAGTGAGCCGAGATCGCGCCACTGCACTCCAGCCTGGGCCACAGGGCGAGACTCCATCTCAAAAAAAGAAAAAAAAGAAAAAGAAATGCAGTGATCCAGCTGGGCGCAGTAGCACACGTTTGTAATTCCAGCACTTTGGGAGGCTGAGGTGGGTGGATCACCTGAGATCAGGAGTTCGAGACCAGCTGGACCAACATGGTGAAACCCCGTCTCTACTAAAAACACAAAAATTAGTGGGGCGTGGCCAGGCGCGGTGGCTCACGCCTATAATCCTAGCACTTTGGGAGGCCAAGGTGGGCGGATCACGAGGTCAGGAGATCGAGACCATCCTGGCGAACATAGTGAAACCCCATCTCTACTAAAAATACAAAAAAAATTAGCCGGGCATGGTGGCGGGCGCCTGTAGTCCCAGCTGCTCAGGAGGCTGAGGCAGGAGAATGGCGTGAACCCGGGAGGTGGAGCTTGCAGTGAGCCGAGATTGTGCCACGGCACTCCAGCCTGGGTGACAGAGTGAGACTTCGTCTCAAAAAAAAAAAAAAAAATTAGTGGGGCGTGGTGGCAGGTGCCTGCAATCCCACCTACACGGGAGGCTGAGGCAGGAGAATCGCTTGAACCCAGGAGGCAGAGGTTGCAGTGAGCCGAGATTGCGCCACTGCACTCCAGCATGGGTGACAGAGCAAGACTCCATCTCAAAAAAAAAAAAAAAAGAAATGTAGTGATCCATTGGGTTATCTTACAGAAGGAGTTATTTTCAGAATCAAAAACTATTGCTTTTGCTTTCTCTATGCCGCTAAAATATCTTTATTCTGACCCAGCATTTCCAATTACATTTTCAAAATCTTCCATTTCCTTCTTTAAGCCACGGCATTTCCGATTCCTGCACGCGGTAGAGATTGGCCATTTCAGTGAGACAGGAAAACCACTTCTCTGTTTTATGGCCCTCGGGTCAGCAGAGGGCCCCGTGGGAGCTTTCCTAGCCTGGGTACCTCGTTGAGAGTCTCATGTTTTCCCTGCAGTCATGCAGGAGGGGAGGAGGCGGAGTCAGTCCTAGGTCCCACATCCCTGTCTCATTCGTTCTTACAGTCAGTTGGGTGGGGGCAGAAATTACCCTTTTCGAAGTTGGGCATGCAGAGGCTCACGTTAGTTTAGTCATCTGCCTGACCCCACGTCGATGGTGATGGAGCCAAGACACAGCTCCAGTTCCAGGCTCCACGCCCTGTGCTCTTCCACTGAAGCCTCGAGGCCCCTCCCTTCCCGCCCCTACCCGCCAGGGGAAGTGACTTGCCCAGGGCCACGCCATGCTATTAATAGCGCTCAGAGAGCCCGGCCTGACTCGCTCAGGGCACTTTCCAGCACAGGAATACCTGCCCCCACAGTCTGTCAGCCTCCTTCTGGAAATTGTATTTCTTAAGAAAGATAAGGGCCCAGGATCATTATTCCTAGAATGATTCACTCTGGACTTCCTGCCACTTCCTCTGTGGGAACTGCAGGGCAACCTGCAGAACGCTGCACCGGCCTCGAGGAGGAGAAGGAGGGTGCGGGCAGCTCCGTGCTGGTCATGCTCAGCCATGGGCCGACATGCTCGCTTTCTCTGTGTCCCTGTCTCTGCGGGCACCGGGCTGACCTGTCCCAGTGAGCAGCAGGAGACCTGAGCCTGCCCCAGATGCCCACAGTCTTCAAACCTCTCAGTCAGCCACAGAAGACCAGCAGAGCCCCCTGGGGTCGCTGGGGGTCATGGCTGGACACTGCTGTGGCTCAAGCACTTGTCTAGAACACCGCAGGACCCTTCCATAGGTCGTTGACGACAACTCCATCACTGTCACCCTCTATGACGCCAGGTCTTCTCAAGACCTGTCCCAGGTTGCTGGGTCTAGAGCGTTGAGAGGAGGCTCTGAGCACCAATGGCCCCTCGCCTGCAAGGCCGGGCCTCCTCCCCAACTCACATGGCGGCTTGGGGAAGCCAGGGCCTCGTGATGGTCCTGCCGTCTGCATCAGTGTCCGAGCCAGGCACACAGCATGTGCTCGTGCAGGCACCTCACTGTCGGCTCAGGCAGTGTGGAACGTGCTAGCGTGTTCTCACTCTGTCTTGTCCCGCTCACGGAAAGGGCCTGCGCTGACCCCAGGCTGACCCCAGGCAGGTCCTAGGAAGCTGCGTTTATAACAGAGCACATGCCTTGGCCTTCCTAGGCCTGACCTGTTCTAGGCCTCTTAGCTGGGAAGGTCAGGGCCAGGCATGGGCTCTTCTGCCTCTGCCCAGGGGCTGCTCCCCACCAGCTGCCTCAGCATTGAGGAAGGGGCAGGACCCAGGCTGCCCCATGTGGACTGCACAAGGGCCAGTCAGCAATCAGACCCCACAGACTCAGGAAAGCAAAGTGCCTCAGCCTTTAAAGTGGAAAAGGGTGTGACAGACACGCCAGGTGGTCGCAGCCTCCCTGCTCCTTGGCCTGGGTGTGTTTCTGTCTTTCATCATTCTTGCCTACAGCAAGAGGGAGGGAGGATGCCCCATGGGGCTTCTCAGTGGCCTGTGGCCATGTTGAGAGGTATGGCCTGCAGCTTCCCCCCAGGCCACCCAAGGCCTCAGGACCCTCCTGTGGCACCAGAAGGCCACAGGGGGCAAGGGCGCGGTGGCCACACCCGCCCAGGTACTTACTCGCCAGTTGGAATGCAGCGGCCATGGCCTCCTCCCAGCACGGGGCGTCGGGTGACAGCAGGGGCAGGCCCACCAGCCCCAGGAGGAAGGTGAGCTGGCCTGCGGTGAGCGCGGCCGTGGCCACCAGGTTGCAGGCGCGCATCATGTCGAACTGCACTGTGGGCCAAGAGCAGAGAGGCAGTGGTGAGTGCAGGTGGGCTCCAGAGGCCACGCCAGCCGTCACGCCACTTTCGTGGTCTCTGTTTGCCTCGGAAAGGGCGGTCGGCACAGGCTGTGCCTCCATTGGGCAGTGGCTTCGGGAAGCATCACGCCCTCCCCCTCACCTGCCTGCAAGCCCTGGGTCCCATGTCTTCCTGATGGGAAGGGTTCATCCCAGCCGCCGGGCCTGGCTGCAGTGGTCGTATCCCTGCAGGGACGGGCCCTACTCTGCTATTTCTGTCTTCCTGAGACAGCTGTTCCTCTCTGCCTGACTTGACCCTTGAAGGCGCTGGCGTGGGGGTGGAGGTGGGAAGGGGAAGCCCACCAGCAACACCGGCTTCCCTGTCACTGAATTCACAGCATCCAAGACGAGGGCGCTGCCTGACCGGAGACTCCGCGGGGGGCCAGCTCCTCAGGCGTGCTGTCCTGCGTGCTCAGCTGCCCGACCCCCAAGCGGCTCATGGTGGTGTTCCCTCCTCCCAGCAGCTGAGGGACTTGGGACCGAGGAGAAGCAGCTCATCTGGGCCCCTCATAACCAGCAAGGGGCTGAGCAGGGGTCAGACATGGGTCTGAACCAGTGCCCCCCACCTGCCCCCCTCACCTCCTGGGGCCCCGTCACCCCATCTGCCACAAATCTTTCACTCAGTGGCTTAAGTCAGGGCCTGCTTCCCCACTCACAGCAGGCCTGTGCCCAGCCTTCTCTGTCCCCCACCTACACCTGGTTGCAGGAGCCAGGTGGGCAGGGCACATGGATGCGTGGTCAGGGGCAGATGGAGCCTTCTGTGAGTGAACTTCAGAGGGAGGTGCGTTTGTTGCCCTCAGGGACCAGGGCTCGTCACGTTTCTGTAGCAGAGAAATGTTCTCCCGCAAATAAAACCTTACACAGGGGCCCAAATGAGGTGGTGGTGAAGCAGTGTGTTCCCAGGCCCCTGCACGCTGCAGAGCAGACAATGTGTGTGCTGACAGACACTCAGCCTGGAGTCAGGGACTGCATGTGAAGCAACAGCCCCACAGAGTCCCTAGCCTGTCATCGCCATGCCTTGTTTTCTATTGAACAATATTTGGGAAATTCGATTCCCAAAACTAAGTCGTTATAAACAGTTGCACCTTTTTAAATGACTTGCCTTGAAATTTCAGGGCACTCTTCAGGTAACTGATGCAGGAATCTAAGAGGGAAGCAGCCTCACCACTCAGGAGCGGGTCCCCGCGCCCGCATCCATCACAGACACCAGAATCCAGGCTCAGGAGCAGGTCCCTGTGCCCGCATTCATCACAGACACCAGAATCCAGGGAGCAGCAGAATGTCCCAAGAGCCCTGAAGGTGCTGGCCTCTAGGGTGACTGCTGTGTGTCCTGGGTGGAGGCCGAGAGGGGATGGGGAGATCCTCAAGCTGCCTCCTCAGAGCACGCCTGTGGGAAGCCAGCCCAGCAGGGGAAGCTGTCGAGGTTCACGCGTGCACGGGGCAGGCACGCTGGCATCAAGGCTCAGGGGTGGTGGGGGATGCGGGCTGCTTTACTTCGTGAGTGTTTACGTGGTTAGAAGTATCCGTTGGAACCACTATTGCCAGTATTAGCAATTCCACACGGTTCAACCTCAACATTTATTGAAATGCAATCTGGATTCACAGAATAACCTCAAAGCTCTGGAGCCGAGGCATCTGCTTCCCACCTGGCCCTTGGGCTGGGTGCTGCTCCAGCGCTCACATCTGCCCCGGCCCCAGGCTGAGGTGGTGTGTGGGATCGTCTCAGTCTAGGCTTTCGGCGTCCCAGCATCCCTGGAGGCACACTGCTCCTCGCCACTGAGGGTCCCCCCGCCGTCCTACCCACTGTATTTCAAGCTGCTTCCCTCCACAGCGTCCCCTCCTGTCACTCGGGGCGGAGGGAGCTCTCCTTCCTGGATGCCAGGCTTTTCCACTGTGCCCGCTCCGGCCTGGGTGGCGCCCCCAGCCCTGAGACCTCCAGGGTGTGAGGGCAGTGCGCAGAGAGTGGAGGCATGAAGGACCCTGGGGCACGGGGTCCCCGGGCTGCTGAGGAGTCTGAGCAGCCAGCACATGGCACCATGAGCCTTCCGCTGGCAAGGGGGAGAGCGGAGCACGCTGCCTGCCCGCAGACAGGCAGGCACCACTGACAGGGCCATGGGAAGCGGCAGCAGCTGCCCCTCGCTCATTTTTCTCGCAGCAAAACAGACACCCCAGTGAGCGTCACTGCCACGTAACTGAGAGCTCACGTTCCTTCATCTCCAAAGTAACTGCAGAGTTAGAAACCATAGCGCTCCCGCGAGGTTCTCTCTAAAGAAGGAACAGAAGACGCGGGGGCTGAGAGCCAGCCTGGTGGCCAAGGGGTTCCCGTACGGACAGCGGGAAAGCCTGGCAGCAGGTGAGGACCTGGCTCAGCATGGGCATAGGTGGCCGTGGGGCCAGAGTGCTTGGAGGAAGGGGCAGAGCCCAGGGCACTGGAAATGCCAGAGGACAGCAGAGATGTGCTTGACCTCAGCCTGGCACCGTGCAACTTGCTGAGGCCTAAGGCGTGGGGCGGCATTTGCACCATGTGGCTTGCTGAGGCCCAAGGCATGGGACGTCACTGGCACTGTGCGGCTTGGTGAGGCCCAAGGTGTGGGGTGGCTTGGCACCGTGTGGCTTGGTGAGTCCTGAGGCTTGGGTCGGCGTTGGCACCGTGTGGCTTGGTGAGGCCCAAGGCGTGGGGCGGCGTGGCACTGTGCAGCTTGGTGAGGCCTGAGGCGTGGGGCCGTCTGGCACTCTGCAGCTTGCTGAGGCCTGAGGTGGGGGGCCATCTGGCACTGTGCAGCTTGCTGAGGCCTGAGGCGTGGGGCCATCTGGCACTGTGCAGCTTGCTGAGGCCTGAGGTGGGGGGCCGCGTGGCACCGTGCAGCTTGGTGAGGCCTGAGGTAGGGGGCGCTTTTGCCCTGGGTTTCTCACCTGCCCTAGGGCCTGTGCAGATGGGACCAGCAGGAGCCAGGGTTGAGGCAGACACTGCCCTGGCTGACTGGCAGGACCTTCCTGACTGCTCCAACGGACTCCACAGCCAGCCCCAAGCAGTGACCACGTACAGCCTGCAGGGACCGGAGTGAGGCCTGCATTTTGAGGGCGTCCTGTCCACACATTAGGGACGTGTGTGAGCTCTGGAGGCCCCTTCCAGCAGGATCTGTGGCACGGTGCTGTGCCATCTTTGCTCTTAACTGTCTTGGCAATGACTTCCATTCAGAAGCCTCTGCTTCTCTAAACATTGCAAAATGAGGGAGGCATTAAAACATCACGCAGAAGGTCATGTTCGAGAGAGGAGCAGCTCAGATTCCCTGCCCAGGGCTCTGCGCTCTGCCCTGGAGGGGAGGAAAGACCAGAATGAAGGGGGAGGAGGGATGCAGAGCTGCCCTGGGAGGAGCATAGCCCAGAATGGCATGACCGAGGTGGGCTTGAGCACCAGGCACAGCTGCACGTGTAGTTGTGGTGAGGGTGAGTGACCAAGGTTCCTGGGAGCTGGGAATAAGCAGACGCACCCCTGACCTGTCCTCTCGCCCTCAGCCCTGGCCTCTCAGCCTTCCTTCCTCGCAGCTCCAGGCACACAGCCCTGTGCCACACACCATGGCAGGGGCTCTGTGCAGCAGCCGTGCCCCACAAGCCACTCTGCAGCCTCCAAGTCCCCAGGGTGCATGGCTCACCACAAGGGCACCCACAGACCCACCGCCCTGCCAGGAAGGAGGCACTCCTGCCCGAGCCTTCCTGTCTGAGCCACGCTCCCGCCTGCCCCAAGAAAGCTGTTTGGAGCTGGCGTTCACTGCTTGGGTGTTATACGGGTTCCTGGGGTGCTGCCTGTGTGCGTGGCTCTGCGTGGCTCTGCGTGGCTGTGCGTGGTAGCAGCTGACTTTTAAAGGTGTCGGTGAGAACGTGGTTCAGCTGGGTCCTGGCCGAGCAGGGGGTGAAGCCCGGGAGCTCTGTCCTCCACCTGTATTCAGGCAGGGTCTTACGTGCCCGTTTGATGTGTGGCGGGGCATGCGTGGTGACGGAGCCACGTGGAGCCACCGGAGAGAGGGGTGGGGCTCCCCCTCAGCTAGCGCCAGGCTCTGGCTCGCCTGCCTCGAGATTCAATCACACGGTCATCTGTTCCCAAGCCACCTTGTTTCAGATGCCTGACAGAACGCACGAAATACAGAGAGATGACGTAAATATCCAAAACGAGACGAAGTGAGGAGGAGAAATTGAGACCCCCTCTGGACATGGCATGTGAGGTGGACCTCAGGCCTCCCTGGTCCCCCGAGCTCCTCACAGGGAAAGAGCACCCCTGATCCGTAATGAAAGTCCCACTCACCACAGGCCACAGGACACCCCTGGCAGGGGCACGGGAGGGCCTGAACCTGGATGAAGTCGAGACCGGGCTCCTCTGCCCTGGGTCCAGCCCTCTTTGCCCTGACCAGAGTTCAGGATGTCCGGGGCGCGTCCCCTGTCCCTCAGGCAGGCTCCTGGTGATGTTTGCGAGTGACGAGCGCTGGATGATTTTGACTCCATGTGCCCCATGGGGCAGGGCCTCAGGGCACAGAGCCGTCCGGAGACATCCACGCGGGCCTCAGCGACATCCGGAAACCCCGAGGGTGGCCTGGTGTGCGTGAGGAGGCACGCGGTGTGGCGTTGTCTTCCCTGGCCTGCGTGAGGAGGCACGCGGTGTGACGTTGTCTTCCCTGGCTTGCCCCACCCCGACCCTAGACTGGTTCTCGGGATGGAATTGTGAGCAAACCAGCACCCAGCCTCACAGCACAGACGGTCGCAGCCCATCATACGTGCTGGGTGATTTTACAAGGAACACTGGCCAAGGCAGGAAGGAAGACGCTAGGAGCTGGCTGGACTCAGTGGGGTGGCCAGGCTAGAGCTGCTGCCCCCAGCCAGGGCTGACTCCCAGGCCTGCCTAGGTCACACGGCAGGATTTTGCAGAAAGGTTCATAGGCTAGCTTGATGTGCAGTGGTGGCAGGTAGCAGCCCCTCACCCGATTGGGGACATGGGTGCACGTGAGTGGGGGCAGCGAATGTTGCTGTGGACAGAGGGGCCACCCCGTGGGAGAGCAGCACGTGGGCTTGGAGAGGTGGGCACCAGTGCAGATGGACGTCGGTGAAGGAGAAGGCGAGAGAGGCAGGAGGAAGACACCAGCACGGCCAAGGGAGACTCTGGGCGCGTCCCCGTGTTGGGGCCTTGGGGGATGTGGTGGCTGCACTCCAGCCTGGGTGACAGAGCAAGACTCTGTCTTAAAATAAATTTTAAAATTAAAGAAAAGTTACCCGTTGAGCCTGTTCCTTTTCCTGAGCTGAGTCCCGTTTACAAGGAGCTTCCGTGACGCTTCCCTTGTGTGGACAAACCTTCGCTGCTCAGGTTCACTGAGGGTCAGCCACCTGCAGATGCCATACAAGTTGCAGGAGGATGTTGTAAATATTGTCCAAGGGGCTGACCAGGGCTCAGGGAGGAGCAGTGGACGCAGGCAGGTGAGCAGGAGGCAGTCCAGGGGGCTCTGTGAGGGGCCTCGTGTGTCCTGCTGGCCTGAGGTGAGCAGGCCTAAGCAAGTGGACAGCCGGGCGCCTGGGACGGATGCATAGGTCGTGCCAGAGGCTACACGCGGCCCTGTGACTGGAGGAACGCAAGAGGTAGCAACAGGGAGGGGCGCCAAGGCTTCCAGCTGCCCTGAGATTGGGCTGCCTGGGCCACCTGTGGGTGTTGGTGGCAGCAGTTAGGAGGCCTGGAGGTGCAGAGCTGCGGCCAAGGGCCGGCTGGGAACTCCCTCCCCCGGGGGTGCTCTGTGGGCTGGACGCCAGTGATGGTCCCAAAGCACATGAGCGCCCGGCCCCACCTCCAGGGGCCTAAAGCCGCTGCCCCCGCGAGAGGTTCAGCACAGTAACGGGGCTGCGGCTCCTTCTTCAGCAGAGCAGGCAGAGTCTGGAAGAAGGGCGCCTGGCCGGAGTCACGCGGAGACCCAAGCCTCGGGCTTCCCATAAGACACCGAGTTCTGAGAGCCGGTGGAAGCTTTGAAGTTATTCATAGGCTTTGATCTTTTTAAAAGACGGCTGTTGGTCCCTGCTGGTGAAGGATGCGAGAGGAAGTGCGCAGTCCAGGCTGTGCGGTGCAGCCGAGGGCCTTTGAGTGGACAAGGGGGTTGAATTCCCTCGTGGGACCTTGTCCAAGCCACATGCCTTCTGCAAAGCCTCAGTTTCTTTGCCTGTGAAGTGGGGATGACATTCCCCGCTGAGGGTTCTGAGCGCGGCAGGTTGGGGATGGAGCTGTGTGGTTGAGGCACACGTGATGTGTGTTACCCCAGTACTCCGGGACTCCCTCGGAAGCCTGGAGCAGAGGCACTGCCTCAGAGACCAGCATTATCTTCAGAGCAGAAGGAGCGTCCAACCCCGAGTCTGTGAGGCTCTGCAGCAGAGACTTGGGGTGTCTGCGAGTCAAAACCTTGCTGACAGTTTCAGAGAGTCGGCCTTTGGGAGACCTTGTGTCCCTGTGCCGTGACTGTTGAGATGACCCCATGGGCTGTAAGCGCCTTCCTATTTATGCAGCCTCACACCTGCCACTCAAACCCCACGGTGCGGTGGCATCATTCTGAGCCCCTTCCTCTCCTCTGCAACCACTGAGCATCCCTGTCCCCTTCCGAGCGTCCTGGCCTCCCTGTCTCCTTTCCAGCGTCCCATCTGAAGCTCATCCCTGGGGATCCTGCTGCTGCTCTCTGCCTCAAAGACCCCAACAACCGTGAGAACAAAGCCAGAACTCACCCGTGTATTTTTAAACTTCTTGTTTATTTTACTCATGAGTAAAGAAAGAGCATTTTCATTTTTTTTTTATGTTCAGAGACAGGGTCTCTCGCTATGTAGGCTAGGTTCGTCTTGAACTCTTGGCCTCAAGCAGTCCTCCCGCCTCAGCCTCCCAAAGCGCTAGGATTACAGACGTGAACCACTGCGCCCAGCCGTAATAATTATTTTCAACCAAGGAAAAATGCCTTTCCTTGATTTGATTAATGTACCCATCTCTTAACTATGTGTAACGGCAGAGAGGCCCCCCAAATGCCTGAGATGAATTCCTGTGTAAAAGAGCTGGAGGCAGATTCTGTGCTGAGCAGGAGGAGTGTGTGGGGCCACCACTCACCAGGGAGAGGGGGCCTTGGGGCCTGGTTCCCTGGGAGACACAGTGCCCCCTCCTGCCTGCCCAGAGGCCACGCTCAGGGCAGAGCAGGGGCCAGGCCTCCCCACCCGCTCACCAGGTCCGCGCCTAACATCTCCCATGTGCCCTCGAGCCTCGGCCACGCTGAAGGCATCAGGAAAACAATTGGACTTACGTTTGACGGTGCCTCGGGACTCCTGGAAGCCGGCTGCCTCGGAGCCCCAGCCCAGCGCCTCACAGTCATGTGCGTCCACCTGGCCGGCTCTGGCCCCAGGGCTCGGCCCTCCCCGGGTCCTGTCCACCAGCCAGCAGGACCTCCACAGCCCCACGCTGCGCCTGCGCCCATCCTCCAGCGTCTGGCACACCCAGTTGGAGGTGAAGGCCGCCACGTTGTTGAGGATGAGTGAGACCAGGGCCACCAGCACGGCCGCGGCCACGAGTCTCTGCACGGTCATCGCTGACGCCGGTGCCGCCGCTTATCCGGAGAAAGCCAAGTCCCAGTCCGCGGCCGCACGTCCAGGGAGAGCCGACGCTGCTAGGGGTGGCTAGAGGACATCACCACTCATCCTCGGGGCGGCGCGGGCGGAGGCCCATGGGATGGTCCAGGTGTGCCGCCTCTCGGCCCGGCCTTATCCTCCTTCCTGCACCTGGAGCAGGGCCAGGCCTGTGCTGAAGCTGCTCGCCTCGGGGCCCATCCCAGGGAGCAGAGGGTGGGCAGCAGCAAGAACCCAGGGCCAGGAGTGCGCCGTCTTCCCGGGAAGCGGAGGCCGGCCTGTGCCGCGCGTGCCTCTTCTCGCCTGCAGCAGTGGAAAACAGAGTCACTCGGGAGGCCGGCAGCAGTGGGAGTCGAGCCCGCGCCACACTCCTTAGCACCGGCCTGCTGTGAGTGCCAGGCTCCGGGCAGGGTGGCCGGTGTGGAGCGGGTTCACAGCTCCTCTGTGCTGCCTGGGCCCCTGTGTGGATGCCTCCAGGGCAGTTGGCCGGTCCTGGAAAGCAGAGTGGCTGCTGCAGGGACGCCCGTGTGCGCAGAGCTCGCCTTCCCTGGCTCTCAGCAGAGAGGAAATGGTTGTTTTTGAGACTGTTTTTGGTGAGCTGGAAGGCGTAGCCAACCGCAACAAATAGCGGCCCTGCCGCGGCAGCCAGACACCAACAGGATGTGCTTCCTGATGGGAAAGGCCAGGAGACTTCTGAGGCCCTGCTCCAGGCCCACCTCCTGCCGCCCCTCCCCATCTTCCTGTCCCAGAGGAGAGGCCAGGGATGCCGGGTGCGGGACAGATCCCTCGTCTCGCCTGTTGCTTTTAAGCCTGGTGGCCCCCGGGGCCTGGAGGCTGGTACTGAGCGACTATTGCCTGCCCTGGGGACTTCACACCCCCCAGCCATCCAGTTGCCCCCAGGACCATAGGTACCCCCAGGACCATAGGAACCACAAGCCTCCCCCCGCCCGTGTGTTCCAGGCCTGCCCCCGCCACGGGAATGCTGCCCTCAAAAGGGGGGCAGATATCACAGGATTGCTGGGAAGGGGAGAGACCCGTGTGCCTGGAGGGAGCAAGTTCACCCAGACCTGCAGGGCCAGGGACCTGTACTTGGAGGACCTCGGGGCCAGGGACCTGTACTTGGAGGGCCTTGGGGCCAGGGACCTGTACTTGGAGGACCTCGGGGCCAGGGACCTGTACTTGGAGGACCTCGAGGCCAGGTCATTCTTAGGTGGCAAGAAGGGTAAGATTCTGGATGTGCTGGGTGGGGCTCTCAGCGGGGCCTGGGACAGAGCGAATGTCACGTGGGGCCTGGGCCACCTCTGCTATTGATGGGAACGGTCACCCCCCACAGCTGGGGACAGGACTAGGCAGGTCACCTTGTGAGTGGTCAGGCTCTCGGGCAGAGCTTATGCTGCCAGGGAGCTCAGAAGCATCTTCGTCTATTCTGCTCAGAATTATTCTGCCCAGCTGGGCAGACACCACGAGAGGGTCTCCTACTCTGTCCCATCTCCAGAGACCCGAAACCCAGCATGGGATTCCCAGCCTACCCAGGCTCCAAAGCTTCGTGAATGCAGGTGTCCCACATCCGTGCAAACTGTTCATGGGCACACGCCCAAGACAGTGCTGGGACAGAGAGTCCTGTTCCCAGCCTGTGGTAACAGCAGAGCTTTGACCGTTTCCTGTCCTTGCACTGCCCGTGCTTGGGCCCTGGCTCAGGGCGGTCCCGAGAGCTGCCACTTCCTGGGACCAGTCTCCATTCACACGTTGGCATGTGGCTCTGTATATCCACAGGTGAAGCAAGGTTCCCCACACACGCCCTGTGTCTGTTCCAGAAAGGCAGCAGCTCCGTCCTCACCAGCCCGTGGTGCGTGCTGGGTCCTGAGAAGCGTTTCTCCACTGGCTTCCTGAGGGACGTGCCTGGGGGGGATTTTCCCCGGGGATTTGTCGCAGACGTGTCCGTCAGGTTTCTCCTTTCCCCTCTTCCTTGGCTTGTGCCCAGGGAAAAGCTGCTGTTTCTATTTCTGTTCTCAGCCCCCGGAACCTGACGGGGCGTGCGGGGCACAGTGGTGCTGCCGGCCCCCACTCTCCCGGGTGGCTCGGAAGGCCCTGGGGGGATGTCCCCAGCCCTTCCTGCCTGTGCCCTGCTCCTCGGAGGTGGACGGGGGTGCAGTGTCTCAAACACTCAGTGTTCCTAAGCACACGGTGCAGAAGGGGGCCTTGAAAGGGAAGTCTCCCAAAAGTTTCCATGGGGGAAGAATTTATTTCCTCCTTAATTAACTAAACCATTAATCTTTCGGGAGTCTTCAAATGGCTAACTTCCAACAAAAAGCCAATGCTGGGTTTCAGAGCCCAGAGGACACGTTTGATTGTCTCAGCGGCCCGCTCTGGTCCTTTCCTCAGGTTGAGTGGGGAGGAGGCCACGGCCAGACTCCTACACAGCGGCAGCACCCCCAGAAGTCCTGGTTCGCAGAGGCCAGCATCGGCCTCCACTCTCCTGGCACTTCTGGGGTGCTCCAGGTCCCTGTGCCCTCAGCTGTCACGCCGCTTCTAACCCTGCGCGCTATGGCAGGCTGGGCGCGGGAGGGCGGAAGGCCTGGGAGCAGCATGTAAGTTAAGAGCGACCCTCCTGGGAGGATCTGTGGCTCTCGGGGGGTGACTCCCAGTAAGGGGACTCGCAGCTGGGCGGTGGGCTTCCCCCACAGTGCATCACACCCTCCTGCTCTCCCTGTTGCTTGGGGTCTTGGTCACGGTGGAGTCCCACTGCCCCCTCCCACATATGTGCCTGCGGCTCCCATATACCCAGCAGAGCGGGAGCCCTAGCACAGAACAGGGACACGGAGGGAGGGGGCGGCCTCGGCAAGCATGATCGTCAAGCCGCTGTTCGCCAGCCACCCTCATCCTGACACAGAGTGGTCTCGGCAGAGCTTCTGCAGGACCTTTGAAGGCTGCGTCCCCTGCCGCCCATCTGCTTCTTGTTCCAGTGCCTCGGGGCTGATGAAGTGCAGATGTGGGTGACTCCACAGACTGGCCGGGACAACAGGAAATTCTCAAGACTTGGATGGGAACTAAGAGGGTGTTTACTTCTTGGAATTTATGTCAGATGCACAAACCCCAGAACCCCACACCGGAGTGGAGGCTGTCCCGAGAGCCCTGGCCGGCCGTCGCGGAGAGGATGTGGGAATCACGCGGGGCTGGTGCCCTCGAGCAGGAGGCTGGCTGTGGAAGGAGCTTGCAGAGAGCGCCTGGGTCTGGACGCTTCTGGCGGGTCTGTGACCGCCCTTCCCGTGGGTTCTCCCAGCAGCCTCGGCCTGGCAGGCAGGGGCCTGTAGGAGGGCGTGTCCAGCCTCCACTGGTGGCCGCACATACAGCACATGCTTCTCCAAGGCCCGCATGGTGCAGACTTAATGCCCAGGACAGGGCACATGGAAGTGCGGGCATCTGACGGTGTGCTGGCTGGGTCCTCGGTCACACATGGGCCCCAGGAACCAGAGCAAAACCAGGGCCGGCCTGCGGGCTCTCTCCCGCTCCCCACGGGCGGGCTCTCTCCCGCTCCCCACGGGTGGCCTCCGCGTGGGAGAGACGGGGCGTTCAGAGCACAGGGGAGCCCGTCTGGGACCCAAGTCAGCTGCCACATTCCTGTGCTTGTTTGTGATTTTCCACCGCAATTGGATGTGGACGGAAGGAACCAGTTGTTTTCAGGACAAGGGAGAGGAAAGGAGCCACGCGGGGCAGGTAGAGGCAGGTCCCAGCCCTGTCCAGCCCCACACCTGGGCCTCGGGAGAGGGTGTGCACAATCGGGAGATTTTTTAAAGATTCCAGTTGTGGGCCGGGCGCAGTGGCTCACACCTGTAATCCAAGCACTTTGGGAGACCGAGGCGAGCAGATCACAAGGTCAAGAGATCGAGACCATCCTGGCCAACATGATGAAACCCCATCTCTACTACAAATACAAAAATTAGCTGGGTGTGGTGGCGCATGCCTGTAGTCCCAACTACTCGGGAGGCTGAGGCAGGAGAATCACTCGGGAGGCAGAGGTTGCAGTGAGCCAAGATCGTGCCACCACACTCCAGCCTGGTGACAGAGTGAGACTCTGTCTCAAAAAAAAAAAAAAAAAAAAAAAAGATTCCCGTCGTGAAGTCTTTTGGGACAGGAGAGTAAAAAAGACTGCATGTCTTACAACGTGGTGTTTACGAAGCGGCCATCACGCCTCACGCACTGAGGCCCCAGTGCTGCCACCACCCAGATGTTAGAGAAGTGAGACGTCTGTGAGGAGCCGTGGCATCCCTTCCATCCGATCTGTAGAACTGACTGGAAGCTGTGCAGTGAGGACACAGTGTTTCTTTTGAGATTCAGATGTGACCCCTGCACTGCACTCCACGTGCATCATTTGCTGACGGATGAGGCCCAGCAGCGTTCTGGGGAGCCCTGGACCCCCAGTCTTGAGGCGTGTCTCAGCACGGGGCAGCTGTGTCTGAGCCGTTTATAAACTAGTTTTACACGCATGGGTCCTTCCACGTGGATTTTTACCCAGGACCTCAGCATAAAGGAGAAAGACAAGCCTTGGTTTTCTGCTGTTAGAAAGAAGTTTCATTGTAAAGATGTGACTTCCTGCCTGGAGCTCTAGAGGACCGAGGGCAGCACAGCCTGAGGGGCTGGTGGGCCGGGTGCTCAGGCCTCTCCCTGTGCTGAGTTGGTGGCAAGAGTTCCGAACCCAAAAGACTGAGGAGCGCGAATCGGAGATCAGGACGCTGCGCCTGGGGCACCTCCCTGGGGTCCCATGCACCCGGTGTCACCTTCACCGCAGCGCCGACTGAGCGTCCAGGAAGCTGCCAGTGGGTGCACCCAGGTGCTGTGAGGAGCCCCATGTGAGGCCATCAGAGGACACGCATGCAATGGCAGTGGCAGGGAGGCAGGCTCACTTCCCGGCCCCCCAGACGCTTGGCACCCCCACGAGGGCCTGGCCCGTGGGTTTGGACACACCCTCTCCTGGCTCCAGGCATGACTGTGCCACATGGCAGGGGCTGCCAGGTTGGTTGCTGCTAAGACACATGCACCTGCCCGCCCTGCGTCCCTGGGTGGTGGAATGCGTCCGTGGAATTCACCCGAGTACATGTAAAACCAGGCACAAAGTACCTGCTGGCTTTCGGGAGCGGGCACCTGGGTATGCCGCGTTGCAGCCACAGACACCACCGCAGGGCCCATCCCAGGAACCTGCGTCCAGCCCCTAGACTCAGACACAAGTGCACCGAGCCTGCCCGGGGCTACCATCTCGGAGCCATTGCCCTGTGATTCTGTGGGAGCCAGGGAAGCTGAGATGTGGGCAGCCCACACCTCCCGGAGATGGAGGTACCACCGTGGGACTGGGCTCCCTGGCTGTCCTCCCGAGCCCCTCCTTCTCACAGGGGCAGGGCCGTTAGGAAAACGCCCAGCTGCACGCAGCACAGCTCCGCTCACTCACCGGGACCACGGGCTCGGGGCTCTGTGGGCGGCTGGTCCCTCCAGTCCTCAGAGCGGCCTGTGACCGTGCCAGCGGGGAGGCTGCAGGGCTGCTGCCCTGCTAAGACTGTGGGCTGGACTGAGGCTTATCTGCAGGGAGCAGCCTGGAATGCGAGGGTGGCCCTGGGTGGGGATGCTCCGAGGCCACTTGCAGGGTGTGCTGCCTGTGCTTGTGGGAGTACGTGCGTGCATGTGTGTGCGTGTGTGTGCATGTGCGTGCATGTGCTTGTGTGTGCCTGTGTGTGTGCCTGCATGTGTGTGTATGTGAGTGCATGTGCTTGTGTGTGCATCCATGTGTGTGTGCATGCATGTGAATGTGTGTGTGCATCTGTGTGTGCATGTGCGTCCATGTGTGTGCATCCGTGTGTGTGCACACGTGCGTGCATGCGTGTGTGTGCACACGTGCGTGCATGCGTGTGTGTGCACACGTGCGTGCATGCGTGCGTGTGTGTGTGGCTTTGGTGGGGCTTGTAGGGGAGGCGCGTGTGGCAGAGGAGAGAGATTCAGGAAGTGACCAGTGCGTCCTCTGCCTGTCCCTGCTCGGTGACCACACTGAGCTGTGTCTTGGAACAGGGCCTTTGTCTGAAGCCCTGAGCCCACGTCAGGGCTGAAGCCGCAGGCCAGCCCGGCCCCAAGGCCCTTGGGGCGGGATCTCCCTGGATGGCCTTGGACCCACCTCCCGCCCAGCCCCACCAGGAGGCCTGGCTGAGTGCCCCCACACACATGCGGACACACGGTTCTCATGCAGCGTCATGTCCCTAGAGTGGCTGTCAGCAGCCTTTGCCTACCCTGGAGCTGACACAAACCAAGTCCTCAGTCATTTCTGGTCCTGCCTGGATCAGCGCCAGCAGGGGAAGAATGCAGGAAACCTCATGGAGAGGCGGGGGGCTGGGCGCGGTGGCCCATGCCTGTCATCCCAGCAGTGTGGGAGGCCAAGGCAGGTGGATCACTTGAGCTCAGAAGTTCGAGACCAGCCTGGGTAACATGGCGAAACCCTGTCTCTACAAAAAATACAAAAACTTAGCTGGGTGTGGTAGCACACACCTGTGGTCCCAGCTATTTGGGAGGCTGAGGTGGGAGGATCACTTGAACTCAGGAGGTCGAGGCTGGAATGAGCTGTGATTGTGCCACTGCACTCCAGCCTAGGCAACAGAGGGAGACCCTGTCTTACACAACAAAAAAACCCTAAGAGGCAGGGTGACTTCCACCGTCCCTGCACCTGTGCCCTGACGCAGCTCTGCCCACTTGGCACCCTGTTCCTTCACACACACAAAATTCACTGCCCGAGAGTGGGGCACAGGGCTGGGGTGGAAGGTGCTGTCCCCCGTGACCCACTGGTCAGCCCGTCTGCAGGCCTGCCTCCAGGGCCCTCTGCTCGGCAGACCTCCAGGGCTCTGCAGAACCCTGCGTGGGCTGGGTCACCGTCTCCTGGGGAGACAGGCCTGTCTCCAGGTTCCAGGGCTGGGTCAGGGTCTGGGCCCTGTACCCCGTCCCCCAGGCTCCACCCTTTGGCTGCCAGACTGTCGGGTGAGGGTCCCTGCTGTGCAGGGCTGGTTTACCAGGGGCCCTGCAATCTCAGGCTCAGGTGAGAGCAGGAGGCTTTGTCTCAGAGCAGGTCCTGTGTGTGCAAGCAACACAGGAAGCCCACATTTCCTGATCAGACAGCCGCTTAGAGCAGGGAAAAAGGAGGAGGAGCCTGGTGATCTGCATAAGAGATCCTTCTGTCTTTTAATGGGACCCGGCCCCTGCCTCTTGGGGTTAGGAAGGCCGTGGGACTCGTGACGGGCACCTCTCTGCATGGCCTGCAGTCTTGCCCAGGGGCGGAGCCGATGGGTGAAGGCCCCTCCTCATGCCCGTTTGGCAGCTGTGCCTGATGACTACTTGCCCCAGGAGAAGGGGCCGTAGGGCCAGGGGGCCCTGAGGTGCTGGGCAGGAGCCTCACAGACCCCCGTCTGCCCACAGTGAGGCCGTCTGGGAGAACATGGCGCGCATGTGCGTGAAGACCCAGCGGCTGGACGTGGCCAAGGTGTGCCTGGGGAACATGGGCCATGCCCGCGGGGCCCGAGCGCTGCGTGAGGCGGAGCAGGAGCCGGAGCTAGAGGCCCGCGTGGCCGTGCTGGCCACGCAGCTGGGCATGCTGGTGAGGGGCGCCCGCCATGGGGTGGGTGGGAAGGCACCACGCCTGCCACAGCCACGGCCCCCTGGGGAAGGAGGAGGCACGCCCACCGGCCTGAGCCTGCACTGATGTGGGCAGAGCCGAGAGGCATGACCCAGGAGAGCTGGGCAGACAGCGGCGGTGGAGGTGAGGTGGGTGGAGGCTAGGCGACCGCCGGCTCTCCAGGGTGTGTGCCTGTCAGGTGTGTGGGCCTGGAACAGAGCGCCCGAGAGACCCCCAGGTCAGCAGGGCTGAGCACGGGACTTCTGGGGAGGCTGTGGGAGGGGGGGCTGTGGGAGGGGGGCTGTGGGAGGTGGGGTACCCCTTGGTGGTGCATCTCACTCTCCAGCCGTGGGACGGGGATGCCCCGTGGGTGTGTGGCGTTTGCTGTGCCCACAGCGGCCCCGTGTGTCAGTGTGCTTGGCGGTGTGGGAAGGTGCGGTGACCGGTGGCCTGGCGTGGAACAGTGTGTTTGAGACGTGGGTGTGTGGAGGCTGCACGACACCTGCCCATCCTCATTCCTCAGGAGGACGCCGAGCAGCTGTACAGGAAGTGCAAGCGCCACGACCTCCTGAACAAGTTCTACCAGGCTGCGGGCCGGTGGCAGGAGGCCCTCCAGGTAGCCGAGCACCACGATCGCGTGCACCTGCGCAGCACCTACCACCGCTATGCCGGGCACCTGGAGGCCAGCGCCGACTGCAGCCGGGCCCTCAGTTAGTGAGTGCGGCCCTCGCGGCCTCTTCCCTGCCTCTCTGGATGGCCCTGGCTTGTGAGGCCTCTTGTGTGTGCTGTGGTGAGGTGGCCAGGGAGGTTCTTAGAGGAGGCGTCTGTCTCAGGGTGGTGGCAGCCTTCTCGGCAGGAAGCTTCTGGGAGTCTCGGAGATGTGGGGTTGCCCCTTCCATCCTGGGCCACCCAGCTTCCCAGGCAGGAGACAGAAAGATGTCTGTCCCATTGGTGGTGTCAGTTGCCGAGCACAGATGGGCCTGATGTCTCCTGAGGACAGACAAACCCCATGTCACCCTCTCCAGAGGAGGAGCTGCTCTTAGACCCGTTCCCGGGGTGTGGATGGGCGACCCGCCTCCCGGGCCCCCACAGTGCAGGAAGCCCCCACTGCCCCCTGGCCACGTGTGCTCAGGGTCTGCAGAGCTGCAGGCCAGGAGCACACACCCCGAGGGCCACCGCTCTGATGCGTTTCACCGACGCTGCCCCTCAGCCCACCCGGTTCCCGTGGGGCTGGGATGGGAGGGAACGAGGACCTCTGTCTCCTTCTCTCACAGCTACGAGAAGTCGGACACGCACCGCTTCGAGGTGCCCAGGATGCTGTCGGAGGACCTGCCGTCCCTGGAGCTCTACGTGAATAAAATGAAGGATAAGTGAGTGTCCCCACCAGGGCTGGTGGGACCGCACTCCATCCTGGAGGTTTGCAGGGACCCCAGGGCTTGCTGAGACGGCTCCCTTTCCCGTGCTTCCTGCACGAGTGGGCAGCGTCCTCCCGGCTCCTCAGAGCCATGCCAGGGCCCTGAGCCAGGCCCTCCCTTTGGACAAAGCCAGGGGTCCTCACTCTTGGCCCAGCCTGTTTGCAGGTCAGGTGACATGCACTCTAAGGGTGGCACAGGGGCGGGGTGGGGGCCGTCCCGGGTTGGAGCGGGGCTCGGGTGGAGAATCCATGGTCTTGGGCTGCCCGCAGGACCCTGTGGCGGTGGTGGGCGCAGTACCTGGAGAGCCAGGGCGAGATGGACGCCGCGCTGCACTACTACGAGCTGGCCCGGGACCACTTCTCCCTGGTCCGCATCCACTGCTTCCAGGGCAATGTCCAGAAGGTAAGGTCCCCGCAGGGGAGCCGGCCAGGCGGACACGAGGCAGACACAAGGCCACCGTGTCTCGTCTTTGGGTTCTTTGTCTTTCTAGGCTGCGCAAATAGCCAACGAGACAGGAAACCTGGCGGCCTCCTACCACCTCGCCCGCCAGTACGAGAGCCAGGAGGAGGTCGGGCAGGCGGTGCACTTCTACACCCGGGCACAGGCCTTCAAGAATGCCATCCGCCTGTGCAAGGTACCACGGGCCCGGGGTGGGGAGCCGGCGCTTCTCGAGGTCCCCTGAGGAGAGCTTCAAGTGGAAAAGTGGACAGAGAGAATCGTGTCAGTGACACGTGGTCCGGCCAGTGTCTGCCACTCACTGCTCACCCCGTCTGCCTCACCCGCCCACCCCTCTGCCCACCCCTGGCCGCTTCCATCTGACATTGTTTGCAAAGCACTGAATTGTCCCCAGATGTTTCCCAGGCTCCAGGGCTCCTGAGTGGGTGGTGAGGCTGCTCACGGCCTATGGCCTTGCAGACGGCAGACCCTTCCTAGATAGCTGTTGGGCGTTCTGCACCACACAAATGTCCCAACCTGGGCTCTCGCTTCCAGAAGCATCTCCCGTGTCAGGTATTTCTTGCAGTGCTCTGTGAAATAGAACCCAGAGCATCGGAAAATCCTTGTAGACAAACCCAGTAAGTCATCAGCTCCTTAAAACCCATCACCGCAGAGATCGCTGAGCAGTGTGTCAAAGTGAAGGGGCGGGTTCGCACCCGGCCACATTCCAGAATCTCAGCGGACCTGGGGAAGCCAGTGGGAGCCGCTTCAGGGCCCTGCCTCCCTCCCTGCAGGAGAACGGCCTGGACGACCAGCTCATGAACTTGGCCCTGCTGAGCTCCCCCGAGGACATGATCGAGGCGGCCCGATACTACGAGGAGAAGGGCGTGCAGATGGACAGGGCGGTCATGCTGTACCACAAGGTGAGGGCTGGCCACCGGTGGGGACCTGGGGGAGGGGCAGCAAGCCAGGGGGCCCTTGCCTGTGCGAGGCCTCCGTGCTCGGGCCCCCAGGCCTCGGGCAGCTGCTCAGAGCCCACCGTATCCGCAGGCTGGCCACTTCTCCAAGGCCCTGGAGCTGGCCTTTGCCACCCAGCAGTTTGTGGCCCTACAGCTCATAGCAGAGGACCTGGATGAGACGTCAGACCCTGCGCTCCTGGCCCGCTGCTCCGACTTCTTCATCGAGCACAGTCAGTACGAGAGGGCGGTAGAGCTGCTGCTGGCTGCCAGGAAGGTACGGGGCCAGCGGGGCCTGGGCTCGGCTCCACGCAGGCACCACGGCTCAGGTCTCCTGTCCCCAGAGGCTGTGGGAATGGCTGCTTGCTTGGTTATGAGTTCTCCAGGAAGGCTGCGGTGGGTGCCCCCTGCCCTAGGTTTCACATACGGCACACCCAGGAGGTCCGCAAGTGTAGACTCGCCATCCTTCACGCTGGCATCTGATCATACACAGGGAATGGTGCACTCACCTATGGTGGGGGGTAAAAACACACAGAACACAAAATTTACCATCTTAGCCTTTTTTTTTTTTTTTTTGAGACAGGGTCTCGCTCTGTTGCCCAGGCTGGACTGTGGTGGTGCCATCTTGGTTCACTGCAGCCTCAACTTCCCAGGCTCAAGCAATCCTCCTTCCTCCTGAGTAGCCGGGAATACAGGAGTGTGCCACCATCCCCAGCTAATTTTTTAAATTTTTTTTCATAGACTCAGGGTCTTGCTGTGTTGCCCAGGCTGGTCTTGAACTCCTGGGCTCAAGCAATCCTCCTGCCTCAGCCTCCCAAAGCACTGGGACTGTAGATGTGAGCCCTGTGACTGGCCAGGAACAGTTTATTCAAATGGAAATATGGGTGGTTCCCAAATATAAAATGCTTAGCTTTATTCATGATAGAAATACATATCAAAATTCACGGAGATGCCATTTTTTACTGGGCTACTAAGGGTGGAAAGGCTGGAGTGCAGTGGCGCAATCTCGGCTCACTGCAAGCTCCACTTCCTGGGTTCAGGCGATTCTCCTGCTTCAGCCTCCCAAGTAGCAGGGACTACAGGTGCCTGCCACCACACCCAGCTAATTTTTGTATTTTAGTAGAGATGGGGTTCCACCACGTTGGCCAGGATGGTCTCGATCTCTTGACCTCGTGATCTGCCTGCCTCGGCCCCCCAAATTGCTGGGATTACAGGCGTGAGCCACCATGCTTGGCCGACATATTCTCTTTTTGTTTTTTGAAATGGAGTTTCACTCTTGTTGCCCAGGCTATAGTGCAATGGGGCGATCTCAGCTCACCGCAACCTCCACCTCCCGGGTTCAAGTGATTCTCCTGCCTCAGATTCCCCAGTAGCTGGGATTACAGGCATGCACCACCACGCCCGGCTAATTTTGTATTTTTATTTTTATTTTTATTTTGAGACAGAGTCTCTCTCTGTCACCCAGACTGCAGTCCAGTGGCACAATCTTGGCTTACTGCAACCTCAGCCTCCCGGGTTCAAGCAATTCCCCTGCCTCAGCCTCCCGAGTAGCTGGGACTACAGGCGCCCACCACCACACCTGTGTTAATTTTCTGTGTTTAGTAGAGACGAGGTTTCACCATGTTGGCCAGGATGGTCTCGATCTCCTGATCTCATGATCCACCCTCCTCAGCCTCCCAAAGTGCTTGAGATTACAGGCATGAGCCATGGCATCCAGCCTAATTTTGTATTTTTAGTAGAGACGGGGTTTCTCCATGTTGGTCAGGCTGGTCTCGAACTCCTGACCTCAGGTGATTTACCTACCTCGGCCTCCCAAAGTGCTGGGATTACAGGTGTGAGCCACCATGCTCAGCCATATTCTTTTTTTTTTTTTTTTTAAATATAAATGTGTTATTACTTCATATATATTTGTGGGTTATTACTGTTTTTTTTTCTTGTGGAGATGGGGGTCTGACTGTGTTGCCCAGGCTGGTCTCAAACTCCTAGGCCCAAGTGATCCTCTCACCTTGGCCTCCCAAAGTGCTGGAATTACAGGCATGAGCCAACATGCCCGGCCTAAGACATATTCTCAAGTGAAGAATGTAAAATTTTTCTTAAAATGAGGGCTGGGTGTGGTGGCTCACGCCTGTAATCCCAGCACTTTGGGAGGCCGAGGTGGGTGGATCACCTGAGGTCAGGAGTTTGAGCCCAGCCTGACCAACAGGGAGAAACCCTGTCTCTACTAAAAAAAATTACAAAATTAGCCGGGCATGGTGGCGGGCGCCTGTAATCCCAGCTACTTGGTAGGCTGAGGCAGGAGAATGGCTTGAACCCGGGAGGTGGAGGTTGCAGTGAGCCAAGATTGTGCCACTGCACTCCAGCCTGGGCAATAAGAGCAAAACCCCACCTCAGAAAAAAATATATATATTTCTTAAAATGTTAGGAAAATCAGGCCGGCACGGTGGCTTGTGCCTGCAATCCCAGCACTTTGGGAGGCTAAGGCAGGCGGATTGCTTGAGCCCAGGAGTTCAAGACCAGCCTGGGCAACATTGCAAAACCCCGTCTCTACTGAAAATACAAAAACTGAGGTAGGAAGATCACCTGACCCTGGGGAGGTGGAGGCTGCCGTGACTGCACCACTGCACTCCAGCCTGGGGGACAGAGTGAGACCCTGTCTCAAAAATTTAACTTTAAAAATTCAGAATTATAGAAGAAAATTACCAATTTCCTTTTCTCCCAAACGTAATATTCTCTTGAGCATATATCACTTGAGACTATTGTTTCCTTCGTTCCATTCTGGAATGTTAACAGCGTGAGAAAGTAACGTGAATGATTGTAGGTTGGTGAGGCAGGGGAGACATCCTTGTCCCCTCCATACCCACCCCAGCTAGACAGAAGCCGCCGCTGAGCCGAGGGGCCTGGTTTCCTCTGAAGCGGTGGCAGATGAGGGGCGCACTTCAGTTCCCGGCCCCCTCGGCAGCCCCGTCCCATTTCTGCACCTTTGCAGTATCAGGAAGCCCTGCAGCTGTGCCTGGGGCAGAACATGAGCATCACCGAGGAGATGGCGGAAAAGATGACCGTGGCCAAGGACTCCTCGGACCTGCCTGAGGAGTCGCGGCGGGAGCTGCTGGAGCAGATAGCAGACTGCTGCATGCGCCAGGGCAGCTACCACCTGGCCACCAAGAAGTACACGCAGGCCGGCAACAAGCTGAAGGTGAGCCTCTCCCGGCCCCAGCCCGCGGCTACCTCACAGGCAGTTAGGCTGCGGGCCCCCTGCACGCATCTCCATTTGCCTTCGTGATGACCCCAAGCTAGGGCTGAGCCTTTCTGGCCAGGAAGAGCACAACCACTAAGATCTCTCTCTACCGGGCAGCCCTGAGCCACTCTTCTTGTGAGAGCTCCTGCTCGGGGTCCCTTGTGCTTGTCCCGGCCCAGCCCCTGCTTGCCTGAGCCCCGCTGTCTCTCTGCCTAGGCCATGAGGGCGCTGCTCAAATCCGGAGACACGGAGAAAATCACGTTCTTCGCGAGCGTGTCCAGGCAGAAGGAAATCTACATCATGGCTGCTAACTACCTGCAGTCCCTGGACTGGCGGAAGGAGCCGGAGATCATGAAGAACATCATCGGCTTCTACACCAAGGGGCGGGCCCTGGACCTCCTGGCTGGCTTTTATGACGCTTGTGCCCAGGTGCAGGCCCTCCCTGGCATGCCAGCGGGGCCCCGGGGAGGGCTGTGGAGCCCGGCAGGTCTTGACGGGTTTCATCTGTACAGGTGGAGATTGATGAATACCAGAACTACGACAAAGCCCACGGGGCGCTGACCGAGGCCTACAAGTGCCTGGCCAAGGCCAAGGCCAAGAGCCCCCTGGACCAGGAGACCAGGCTGGCGCAGCTGCAGAGCAGGATGGCACTGGTGAAGAGGTTCATCCAGGCCCGCAGGTGTGCCCCCGGGGCCAGCGGGGACAGGCCAGGGCAGATGTGACTACAGGGCCGGGGCTGACCACGAGAAACCCCAGCCAGCAAAAGGGCAGGACAGCAGATGGGAGCTCACTTGGGACAGCACTACTGCTGAAGACACACCCCACCTCCTCCTGGGAGCCCTCAGAGCCCGGGCACAGCCTTGGGAAGGTGTTCTGGAAACACCAGAGACGCTGAGAGAGAAACCTGGTGGGGGAGTGGGAGGAGGAGGCAGATGTGGAGCAGGAGAGGGTGTGTCTGGGGAGCCACAGACCTGCTGAGGGTGTGCAGGGGCCGGGCAGGGGAGTCCTGAGTGAGTGCCGCTGTGTGACCTGGGGTTGGGGGACCATGGTGACCAGAGGGCTCATGCCTCTCCACAGGTCAACTGCCACCAGCTCCAAGCTTGTGGAGAGGAGACCCAGGCAGCCAGCCGATGGTCTCGGTTTTCAGGAGAGGCCAAGATGCTAAGTTTATTTGAACACCTCCCCATCTTTATTATGGGCAGGTGACTCAGCTTTTCAGAGAGCTGCTGTGTGGCCACCACGGTGGGCACTCGCCTGTGCGCTTCAGGGCCCAGCTTCTGTCTCAGCTGGCAGGGCTGTTTTCCTTATCGGAGAACCTTTTCCAAAACAAGAGTTCCAGAAGTCCTTTGAACAAGGTCGTACAAAGCGGTGCCCCTTGGAAGGGCACGGTCCACCTGCACGTGTCGATTCTGGGGTATCAGCGTCTCACAGATGTCTGCTGAGCTGAGGCCACAGGGCAGGAGCGGAGGAGAATCGATAGCAGCTGGTCATCAGGGATAGCACAGGACGTGGGTGGAGGGGAGACGACGTGTGAGGGCCAGGGTGGGCAACCTTCTATGGGCCAGGGGTCAGAGGGCAGGCCAGGCGCCTGTCTGGAATGGCCGAGTCAGTGGGTGGCCAGATGGGCCCTGGACCCTCCTGACATGGGAGCCTGAGCTCCACACGGCTCCAGTCACCTGCCCTGGACCATGTTGTGTTCCAGCAGGCTCACCTCCCTGGTGTCACCCCAGCTCACAGGCCACACACCCTGCTCTGCCACAGACCCTCACGCCAGGTCACACACGCAGCCTGTGTGCGGGCAGCCTCTCTGCTTGGAGGGTTCTTCCCAGCGGCCTTGGGCAAGGGGTGCCGTGCGCCTCTCCGTGTACCCTGTCCACATGCACCACATCCCCTCTGGGTCACGCTTTGTGCAGAGGTTTCTAGCCCCCTCTGGACTGTTCCATAGAGCAGGAACTAGGGGTCGGAAGTCTTTGGTCTTCAGTCCAAGCATAGGACCCAGCATTCAAGTGATCAGTAAGAATGTTACATGGATGAGTTAATTTATGAATGAACAAATTAAGGAATTAATGAATTTAACTTCATAGAAAGTTTCCTCCTGCCATTCCGGAGAGCTCCTCTTACAGGCCAAGAGTCTCCTCTGACCTCTGATAGCAGTAGGTGTTCAGGGCTTCGGGGCCCAGGCCTCATCTCTGCTCTCGGCAGGACGTACACAGAGGACCCCAAGGAGTCCATCAAGCAGTGTGAGCTGCTCCTGGAGGAACCAGACCTGGACAGCACCATCCGCATCGGGGACGTCTATGGCTTCCTGGTGGAGCACTACGTGCGGAAGGAGGAATACCAGACGGTGAGGCCTGAGTGCTGCTCACTAGCAGCATCCCGCCACACAAGGCTCCTGAAACGAAGGCTTAACGGCTCAAACTGAGGCTGTGTGTGGCGGCTCACTCCTGTAATCCCAGCACTTTGGGAGGCTGAGGCAGGAGAATGACTTGAGCCCAGGAGTTCAAGAGCAGCCTGGGCGACATGGTGAAACCCCATCTCTACAAAAAGGGGAAAAATTAGCCAGGCATGGTGGCTCACACCTGGGGTCCCAGCTGCTTGGGAGGCTGAGGTGGGAGGATCCCTTGAGCCCAGGAGGTTGAGGCTGCAGTGAGATCTGATGGCGCCACTGCACTCCAGCCTGGGTGACAGAGCGAGACCCTGTCTCAAAAGAAAAAAAAAATCTGTCGGTAGCAAAAAGTAACAGTCTCACGCTGTTACTGGCTGTTACTAGCAGTGTCGCAGGAAAGCGACAGACTTACTTTATTTGTGAAGAAATGTCTGCATGTACCCGAGTCTGAATAACCACGATTTCTTTTTCAGGGATTTTCACAAAAAAAGAAAATGGTGTTCCATTTTTTAGTCGCTTATTTTTTAATTTTAGAGACAGCGTGTAGTCACTTTAAAGTGACCAGCTAATCACTTATTCAGCCGCAGTGTTCTAGCGTTTTCCTCATCCCCACCAACATTTGATCATTCTTTCGAACTGTAGCCATCCTAGGGGGTGAACAGTACCTTGCTGAGGTTTAAATTCACATTTTCTGGATGAGTAGTGATGTGCAGCTCCTTCTCATGTGCTTATTATCCATTTACACACCTTCTGTGAAGGCTTCAAGTCTCTTCTCATCATTTTATTGGGTTTTCTTATTATTGTACTTTTTTTTTTTTTTTTTGGAGACGGAGTCTCACTCTGTTGCCCAGGCTGGAGCGCAGTGGCGCGATCTCGGCTCACTGCAAGCTCCGCCTCCTGGGTTCACGCCATTCTCCTGCCTCAGCCTCCCAAGTAGCTGGGACTACAGGTGTGCATCAGCATGCCTGTAGAGATGGGGTTTCACCATTTGGCCAGGCTGGTCTTGAACTCGTGACCTCAAGTGATCCACCCGCCTCCACCTCCCAAAGTGCTGGGATTACAGGCGTGAGCCACCGCGCCTGGCCGAAGTTCCCTTCTATTCCTTTTTTCCTCTGCTTCTGAAATTCCAATGACTTGTATATACAGTACCATCCCCTAGCTCAACTGATGCTCTTCTTTTCTCCCCCAAGGACTTTTTCTGTTTTTCATTTTAGGGATTTGCCATTTCTGTTGCTTCAAGTTTACCAGCTTTCCTTCTGCAGTGTCTCACTCTGATGGTAATCCCATCCATCTTTTTCATGTCAGTTTTCTACCAGTCAACTTTTTCTACCAGTTTTTATTATTGTTACTTTAAACCTTTTTTCCTGCCTTCTTTTTAGTTGATTTTTTTTTTTTTTTTTTTTTGAGACAGAGTGTCGCTCTGTCGCCCAGGCTGGAGTGCGGTGGTGCAATCTCGGCTCACTGCAAGCTCTGCCTCCCGGGTTCACGCCATTCTCCTACCTCAGCCTCCCGAGTAGCTGGGACTACAGGCGCCCGCCACCACGCCCAGATAATTTTTTTGTATTTTTAGTAGAGACAGGGTTTCACCGTGTTAGCCAGGATGGTCTCGATCTCCTGACCTCATGATCCGCCCGCCTCGGCCTCCCAAAGTGCTGGGATTACAGGCGTGAGCCACCGCACCTGGCCTTAGTGGACTATTTTTTATAATTTCATTTTAGCTATCAGCTTTTTATCTCTACTCCTCTTTGCATTGTATTTCTAGTGTTTGCCCTGGAGATTACCATAAACATACTTACCACACTAGAGTTAGCAGGTAGGTCCATTTCCCACCCGTGTCCCCACCTGTATTTGTCGTATGTGTAACATGTACATGTATTATAAACACAGTATAGTGTTATAATTGTTGCTTTCAACAGTCATATGTATTTTGAAGAAATTAAAAGGAAAGAAATAGTCTTTTACATTTACCTACATATTTACCATCCATTTCTGGTGTTTTTTTTTTTTTTTTTTTTTTTTTTTTTTTTTTTTTTTGAGACAGAGTTTTGCTCTTTGTAGCCCAGGCTGGAGTGGGCAACAAACCTCAGCTCACCACAACCTCTACCCTCCAGGTTCAAGTGATTCTCCTGCCTCAGCCTCCGGAGTAGCTGGGATTACAGGCATGCGCCACCACGCCTGGCTAATTTTGTATTTTTAGGGGAGATGGGGTTTCTCCATGTTGGTCAGGCTGGTCTCAAACTCCCAACCTCAGGTGATCTGCCTGCCTCGGCCTCCCAAAGCGTCATTTCTGGTGTTCTTACTTCTTCCCTATGATTCCGATTTGCATGTGGTATCACTCCTCTTCAGCCTGAGCTCCCTTTAACATTTCTTCTAGTTCAGATCTCCTGATGATGAATTTTCTTACTTTTCGTTAATCTGAAATGTATTTATTTTGCCTGTATTCTTCAAGGTTGTTCTCATCAGATAGAGAATTCTGAGGCCAGGCACAGTGGCTCATGCCTGTAATCTCAGCACTTTGGGAGGCCAAGGTGGGAGGATTTCTTGAGGCCAGGAGTTCAAGTCCAGCCTGGGTAACAAGTGAGACCCCATCTCTGAAAAAAATAGCAAGGCATGGTGGCATGCACCTGCAGTCTTGGCTGCTTGGGAGGCTGAGGTGGGAGGACTGCTTGAGCCCAGGAGGTTGAGTCTGCAGTGAGCTGTGATAGCACCACTGCACTCCAGCCTGGGTGACAAAGCAAGATCCTGATTCAAAAAAAATCCTGATTTGACAGATTTTTTTCCTTTCAGCACTTGAATGTTTTCCCTGTCTGGGCCTCCATTGTTTCTGGAAGAGTCAGCTATGGGCTGTCTGTGGGGCCCTTACATGTCATGTGTCTCTCCATCTCCCACTGCACTGGCTGCTGTCATGACTTTCTTCTTGAATTTGTGTTTCAGCAGTGCGATAATGATGTTCCTAGGTGTTTTCATTGTATTTATCCTGGGCTTTTGGGATCTATATTTGTGTTTTGCCAAATTTGGGAAATTTGCTCTTTTTCTCCTTCTGGGACTCCAATTAAATGTTAGGTCTTCCATATCTAGTAGACACACATTTGTGATTACTGCTCATTATTTTCTTTTTTTCTGTCCTTTGGATTAATTTGTATTTATCTAGACTTTCTTTAGCTATCTTCAATCTGCTGTTAACCTCTCCAGCAATCTTTTTAGAGCTTGTATTTTGCAGCCCTAGAATTTACACTTAGTTCTTTTTATTATTTATTGGCTAAAATTCCCTATTTGTTAATTTGTTTAAAATATATTTTATATTTATATCCTAAAGCAGAGTTGTAACTGCTGCTGTAAAATCTTAGCTACCGGTTCCAATATCTGGGTCATGTAGGATTGATCTCCATTACTTGCCTTTTGAGTATGGGTCAAATTTTCCTGTTTCTTATGTCTAGTCATTTTTTTGTATCATGGACATTGTGGATAATCCATTGTAGAGACTCTGGATTCTGTTACATTCCTCCAAAGAGTATTGCTTTTTTTTGGTTCATTTTATTAGGCAATCACCTTTGCTCAGCTCAGAGCCGAAACTCTTTCCCCTGTGGTGGATAGCAGCTGAAATCCCTGCTTGTAGCGTGAGTTGGCTTAAAGTCTGCACCTCCCCTGCCTCATGTGTAGTGTGGGAGCAACTAGTGACGAGGGCAGCATATGCTCAGGATTTGGGATCCCCTCTATGCCTGCTGCATCCCAACGTTTCCACCTTCACATTCCAGCTGCTGTGGTCAACAAAAATCTTTTATTTATTTATTTATTTATTTATTTGAGATGGAGTGTCGCTCTATCGCCCAGGCTGGAGTGCAGTGGCGTGATCTCGGCTCACTGCAAGCTCCGCCTCCCTGGTTCATGCCATTCTCCTGCTGCAGCCTCCCGAGTAGCTGGGACTACAGGCGCCCGCCACCACGCCCAGTTAATTTTTTTTGCATTTTTAGTAGAGACGGGGTTTCACCGTGTTAGCCAGGATGGTCTCGATCTCCTGACCTCGTGATCCACCCACCTTGGCCTCCCAAAGTGCTGGGATTACAGGCGTGAGGTACCGCACCTGGCCAACAAAAATCTTGATTCTGATTCTTTAAGCCTGGAAGAGGGCAGGCTTCGAGGTGGCTGATGCCCACACTGGCCCTGACTTGGGCCTACCCTGAGGCAGAAAGTTGTGAGAAGCAGCCGGGTGCAGTGGCTCACGCCTGTAATCCCAGCACTTTGGGAGGCCAAGGCGGGCAGATCATGAGGTCAGGAGATGGAGACCATCTTGGCTAACACGGTGAAACCCCGTCTCTACTAAAAATACAAAAAATTAGCCGGGTGTGGTGGTGGGCGCCTGTAGTCCCAGCTACTTGGGAGGCTGAGGCAGGAGAATGGTGTGAACCCGGGAGGCGGAGCTTGCAGTGAGCAGAGATCGCACCACTGCACTCCAGCCTGGGCGACACAGCAAGACTCCGTCTCAAAAAAGAAAAAAAAAAAAAGAAAGTTGTGAGAAGCAGGAAGCCTGCCCAGTGCCACCCACTCCCAGCATCAGCCTGCTCACGGCTGCCCCCAGTGCCTTTCCATGTGTCCGTCGTCATTAGGGGGAGGGCTGCTCTCACAGGAGTCGTGCTGCTGTTGTCAGAAGCCTCTCTTCTCATTCTTTTTTCTTTTCTGAGACAGTCTTGCTCTGTTGCCCAGCTGGAGTGCAGTGGCATGATCGTGGCTCACTGCAACCTCCGCCTCCTGGGCTCAAGCAATTGTCCTGCCTCAGCCTCCCAAGTAGCTGGGACTACAGGTTCCCGCCACCACGCCCAGCTAATTTTTGTATTTATTTATTTATTTTTTAGTAGAGACGGGGTTTCACCGTGTTAGCCAGGATGGTCTTGATCTCCTGACCTCGTGATCCGCCCACCTCGGCCTCCCAAAGTGCTGGGATTACAGGCGTGAGCCACCGCGCCCGGCCTCTTTTTCAACCATAATTCTGTTGTAGCCAACATAGAGAATTGCACGCGCCTGCATCCGTCAGACCCTGCAGCTATGCCGATGCCTGCAGGGCCTCTGCACCCACCAGTTGTGTTGCCCTATTAGATAGTTCCCGGGACTCACAAACTGAGTATCGAGAAATGAGCTTGGGAAACATGCTGGCGACCGTGTCGGGCTCGCTGGGCTGCAGCCTCCAGAATTCACAGGAAAGCTCCTTGGCAGTGGCTCTCCCTCAGGGCTGAAAGGTCAGCTCCGTGAGACACAGACTTCCTGGCCCGGTTGCTCACTCCCCTCTGCGCCGTTCCACTTCCATTCACTGACCCCTTTTGCTGCTGGAAAAAACAACTCAAGTCTAATCCTAACAAGGTTTCTTTTTTGTTGTTGCTTGGTTTGGTTTTGAGACGAGGTCTTGCTCTGTCGCCCAGGCTGGAGTGCGGTGGCACAATCACAGCTCCCTGCAGCCTCAGCCTCCCGGGTTCAAGGGATCCTCGTGAGTGGCTGGTGTGCAGCACCGCGCCCTGCTCCAACGGGGTTTCTATTTCTAGGAGAACTATAGTTTTCCGTATAAAAGCAAAATTGGAGTAGAGAGATGCCCAGACTGCTATATCCTCAAAATTAACAGGAAATCCACATTTTAAATATTTCGCCAACTTCTTTATTCTCTCTATGGTTGCTTGAAGCCTGTGGAATTTAGTAACTCGAGATACAAAAGAAAAAAGAAACTGGGAAGCGCAGCTAAACTGAGAATGCCCAGGCACACGCTCCCTGGCTGCTGCTGTAGCGCCACCCGGGGTCACGTGCACCACCTCACCCAGGCCACAGCTCCTATATCCGCTCAGCTTTCCCGCCATCATCCATCATCTGAGCACAGCCCGCACACACCCTCCTGATGCTGGAGACCGGCAACATTTCTGTCCCCACGTCCTGCCCTCCACCGCCCCTCACCCACCTACGCCGCCTGTCCTGCCCCCCATCCTGCCCCCCACCCACCTATGCCGCCTGTCCTGCCCCCCATCCTGCCCCCCACCACCCCTCACCCACCTATGCCGCCTGTCCTGCCCCCCACCACCCCTCACCCGCCCTCCGCACCTTCTGCCTGCCTTCTGGAAACCACTTGATTGCCCTCTCCGAAGCTAGCTCTGCACACAGAGCAGTCACACGCACCAGGCCCTGGTTGCATCAGGACGCCGGCCCTTTCTGACCACAGGGTCCCTCTTCGACCCTGGTCAGCTCCTTCCTCTCTCTCCCTCCCTGTGCCAGCCCTTCTCTGAATTCTGCCACTGCAGGACCTCGGCCTGACCTGGCTCCCCACTACAGCATTACCCAAGCTTGTTCTGTGCCCTTACGTCCTGTGTCCCCTGTGTCCCCAGCACAGCGCCTGGCACATGGCAGGTGGTTTGTCAGCATGTAAGGCAGCATCTTTTCAGGTGTGGATGTTTGCCCTCAGCCTCTCGTTTGAGACTGTGTGGAAGGCTTGCACTCCACCAGCGCCCACCCCAGCTGAGGCCTTCCTTAAACGCAGGTCCACTGCCAGGTGATGGGAGGGGCCATCCAACAAGCTTATTATATCTTCATAGCTGAGACTCCATCTCAAAAAAAAAAAATACCCAAGCCAAACCAGTAGATATCGCTGCCTGCCCTCCACTCTGACATATGCATGTCCACCCGCAAGACTCGAGTGCAGAACGCGGGGCCTCTGCCTCCCCAGGAGGCTCTGCCCGCACACGCACGGTGAGCAGGCCTGTGCACAGCTGCTGAGGGACTTTCCAGGGCCCTGGCTCTGCATTTCCAGCTGAAATGCTGACCGAAGCTTCCTGTTGAGTGTCCACACATGGCATGTGTGCGGTCCGCGGGCACCGCATCCCCTCATCACCACATTCCCCCATCACCAATGGGAAGCCTCAGTGCACCCCGTGTCCTCCAGCGCGGAGGCACCCCCACCCGCCTCCAGGGGCAGCAGCACGTGCCTGGCCTGCAGGCAGAGGGTCGTGCCTGGTTGTTCAGGAAAGCTGAGTAATGTCTGCTCCTCTGCCCCAGGCCTACAGATTCCTGGAGGAGATGCGGCGGCGGCTTCCCTTGGCCAACATGTCCTACTACGTGAGCCCGCAGGCCGTGGACGCCGTGCACCGGGGGCTGGGTCTCCCACTGCCACGCACCGTCCCCGAGCAGGTCCGCCACAACAGCATGGAGGACGCCAGGGAGCTGGACGAGGAGGTGGTGGAAGAGGCAGATGACGACCCCTGAGGGGCCTGGGCCCCAGGACCAGCGTGCTGCTGCAGAAAGGCATCTTCTGGAATTTTTTTGTCAGCTGTGGCAAAGCCAGCATTTTTGCTGGGAAAAAACATGTCTGTGTTGGAATACGCGACAGAGCTGGGCGAGAACGCAGCGGCCCGGGCCGGCGGAGGGTGTGACCCGTCTGCACCTTGCTCTGTCCCACCTGCCTCTGGGTGCCCGGCAGCTCCACTAGATTTTTGGATTCATTCCTTTGAAGGGAGTCGGGTTCACCCTTCCATCGTATTCTCCCAACTACACATTGTAAAGCCTGAGAAACTTCTAGAACCTCAGGAAGCTGCAGCTGGAGGGCTGGGGCACCTGCCCCCCTGCTCCCCACACATCATATCCTCCCCATACTCCTGCAGGGCCCACGGCTCCTGAGCAACAGCTGGGACACCCGGGCCTTGGCGGCTGCACCCCCTGCTAGGCTCTGCCCACCGGCCACCAACACTCCTGTAATTCCAATAAAGCAGTTTATTTTCTGAGAGCCCGTGCCCTGTCCCATCCCGCCCCACGAGCCCATCCAGGAGCCACACACCCTGCCTGGGCTGTGAGCACTATTCTCCTGGTGACACGGCGCTCAGCCCGAGGGACCTGGGACAAGAGCTGCTCTGTCCTGCTTGGTGGCTCTCAGAGGAGAGCCTTGGGGGCTCTGAGCAGCAGGTACACCGTCCTCCCCTCCTGCCAGCCTGGTTCTGCCCTCACTGGAAGAGTCAACCCCGCCAGCAGCGCCCACAGCCCCAGCCCCACGTCCAGGCTGCCATGTCCCGGCGGGCAGTGCCCAGGCCCAGTGTATTTTTAGCGGACTGGCTGCACTATAAATAGCGGCAGGCCGGGCCTTCCTGCATCTGCACTCTCCGTACCGGATGCGGCCGAAGACCTGGCCTCGCTACAAAGCCTGGCTCTGCTGCTCCAGGCCGCTGCTCAGCCGCCTGCCTTGCTGTCGGCGAGGGTGGTCCTGGGGAGGCCTCCAGGGACTAGGGAGACGCGGGTGGGAGGAGCCTGTTCTTGAGTCTCTGCAGAAGCAGCAGGGCCCTCAGTGCCAGCGTCCTGCAGTCCTCGTCCGGGTCTTTCTCAGCCACGTCTGCCAGACGAGAGTGACAAGCAAAGCTGAGGCAGCGTGGAGGGCGTATTCTCCCTCCTCCTGTCTTCAGTCTGCCTGAACCAGCCCCGCCAGGCCTGACTCCATGGAAGAAAGGGGGCTCGGGTCTGCAGTGACCCCGGACTCTCCCCACGGCCTTGGGGCCTGCATGCCACAGGCTCTGTGCAGGCAGCACTGTACATGGAGGGCTGCCCTGAGCCGCGGGACAGGCAGCCATGGGAAAGGGGCCTGGGGTGGGGCGCACAACCGGGGAACCCGGGAACACCAGCAGGGCCTGCTCCTTGCTGGACGGCAGACAAGGGCTGTGGTCGGAGGTGGAAGACCGTAGGAATCCGGGTGGTGGGCGTGCCACCCGCCTGTGGGGAGGCCTCTTGGGTGTCTGGGACCGCACACTGCCAGAGCTCTTGGCTGCCCGCAGTGCTGGGACCCTCACCAAGGCCTCCTGCAGCCTGGGGCCCCGGGGAGCCTTGGGGGGGCTCTGCTGGCCACAGCTCCTCCCCAGATTGGGCTAGAATCGCAGGGTGAGGAGGCACCTGTAGACCCTTGTGGGAGGTGCCTGTGAAAGGAGAACACCCTGTCGGGACCCCGCCAGCCGAGTGGAAAGGGATCGGCTGAGGGACAGGGCCCCCCTGCTCCTCCTGGTGCTTCAGGCCCCCAAGGCCCCCAGATGATGACGTCGCAGGTACCGAGTCTCTGGGGAAGGAGGTGGGCCAGGAACTGCAGGGAATGTGCCCGCCCACCCAGCCCCATCAGTGGCTCCACTGGCCAAAGGGGAACCTCTCCTCCTCCAGGCAGGGCGAGTGGGCGACAGCATGCTGAGGAGGGGTTGGGCAGCAGCTCCAAGGGTCTGGTGTCTGGGGGGCCTCACCCCCCTTGAAAGAAGCAAAGCCCAGCACAGCACTCCCCACGCTTTGGGCCCAGGACCCTCCAGCTGCTCCGTGGGAAGACATTCACGGCCACCCTGAGCACAGGTCCTGGGAAGGGACAGGGCAGAGCTGGGCCTGCCCTTCCCGTGTCCATCGGTACCGTGCCCTGCTCTTCAGCCCGTCCCCGGGGACTCGTTGGCTCCACTCCCCATGGGAAACACCCGTTCACACCCAGCAGGCTGGCACTGCGCCCAGGTGGGGAGAGGGGAGATGGCTGGGGCAGAAGAGGCACACAGCCCAGCCCCACGGGAAAGGAAAGGTGACCTCACCAAAAGCATCCCCCAGCGCCCCCCAGCACAGAGGTCTGAGCACAAGTCCCTGGGAAGGACCCGTATCACCCGGGACCCTCCTGACAAACGTGGAAACCGAGGCGGTATCCATGAAGCCACCTTAAGGGCCCCACAAACCAACCACTGGACCACAAAGGCCAGCAAACAACAAAAGGTGCTGGGACTGGCCGGGCGCGGTGGCTCACGCCTGTAATCCCAGCACTTTGGGAGGCTGAGGCGGGTGGATCACGAGGTCAGGAGATTGAGACCATCCTGACCAACATGGTGAAATCCCATCTCTACTAAAAATACAAAAATTGGCTGGGCGCAGTGGTGGGCACCTGTAATCCCAGCTACTCAGGAGGCTGAGGCGGGAGAATTGCTTGAACCCAGGAGGCGGAGGTCGCAGTGAGCCAAGATTGTGCCACGGCACTCCAGCCTGGGCGACAGAGCAAGACTCTGTCTAAAAAACAAACAAACAAAAAGTTGCCAGGACTGCACCGGCCGGAGGGGCCCAGGGAGGCGGGTGGGCGGGGTCACAGAGGGACCCCAACAGGGTCTAGGATCAGGACCAAAGGAGGGAAACGGCCAGTGCTGGGGTGGCTGCACCTCCGGCCTGCACACTCTGCCTGTGTGGGTCCCAAGGAGTCATGGCAGCCTGGCCTGCAGGAGCTGCAACACACACACCCACACACACACACACACCCCGGGCCGACACACATCACACACACACACACACACACACACACACACACACACACACACACCCCGGGCCAACACACATCACACACACACACACACACACCCCGGGCCGACACATCTCTCACACACACACACACACATACACACACACCCCGGGCCGACACACATCTCACACACACACCGCAGGCCGACACTCACCCGCCAGCCAGGACCGGGCTTCCAGCAGCTCGTCCATCAGGTCCTCCAGCAGGCGCGCAGCAGGCAGGCTGAGCAGGACGGAGGAGACGGCCGACAACAGCCCCTGGCGCACGTAGCTGCCGGCAAGAAGGCGGGGGCTGAGCTCGGCAGGGACCACACCCCAGACCTCCCACTCCCCTCAGTGTGGCAGACCACCCACGCTGCGGCCCTGCCTGGCACACTTCCTATTTGGGAAGTACCAGGCCAGGCTGCCTGTCAGCCACCTCGAGGCTCCACGGGGCCCCCACAATAAGACCCCTGTGTCTGCCTGCACCCCTGGCCTGGCCCAGCCCCACAGGCCACTCACGCATCGATGTGGAAGCGAAGGGCCCACACGAATTCCAGCAGGGCCTTGCCCATGGCCACAGCCACCTGGACACCAGCAGAGGGACAGTCAGTGGGGTCCCGACGCCGTCCCCACATCCCAGCACCCATGGGCGGCTTCCGCTGCTGGGCAGCAGCAGGGACAGGGCCTGCCTGACAGCCGAGGGGATGCTCCCGCTGCCCGGGGGCCCACACAGGCAGCCCCTCCCTCAGACACCCATCCCTGGGCGCAGGTGAGGCTGAGGAGCGCTCCTGATCCATGGTTAGCACAGGCCGGCGCCCGGCGACCTCTCCCGGCTCACCGTGGTGTTAACAGCCAGGCACATCAGGGCCCCTAAGGTGTGCGCCAGCCTTCCGAGAACCAGCTGGTCTTCTCCCAAGAGGTCGAAGGTCACCAGAGGCCTAGAGCACAGGATGGAGCCCAAGGTGCAGCGGGTGCCTCAGGGCCAGGTCCCCAACCTCCTGGGCCACCGTGGGAGACCGAGGGAGCCCCACACAGCCCCTCCTCCCGTGCCCACCGCCTTGCCTGCACCGAGATCGTAGGAGCAGACATTTCCGGGTGCCTACTCCCCCTGCAGGGCTGTCTGGCACAAGTCCACCTGGGCCAGGAGTTCCCAACGCCGAGACCCCCACCCCTGCTGCAGCACAACCCAGGCCCCACACTTCTCTGCCATCTCGAGAGCCTCACGCCCTGAACGTGGGGCCAGTGCAGCGCCGGCTGAGGCAGGAGGAGGCGAGCAGGGCCCAGCAGGTGATGGCGTCGGGCACGTGCGGGCGGCACTGCCGGCCATGCCACAAGCCCAGCATCGGAGCAGATGCCTGGTGCCTCATGGCAAAGCTCAACCACAGAGGAATCTTGCGGGACGCTCCCTGCCATTTAACACAGGCTTACAAAAAGCCACAGCAAAGCACGACCCTGTTCACACCCAAACCCACTCAGATCCCAGCCCGAACTTCTTGGCCACAGTGGTACGTCCAGGGTCCCTGTCCCCCAAGTCCACAGGCCCACGGAAAACCCACTCACCTGTCAAAGCGCTGAAGGAGGGGGAAGAAGAAGTGGCCGGCCACGGAGTTGAATCTGCTGGGGCTGCCTGCCGGGCCCTGCCTCGGGCCACCCTGCCAGACACAACTACAGCGATCACGGAGGTGCAGGCTTGGGCAGCGGGCACGGCACCCCTAGCCCGAGAGGATCCCACAAAGCAGCGTGGACCTCAGCCTCGCCTTGCCTCCCCGGGCTACTCTTCCGGCCCCGCCCAGCTCCCAGGCCCCATGGGGTTGGTGACGGGACTCAGGCTCCGCGGCCAATGCCTGGACAGCAGACCAGGCGTTCCCGAACTTGCAGGCAGGACATTCAAGGCTGGAGGAGCGTCCTGGGGAGGCCGCCCTGGGCACTGCAGGATGCCTCCGTGGCCTCCAACCCACCCCTAGTGACAACCAAAAACATCTCCAGACGCCCCTAAACATCCTCAGGTGGAGCAACACCACCCCTGGCCTAGATGGGCTCTGAGGACAGAGCACCACCAGGACACCTGTCACTTATCATGTCCCCAAGCCCAGTCTGGGTCTCCTACAGCCAAAATCCAGTTCCTCGGTGCAAACCATGGACCCTGCCTTTCAGGAATCCCGGCAAAGGCACCATCCCCAGCGAATGTGGCCGCCCCTCGCTGCAGACAGCGCCTGGAGGTGTCTGACCGCCCTTCCCACCCACCCACGGTCCCCATGCCCGTGAGGAGCTGACCAGGCGCCACTAACCTTGGAGAGCCGCTGGGTCTTGCTTCTGATCCGCTCCTCCACCACCACCCGCCAGTCAGACGCCACGGCACTGCCAGGCTGAGAGACGGCTGCCTCTGGCAGGCACGGGGTGTTGGGACTTGGGGAGCCAGGTTGGGGAGTCCTCCCGAGGCACCCAGGCCTAGACAGCTCCTGGGCAGCCAGAGTCAGCACCTGGAGGGAGACAGGCCCAGGGCCGTCGCCACTGCTCCAGGGAAGAACATTTCCCAAGAGTCAAGTCAGCCAAAGCCCCAGAAACGGGCCCGGGGGCCCGCCCAGCCTGGGAGAAGGTGTGTTCTGGGAACAAGGAGAAAAGTCACTTCCCCGTAGCTCACAGCAACCGCGCCTTGGTAGGCGGGAAGGTGGGGAAGGTGGGCACCGTGCTCCAGGAGATGAGAACACGCCCAGGGCCGAGCGCAGCCTCATCCTAAAGCCACGCAGTCCCGCCACGCCAGAGCCACATGCCCTTATCCCAGGAAGTCGGCCTCACAGCAAAAGCAACGCTGCAGCGGCACGTGCCACGGGCGGGGGGACCTCAGAACATTGCAGAGAAGGCACCAAGGACCCATGTGCGCCTCCATCTCTAGGACACCTTCTCAACAGGCCAGCGCCAGACCGGAGGCTCCCAGGCTGGGAGGGTCGGGGCGACTGCTGACAGGGATGGGGTTTCCCTCTGGGGTGATAAGGACGCTCTGGGACTAGACAGAGGCGGCTGCGTGACACTGTGGATGTTCCGAACGCCACCCAAGTGTGCACCTTAGAACCAGTTACGGCTGAGGCGGGCGGATCACGAGGTCAGGAGATTGAGACCATCCTGGCTAACACAGTGAAACCCCGTCTCTACTAAAAATACACAAAATTAGCCGGGCGTGGTGGCGGGCGCCTGTAGTCCCAGCTACTCGGGAGGCTGAGGCAGGAGAATGGCGTGAACCCGGGAGGGGGAGCTTGCAGTGAGTCAAGATCGCGCCACTGCACTCCAGCCTGGGCGACAGAGCGAGACTCTGTCTCAAAAAAAAAAAAAAAAAAAAAAAAGACCAGTTACGGTGAGTTGTTCTCATGTTCTCAGTCTTTTTTGCTTTATTGTGGTAAAATATATACAAGATTTACCACGTTAACCCCTCCCCTCCCTTTTTTTTTTTTTTTTTTTTTTGAGATGGAGTCTCGCTCTGTCGCCCAGTCTGGAGTGCAGTGGCGCCATCTTGACTCACCACAACCTCCGCCTCCCAGGTCCAAGCAATTCTCCTGCCTCAGCCTCCCACGTAACTGGGACTACAGGCATGCACCACCATGCCCAGCTAATTTTTTGTGTTTTTAGTAGAAACAGGGTTTCACCATGTTGGCGAGGCTGGTCTTGAACTCCTGACCTCATGATCCGCCCGGCTTAGCCTCCCAAAGTGCTGGGATTACAGGTGTGAGCCGCCGTGGCCGGCTGCTTTTTTTTTTTTTTTTTTTTTTTAAAGAGACAGAGTCTTGCTCTATTGCCCAGGCTGCAGGGCAGTGGTGCCATCACGGCTCACGACAGCCTCAACCTCTGGGCTCAAGCCATCCTCCTGCCTCAGCCTCAAGAGTAGCAGGGACCACAGGCGCCCCACTCCCAGCTAATTTTCTTCTGGTGGAGATGACAGGGTCTTGCTATGTTGACCAGGTTGATCTCAAACTCCTGGGCTTGAGCAATCCTCCCACTTTGGTCTCCCACAGCACTGGGATGACAGGCATGAGCCGCCGCGCCCAGCCCGTTTTCCCCATCTTTAAGTGTACAGTTCCGTGGCATTAATAAGTACGTTCATGATGGGCAACCATCACCTCCGCCCTCGCCAGAACTCTTTTGCCTTCCCAAGCTGAAACTGTCCCCGTGAAACCCTCACTCCACATCCCCTCCCCAAGCCCCGGCAGCCCCGTCCGCTCTCCGTGAACTAGCTCCTCCGGACGGCTCGCTTAAGTGAAATCGAACGATATACAGGCCCTGGGGCTGCTTTAACTAAATGTTCTCAAGGCTCATCGTGTGGCAGTGCGTATCAGAGTCGAATTATCTTTGAGACAGTGTCTCCCTCTCTCACCCACACGGGAGTGCGGTGGTGCAAACAGCTCCACTGCGGCCTCCACCTCCTGGGTTCGAGGGATCCTCCCACCCCAGCCTCCCGAGTAACTGGGACCACAGTCGCCCACCACCACACTTGGCTAATAAAGATGGAGTCTCATTGTGGTGCCCAAGCGGGTCTCGAACTCCTGGGCTCCAGCGATCCTCCCGCCTCAGCCTTCCAGTGCTGGGATTCAAATTTTTCTTTTTCATTGCTAAATAATATTCCCTCACCTGCGCAGCACACATTTTACCCTAAAGCGGTGAATTTTATGGCGTGTGAATTATATCAGTAAAGCTGTTATTTTAAACAAACAAAACTCTCTGCCCCGGGAGCCCTGACTCCCCCACTGCTGAGTCCTGCCGGGTCACACACTCACGAAGGCAGTGGACAGGCCTGCACGAGCCCTTGGGGCCCAGCAACAAGGAGACCCAGGTTTTGGCAGCCCCACCTTAGGGCAGCTTGGGCCAGACCAGGGGGACTGAGGCCCAGGAGGCACTTACATCCAGGATGTCCATGCGCTGCCGGAGGCTGTAGTTGAGGGCATAGAACTGTGAGGTCAGATAGTCGGCCACCTGAGGACACAGGGGAGAGGCTGCTGTGGTCCGGGACCTGAGGGCCACCCGGGGCGACCTCCGGGCACCTCACAGCCAGCTCCAGCACAGGACCGAGACTCAGGCACCGCAGCTCCCAGTGCTTCCCGCTGTGCCTGCACTGGCCAGGGCCACGGGTGCGGGAACTCACCGGGGCCGGGTCTGTGACCGTGACGGCCACCAGGGCTCTCTGGCGCAGCCCTGCAAATCCCACCACACAGGTCTTCTCCTCCAGATGCAGAAGCACCTTGGCCAGCTCCACGCTCACCTGCACGCAGGGGTTAGGGCTGGGAAACCTGTCGGACCCAGCTGCCCGCCGAGGCCTCACCGAGGCTCACAGGGCCGGAGCCACCCACCCCAGCAGAGGCCCCAGGCCGCAGGCCCCCCGGGAGAGGCAGCAGCCCTGTCACACACGGGAGCCATATGTCACCCTCAGTGGCCAGGACACAGATGGCATTGAGGGAGCTACCATCTTGGGCCTCCCCACCCACTCCCGCCCCCCACTCACCTCCCGAGTGGCTGTGGGGCTCCTGTAGACCAGGCCCTCAAGGGCCCGCAGGGCTGCCTCCCAGCGCTCTATGTCCTCAGACGTGGTCAGGGCTGCACAGAACCCAGAGAGGCCTCGGTCAGCCTCAGCCCTGACCCTGAACCCATGAGAGCCAGCAGCACGGGCGGCACCCCGGGCCCAGGGCTTCCCGGTGGCCCCTTGAGGCAGAACCAGGCTGTGAGCGGGACCCATGCCCAGCCCAGCAAGGCCCTCCAGGGGCCCGTGCCCACCTTCCACGCAGTCCCGGACGTAGGCAGGAGCCTTGCTGCTCTTCAGCTCTCTGTCCCCCGACATGTCGTAGGGGACAAACTCATCATCGCTGTGGGAGAGCAAAGCAGACATGAGCAGCCCATGGCCTGTGACAGGAAGTGCCCAACGGCAGAGCCAGCCCCTCTCTCCTCCCCAAGATGCGGAGCTCACGCCTCGGCCCCTGCGCCTACGGTGGAGCTGGGAGCTGCGGGCCCTCACATGAGGACGAAAGAGAAGAAGCACGGAGCAGGCAGGGAGCCCCCCACGGGGCCGCAGCTTGGAGTGTGAGGGGTTCGCCTCCCGGCCTCCTGCACGCTGCCCACTGGGGTGGCAGAGCCCCTACCTGTCCAGGTCCGAGTCAGAGCCCGCCAGCTGTGCTTGGGGGACGCCGCCATCCACGATCTCTGCGGGGGTCTCTGCAGGGGGCTCTGCCGTGGCTGGAACGAGGGACGTGCTTTAAGGAAACAAGGAACAAAAATCCTTTAGGGGCCCCTCGAGCCTCTGGTCTCAGGACTCACAGGACAGAAAGAAAGGGTTTCCCCCCTCCCATCCCGGCAGCGGAATCCAGAGCAGTAAGATGTGCACGCGGTGGGGTCCCGGGGGGCAGAGACCCTCACCCCGCCTCCGAGGCGCCGTCACCCGCAGGCTGGGGGGAGGCCAAGGCCAGCAGCTCGAGGCTCAGTTCATCCTCTTCGTACTACAGCAGGGGAGCAGGCTCAGCGGCATCCGCCAGGCTGCAGCGCCCCTCCCCGAGACGGAGCCACGGGAGCCACTCCCCACTGTGGCCTCCCTCGCAGCCCGGTCTCACTCAGTGGCTGGGCCCTGGATAGCCAGGTGTCTTTTTAAAAGCGACTTTCTAAGATTCCACCTCAGGCCAAGGGTAGCACTGGGAGTGCTCAAAGCTGAGGGGCCGTGGCCCCTCTCGAAGGAGCTGGGCCTCCCCCAAGGCCAATGCCCCAGAGAGATCCCAGGTTCTCAGCAGATAAGAGGACAGGCCGTCACCTCCACAGCCTGAAGGCAGACAGGGCTCCTCCATGGCCAGGCAGCCGGCAGCAGAGAGGCTGACACCCACGGCCACCGACCCAGAGCGACCTGGCTGCCCTGCAGCCCCGGCCGGACAAACTGCAGGGGGTGGCCCCCTTAACCCCAGCCTCCCTCGGGCCCCCGTCTAGAGAGAGTCTGTGAACGTGTCCAGGCAATCCTTCTGGGGGCCCTGTGCTCACCCGACCCTGTGTGGCCCCAGGAGCTCAGGGCTGAGAACCTGCCACAGCTTCCAGCCTCAGCCCTGCGAGAAGTCCACACGGACGCTCCGCAAGTCTGGACCCCGGGAAGAGGCGGTGACCCTGGGGCTGGAGAGGCAGCCGCTCGGGAGACCCGGGCCAGCCACACGGGGACGCGGAGGGGACGGCCCGCTCACCTGGAATTTCAGGGGAGGCCCCTCGGGGTGGATCCGGGCACTAACGACCTCTGCCACGATCATGCCCAGGCGTCGCACGGGGGGCAGGCTACTGTCCAGGCGGCACTTCACGCCCGCCATCATGCTGGCCAGCAGTTCTGCAAGCACCGGACAGGCCCCCTGAGCACCTCGGGGCGCCCGAGGCCGGGGGGAGCCCAAACCACCCGCTCACCATCCCGGCTGTCCCGCAGTTCCGGCTCCCCGAGTTGCGCCAGGCAGATGAGGACAGCCTTGCTGACGTGGCGCTGCTGCGGCAGGGGAGTGTGGCGGATGGCACTGCTGCTGCCCCACGTCTCCAACAGCTCCTTCAGCACCTGCAGGTGGCATGGCCCACGACTGTGTGGGGCTCGGGGCCAGTCTGTCCCCGCCAGGCCCACAGCCACTCTGAGGGAGCTCCGCCCCAGCCCAGCCAGCCTCACCCTGCCGCCCAAAAGGTGAGCCCCGCACGGCTCTTCTCCCAGGGCCTCGCAGGGACGGAGAGCCAGGAGGCACGTACCTGCAGCAGGAGCGGGCGCCGCTGGCTGTCCATGGCCAGATGGCCCAGCAGGCTCTGCAGCATGGGCGTCTGCAATAAAAGCACATGCCTGTCCACTGGGCTGAGGCCGCCGCCTGGCCAGCCCGGGGCTCCCAAGGCCAAGAGCCATGCCAGGACTGGGACCAGACTGAGGGCAGCAGACGGACAAGCATGGGGGCGGCCACTGCCTCCTGGAATGCGGGACCCCTCCCCTCCCGCAGAAGCTGCCCCCTGGGCTCAAGCGACCCACCCGCCTCTATTCCTTTGAACTGAACGTGATAAAACGGTTCCATATAAAAACGTAGGATGCAGCTGCTGCCGTGCTGGGGCAGGGCCTCGCCATCTTAAGTTCTCGTGTGAGCAAAGGAGGAGGGTGAAGCAAGATGTGGCCGGGAGTCAGGGGACCCGGCTCACCCACTCTGGGCTCAGGGGACCTGGCTCACCCCCTCCGGGCTCCAGGCCATGGGGACGGGAGTCATAAGTCCCGGAAATGCACGACCTCCTCTGTGTCCTCACCTATCCCCCACCCACCCCACCCCACCCCCTCAGGCCCCTGGCACAGAACGCAGCTAGGGCGGGTGGCTTCTCGGGAGTCTAGAAGATTGACACATGAGAAGCCCTCACTCAGAGCCGTCACAGCAGGGCCTGTCATCAGGGCAGGGAGGCACCCACCGCCTCGCCAACTCCTGCCAGCCACTGCCAAATCACAGGCAGGGTCTCCCAGGCAGCAGACACCGCTCCGACCCCATGTTTTGCAGCCATTCTTGCTGTGATGGGGCAGCCAGCAGCCTGCACCCTCCGTGGCGTCCTCACCGTGAGCCGGGACTGTAAGAACAGAAGCTTCTGGGTCATCACAAACTGGGCCTTCTTGTTCTTCACCACCAGGTTCCCCAGCAGTCTCGAAAGGACCTCAGGCCTGCAAGACAGAGTCAGGGGCCAGAGCTGCAAGCCGGCCTGGAGACAGGGAGGAGCGAGAGCGTGAACTCCGATGCCCACAGACGGCGGCCTGACTCCCGGCCTGCCAATTCCTAGCCACGAGCCTCTGGTTCCATCCTCCGACTGCCTGAGCTGGGCCTTCATCCTCCCTTCTCTGGGGCATAAATGCCACAACCCAGAGAGCGCGTGCACCGCAGCCCGGGCGGAGGCGGGTCCACCCCCGACAGCCTCCTTCCCTGCACCTCAGCCCGGGCGGAGGCGGGTCCACCCTCGAAGGCCTCCTTTGACAGTGCCAAAAAAATTTTATTTACAAAAACATGCAGCGGGCCAAATTTTGTCCAAGTAGCCTGTAGGCCCCTGGTCCAGACTGAAAGAGTCCTCCCGGTGAGAGGTTATGGGTCTCCAGAAAGAGCCCCACAAGTCTATCCAGCCAGTGTGGAAACAGATATGGCTGGATTTCTCCCTCACTTATCACTTAAAATTCCACACAAAGAAATAACGGTTAAAAAAACATTTGGGAGGCCAAGGCAGGAGGATCACTTAAGGCCAGGAGTTTGAGACCAGCCGGGCAACAAAGTGAGCCCCGTCGCTACAAAAAATTTAAAAATTAGCTGGGTATGATAGCGCGCACCTGTGTTCCCGCTACTCAGGAGGCTGAGGTGGGAAGATCGCTGGAGCCCAGGAGGTCGAGGCTGCAGTGAGCTATAATCACACCACTGCACTGCAGCCTGGGAGACAGAGCAAGATCCTGTCTCTAAAAACAATCCCCCCCAACAACAACACCAAAACAAACTATAAAATAGAATGTGATTACATGATTATATAGTTCACAGAGAAAAGAATACAAATGCCTTAAACACACACACACCCTCACCCAGAATCAAGAATGCAAAGTCAGCCGGGTGCAGGGGCTCACGCCTATAATCCCAACACTTTGGGAAGCCGAGGTGGGTGGATTGCTTGAGGCCAGGAGTTCAACACCAGCCTGGCCAACATGGCAAAACCCCGTCTATACTAAAAATACAAAAATTAGCCGGGTGTGGTGGCGGGCGCCTGTAGTCCTAGCTACTCAGGAGGCTGAGGCAGGAGAATCACTTGAACCCAGGAGACGGAGGTTGCAGTGAGCCGATTGCACCGTTGCAGTCCAGCCTGGGTGACAGAGCAAGACTCCATCTCAAAAAGAAAAAAAAAAAAAAAAGAGGAGGAAATACTTTGGGCAGAGACAGGTATGTCCTTGCACACGTTGAAGGGAGGGGAGACATCTGAGGCAGGTGAGCTGGCAGGGTTTGTGGGGGTAAATGGCCGGCAGTCCTGCTTCCAGAAATGCAACCTTGATTCTCCTGCACAAAGACGTGGGGAAGTGAGTCACCGCCCATCACCATGTCAGAGCCTGGACATGGTGCACACGTGTGCGAGGGGGACCACAGGCGCAGGACGGGTGGACGGCCCAAGGTACAGGCGCCTTTACGGTGTGGGCTGTTCACAGCATCGATGCTATTTCATAAGAGAAAGGGACCCTCTGATACAGAGGTCACCATCAGCACGTGCGGGAACTGAGAGGGCACCACCCACACCCTGTGGCACCTACATGGGGGTGCCAGCTGCAGCACGGCGCCCAGGAGAAGTAGCGTGAAGGAATGGCAGCCTCTGGGGGTCCAGACCCCAGAAGCCAGTGCAGCTGGAGGACAGCCTGGCTGCTTACCCCAGTGCGGCCTCCACCAGCCCGGTCAGCACAGCCTCCATGGCCCGGTCCGGCACTTGCTCCACCAGGCGCCAGCAGACGCGCTGGTGCAGGTAGCTGCCCTGGGTGAGCGCTGCCAGCCGGGGTACCAGCACGCCCAGGATCTCCTCTGAGGGGACAGACGGAGGACCTGAGCCTGGGGAGCTGCACCCACCTGGTGTCTGGGGCTGTGTGGGTCCAGCAAGGACAGTCCCACAGCTCCCCAGTAAGCACAGCTGAGCCCCAGATCCCACGGGCCCAGGACAGGACCGGGCAAGGGGACCCTGCAGAGGGCCAGGGTCAGGAGGGATTCTCGGCCTTCTGCAGAAGGCTGATGGGCTGTGAGGGTCGGGGCAGGATGGGCAGGAAGGCACTGCTCTACTCACGCTGCCTCCCGTGGACACAGGCTTTCCCAAGGACCTGAGACACGAAGGACACGGAGGAATCCAGGCCACCTGGGACAGAAAGGGAGGCCTGATGAGGAAGCCGGCGGGAAGGCACAAAAGAACATCTAGGTGTGGGGAGAGCTGCTCTCGGTCAGGCGGACTCCAACCGACAGCAAAACTCACTCAAAACAACGGCTGGTGCCCATCAGCCTACCCAGCAAATCTGAACAGGAGTGCGTGGAACCTGACAAGCAAATCACAATCCTTTCAAACCTTCACCCATCTTAGCCCACTTAATCGTCACGATGGTGTAGGAGGTCGGGACCGGTATGATGTTGCCGAGGAAGGAGAGAAAGCATCGATAGGGCCCGGCCAAGTTGGGTCAGCCACGCAGGGTAGGCCTGGGCCCTGAGCCGGGCATGAGACCCTGGAGCAGCACCACCACCACGGCCGCCCACAGGGAAGGAGCGCACTCCAGGGAACGTGGGGAACCGGGAGGGGCCGGGCTGTACCAGCCCCACAGAAGAGCTGGGACGCGGGGCAGCGGAAAGCACAGAGCCGCGTGGGGACCAGGACGGCCCCAGCCAACCCCGAACACGTGAAAAAGCCGCATTCCACATGTGTCCGAGATGTTCCCAAAGCCTCCTTAATACATGGGCCCATGCACAGCAGCAGCTGCAAGCCTAGGGCTACGTTCGGAAAAGACAGGAGGGGCTCAGGAGGTTGCTGCAGGAACCCCCAGGTGAGGCGAGGGGGCTTGGGCCACACAGGCCCCACGCAGGGACTCGAGGGGCCCGGCTTCCTCCTGGGCTCTGAGGGGGCGCCGAGCTGCTCCAGGACCCCAGGGTGCCCCTGAGCGAGGGAGGGAGTTTCAGAACGAGGTCGGGGCAGCATGTGGAGGGTGGAGTCCGGACCCAGGTGCTCGACCTGCGTCTGAGCTGTCGCCTGGAGCTCGGGAAAGGCAAGAGAAGGAAGGGGTCACCCTGCAGGGAGAGGCAGACGCTCCGGGTGCTGTGCAGGCCCCCGGCCCAGCCTCCTTCTCGCTAGTGAAACGCACACTCGCGGCAGCCGCCATCTGGCGCCCCAGGGAAAACAGAGCGAGCATGGGCGCTCACGGGGCCCTGCAGCCCAGCAGCGGGCAAGGCCGTTCCCACAGCACCCCCTCTCCAGGGCACCGCCAGCGTCTGCCTCCAGACCTGAGAACCTCGAGATCCCCCACCTGGCCACCACAGCACAGTTGGGCCCTGGAAACCCAAGGGACTGCAGGGACAAGAGAAGCCCGCGTGGAGGGCAGCGGACTTCAGCCCACAGCGGATGAGCCCTGCCGGTCACTACTGTGCGGGACAGGGACATCCCCACCTGCCTGACGGCATCAACCAGAGACTCCAAAGTCTCCAGAGGCCGTGAGGCACCAGAGGGTGGCAGGGGACGAGGACCCAAGAAGACGGGTGGCAAAGGGGGTCCCCGAGGCAGGGCCTCACCTTGGAGAGAGTCCACAACCGCCTGCAGCACCCGGACGACCTCCTCGCCGAGCAGGCGGAAGTAGTTCTGGGGGAAGAACTCGGCCAAGTTCTCCTGCTGCAGGCGGTTGCCCAGGTGATCGGGCAGGGCCACCACCTTGCCCAGCAGCGTCTCCCGGAGCAGGATGAAGCCGGGCTGCGTCTGCTGCCGACACTGCGCCTCCATCAGCACTGCCAGCCGGCCCTCGCGCAGGAATCTGGCCAGCAGCCGCGCCATCTTCATCAGCCGGAAGCTGGGGCTGAAGATACGGGCGTGTTGGGCAGAGCCGCCAACCCCCATCCTCGGGGCCCCCTTCCTGCCACAAGGAACCAGCAGCCCGGATTACACGGGCAGCCCCAACAACATAACCAGCGTGAAGTCCAAAACCACAAGCCGGATGGGAAAATCTGTTAATCCATTCCTAAATAACTGCGATTACTGTGTGAGAGCTCTCGGGGCCCTGAGCGGCTTCCCCAACCTGGAGTCTCACTGGACACCCCTCCCCTGCTGCTGACGCGGATAACTCAGTGCTTGCTTTGATCACAGCAACCTCTGAAAACCCAGCTTCTCAAGATGCAGTGTCCCGGCAAGGACTGCAGTGTGATCTGAGGCTGAGCCTGGGAGCCGGCTGGGGCTGGGAGTCCACATGGGACACGTGTCAGTGATGACAGCTGTGCTTCCCTGGAAAACCTGGAACGTCCCCAGCTGACGGGCTGCCTCTGCCGCCTGGGATGTGAACACTCCCACCCCATCCCTCTCTGACACAGCCGGACGGGGAGCAAGTGGGGGACTTTGTGAGACACAGCAGGTGCCTCCCGTCGCAAAGGAGACAGACACAGACCGCTTCTTCTGTTCAGGGGTTCAGCCAGGAGCAGGCTCTCTCTCTAGCCCCTCACAGGGACTAGAGAGGCTCTTGGTCCAGTCCTTCAAGCCACTCTCATCACTTCTGAGGCTACCGGCAACCCCAGGATGGGCCCAGCCCACTCACCCCGCAGCACCCTCGATGGTCTCCATCAACACCAGGAAGGCTTGGTCCGCCGGGCCCTCCAGGAAGAAGCTGGCCCACAGCTCCTCCAGGCGGCCATGGGGCAGCAGCTCCAGCCAGGCTGGGCTCAGCCTGCTGGCAAGACATCTGAGGACAGGCGAGAAGTGGGCCGAGGCAAACTCCTCCTTCTCCCTCGGGAGCGCTGGAGGCTCCATCTCACCGAGATACCGCTTCAGGGACTCCAGGGTGCAGAAGATGTGGCCGCCATCCTCCGAAGACGAGAGGGCATGAATGGCTTCCCGGACGGCGAGTCGAACCTCTGAGGGTGCTGGCTCCATCCTGCAGGACAGATCTGGGCGTCACGGGAAGACGACCTGTGACATGGACACAGGGCTCAGCTTGGGGCACGGAAATAATCCACACAAGCTCAGGAAGCCCCTCGGTGAGCGCCCCGAGACCCCACACCCCTCAACCCTGGTCCCACCCAACCCTGTCCCGCCTCCTTCCCCTCCAGTGCCTGCCGGTTTCCACCCAGAGTTCGCTCCTCCGCTCGGACCCCAACGCTACCAGCCACTGCAGGGCTTCTCAACCCGGGCCACTGTGCCCAGGGAACATTCTCAGTTGTCTCAACCGGGAGTGCCACTGGCGCGAGAGGGAGGTGGAGGCTAGAGATGCTGGTGAGTGTTCCCCGGGCACAGCGCGGCCCCACGCGTCCTCGCACCCAAGGCGGGAAACTCGGCCCGCGGGAGCTGCCGGCCCTCCCGGCTCCCTGAGCGGTGAGAGGTGGCTCCAGTCGCCATTCCTCCGCCCCTTAGAAACCAACAGCTTACGGGGAACACGGGTTCGGGGCTAGAGGAGCCGCACGCGGACCCGCCCCCGATCCAGGCCCGGACCCCGACCTGTACCCGGACCCCGACCGGACTCCTACCCGACCTGGACCCGACCCAACCAGACCTGGAGCCCAACCCGACCCAACCGGACCCCCGATCCCCGATCCCCGACCCCCAACCCGACCTGGACCCGGCTCCCGGGTGACTGCAGCGCGCTCAGGCGCCGCGCGCCACCGATTCGCTGCAGCCGATTCCCCACGGCCGCCGCGGCCCCGGACGAAACGCGATCGCGGCCCAGCCGGTTGGCCCCGAGCACGAGTTCCTGGGTCCGGGCGAGGCTCCCGCGGGTTTTCTTGAGCCTCTGGGGCGGGTCTCCGCGGGCCTCTCAGCGCGAATCTGCGGAGGACGCCAGGCGGGAGGGCGCATCTGCGCCTGCGCTGCGCGGGGACGGGGCGGAGCCTGGACGCGGGAGCGGGGGGCGGTGGGGTGGGCGGGGCCTGACGCGTGAGTGGGGCGGGGCCTGAGGGCAGGGCCGCGCTTCCCCACGTGGCTGCGAGCTGGGTTCGCTGCGCCCGGGTGGTGGGTTCTCGCCTTAGTTTCTCCCATCTCGGTCGTCCCTACCCTGGAGTGATGTCAGCCGTCTCTTCCCTCCGCCTCGGGTCCCACATTCTCTCCAGAACGCCGAGCGTTCGCTCTAAGGCAGATGTTTACCAAGACAGGCCTGGCTCGTCTTCCCCGGATGTAAGGCTCTGCTTTCAAGGGTCAGAGGCCAGTAAGGGAAACGCACGGTACACAAGGAAGTAAAAGAGCAGTTGAGATCATGTCAGATCTGAACAATTGCAGCTCCGTAAATGAGGCCGGGTCGTGGAATAAAAACTGCGACCAGTAGGGTAAGCGCTAGACGCATGTGGCTCTGTAAATTAACTGAAGTTAAATAAGTCCAGTTCCCTTGCAGCACTAGCCCCATCTCAAGGGCTCGGTACTACCTTTGGCTGTGGCCGCCAGGCTGGACAGCCGGACACTGAACATTTACAACATGCAGTGCCTTCTGTACACCGCAGCGGAGTGTGGGGGGCTTCATCTTTGTGGAGGGGGCAATCCAGGAAGACACCTAAAGAGGCGCCATTTCAGCAGTGATGGATGTGGGAAAAGCTGGGGAACAGTTATCCATTCAACAAACATTGATTAAATGCCTGCTTGGTGCACCAAGCCTTCTGAGCAACAAATGATGCAAAGTTCCTGCTCACCTATCGGGGGAACAGATAAAGTACATACGAAATATGCCAGGTGACAGGCCTCGAGCAGAAAAACTGGCAGAGGCCGGGCCCGGTGGCTCACGCCGGTAATTCCAGCACTGGGAAGCTGAGGTGGGAGAATCGTTTGCACCCAGAAGTTCAAGAATGGGAAAAATAGTGAGACCCTGTCTCTACAAAAAATTTAAAAATTAGCCAGGCACGGTGTCATGAGCCTGTGATCCCAGCTACTCAGGAGGCTGAGGTGGGAGGATGGCTTGAGCCCGGGAGGTTGAGGCTGCAGTGAGCCATGTTCACTGCCACTGCACTCCAGCCTGGACAACAGAGCAAGACCCTGTTTCAAAAAAAAAAAAGGAATCAAAATAAAAAACCGGTAGGGTAAGAAAATAAGAGCCAGTGGCCGGGCACAGTGGTTCACACCTCTAATCCCAGCACTTAGGGAGGCCGAGACGGGTGGGTCACAAGCTCAGGAGTTCGAGACCAGCCTGGCCAACATGGTGAAACCCCGTCTCTCCTAAAAAAAGAATAATAATAATAATAATAGTAATACAAAAATTAGTTGGGCGTGGTGGCATGTGTCTGTGATCCCAGCTACTTGGGAGGCTGAGGCAGGAGAATTGCTTGAACCCAGGAGGCAGAGGTTGCAATGAGTGGAGATTGTGCCATTGAACTCCAGCCTGGGTGACAGAGCGAGACTCCTCCAAAAAAAAAAAAAAAGAAAAGAGCCAGAGAGCAGTGGGTGCTGTCTTACGTAAGGTGAGAGCTCTGAACAGAACACCTTAGAGCAGAGCCCTGAATGTGTTGACAGCCAGGGAAGAGTCTCACTGGCAGGAAAACGGCAGGTGCAAAGGCCTGAGGCCGCAACTGTTGCCCGGGAGGTGGAGCCGAGGGAGGCATATGCAGGGGTGAGGCCTGGAGGGAGTGAGGCAGTGGGCCAGGCCACAGAAGGCCCTCGCAGGGACTAAGATTTTGCTTGTGTGGCAGGCATCTCCTGGAGCCATTGAAGGCACGGGTCCATGCTGGTGCAGTTAGGAGAGCAGACGGTAGGGGGGCGACACGGACGAGGGGACTAGGTGGCCATTGTGAGGATGAGCTTGGGGCGGAATGGGGGTGTAGAGAAGCAGCTGAACTCAGGGCATGTCTCTGCAGGCAGAGCTGATGGATGGGATATGGGGCAGGCAGCATCCCATCATCCCGGAAACTCCTCCTCCGTCCGCTGCTGGGTTCCAGCCCTCGCCAGTGCCCACGGCAGCTCCGTCCTTCCCTATTCCCTTCTTTTCCTGAAGCCCCGCATCCAACAGTGGGTGCTTGGAGGACAAATTTCTCAAGCCTTTGTGTGTCTGAAAATGTCTTTATTCTTTGCTCTGTCACCCAGGCTGGAGTGTAGTGGCGCGATTTCAGCTCACTGCAACCTCCTTCTCCCCGGCTCAGGCGATCCTCCCGCCTTAGCCTTCCAAGTAGCTGGGACTGCAGGTGCACACCACCACGTCTGGCTGATTTTTGTAATTTTAGTAGAGACGGGGTTTTGCCATGTTGCCCAGCCTGGTCTCGATCTCCTGGACTCAAGTGATCTGCCCACCTTGACCTCACAAAGTGCTGGGATTACAGGAGAGAGCCACCACACCCTGCCCCGACCCACAACTTTAAATGGAAATCAGGCAGGCTCAGTGGCTCACGCCAGTAAACCCAGCACTTTGGCTAGGCTGAGCTGGGAGGATTGCTTGAGCCCAGGAGTGTTTGAGAACAGCCTGGCAACATAGCAAGACCCTTCTCTACCGAAATAAAATAAATACATAAATAAATGGAACTCACTGTCAGTTGGAAGCTGCGAGATCCGCCGCTCTGTGTGTGGCACCAGCGTCGCTGTCCTGGTGGCTGCCAGTCCCCCGGGGCCTAAGGCCCCAACCCCGTCCATGTGCCCAGGATGTTCTCTCCGATGCTTTCTGCATCTTCTCCATGTCCATGGTGTTCTGACGCTTGACAAGGGGAGCCTGGGGGCCACCGATGGTTTCCTGGCCTGGCACCCTCTTGGCTCATGCCACCTTGGGAATGATGGATGCCCCCAGTGGGACAACTTTGTGGATGATCTTATTCCCATGAGCTGGGCGGCTTGAAACAACAGAAATGAGTCCTATCACAGTTCTGGGGGCTGGAAGTCTTGAAGTGAAGGTGCACACTCCCTCGAAGGCTCTGGGCTGGGGGTTCCCACTTTACCTCTTCCAGCTTCTGGGGCCTCTGGGGGTTCCTCGTGGCAGCGTCACCCCAGTCTCTGCCCCATCTTCACAGGCCGTGTCCTCTGTGCCTCCTCCTCTGTCTCTTGTACCCCTGTCATTGGCTTTAGGGCCACCTGGATAATCCAGGATGGTCTCATCTCAAAATCCTTCATGACATCCGCAGAGACCTTTTCCACATAAGGCCCTGCCTGGGGCTTATGTGTGTTTTTAGGAGGGTCTCATTCAAGCCAGTACACAACCTGTAACCAAAAATACCAGCCTGGCCCACATGGGGCAACCCCGTCTCTACTACAAATACAAAAATTGGCCGGGCGCGGTGGCTCATGCCTGTAATCCCAGCATTTCGGGAGGCTACAGCGGGTGGATCACCTGAGGTCGGGAGTTTGAGACCAGCCTGGCCCACATGGTGAAACCCCGTCTCTACTAAAAATACAAAAATTAGCCGGATGTGGGGGCACATACCTGTAATCCCAGCTACTTGGGAGGCTGAGACAGGAGAATCCGTTAAACCCAGGAGGCGGAGCTTGTGGTGAGCGGAGATCGCACCACTGCACTCCAGCCTGGGTGACAGAGCAAGACTCCGTCAAAAAAATTAATTAATTGGCCAGGCGCAGTGGCTCATGCCTGTAATCCGAACACTTAGGGAGGCTGAGGCAGGCAAATCATGAGGTCAGAAGTTTGAGACCAGCCTGACCAACATAGTGAAACCCCATCTCTACTAAAAATACTAAAATTAGCCGGGCATGGTAAAGCACGCCTGTAATCCCAGCTCCTCAGGAGGCAGGAGGCTGAGGAAGGAGAATCGCTTGAGCCGGGGAGGCAGAGGTTGCAGTGAGCTGAGATTGCGCCATTGCACTCTAGCCTAGGCAACAGAACGAGACTCCATCTCAAATAATAATAATAATTAATTAATTAAGGTGGCTCCCAGTCACATTTCCATTGCTTTACTGAGAGAGACGGGGCCTCCCAGGATGCAGCCGTGCACGGCCTGGGTGATGGGTGCCTGTGCAGACCTGGCTCTGTTGACTCCCCAGCCCCCGTCGGGTTCCCTGTCTTGCTTCGACTTCTCGGGAGCACAAGTCCATGTGCTCCTGTTAAAGCCATCGCCTCCTGCCCGCGGGCTTGCACCCAGCTGAATGATTCTTCAAAGAAACTGTTTGCATCTGTTTTAAGCTTGTCTCCTTAGGAACCTGCAAGTCTCAGAGCCCACTGGCTTGAAGGCAGATGCCTTTCATGGAGGCGGCAGGAAGAACCTGACATCCAGCCAGGGCCAAAGAAGGAAAACCACTCAACAGGAGAGCTGGGGGGACGAGACACAAGACAGACCCACGGAGCCACCTTCACCCTCTCCTGCGGCTGGAGGGAGACTGCTGGGGCCTTGCCGTCTCTCCGGATGGGTTGCTCGTGGAGGAAGACCTTGTCTTTCTTCCTTGTTTTTGTGCCTATATATCTACATGGGGCTTCATCGCAGGAAGCCGCCCCAGTGGGGCCCAGGAAACCGTTTTTCGAGAGGCTCCGTAGGCTGGAGGAACAGGCAAGTTATACCCCTGACATGGCGCAGTCGGGTTTTTAAATTGGCAGCAGATGGAAGACGGATGTTACAGAAGCAGATTGGTAAACATCAGGGCTTGGCGGACACGAACACCGCGTGTGACGCTCTTTCCATCCATGAAGATTATTTCACCTGCAGTTGGACACCAGGGAAGAGCTGAGCTGGGCTCCACTCACACAGGACACAAGCCTCATAACATGTGGGGGTCAGGTGGGGCCAGAGGCTAGAAGGGGGTCTGGAAGGGAGTCAGGGGAACTGGGGGCCATGGGGGCCGGGTAGTGTCATGGGGAGTGGAAACTGGGAGGTCACAGGTCCACCTTGTGGCAGTCGGTGTGAACGGCCTCCCGGACTCCCACGCGGGGTCCACGGACAGTTCCGGAGTGCTGTGGGCCTGTCGGGCCTGCGCTGGGTGCTTCCTGTTTGGGCCTCGTAAAGCACTCATGAGGCCACCCTGCCGTCCCCTGCTCACAGGCAGGAGCTGGAATCACGAGGGAAAGTGACTTGCCGGTGGTTATGGGGTGAGCGGTGGGGATCAGAGCCCCAGCTGTGGGCCTGGAGTCCACACCCCACGTGGTGCAGCTGCATGGCCTGGGGTCAGTCCCTGGCACCCACCACATCTCACGGCATCGCAGTGGGGATCAAATCGGTGGGCAGATAGCCAGTGCTGGCCGTGGCCCGGGCACGCGGCCGCTGCTCCCAACTTGAGAGGGCAAAGCCTTTCCCGTCCCGCCCAGCCGGCCCGGCCCGGCCCGCCCCATCATCACCGTGTCCTCCTTACAGTTCCGGAGATTCCAGGAGGTGACCTGGACACACCTGCAGAACATCGCCAGCAACTACAACGTGTCCTACAACGTTGACGTCCGGTTCCGGAGCCTGGCGGAAGAGAGCCAGGCTGTGGCTCAGGCAGTCAACCGGTCACAGGCCTCGGTGCAGGGGGAGCTGGCGCAGCTCAAGGCCTGGGTGAGGAAGCTGCAGCGCCGAGGCCGGAAAGTAGACACGCGGCTGCGGGCCTTGGACCTCACCCTGGGCGAGAGGAGCCAGCAGCGGGCCCGGGAAAGGAAGGCACACAAGGCCCAGAGGGACGCCCTGCAGGACTCACTGGCACGCCTGGAGGGCCTCGTCCACAGCCAGGGCGCCAGGCTGGCTGCTCTGGAGGGGCGGCTGCCCGTGGCCCACCCTGGCACTGCAGCCCTCGGGCCGGCCCTGGTCCCAACCCCAACCCAGCCTGAGGAGCTGGGCCCGACCTCCCTGAAGCTTCAGAGGGACAGGCAGGAGCTCCGAGCTGCCTCTGAGCACAGGGGCCCCCCACAGGACTCCTCGGCCCCTCTCCAAGGGAGGCGGGAGCCTCCAGCCTCAGGCAGCCATCGGGTACTCAGTGGGACTGCCCCAAAAGACCCTCGGCAGCAGGCATGGTCCCCCCAGGTGCCAGGAGAGAGTAAGTACCACAGGCTCCCAGCTCACGGCCAGGCTTCCCTCCAGCTCCTCCTTAGACCAGGCCCCCTGGAAAAGGCTTCTCAAAAGAGGTTCAGTTAGGGGCCGGGAGATGGGGAGAGGGTCTCGGATCATCGGGGGGGGTGGCCCACCGTCATCACAGAGGCTTTCTAAGGGGAGGCAGGAGGAACACAGTCAGAGGAGGGCGTGAGGGCAGAAGCAGAGGTGGCGGGATGCACAGACGAGGAGGCCCCACGCCGAAGGGTGCAGGCGCCTCTGGAAGCTGGAAAGGGCGGGAGATGGTTTCTCCTGGAGCCTCCAGAGGAACCAGCCCTGTCCACACCTGATTTGAGCCCTGGGAGACCGTGTTGGCCTTGTGACCGCCAGAAATGTGAAACACTAAACCTGCGCTGTTGTGAGTCATGAAATTTGCAGAGACTCCCTGGCAGTGAGGGGCGCTGGCTCAGCTGGGTGGGCCGACAGCTAGGGCTCCTAGCAGGACCCCGCCACTCCCGAGTACGGCCCTCATGTTCAGTCTTCCCGCCTGTGGAACTGGGGTGATCCCATCAAGAGAGTGAAGGAGACGCTGCAGGGGAGCCATCGGCAGGGCCAGCGCAGAGTCAGTGCTCCGTGAAGGGTGGCAGCCGGGAGTGGGAGGCCAGGCACCCACAGCACGTGTGCTTCTGGATGCTTCTGCTCGGCCTCCTGCAAGGGGTTGACCCTCCCTCCTCTGTTTCTAGTTTGCGGCGTGGGCCCCACCCTCGTTTTCCCAAACGCCTCCACCAGGAACGTGGTCTTCCTCAGCCCTGGTTTCGTCACTGCCCTGCGAGCCCTGTCCTTCTGCAGCTGGGTCCGCACGGCCTCCGGCCGCCTGGGCACCCTCCTGTCCTACGCCACCGAGGACAATGACAACAAGCTGGTGCTGCACGGCCGAGACTCCCTGCTGCCCGGATCCATCCACTTCGTGATCGGGGACCCGGCCTTCAGGGAGCTGCCCTTGCAGCTGCTGCTGGACGGCCAGTGGCACCACATCTGTGTCATCTGGACGTCCACCCAGGGCAGGTACTGGCTCCACGTGGATCGCAGGCTGGTGGCCACCGGCTCCCGCTTCAGGGAGGGCTATGAGATCCCCCCCGGAGGGTCCCTCGTGCTGGGCCAGGAACAAGACAGCGTGGGGGGCGGATTCGACAGCTCCGAGGCCTTCGTGGGGAGCATGTCTGGCTTGGCTATCTGGGATCGGGCGCTGGTTCCCGGGGAAGTTGCAAACCTTGCCATCGGGAAAGAGTTCCCGACAGGTGCCATCCTGACGCTGGCCAATGCTGCACTAGCAGGCGGATTTGTGCAGGGGGCCAACTGCACCTGCCTGGAACGCTGTCCCTGAGGCCGAGCCGCACGGGGGCTGAGGCCAGCAAGGGCAGCATGCCCCCATCCACATTCCGCCACCGCCCTCCCCGCCAGCACATTCTACAAAGGCCACCCCCACCCGTCCTGGCTTTGCACACCTGCGCCCTCACATAGGGGTGCCTATTCCATCCTGGGGAGTGGGGAGGTGGACAGGGAGCGAACAGAGACAGAGAGAGCCTGGGGTCAGGGTGGCCTGCAAGCCCATGTTTCTTCCATCACCACGGCATTCTTACTTCCTGCACTGTCTTCCTTTCTTTTTTTTCTTTTTTTTTTTTTTTTTGAGACGGAGTCTCACTTTGTTGTGCAGGCTAGAGTGCAGTGGCGCGATCTCAGCTCACTGCAAGCTCCACCTCCCGGGTTCACACCATTCTCCTGCCTCAGCCTCCCAAGTAGCTGGGACTATAGCGCCTGCCACCATGCCAGGCTAATTTTTTTGTATTTTTAGTAGAGAGGGGTTTTCACCATATTAGCCAGGATGGCCTCAATCTCCTGACCTCGTGGTCTGCCAGCCTTGGCCTCCCAAAGTGCTGGGATTACAGGCGTGAGCCACTGTGCCCGGCCCCTTTCTTTCTTATCTTTTTTTTTTTTTTTTGAGATGGAGTCTCACTCTGTCTCCTAGGATGGAGGGCAATGGCATGATCTTGGCTCACTGCAACCTCCGCCTCCCAGATTCAAGCAATTCTCATGCCTCAGCCTCCTGAGTAGCTGGGATTACAGGTGCCCGCCACCACGCCTGGCCCCTCCCTCCCTCCCTTCCTTCTTCCTTTCCCGTTCCCTCCCTCCCTCCCTCCATTCCTTCCTTCCCTCTTCCTCTTTCTCTCTCTCTTCTCTCTTTATCTCTCTCTCTCTTTGTTTCTGACAGAGTCTTACACTGTCGCCCAGGCTGGAGTACAGTGGCACAATCATAGCTCACTGCAGCCTCAACCTCCCGAGCTCAGCTGATCCTCCCACGTCAGCCTCCTGAGTAGCTGGGACTAGAGGCACACACTAACGCGCCTGGCTGAAAATTTTTTATTTCTTTTTTCTTTTTCTTTCTTTTTTTTTGAGATGGGGTCTTGCTTGTTGCCCAGCCTGGAGTGCAGTAGTGCAATCTTGGCTCACTGCAACCTCCACCTTTTGGGATAAAGCGATTCTCCTGCCTTAGCCTTCCAAGTAGCTGGGACTATAGGTGTGCATCACCATGCCCAGCTCTAATGTTTGTATTTTTAGTAGAGATGGAGTTTCAACCTGTTGGTCAGGCTGGTCTCGAACTCCTGACCTCAGGTGATCCACCTGCCTCGGCCTCCCAAAGTGCAGGCGTGAGCCACGGTGCCTGGCCCAGGCAATGCTTTTAAAACAACTTTATTGGCTTGGCGCCGTGGTTCACGCCTGTAATCCTAACACTTTGGGAGGCAGAGGCGGGTGGATCGCTTGAGTCCAGGAGTTTGAGACCAGTCTGGTTAACACGGGGAAACCCCATCTCTACTTAAAAAAAATACAAAAAATTTAGCCAGGTGTGGTGGTCTGTGCCTGTAGTTCCAGCTTCTTGGGAGGCTGAGGTGGGAGAATCACTTGAGCCTGGGAGGCTGAGGCTGCAGTGAGCCGAGATCGCGCCACCGCACTCCAGCCAGGGCAACCGGAGTGAGACCCTGTCTCAAAAAACAAAACAAAACAAAACCTTATTGAGGTAAAATTTACATATCATAAAATTCACGTTTCAAGCGCATAGTTCAAAGATTTGTAGTGAATTTACAGAGTTGTACAGCCATCGTTAACAACCCAGTTTTAGGACCTTTCTGTTCCCTTCCTTAAAAAGTGTAGCAATTGCTCCTGGGTCCCCCGCACCCTCCCCAGCCTCTGGCAGCCACCTGCCTGTTTTCTGTCTCTATGGATTTGCCTGTTCTGGACACTGCATACAAATAAACCAAAAGCAATTGTCTGTTTGTGTCTGGCTTCTTTTAATTAGCACAAGGTTTTCAAGCTTCGTCCACGCCGCGGCATGTCTCAGCGTTTCATCTGCGTTGTTGCCAAAGCATGTCACGTTGTATGGATGGACCGCAGTTCGTTTATCTGTTCATCCGCTGGTGGACATCTGGGTAGTTTCCAGCTGGGGTTACTGCGGATAAAGTCGCTCTGAGCACTCTCAGACGAGTCTTTGTGTGGGCATTTTTTTCGCTTTGGTGGATACCTAGCAGTACAATTGCCGGTCTTATGGTAAATTCACGTCTAGGCTTCCTGTTGTTTTGAGACAGAGTTTCACTCTTGTCGCCCAGGCTGGGGTTAATGGCGCAATCTCAGCTCACTGCAAGCTCCGCCTCCCGGGTTCAAGCGATTCTCCTGCCTCAGCCTCCCGAGTAGCTGGGATTACAGGCGTGAGCCCCAAGGCCCGGCCCATGTCTAGGCTTTCAGAGAAACTGCCCAACTGTTTTCCAAAGTTGCTGCATCATTTTTCATTCCCGCCAGCAATCTATGAAGGTTCCTGTTTCTCCACATCCTTGTCCACACTTGGTTTTGTGTTTTCTTTCTTTCTTTCTTTCTTTTTGAGACAGAGTCTCACTCTGTTGCCCACGCTGGAGTGCAATGGCGCAATCTCAGCTCACTGCAACCTCCACCTCCCAGGTTTAAGCAATTCTCCTGCCTCAGCCTCCCGAGTAGCTGGGATCACAGGTGCTGCCACCACCACGCCCGGCTAATTTTTTTGTATTTTTAGTAGAGACTGGGTTTCACCATGTTGGCCAGGCTAGTCTTGAACTCTTGACCTCAGGTGATCCACCCGCCTCGGCCTCCCAAAGTGCTGGGATTACAGGCATGAGCCACTGTGCCCAGCCTCTCTTTTTGATAATTTTTTTTTAATTCCAAATCACGGCAGGGTAAAAAACAAAATTTGCATTGACCATTAGAACAGACTTGTACTGAAGTTTCAGTCTGGTGTAAATTGACTTCATGATGTTGGAGATTCCCAAGAAAGGCCCAAACACAAGATCTCCAAGAATCCAAAAGTCAGCTGGTGCAGACAGGAGAAAGCGGGGCGTGGGGTGGGGTGGGGCAGGGGAGGGGCCCAAATCCGCTGATCGAGAGAACAGGCCTGGTTCTCAGAATTTGCCAATCCCTCCCATTCTCCCTCTTCCTATCTGAAAAGTGAGGAGGCCGACGAGAGAGGTCCCACAGCCTTCACTAGCAGATCCACAAGGGGCCCGAGCCCCTCCGCCCAGTGCGTAGGTGGTTTCAGCTCTGCGGATGCCTGGACCCTGCCCAGCTGGCACCGTGGGGAAAGTGCCCTAAGTCAGTCCCTGGAGTCTCCTAGCAATGTCTCTGCAGAGCAGCCTGTAGACCCAAACTGGACCCCAGCAAGTTTGGGCTTTCAGGTCAAGATCAGCCCAGCCCGCCTCCCCCAGTGCCACCTGTGCATGACTCAAGGTCAGAGATGGGATTTTAGAGCTGGAAAGCCCCGCGGATGCCGGCGTGACGGTTCCCCGAGTCACTCACCGAGTTGTGCTTCTGCATGACAGTGTGTAACTCTATGGACGGCAGCTCCTTCCCAAACCTTTTTCTTTCCCCAGCCTCCTCAGATGCTTTCTGGAACGCCCTTGCTCCACCCCACTCTGCCTTTGAGGAGGGAGCCATAGGACGTCTTTTTTGGGGAAAGATTGGTCATTCGGGTCACAAATATTTCTTGTGACAGTGATGTCCTTAGCACAGTTGTCTTGCCCAGGGTCCCAAGAAGGTGAACTGGGGCAGGGCTTTGAGACAAAGGCTCTAGTGGCCCCCAGATGGGTGCAGCCCCTCCCCAGCTTGCGGGTGCTTCCAGCGCCCTGGGGGACCAAGATGTCGCCCGGGCCACAGCGGTATTCAGCTGCGTGGCCACAGAATCTAAGCCTCAGGGACTCGGCAGAGGTGGGCGTTCAGGATGCTTCACGGGGAGGGCTCAGCTCACTCCAGGTGGGAGAACAGCAGAGCAAGGGCTTGGACTTGGGAGTATGGGGGCAGCTTGGGGATTGTGGGGATTTGGGGCCAGTCTTGGGTTTGGAGTAGGGCTGTCTGGGCATCCATCTCATGTGGCTCACCAACCCCACTGGGAGCAGCAACAAAGCCCCCTGCTCATTTCTTTTTTCCTTTCTCATTGTATTTTTTGATCTTTCTCAGCAGAATCATACCTGTGCATTTTGAGGTGTGAACCACACCCACCTCTAAGGCCCACTGAATCCCACCTTTCACCAAGTCTGTTACGTTTCCGGGTGAGGAGGACAAACCACAAAAAATACAGACAAAAAACCTACAGGGGCCCTTGTCTTGCTGGGGAAGTCAGTTCCCGACAAGGAGCCCCTCCCCCACCCTACCCACCCCCCAGCCCATTCCTCTTCTGAAACAGCCACTTGTCCCAGAAAAGGACACACTTAGGTCCCTGGGCTGAGAAGGATGGCCTTTGGGACCTGGCTTCCCCTCCCCAGCATGACCCCTTCTTCCCAAGCTCTGTTCTTGTGGGTTCTGCATACAGCCCCACCATGCCCCACTCCAGCACTCTGCTCAGCTCTCTGCCCACCTGGGTATCTTCATCCAAACCCTCCTCAACCCACAAGACCCAAGTCCATCCATTCAATTCAATCAACAATGTGCTGCACTCCTACTGGGTCAGGCAACATGGTGCCTGCCTCTGAGAAGCCTGGGGAGGGGAACTGTCCCACCTCTGAACCCCCCAGGGGACTTGCTGTCAGTCCTTGACTCAAAGCATTTGAGAGCAAGAGTTTTGAAATCAAACTAACCCAGGTTCAACTCCTGCCTGCTTGTGGGGAGCCTTGGAAAAGTCAGCTTCATTCTCATCTTTAACGCTCGCTGTCCTGTATGACATGGGGGTGCAATGCCCTTGTCACCATCCCTCAAAAGGGCAAAGCCAGCCAGGCGTGGTGGCTCACGCCTATACTCCCAGTACTTTGGGAGGCTGAGGCAGGTGGATCACTTGAGGTCAAAAGTTCAAAACCAGCCTAGCCAACGTGGTAAAACCCCGTCTCTACCGAAAATACAAAAAATTAGCCAGGCTTGGTGACACGCACCTATAATCCCAGCTACTCGGGAGGCTGAGGCAGGAGAATCGCTTGAACCTGGGAGGCAGAGGTTGCGGTGAGCTGAGATCATGCCACTGCATTCCAGCCGGGGCAACACAGCGAGACTCCATCTCAAAAACAAAACAAAACAAAACAAGCACAAAGGCAGGGCACACCCATGAGAAAAATACCTTTTTTCAAAGAATGTTGTTCATGGTATTTCAGAAAAAGTATTGTAGTGTAATCACTGGGGAATTCAAAACCCTTTTAGATTTCCTTCCTCTTATTTTGGGCTTAGTTTTGGTTTTATTTTGATATAAGCAAGGGAGGGTTCCATTATCTTCTCAGCTTTAGAGGCTCTAAGGAACTTTTATTTATTTATTTATTTTTTTTTTTTTTTGAGACGGAGTCTTGCTCTGTCACCCAGGCTGGAGTGCAGTGGCACGATCTCGGCTCACGGCAAGGTCCGCCTCCCAGGTTCACACCATTCTCCTGCCTCAGCCTCCTTGGTAGCTGGGAGTACAGGTGCCCGCCACCATACCTGGCTAATTTTTTTGTATTTTTACTAGAGATGGGGTTTCATCGTGTTAGCCAGGATGGTCTCAATCTCCTGACCTCGTGATCCACCCGCCTCGGCCTCCCAAAGTGCTGAGATTACAGGCGTGAGCCACCGCGCCCGGCCTCTAAGGAACTTTTAAACTTTTGATTTGGAAAAATTTCAAGCCTAAAAAAAGTTGCAGATGAATACATTGCACATCATATATATTTATTCTAGACTCTTCAAGTGTTATCTTTATTATTATTTTATTTATTTATTTATTTATTAGACAGAGTCTCACTCTGTCACCCAAGCTGGAGTGCAGTGGCGTGATCTTGGCTCACCACAAGCTCCAACTCCCGTGTTCACACCATTCTCCCGCCTCAGCCTCCCAAGTACCTGGGACTACAGGCGCCTGCCACTGCGCCCAGCTAATTTTTTTTTTTTTTTTTGTATTTTTGGTAGAGACGGGGTTTCACCGTGGTCTCCATCTCCTGATCTCGTGATCCGCTCACCTCGGCCTCCCAAAGTGCTGGGATTATAGGCGTGAGCCACCGCACCCGGCCGGCTTTATTTATTATTTTTAAACTTTATTTTAGGTTCAGGGGTACATGTACAGGTTTTTTATATAGGTAAACTCATGTCATGCGGGTTTGTTGTACACATAATTTCCTCACTCAAGTACTAAGCCTGGTACTGGACAGTTATTTTTATTTGTTTTTGAGATGGAGTTTCGCTCTGTCGCCCAGGCCGGAGTGCAGCCGCACCATCTCCCCTCACTGCAACCTCCGCCTCCTGGGCTCAAGTGATTCTTGTGCCTCAGCCTCCCAAGTAGCTGGGATTACAGGTGTGTGCCACCACACCTAGCTAATTTTTGTATCTTCAGTACAGACAGGGTTTCACCATGTTGGCCAGGCTGGTCTTAAACTCCTGACCTCAAGTGATCCACCCACCTCGGCCTCCCAAAGTGCTGGGATTACAGGTGTGAGCCACCACGCCCAGCCCAATATTTTGTTATTTTTTTCGGCTCCTCTCCCTCCTCCCGTCCTCCACCCTTCAATAGGCCTCAGTGTCTGTTTTTTTCCCTTTGTGTCCATGTGTTCTCATCGTTTAGCTCCAACTTATGTGAGAACATGCGGTATTTGCTTTTCTGTTCCTGGGTCAGTTTACTAAGGGTAATGGCCTCCAGCTCTATCCATGTGCCTGCAAAGGACACGATCTCATTCTTTTTTATGGCTGCATAGTATTTCATGGTATACATGTACCACATTTTCTTTATCCAGTCCACCACTGATGGGCATTTAGGTTGATTCCATGTCTTTGCTATTGTGAATAGTGCTGCAATCAACACACGCGTGCGTGTGTTTTTGGTTTTGCTTTTTTTCTGAGACAGAGTCTCGCTCTGTCACTCAGGCTGGAGTGAGGTGGTGCAATCTCAGTTCACTGCAACTTCCATCTCCTGGATTCAAGCGATTCTCCTGCCTTAGCCTCCCAAGTAGCTCAGGTTATAGGCGCCTGCCACCACACCTGGCTAATTTTTGTATTTTTAGTAGACATGGGGTTTCACTATGTTGGCCAGGCTGGTCTCAAACTCCTGACCTCAAGTGATCTACCTACCTCAGTCTCCCAAAGTGTTGGGATTACAGGTGTGAGCCACTGCGCCTGGCCTGCATGTGTTTTAATGATAGAACAATTTATATTCCTTTGGGCATACACCCAGTAAGGGGATTGCTGGGTCAAATGTTAGTTTGGTTATCAACATTCAAAGCCTGAATTTTAAACAGGTTGTTGGGCTGGGGGCTCATATCCGTCAGCTCATTCACATTTAGCACTGGTCTCATCCCCAGTAGCTTTTCCAGGACAGCGACCTTCACCACAAAGCTTGAGTTTTCCCAATGCAAGCCTGGGCTTCCCAAGCATTTTTACTTTTCTAAGGAAGACATCCTGGAGAGGATACCTGGATAGACTGGGGAACCTTCTCTGTGTCTCTCCCAGTGCTGTCTAGCATCAATTCATGGGCCACTTCTTTCGAGTAATTTGTCTGCACCTCTTGGGCCATGATTTCCACCATCTTTTCTGGATTTGACGGGCCTGCCAGTGCTGCCTGTGAGAGGTCTTCCCAATCTGCTTGCTGCACTGTTTTAGTAAAAGCAGCACAGAACAGATGAGGCAAATGATCATCTGTAGTTTTGACAACCATATGAGCTTCAATCATGGTCTTTTTTTTTTTCCATGAAAGCTGGTCAGGCTGTTTTTGCACTGAACATCCTCAGTGATTAGCTTGAATTTTCCAGATGCAACTTCACCATTCTGCAGATGAGCAGTACTGACTTCAAAAACACGGCCCTTGAGGCCATCGGGTGTGATTTTGGTTCCTGACGTCCCTGTGCCTGGTGTTTTCCATACTCCTTATGCCAAGCACAGCTGGTGCTTTCGCCTCATGCCAGTCTCTCTCAGACAGTGGACCAACCTCTTTCTTCTTGGCTCCCTTCCTGCCACTTCGGTTAAGGTGCTCGTTCTTGCCTGCTGCATGGTGGTGCAGACAGCCAAGGGCCAGATGTTAACATTGCCATTTTCCCTCCCTCTCAGAAGGCTGCTACTCATTATGATTATTGTCAGGTTTTGAATTGTCCGAGTGTAAGCTGCAGACATAGCAACACAAGGTCCCAAGTATTTCAGTATGTATCTCCTAAGATCGGGGAGCTTTCCTGACGTAACCACAATATAATGATCACGCGTGGGAGATTTACTACTGCTCCAACACCGTTAGCTCATACAGTGTATGTCCAATCTTTGCCAATTGTCTCAACCATGCCAGACCCACGTGAGGTTGTCTCCTCAGCCTCTCTTTGTCTCTTTCACAATACTGACATTGTGGAAGAAGATGGCCTAGATGTTCAGCAGGCTGTCCCTCAAAGTGGGATTATCTGGTGTTTCCCCTTTATGAGTGGACTCAAGGTGAGCATGTTTTGCAGGAATGCTCCGGAAGGGACGTTGTGTCCTTCCTGGTGCATCACATCAGGAGGCACACGATGCCACCTTATCCCATCACCAGCAATGCTGAACTGGGTTGCTTGGTTCAGGTGGCGCCTGCTAGGTTTCTTTTTTCCCTTCACCGTTAAGAAATGCTGACCCTGGGCCGGGCACGGTGCCTCATTCCTGTAATCCCCGCACTTTGGGAGGCCAAGGTGGGTGGATCACCTGAGGTCAGGAGTTCAAGACATGCCTGGCCAACGTGGAGAAATCCCATCTTTACTAAAAATACAAAAATTAGGCCTGGCGCCATGACTCATGCCTGTAATCCCAGCACTTTGGGAGGCCAAGGCAGGCGGATCACAAGGTCAGGAGATTGAGACCATCCTGGCTAACACGGTGAAACCCCGGGTCTACTAAAAATACAAAAAATTAGCCGGGCGTGGTGGCGGGCGCCTGTAGTCCCAGCTACTTGGGAGGCTGAGGCAGGAGAATGGCGTGAACCCGGGAGGCGGAGCTTGCAGTGAGCCAAGATCACGCCATTGCACTCCAGCCTGGGCAACAGAGCGACACTCTGTCTCAAAAAAAACCAAAAGGAAACAAAAAAAAGAAAAATTAGCCAGGTGTGGTGGCGGGTGCCTGTAATCTCAGCTACTCGGGAGGCTGAGGCAGAAGAATCATTTGAACCCAGGAGGCGGAGGTTGCAGTGATCCAAGATAGCGCCATTGCACTACAGCTTGGGTGACAAGAGTGAAACTCCGTCTCAAAAAAAAAAAAAAAAAAGAAGGAAAAAGAAAAAAGAAATGCCAACCATGGCCGGGCATGGTGGCTCATACGAAGAGTCCTAGCAACTCAGGAGGCTGAGGAAGGAGGATCCCTTGAACCCAAGAGGTCAAGGCTGCAGTGAGCTATGATCTTGTCATTGTACTTCAGCCTGGGTGACAAAGTGAGACTGTGTCTCAAAAATAAAAAAATAATAATAATAATTTAAAAAAAGGCCGGGCACCGTGACTCACGCCTGTAATCTCAGCACTTTGGGAGGCCGAGGCGGGTGGATCACGAGGTCAGGAGATCGAGACCATCCTGGCTAACACAGTGAAACCCCATCTGTACTAAAAATACAAAAAATTAGCCGGCCATGGTGACGGGCGCCTGTAGTCCCGGCTACTCGGGAGGCTGAGGCATGAACCCGGGAGGCAGTGAGCCGAGATTGGGCCACTGCACTCCAACCTGGGCGACAGAGTGAGACTCCGTCTCAATAATAAAAATATCGACCTTTTAAAAGGAAGAGGATGAGGCACAAAATATAAAGAGTTTACTCTAGAGGCTAACGTGGAAGGATCACTTGAGGTCAGAAGTTTGAGAACAGCCTGGGCAACACACTGTGAGCTCCACAGCAAAAATTAGCCGGGTGTGGTGGTGCAGGCCTGTGGTCCCTGTTACTCCAGAGGCTGAGGCGGGAGGATGGCTTGAGTCCAGGAGGTCAAGGCTGCACTGAGCTGTGACCGCACCACCGCACTCCAGCCTGGGCGACAGAAGGAGACCCTGTCTCAAAATAAATAAATAAATGACCCAGAAGGTGGGGACAGGGTGGGGGCTGATGTAAAGCTGTCAAGAATTCTCTTTGGTTTATGGAAATACCATTGATTAGTGATGGGCTGTGCCCTGGTGCGGGTACAGGGTCCGGGCGGCTATTTGGCTAATTCACAGCTATCTGCGTAGTAGCCGGCAGTTTCCAGAGGCGACCCTCCTGTACTGTCTCTGGGGCCTGATCGTTGAAGAGGACTCGCCTTCTGTTCTTTTCTCATTAGGCGGGAGGACCCTCTGGGGCTGCCTGGAGGAAGCCTCCACTCCGACCCTCGCCCGAGTGCCTACTGCGAGGGCGGATGCATGCTTCGGGACTTCTAATTTCATCCTTCACGTCTTTAGCCGCCGCCTATGGCAAGGAAAGGCCTGCCCTCGCCCCTGCCTCCCTCCTCCCTTCCCCACCGCGGCTCCGTCACGATCGGCGCGGGCGACCGGGCCTGGGGGAGCCCCTCCAGCCGGCTCCTGCCCTCAGGCCCCGGGCGCTTCCCTCGCCCCGACTCCCGGGCCCGAGGTCCCGGGGGCGGCCATTCGCCTCCCAAGCACTCGGCGCTCAGCCCAACGGGGCCGCCTTTGCAGTCGCGTGGGCAGAACGGGGTCCTCAGGGCCGCGGCGATTCTCTAGGGCGGGCGGCGCCACGACCCGCCGGGAGCGCGGCTCCCAGGAGCCCCCGCGCGACCGGGCCTCGGTGGTTGCCGTTGCAGGTCACATGGTCGCCGTCGCTCATCACGTGGCCCCGTCGCGCGTCACGTGGCCGCCGGCGCGGGTCACGAGAACAAACACGGGGGCAGCCGGCGCTTCCCGGCCGGTGTCGCTCCGCGGCGGGCCATGGCCAACGTCTCTAAGAAGGTGTCCTGGTCCGGCCGGGACCGGGACGACGAGGAGGCGGCGCCGCTGCTGCGGAGGACGGCGCGGCCCGGCGGGGGGACGCCGCTGCTGAACGGGGCTGGGCCTGGGGCTGCGCGCCAGGTGAGGCCGGGCAGGGCGCAGGCGGGGAAACTGAGCCCTCGTGCGCCCCGCAGCCCGCGCCCTCGTGAGCCTTCTGGCGGCGCCGCGTGTCTCGGTCCTGGAGGCGACCGAGGCGCGGTGGACTCGGGAACGCGCCCCGGGGCTCCTCGGCGGGGCCGGGCTGGCGGGGGCGCCTGGGGTCTGGAGTCTTCGGAGGCCGCGCCGGGCTCGGTGGCCGGGAGGGCTGCGTGGGCGAGGCGGAGCTCGCCAGACCCCGCGGAATGTGGGGCGCTGAGGGGCGCCGGGGCAGCCGTGGCGCACGTTCATTCCCTCCGGTGTCCCCCAGACTGGCCCTAAAGGGGTGCAAGTGGCTTTCTGTTCAGGTGACTTTTAAAAATTGTCATCCTACACGAGCAACTAATTTTGTTTGCGTTTTTGACCCCCTGGGAGATGGAAACAGTTAAGATTGCAGCCGGGTCACTGTCTTTCAGTGAGAATGACTGAGCGCCTTTATCTGCCATCTTTCTGTGTGGGGATCAGTCCCGACTTTCAGGTGATCTTGGGAGTGACGAGTATTTGTACTCAGTCTCCCTTCGCACCGAGTTGAATTTGCAATGTGCAGGCAAACACAATAAGCAGCAAGTCAGAGGTTGGAATGCGTTCCGCATGTCACCCTGCAGCGTGCGTCTGAGCAGTGTTAAGGTCTGGAGAACCGTTGCGGGTACATTTGTTTCCCTGTCTGTGTATTGTCTTAATATTTTTTTTTTTTTGAGACGGAGTTTCACTGTAGTTGCCCAGGCTGGAGTGCAATGGCGCGATCTCGGCTCACTGCAACCCCCACCTCCCGAGTTTAAGTGACTCTCCTGCCTCAGCCTCCTGAGTAGCTGGAATTACAGGCGTGCGCCACCGCGCCCGGCTAATTTTGTATTTTTAGTAGAGACGGGGTTCCTCCGTGTTGGTCAGGCTGGCCTCGAACTCCCGACCTCACGTGATCCCCCGCACCTCAGCCTCCCAAAGTGCTGGGATTACAGGCGTGAGCCACTGCGCCTGGCCGTATTGTGTTACTTTTGAGTTAATGGACCGTTTTGTTGATGGGTCTTAATCTGCTTTGCAGTTATTCTTTACATTTTCTCTTGTCTAGTCCTTTAAACACTTGTCTTGTGCTTAAAGATTAGGAAGGACGGCAGGGCACGGTGGCTCACATCTGTAATCCCAGCACTTTGGGAGGCCGAGGCGGGTGGATCATGAGGTCAGGAGATTGAGACCATCCTGGCTAATATGGTGAAACCCCGTCTCTACTAAAAATACAAAAAATTAGCCAGGCGTGGTGGCGGGCGCCTGTAGTCCCAGCTACTCGGGAGGCTGAGGCAGGAGAATCAATTGAACCCGGGAGGCGGAGCTTACAGTGAGCGGAGATGGCGCTACTGCACTCCAGCCTGGGCAGAGCGAGACTCCGTCTCAAAAAAAAAAAAAAAAAAAAAAAAGTTTAGGAAGGACACGAAAATCAGCCTGTTTCCATAGAACCTACATTTAGGTTTTCCCAATTCCTTAGAAACGCACCAGACAAAGAAGGTCATAGTCTGCCTTTTGCTGATAAGAAGCAGCAGCTCAGCTCCCTTTGAAGTGGGCCCTCCTGCTCTCCGTGCTGTAGTCTGCATGAAAAGTGATCTGAAGGGGTTAATTTGAAGTGATGGGGCCATGGGTGATTAGTTATTTGTGTGTATGCCTGTGTGTGTATGTGTATGCCTCTGTGTGTGTGTGTGTGTGTTTCTGTTTTAAAAGAAAGGCCAGGTGTGGTGGCTCATGCCTGTAATCCTAGCACTTTGGGAGGCCAAGGTAGGGGAGGATCACTTGAGCCCAGAAGTTCAAGACCAGCCTGGGCAAAATAGTGAAACCCTGTCTCAAAAAAAAAAAAACAAAATTAGCCAGGTGTGGTGATATGCATCTGTAGTCCCAGCTACTGGCTCGGGAGGCTGAGGCAGAGGAGTCGCATGAGCCCAGGAGGTTGAAGCTGCAGTGAGGTGCTTTTTTTTTTTTTTTTCCGAGGTAGTTTGTCACTCTTTTGCCCAGGCTGGAGTTTGAGAACCTATCTCAAAAAATTTAAAAAAAATTTTTTTAATTAAAGAAATCTGAAGTTCACAAGGTAGAAGGAATAAACCCAACTTTAAGGGCTGAAAGGTAAAGATTAGGAACCTTGATGGAGGTTGAATTTGAGTTTCTCTTGGGACTGAATGTGCTTGGGGTTTCCTGTCTGTCTTTGCAAATAGAAGAGTTGATTTTTTGGGAAATAATCTGTTGATCTCTTAACCTTAGAAAGTATTCCCGGCTGTGCACGGTGGCTCATGCCTGTAATCCCAGCACTTTGGGAGGCCGAGGCAGGTGGATCACCTGAGGTCAGGAGTTCGAGACCAGCCTGGCCAACATGGTGAAACCCCATGTCTACTAAAAATAGAAAAATTAGCCGAGTATAGTGGTGAGCGCCTGTAATCCTAGCTAGTCAGGAGGCTGAGGCAGGAGAATCGCTTGAACCCAGGAGGCAGAGGTTGCACTGAGCCGAGATCACGCCATTGCCTGGGCAACAAGAACAAAACTCCATCTCAAAAATAAAAATAAAAAAACTATTCCCTTAAAAGTCATTGTAAGCTTATTTGTTTGTTTGCATTTAATAACAGCGGATACTCTGCTTACAAGCAATTTAAAAAATAGTTTATCGTGCACTTGCTCTGTGGCTGCCTGGGACGCAGGCGCATAAAGCTGCTTCCTTCCTGCTGGAGACAGGCCCAGTGCCCTGTGCGGATGGTCTGCAGGGCCCCTGGGGCAGGAGCAGTCACAAGGCTTGGGCTTGAAGAGCACAAGATCTTCAGGCAGGCGGACGGGGGGAAAGGACAGAGGGAGTGTGTGTTTGGGATGCGCTGTGGAGCCTGGAGGTCAGCCCTGCTGCGCACATGAACAGGCTTTGAATTTGGCTCATCTCTAGGGGAGCCCATGGGAAGCTAGGACCCCATTCCTGAAGGGCCCCAGCCTTCCCCTGCAGACAGACTGGAGAGGCGGAGTCTAGAGGCCAAGACACCACCTCTTAGGCCAGGCGTTTGTGCTCTGAGCATCGGACTCGCCGATGGCCTCCTGCAAGGCCTGTAGCCTCCCTGTTGCCCAGTTTTCCCGTCTGCGAAAAAGTTAACGCATGCATAGCGCTGAGCACGGTGCCTGTCACAAACTACGCTCTGAAGAAACGTGAGTCGTGCCCGGTCGTGTTAAAACCAGCAACACAAGAGGGATTCGTGTTCGTTGTGACTTTCCTGTCCAACTTCCTGAGTAGCTACTGGATTTCTTGGTGCTGCTTTTCTGGGGGAGGGTCTGCTCTGACTGGTGGGCACAGCTCACAGTTAGGCTCAGGCGCACCCCAGTGTGGCCACAGACGGGGTACTGTAAGCTGCCCTTGGGTTCAAGGCCTCCAGAGCTGTTTTGAGCTAAAATATCAACCCAGGCCATCCCCTGCTGACGGGACTGTTCCAGTGAACATGAGAACTGGTCCTAGCTGCCTCCAGGCTCTTTAGGGTTTGTTGCAGGATTTTCAGGTTGGCTGGTGGTGTCGTTGCCACCTCAGCGTGGGCACAGCTGGCCAAACACTATGAGGTGGCTGCCCTGGGCAGGGCAGACTGTGGAGTGGCTTGTTGGAGGCTGGGTGCCCGCTGAAAGCCCAGGCCCTTCAGAGCTGCCTGTGGGTTGCTGTTCCTGTTCTCAGGCCGGTCTTGCTTTGTGTGGTGTAGTGGTGAATTGACCAAGCCAGTCACTGCTCATCTGGTGGTGTTGGGACAGGGCGAGGGTGAGGTCAGCCAGCCCTGGCCGTGTGTGGGCGGCAGGAAGCAGAACTCCTTGAGAACTGAGAGGGAAAGCGGCTGGAGCCAGAAACACTTGGGTCTCAGGGGGCAGTGAGGGGAGGTGGGTATTTGCAGGACATCCCTGGGAACTCATGTTGGGACACTCCACATAAGACCTTGGCAGGGCAGGGGTCTGGGTTAGTGTGGGACTGTGTCCTGCCTGGGCACCCGGAGCCACAGACCGCAGCCTGAGAAAGAACTGTGGGCGCAGCAAGGCTGCGGGGGAGGGTCTGGGGTCGTCGCCAGTGGCCCCTTGAGCTCTGCTGTACTTGAGGAAGTGCCCCTTGGTTCTTTTCTGGCCTCCAGGAAGTCCTCTGCCAGCCTGGGAGGGTTCCCCTGCTGTCCCCTGCCCTTCCCTGCCCTCCAGCATTGCTGTTCAGTGTCTGTCTTGCTTTAGGTCTCTGCCTTAACGCCATGGGGACACTGCATGGACAGCAAAGGCCTCTCCTTGGTCTCTGTGGCCTTTGTGTGTCACCTTGTTTCCTTTGACTGTAACCCCCATCCCCCCGCGGGGCAGCTGCTGTATCCTCTGTGCCTAGCGTCTAGCCTGGTCCTGGCAGAGGCCTGCTGAATGTTAGGACGCAACACAGGCCGAGCAGAACAGCAAATGGTCTTTAATCCTGCTTTAAGTTTTAAAAAAAACTGTGGTAAAGAACACATACCATAAATTTACCATTTTGAGCCAGGCATGGTGGTGCACGCCTCTCATACCAGCTACTTGAGAGGCCAAGGCGGAAGGATTATTTGAGCCCAGGACTTAGAGACCAGCCTGGGCAACATAGCAAGACCTTGTTTCTAAAAAACATTTTGTTTAATGACCGTTTAATCATCCGTGAGTGCAGTCAGTAGGGTTGAGCACGCTCTTAGTGTTACACAACCCATTCCTTGCCAAACTGAAACTGCACCCATTCAACGCTCTCCCTTCCTCCTGCTGCCCAGCCCCCTCGTTGCCATCTGCCTCAGGGGACCTGACGGCTCCAGGGCCCTCTTGCGAGTGGACCTGCGGGAGCTGTCTTTTTCTGACTGGCTTATTTCACGGGGCACAGTGTCCTCCGGCCCGTCGTGCTGCAGCACGGGTCGGTGGTCATTCCTCTTTATGGCTGAATTATTCCATTGCGGGGAGAGGCTGCATTTCCTTGACTCACTCATCCATCGGCACAGCAGGTGCTTCCGCATTTTGGTCATTGTGAACGGTGCTGCTGTGAACATGGCGTGCAAGTGGGACTTTCAGACGCTGCTTTTTTATGTTTGTTTTTGGTTTTTGGTTTTTTGTTTATTTTTGTTTTTGTTTTTGACGGAGTCTCCCTCTGTCGCCCAGGCTGAAGGGCAGTGGTGTGATCTCAGCTTACCACGACCTCTGCCTATTGGGTTCAAGTGATTCTCCTGCCTCAGCCTCCTGAGTAGCTGGGATTACAGGCGCCCACCACCATGCCCGGCTAATTTTTGTATTTTTAGGAGAGTTGGGGTTTCGCCACATTGGTCAGGCTGGTCTTGAACTCCTGACCTCAAGTGATCAGCCCGCCTCAGCCTCCCAAAGTGCTGGGATGACAGACGTGAGCCACCTCCCCTGACCCTGAGTTTTTTTATGTATTCTGAATATTAATCCCTTATCAGATATTAATTCCTTATCACATTTGCAAATATTTTCTCGTTTCATAGGTTACCTTTTGCTCTGTTGTTTTCTTTGATGTGTAGAAGTTTTAAAGTTTGATGTAGTTCCCCTCTATACATTATTTTGACTTTTATTTTGTTTTATTTTATTTATTTATTTGAGACAGGGTCTTGCTCTGTTGCCCAGGCTGGAATACAGTGGCAGGATCTCGGCTCACTGCAACCTCCACCTCCCGGGTTCAAGCAGTTCTCCTGCCTTAGCCTCCCGAGTAGCTGGGATTACAGGTGTGCACCACCATGCCCGGCTAATTTTTTTTTTTTTTTTTCGTTTTTTTTAAGTAGAGACGGGGTTGCTTCATGTTGGCCAGGCTGGTCTCGAACTCCTGACCTCGGGTGATCTGCCCGCCTTGGCCTCCGAAAGCGCTGGGATTACAGGCGTGAGCCACTGTGCCCAGCCCTTTTTTGACTTTTAAATCACTCTGGATTCACAGGAAGCAGCAAAGGTAGCACAGGGGGCTTGTGTACCCTTCACCGAGTTTCCCCCCAATGTTTACCTTTCCGTAACAGCGCAGCCCCAAAACCAAGAGAGTGTCGGTGCAATGCGTGTAGATCCGCGTAAGCACCAGGAAGGGGGTGCAGGCTATTTTCAGACCCATCTTTCTAGTCCCACCCACTCCCAACCCTGATGACCTCGCCTCCCGTCCGGCCCGAGTCTCGCCTCTCGGGAGTGTTGGCTCACGTGTTCCTGAGCCTGTCTGTTTTTAGTTAGTGTCCGGCGCTTGGGACCGTGTAGGTTGCCGTGTGTGGCAGGAGTTTGAGGAACAGCATCTAGTGTTTAATTTATAAGAGCTTGCATTTAAAAAAGAAAGTAACCGCACGGAATGCATTGCTGAACTTGAAGTAAACGTCGTGTTCTTCCATTACGAAAGCCACCTTCTCAAAGTCCTGGCAGAGTTAAGGAAAGAGATGCTGGGAAGGCAAGGCGCCGGAGCCCCATCCTTTCACTCCGGGCAGGGGCAGCTGATGCCCTGCTGGGGGGCAACCCCTCACCCCTCACCCCTCTCGGATCTGCCAAGGCGGCGGCGGTGGGGGTGGCCCGCTGGTCACATACTGCACCGGCAGCCTTCACCTTGGCCTGAATGCATGTGCGGCTCTGCCTGCTGCTGTGGGACAGTGCTGTCGTGGTGTAGACGGTGGCCCTCCTCAAGGCCTCCCAGGCCTGGCGCCCAGGACATGTGACTGTGGCTGTTTTCGTTTTGTTTGGGTTTTTTTTTTTAATTTTAGAGATAGGGTCTTGCCGTGTTGCCCAGGCTGGAGCGCAGTGGTGCAACCATAGCTCACTGTAGCCTCGACTTCCCAGGCTCAAGCGATCCTCTTGCCTCAGCCTCCTGAGTAGTTTGGGCCACAGGTACACGCCACCATGCCTTGCTGATTTTGATTTTTTGTAGAGACAGGGTCTCACTACGTTGTCCAGGTTGGCTTTGAACTCCTGGGCTCAAGCGATCCTCCTGCCTGAGCCTCCCAAAGTGCTGGGATTACAGGCGTGAGCCACCACGTCCGGCCAGAATGATCCGTTATTTCCAGCAAGGAATAGCCTGAGAAGCACGGCAGGCCTTGAGTGGCGTTAGAGAGAAGTGCTGACATCTTGAGTGATGGAGAGGGTGGCCCTCTGGGCAGGGTGTGTCCCACAGGGTGCCTGTTTGGACGTGGGGTCCTTCCTCATGGTGAAATGGGTCTTTTGGGTTCCGTGGTCTCTGTTTGGGGCATCGGGGCACCTGTCCACCTGGGAGGTGGGGGTCAGAGGCCCAGCGCTGGTCCCAGGGCTGTTTTCTGGTGGTGAGACCTGGAGTCCAGGGGCTTTGATGTGAGTGTGAGCAAGAGGGAGTGGGCAGCTGGCCAGGCCACTGCTTCCATCATGCCTGGACCGTGGCACCTTCCTCCTCCCACCGTCAGCCCGTGTGGCAGGAGACTCAAGCTGTGAGTTTCGCCTGTGACTGAGGGCTCAGGGAGAGCCACTGGCATGTGGCAAGGCTGGGGGAAGAGGAGGGGCAGGCGCCCTGTGACTCAGGGTTGTGTCCAGCAGGACCTGTGCACTCTAGCCCCTCCCACACTCTCCCCTGGGCGTGGAGATGCCACGGCAGACACCTGCGAGTCTGTCTGTCTGTCTGTCTGGCCTCTGCTCCTGGCTTTTGATGGGGATGGCCTGAGAGTGCTCTTTGCCTGGGGAGAGGAGGAGGCTCTGACTGGTGTCTGCCAAGGGCCAGTGGCACGTGCCCAGGTTCCTTCCCCTGCCAGGGCCACTTACCGGGTCATCAACACGGGGGGTGTACAGCAAGGGCGACGGTGGCTGGTAACAGGACGATGGTTGGGGAAGGGGTCCCTGGAGGGCAGTGGGCTGGAAGGTCAGGTTCTTTTTTTTTTTTTTTTTTTTTTTTTTTTTTTGAGACAGAGTCTTGCTGTTACCTAGGCTGGAGTGCAGTGGTGCGATCTCAGCTCACTGCAGACTCCACCTCCCGGCTTCAAGCGATTCTCCCGCCTTAGCCTCCCAAGTAGCCCGCCTACTTTTTGTATTTTTAGTAGAGATGGGGTTTCGCCATGTTGGCCCAGCTGGTCTCGAACTCCTGGCCTCAAGTGATTTGCCCGCCTCAGCCTCTGAAAGTGCTGGGATTACAGGCATGAGCCACTGTACCCCGCCGGGAAGGTCTGGTTCTGAAGGCAGTTTCTGGGATGGCGGTTTGGGGAGCCCGTCTCCTTCAGGGGTGAGCACTCCAGAGAAAGCAGGACCCCCACCCCTGGCTCGCAGTGACCTCAGATCCCAAACCTTCCTTCTCTGCTTCTGTGTCCTTGCCTGTGTGTGGTAATCGTGATCCCCGTGGATAGGTGGAGGTTGAGGGAAAACTGGGCCCCAGTGCAGGCCGTTCCTGCACGTCTCCCCGTCCCCACCTCGGCCCTGTGGGCTCCTGGCGCCATCACCTGCCGTTCTATCACCAAGAAGCACTTCCAGGCCCTGCTGAAACCTGGTGCGGGAGGCCGAGCCTGAGGAAGGTGGAGGGAGAGATGGGGGGATGAGGAGGGGACGGCGTTGGGGGCCGGGAGGGCTGCTCCCAGGGAAGGCGGGCGGCAGCCTCGTTGGTCTTCCCACGGCCGGTACCAGCCGCTGGACTCCTCCGCCAACACTTTCCTGACAGGCGCACGGGCTCTCTGATGCAGATGGCGGGCGCCCTGCGCATGCGGTCCCTCCACCTGGAAGGCAGCCCTTCTTCCCTTCATGTCCCCAGATGTTGCTAAAGATTCAGGAGATAGTGGAAATTGGAGTCGTCTCCAAAGGATCTCTTTGGGGAAAGGAGGCTGAGGTCTTGGCTCCTCCTAGCCTGGCCTCAGCGCCTTGGCTCTAGTAAGGAGCCGGAGACTGGGGTGGGAGCTCCGTAAGTCACATCTGCACCACGCCACCCAGGGCCCGCTGCCCTGCCCCTGCCCTGAGCTGGGGCGGCCGCAAAGCCTTAGGTGGCTGAGACCCCACCCAGCTCTGCCTGACAGCTGGGCGTCCTGTGGGGAGGGCAGCGTGAACACTGTGGAGCCGTTTGTGTCTCAAGACCCAGAGAGGCTGCAGTGGAGGTGACTCTGTGGAGGTGGCAGGTGGCTGAGCAGGGCCTCGGGAGCAGGGTTGGGCAGGATGGCCCAGGGTGCTGTGGCGGGCACTGCATTGGGGGCGGCGTGTTGTCCAGCCCTTCTTTCCTGGTGGGTGGCAGGTGCCTCGCTTTCAGTCTAGAGCAGGGAGCTTGCGCCCTGGACTCGGGCTGGACGTGTCGCTGACAGGCCGAGGGGCAGCCGGATCAGTTCTGCTTCCAGGGCCCAGGGAGGCCCGTCCCAGCCCTGCTGCCCCCACCCAGCAGGCAGGCCTGGCCTAGCCCATTCCTGAGCTCCCGGGCAGGGTCAGGCGAGGCCAGGGTGCGGCGGCGGGAGTGAGAATCCACGGAGCAGAGCGTGCGACGCCTGAGCGCCCTCATGATTTCTCTTCTGCTTTTAGTCACCACGTTCTGCGCTTTTCCGAGTCGGACATATGAGCAGCGTGGAGCTGGATGATGAACTTTTGGACCCGGTGAGTTGGGGGTGTTCCCCGTCCTCCCGCAGAGCTAGCTGCATCTTAGCAGAGGGTGACAGGGATGGGCACGGGCCGAGCGGCAGGGAGATAGTGGGGCCCCAGGGCCGGGGTTCAGGGAAGATTTCCTTGGGGGGACATGGTCCCTGACGCCAAGTGAGCAGAGGCAGCTGGGCAGAAGTGCTCTCAGACGGAGGAGTGCAGGGCGCAGGAAGCCGGTCAGGACAGCAGTGACAGCATGGGCAGCGAGGGGGCTGGACCTGGCTTTGGGACAGGGCAAGGACAGGGATCTTGGGGGGGCAGTGAGGAGCCCCAGGAGAGTGAGAGGGGGCCGGATGCCTCTGACTTCAGAGGGCAGGGGTTTAGATGTTCCCGTGCCAGTGGCTGCCCTGGGAGTCCTGAGCTCAGCGGCAGCGTGCTCGTCTTCCTTCCCCTCGGGGGCATCTCCCGCCGGCCTCGGTTTTTCCCCCAGCCGCTGGTGAGGCCGGGAGTCCTCTGCTGCCGCTGGCCGTTCACTCATCGTCTCTGGGTAGATGTCTGTGCGGGACTCCTGTTGAGATGATCCTGATGTTGGCAACACCCCGGGCGTCCTCCTTCTCCCCATCAGGCCCCACCTGGCTCTGCCCTGGGCCACGTCAGAGGCTGAGGCATCTCACAGTCCACCTGTCCGGGTGCTCTTCGGCCTTGCGTCCGTTTGAGCTCTGCCGCAGTCGCTCCCGAGGCCGGCGCCGTGCTCAGATGCCGTCCTGTACAGCCAGCAGCGCCTCTTCCGGGGCTGCCCTTCTGATACGTTTGTGCTGCCTCTGGAGCCACAAGGCCTTCGGAAGATCTGTTTCGTGGCCGTGGGCGCCTTCGGCACTGCCTTTTTGGACTTCAAAGCCTTTGCTCTGGTGTCAGCTTTGGGAGGGGCAGGAGTTGGGAGAGAAGGGAAAAAGCCAGCACGTGAGATTCAGCAATCAGTCCTCTCCTGTCTCAACCCTGGAGCGGGTGCCTGGCCGGCCACACGCGTGTTGGTTATGCTCATTTTTAAACTGGGTTTGTTGTCTTTATAATTGAGCTGCAGGAGTTCTTTATACATAGATGCAAATCTCTCATCCAATACATGATTTATAGAAGTTTTCTCCCGTTCAGTGGGTTTTCTGTTCACTTTCTCAGTGGTGTCTTTTGTTGCTCAAATTTATTTAATTAAAAAAGTTTTGGCCAAGGGAGGTGATTCGTGCCTGTAATCCTAGTACTTTGGGAAGCAGATGGATTCATTGAGCTCAGGAGTTCAAGATCAGCCTGATCAACATGGTGAAACCCTGTCTCTACAAAAAATATAAATATTAGCTGGGCCTGGTGATAGGCACCAGTAGTCCCAGCTACTTGGGAGGCTGAGGTTGGAGGATCACTTGAGCCCAGGAGGTGGAGGTTTCAGTGAGCTGAGATGGTGCCACTGCACTTCAGCCTGGGTGACAGAGTGAGATCCTGCCTCAAATTTTTTTTTTTTTTTCTGGGCAGGTGTGGTGGTTCACACCTGTAATCCCAACACTTTGGGAAACCAAGGCTGCAGCCCAGGATTTGGAGATCAGCCTAGACAACACAGTGAGACCCTGTCTCTACAAAAAACAAAAACAAAAACGAAAATTAGCCAGGTGTGGTGGTGTGCGCCTGTGGTCCCAGCTACTCAGGACGCTGAGGCAGGTGGATTGATCGAACCCAGGAGGTTGAGGCTGCAGTGAGCCATGATCACACCATTGTACTTCAGCCTGCGTGACAGACGGGACCCTGTCTAAAAAAATTAATTATTACTATTCTTTGAGATGAGGTCTCACTGTGTGGCCCAGGCTGAACTCCATCTCTCAGGCTCAAGCAATCCTCCCGTTTCAGCTTCTTCCTGAGGAGCTGGGACCACAGGTGCATCACACCCCGCACAGGTTGTATTGCTGAGGTTCAGCTAATCTGTTTTTTCTTGTGTTGCTTGTACTTTTGGTGTCAAATCTAAGAAACCATTGCCTCACCCAAGAGTATGACGACTGACCCGTTTTTTCCTAAGAATTTTACAGTTTTAGGTCTTTCATCCCTTTTGAGTTAATTTTTGGATGTGGTGTGAGGTAAGGGTCCAACGTCATACCCTCCCTCTCTCTCTCTCTTTTTTTGAGACAGGGTCTCACTGTCACCCAGGCTGGAGTGCAGTGGTGCAATCATGGTTCACTGCAGCCTCTGCCTCCTGTCTGTCTCCCAAGTAGCTGGGACTCAGGCGCATGTCACCATACTCAGCTAATATTTTGTAGAGATGGAGTCTTACTATGTTGCCCAGGCTGATCACAAACTCCTGGCCTCAAGCAGTCCTTCTGCCTCTGCCTCCCAGAGTGCTGGGATTATAGCTGTCAGCCATTGCGCCCGGCCCAGCTTCATTTTTGCATGTGGAAATCCAGTTGTACCAGCACCATTTGTTGAAAACACTACCTTTCTCTGTTGAAATGTTTTGACACTGTTGTGGGAAATCAATTGATCGTACATGTTTTGGATTTCTTTCTGGACTCTCTCAATTCTCTTCCATTCTTTTGTGGCCATCTTCATGCCAGTACCATGCCTGGTTTTTTTTTTTTTTTTTTTTTTGGCTTTTTTTTAAGAGTTGGGGTCTCACTGTGTTGCCCAGGCTGGGTGGATCACTTGAGGCCAAGAGTTTGAGACCAGCCTGGCCAACATGGTGAAACCCCGTCTCTACTAAAGATACAAAAATTAGCCAGGCGTGGTGGTGCACACCTGTAATCCCAGCTACTTGGGAGGCTGAGGCAGGAGAATGGCTTTAACCTGGAAGGCGGAGGTTGCAGTGAGTTGAGATCGCGTCACTGCACTCTAGCCTGGGCAAAAAGAGTGACTGTATCTCAAAAAAAAAAAAAAAAAAAAAAAAAAAAAGACAGATGAGGGTTTTACTCTGTTGCCCAGGCTGGTCTTGAACTCCTGGCTTCAGTTGATCCTCTTGCCTCTGCCTCCCAGAGTGCTGGGATTACAGGTGTGAGCCACCGCACCCGGCCTCATGGATTGATTTTTGGATGTTAAACTAACTTGTATTCCTAGGCTGAATTCACCTTGCTCCTGGCATTGCTGGAATCACTTTGCTTGTGTCTTACCAAAGATCTTTGCATCCGTGGTTGTAGGGGTGTTGGTCTGTAGTTCTCTTTTTTTTTTTTTTCTTTGAGACGGAGTCTTGCTCTGTCACCCAGGCTGGAGTGCAACGGCGCAATCTCGGCTCACTGCAACCTCTGCATCCCGGGTTCAAGCGATTCTCCTGCCTCAGCCTCCTGAGTAGCTGGGATTACAGGCGCCCACCACCACGCCCAGCTAATTTTTGTATTTTTAGTAGCGACAGGGTTTCATCTTGTTGTCCAGGCTGGTCTCGAACTCCTGACCGCAGCTGGTCCACTTGCCTCGGCCTCCCAAAGTGCTGGGATTGTAGGTGTCAGCCACCGCGCCCCATGTGCAGTTCTCTTGCTGTGTCCTTGTCCTTGGTGTCGGGATGATAATGGCCTCGTGTGTGAGCTGAGAGGGGCCTCTCTCCTTGTGGCCTTGTCAACTGTGCTTCTCTCTTTGCCTTTTTCTGCCACAGGATATGGACCCTCCACATCCCTTCCCCAAGGAGATCCCACACAACGAGAAGCTCCTGTCCCTCAAGTATGAGGTGGGCGTCCTTCTGTCCCCCTGACCCTGAGACCCGGCCTCTGCCCCCTGCCAGCCCACTCCCGGTCCCCTGTGCCCGCACCCAGAGCGTGGGTTCGGTGCTGAGTGCTGCCCTTGCTGTCCCGGCCTGCAGAGCTTGGACTATGACAACAGTGAGAACCAGCTGTTCCTGGAGGAGGAGCGGCGGATCAATCACACGGTGAGCTGGACGCCGCTCCCTGCAGGGCCCCACGGTGCGGGGCCTGGTGCCGGCCGGGCCTGGGGCTGCTCTTCTGCCGGGGTGAGGTGACGCACCTCCTCCCTCCTCCTCTGACTCCGCCTCTGAGGCCTGTGGTTCGTCTGGTTTCTAGAGACAGTGGGAGGGTCACGGTCACCGTAACCAAGAAGGCTGCTCTTACGGCCGCCAGATGCGGTGCCCAGCATAACAACCGCTGGCTGTGAAGTTGTTGGGAATTCACCCACCTCCCCGAGTCACCCTCGGGCCCCGGGTGCGCCTCAGATGTTGGCCAGAAACTGTCCTTTGTGGGACTCAGCGCACCGTGCACACTGGGCCCTTCATAATCCCGGGGCCTGCAGGCGGTCTGGGCGGTCCTGCTGCTGCCAGAGTGACTGCGCCAGGGCCCTGCCTGACCCTCGCCCTGACCGCGCCCTGCAGGCCTTCCGGACGGTGGAGATCAAGCGCTGGGTCATCTGCGCCCTCATTGGGATCCTCACGGGCCTCGTGGCCTGCTTCATTGACATCGTGGTGGAAAACCTGGCTGGCCTCAAGTACAGGGTCATCAAGGGCAGTATCCTTCCCAGTGCGGCCGCTGCAGCTTGGGAGGGGGGCGTGGCCTGGGCCGAGTCCCGGGCAGAAGTCCTGAGCCCAGCGTGTTCCAGTGCAGGTGGAGGCGGCCCGGCCAGGCTGGCTGTGTCCCTGTCATGGTTGGGCCGTGAGACGTCTCTGGGATGTCCAGTGAACATCATGGCTCCACCCAGCAGGGTGGCATCTGCCAGGCTGGTCTGTGGGGCAGGGCTGAGGTCTGGGCTGGGTGGTCATGACGGGGAAGCAGCCAGCCCTCCTTGATGAGCCCCAGATATCGACAAGTTCACAGAGAAGGGCGGACTGTCCTTCTCCCTGTTGCTGTGGGCCACGCTGAACGCCGCCTTCGTGCTCGTGGGCTCTGTGATTGTGGCTTTCATAGAGGTGGGTGGCAGGATGCCGCAGCTATGGCGGACCCCATGAAGGATTGGGGGTCTTGGTGAATGGGCGGGAACCCCTGCAGCTCACCCACCCCCACCATCACATTGGCTGACAACCCGGGCACTTTTAGAATCACGTGGTCCAGACTCACAACCTCAGGAGGAGCAGACACACCAGGGCCTCTTCACCCCCAGAGCCCTGGGGTGCTGCTCCTGACCTACCAGCACAGGCCTGGGCACCCTCACCCCACTCCGCCCCTCCTTCCATCTCCTCACTCTGCCCTCCCCTCCTTCCATCTCCACCTCCGCCTCCACCACGTCCTTGATCTGTGTCTGGGCTGGGAAGAGTGAGAGCAGCTACCCCAACGACATGAGACCCTTCCCTGGGGCCCCAACGTGTGTGCTGCTCTTCCCTTCCCTGAGGCCCCGACGTGTGTGCTGAGCTCCCCTTCCCTGGGGCCCCGAAGTGTGTGCTGCTCTCCCCTTCCCTGAGGCCCCGACGTGTGTGCTGCTCTCCCCTTCCCTGAGGCCCCGACATGTGTGCTGAGCTCCCCTTCCCTGGGGCCCCGACGTGTGTGCTGAGCTCCCCTTCCCTGAGGCCCCGACGTGTGTGCCGCTCTCCCCTTCCCTGGGGCCCCGAAGTGTGTGCTGAGCTCCCCTTCCCTGGGGCCCCGAAGTGTGTGCTGAGCTCCCCTTCCCTGAGGCCCCGACATGTGTGCTGAGCTCCCCTTCCCTGAGGCCCCGACGTGTGTGCCGCTCTCCCCTTCCCTGGGGCCCCGAAGTGTGTGCTGAGCTCCCCTTCCCTGGGGCCCCGAAGTGTGTGCTGAGCTCCCCTTCCCTGAGGCCCCGACATGTGTGCTGCTCTCCCCTTCCCTGGGGCCCCGAAGTGTGTGCTGAGCTCCCCTTCCCTGAGGCCCCGACATGTGTGCTGCTCTCCCCTTCCCTGAGGCCCCGACGCGTGTGCTGCTCTCCCCTTCCCTGATGCCCCGACGTGTGTGCTGAGCTCCCCTTCCCTGGGGCCCCGACGTGTGCGCTGCTCTCCCCTTCCCTGGGGCCCTGACGTGTGTGCTGCTCTTCCCTTCCCTGGGGCCCCGACGTTTGTGTGCTGAGCTCCCCTTCCCTGAGGCCCCGACGTGTCTGCTGCTCTCCTCAGCTCCTGGGGCTCCTGGGGCTGAGGGGCTGCATCTGTCTCAGCCTGGCCGTGACCCACTCAGCCGTGCTTCCCCTCTTTCAGCCGGTGGCTGCTGGCAGCGGAATCCCCCAGATCAAGTGCTTCCTCAACGGGGTGAAGATCCCCCACGTGGTGCGGCTCAAGGTGAGGGTGCGGTGGCCCTGGCTGGGCAGGGTGGGCGCCCGCTCTTTGCTGGTTCAGGAGCAGCTCTCTTGGCTGCCTGCCTTCCAGAACTGGCCTCAGCCACCCTGTGTACTGGTGGCACTGTGTGCAGATGGGCTGGCTGGGTGTGAAGGGGTCACCTTTTTTTCTGAAAGTGGTAACAACTGGTATTTGCACATATTAAATTACGTAAGAAATGAGTAGTCATACAGAAATGCTTGCGTGGTGCATGTGTGACACAGCTGTGCGACGCGTCTGTGACTGTGGGCTGCGTGGTGGTGACTGATTCACCGTGGAAGCTGTCGTGGTAGTGGGCGTGTAGCAGTTTCCCGCTTTCAGTTTGCCTCATGGTCATTTACACTTGGTGTTATCAGAGCATCTGGTTCTGGAGGTGCTGGGAGTCCTGACCCAGTTCCGCTGTGGTTGCTTCTGTCTGTGCCGCCATCGTTCCTTAGCCTGAGACTTGCCGCAGCCCCGTCCCGTCTGAGGATGGGTGGGCAGCATGGCCGCTGCCCCCTGGGGGTGCTTCCGGGGCCTGGTCCCCGTGGCCAAGGAGCGGGACCAGTGTGTCCCCTCTGGCGAAAGCTCCCAGGTGACCTTGGGGTGCCCCTGCCCTGTGGTGGGAGATCAGGTTTACTGGAGCAGCTGGGAATGGCGACCCGCCTGTCACCCGCGCCAGGCTGGCCTGAACCTTCTTGGATGTTGCTCTATAACTTTTGTTGGCTGAGGGTTGAGTTTGCTCGGCATCTTTAACATACAGTCCTCCCCCACACACTCAGCGCCCTTGTGTTTAGGGTCTGCGCCCTTGTGGGTTCTGCCCTGGGGCAGGGAGGCTGATAAACACCTTACACACCTTCTCAGGTGGAGAGGATGAGGCCCCTGGGGGCGGGGAGCAGCCGAAGGGAGAGGGGGCATCGTGGAGCCGCAGGTGACCAGCCTTCCAGTGCCAGGGGTGTATGAGGAGCCTTGCTAGGCGGGGCTAGCGGGAACACCTCCCCTGTGCTGGCCACGCTGGCGGAGGCAGGTGTGCCTGTAGGATGCGGTGGGCGGCCCAGCTTTGCCTCAGGAAGGAAGGAAACGAAAGAACCCCTTGCCTGCTCAGTGCTGAGGCCACAGAGGGCAGGTCCCCCGAGTGAGTGCGGGGGACGCTTGGCTGCTGTTTAGCTCCACTGTGGCCATGGGGAGACCCAGCCTGGGGGTGCTGGCCCCCTCCCGGAGGCCCCGTGTCCCAGCCACTCTGCCTGATCGGGGCTGTGTGTGCTGTTTTACGGCTCAGGTCCAAAGACAGCGCCTGCCTTTTCATCAGAGGCCATGCGTCTCCCTGTGTTTCAGACGTTGGTGATCAAAGTGTCCGGTGTGATCCTGTCCGTGGTCGGGGGCCTGGCCGTGGGAAAGGTAACAAAGTGCACATGGCCACTCCAGCTGGAGCCTGAGGCCGCCGGGCCCGCGAGGGCCGCCACGCCCATGTGTGTCTCTGAGCACCGGTCCTTCTGGTCTCCAGGAAGGGCCGCGTCACGCGTGTCTCTGAGCACCGGTCCTTCTGGTCTCCAGGAAGGGCCGCGTCACGCGTGTCTCTGAGCACCGGTCCTTCTGGTCTCCAGGAAGGGCCGCGTCACGCGTGTCTCTGAGCATCGGTCCTTCTGGTCTCCAGGAAGGGCCGCGTCACGCGTGTCTCTGAGCATCGGTCCTTCTGGTCTCCAGGAAGGGCCGCGTCACGCGTGTCTCTGAGCACCGGTCCTTCTGGTCTCCAGGAAGGGCCGATGATCCACTCAGGTTCAGTGATTGCCGCCGGGATCTCTCAGGGAAGGTCAACGTCACTGAAACGAGATTTCAAGGTGAGTTGAAATCTTGTGTGGGTGGGCTCCAGATGCCATGGGCACGGGCACGGGCACCACTCAGGGAGATGGGCTTCCCTCAGCACCCCCAGGCCGAGAGCCCCAGCCCCATCTGAGGACAGCCTGGCGGGTGGCTCCCAGAGCCAGCGGGCACAGTCCCTGCCCGGCAAGGCCTCCCTACGGCCCGCTGCTTCCCTCCTTGGGTCCCCTGCCACACGTGCATCAGTGTTTCCCGTGGGAGGGTCTGTGGCTCCAAGCGGCTTCTCAGAGGAGTGCAGAACCTGAGACCAAGTGTGCCCACCTGTTGTTTATTTGTCAAGACACACTTTGGAACACTTTTTCCCCAAAAAAGTCCCCAGCATGTTGATGGGGATTGAGCTGCATTTGTGTGTGATTGTATTTTTTTTTTTTTTTTGAGATGGAGTCTCTCTGTTGCCCAGGCTGGAGTGCAGTGGTACAATCTCAGCTCACTGCAGCCTCCACCTCCCAGGTTCAAGCAATTCTCCTGCCTCAGCATCCCGAGTAGCTGGGATTATAGGTGCCCGCCACCACGCCTGGCTAAGTTTTTTGTATTTTTAGTAGAGATGGGGTTTTGCCATGTTGGCCGGGCTGGTCTCAAACTCCCGACCTCAGGTGATCCGCCTGCCTCGGCCTCCCAAAGTGCTGGGATGACAGGCGTGAGGCACCGCGCCGGCCATGTGTGAATTTAGAGGCAGGCAGCGTCCCGCAGGACAAAGAACAGCAAGGCTGGGTTTCCATCCGTGCGCTTTTCGTTAGAGGGTAGAGGTTTTTGGAATCTTGCGTGCGCTGGAAAGTGGAGCTCCTGGCTGGGTGTTTGCGTGTTTCCCTGGGCTGCCGGTGGTGGTGCTGACCCTGCTGTCTCTTGCCGTGGTCTGCAGCACGGTGCTCTTCAGGAATCAGAGCTGCTGACTCGGTTGTCCTGAAAGCCCCTTCCCCTGCACAGCCCCTGTCCTGGCAGTTGCTCTCCCTTTCTGAGAGCCGTGCCCTCAAGGAACCTGCCCCGACCCTGGTCTGTCCCTGTTGCAGATCTTCGAGTACTTCCGCAGAGACACAGAGAAGCGGGACTTCGTCTCCGCAGGGGCTGCGGCCGGAGTGTCAGCGGCGTTTGGAGCCCCCGTGGGTGAGGAGGGCCGCACCGGGTCCAATGCTTTGCCCTCGCCCTGTGTGTTGGAAGGAACGGTCTCCTCTCTGTAGGCCCAGTGCCCGCTGAGGGTGGCAGAGGCTTGGAGTCACGGCCGGGGCATTTGGAAGCGGCCGGCAGTGTACTTGGGTCCAGCCCTCAGACCTCCCTCAGGGTCCCTCTCTGTGTGGCTGGGGCCCACCCCATTAGCTTCTTTCTGACGTGGTCTGGGTTCCCTGGAGCCTGGGGGAGGGAGTTGGTGGTGGGCATGGTGCCCTGTGTCCAGCTGGCACCCGAGCCGGCCGCCTGCCTTCCAGGTGGGGTCCTGTTCAGCTTGGAGGAGGGTGCGTCCTTCTGGAACCAGTTCCTGACCTGGAGGATCGTAAGTTCCTGCTGATGGCTGCCTCCTGATCAGGGTGCATGCTGCGCTCTCATTTCCCACCATGGGGTCCACCTTGGGGCCACCCATCGAGCTGCGGCTGGAGCTGGACCCCCTGTGGGTCTGTCAGGCCTTGGTCCTGCCCAAAGCAGCGGTCCTGCCTTTGCTGCCCAGTTCGCCCTTGGTCCTGGGCACCATTGCCAGCCCTGGGTGGCTCCCGGGTAGGGGATCAAACAGCCGGGAACCCAGCCCTGCCCCACCTTCCCCTCTTGCTCTCCACTGGCAAGTCCAGAGAGGGCTGGGCCGCTCCTTGCCCGCACAGTGCGCCCACCCCTGGCTCCAGCCCCTTCCCTTCTGCCTTGGGCGGGGTCTGCAGACTCCTGGCCCCGGGGCTGACAGGAGGGGCGATGGTCCCTGCTGGTCCGTGAGCCCTGGGCTGGGAGCGTGGCTCTGAGGGCGCTGGTTTCCTGCCCTCTGCCGCAGTTCTTTGCTTCCATGATCTCCACGTTCACCCTGAATTTTGTTCTGAGCATTTACCACGGGAACATGTGGGACCTGTCCAGCCCAGGCCTCATCAACTTCGGAAGGTTTGACTCGGAGGTAACCTGCCCCATCGCCCACCTCGCCCACCTCGTATCCTGGTCCAGGACCCTGTTTGCTTAAGGCCCAGGTTGAGAATTTGGTCCTTTAGAAAACTCTGGTTGATAGCTGTGGAGCTGAGAGCTCTTGTGTAAGCTCCAGGGCCCCGAGGGGCTGCAGGAAGACACCCCAAGCTGCCCCTCAGGTCAGGGCACCATGTGACCAGCAGGGCACCTGGGATGTCACACAGTTGCTGCGTGCATGGGGCCTCCCACGGCCTGGGGGCACGTGCAGCAGCCGCTCTCGGGGCAGGTGGGCTCAGGCCTAGTTTCCAGGGTAGCCTGGGGCCTGGGCTGGGGAGACTCTCCGTGCCATCGATAGGGCGGCTCTGTGCGCAGGAAACTGGGGGACCACGGGCTATGTTCCCAGTGCTTGGGGCCCTCCCCGCCCCGGGTGCTGAGGGTGGCAGGGTCTCTGAGAGCCTCGCTGGCCACCCCGCCAGGCAGGGGCCAGGCCTGCTCAGAACACCCAGTGTGTTTCTCCCCTGTGGACTTCCGCAGCCTGCGTGGAAGGGCGGGAAGGCTCTCTGTGGGGACAGCTCTCTTAAGATGGTGGTCCTTGAGTTTCAGCAGAAAGGAGCTGTGGGCCTTTTCCCTCACATCCTCTGCCTTCTCCCTCTCTCTGCACAGAAAATGGCCTACACGATCCACGAGATCCCGGTCTTCATCGCCATGGGCGTGGTGGGTAAGGGCTTCTCCCAGCACCGCAGGGACGGCCTGCGGGCCTGGCTCAGCTGTGACGTGGCCATAGAGACGAGGACTGGAGGCTGTGGCTCCCTGGAGCCTGCCCTCATCCCAGGGCCACCCGGGGGCCTCCAGATTCTTCCATGGGCAGTACACGTGGGGAGTGGGGAGCCCAAAGCTTCGCTTCTGTGGCTTCCCGTTGTTTATCTCTGTTGGCAAAAACCACAGGGCTGCAGGGATGGATGGGATTTCCTGTAAGAGATAGAATTGCTCCCACCAGTATTTATTGCTCTGCTGGACACCTTTGCCCTGGAAGGAAGGCAGAGCCTTTGAGAAACAGCTCCCCCAGCCCTCAGGGTGTGATGATGTGGAGGAAGCATCTTACCAGGACCCCCTAGCCCCCTGCCGTCCCCTTCCCTCTGCAAACCCTCCAGCTTCTCCTGCCATCTGGGAGCCGGCGGGCGGAGGCCCGCACTTTTCCTCCGGTGTCGCTGACTGGCCTTTCCCCTGTTCGCAGGCGGTGTGCTTGGAGCAGTGTTCAATGCCTTGAACTACTGGCTGACCATGTTTCGAATCAGGTGAGGAGAAACCGCATTGCATATCGCGTTGGCAGGCGTGGCCACACAGGCCCTTTGAAAGCGGACGTGGTGGAATGGGGTTTACACTCCTAGGCCACAGCCGAAAGAAAGGCTGTGTATGCAGCGTCCTTCCTGATGGTTTCCCCGGTGGAGCTGGTCAGAGATGTGTCCCGGGGCCTGGAGGGTGACGGACTAGCCCAAGGCTAGGAGTGCGAGGGCTCCTGGAGGACGGCCCCTGGGTAGGAAGTGAGGCCCTGCGTGGGATCGGGCCTGGGCGAGGCATGCCCAACCTTCACCGCCTGGCTCTGCCTGGTAGCAACCGCAGCTGTCCTGGGACACCGGGGCCCCCCGGCTTCTTCCTTCTTGGTCTGTGCTGATTTCAATACTGTCGGGTACAGCCGGGGCACGGGTAGCGCCACTTCCCACACATCTGGAGAAGTTGCTGCCGAGGAGTCTTTACCCCAGGGAAGAGGACGACCCCAGGACATTTGGGTGCCTGATTGATGATTAAACACAGGCCTGGCCGGGCGCGGTGCCTCACGACTATAATCCCAGCACTTTGGGAGGCCGAGGCGGGTGGATCACCTGAGGTCGGGAGTTCTAGACCAGCTTGACCAACATGGAGAAACCCCGTCTCTACTAAAAAATTCAAAAAAAAATTAGCCAGATGTAGAGCCGGGCGCCTGTAATCCCAGCTACTCGGGAGGCTGAGGCAAGACAATTGCTTGAACCTGGGAGGTGGAGGTTGCAGTGAGCCAAGATCGCAGCACTGCACTCCAGCCTGGGCAACAAGAGCAAAACTCCGTCTCAAAAACAAAAACAAACAAACAAAAAGCACCACGGGCCCAGTGTCCTCCATCAGGGACTCGAGTTGCCATGGGGCCTGCGGAGGGGCCGCGCTGCCGTCCTGCCTGCCATGCAGCCTGATTCTTGGTTCCAGGTACATCCACCGGCCCTGCCTGCAGGTGATTGAGGCCGTGCTGGTGGCCGCCGTCACGGCCACAGTTGCCTTCGTGCTGATCTACTCGTCGCGGGATTGCCAGCCCCTGCAGGGGGGCTCCATGTCCTACCCGCTGCAGGTGGGAGGCTGGGCCCGGGCGGGGTCCAGCAGGCAGGGCAGCCACAGGGCGGCCTCCAGGAGGCTCGCTTAGGCTACGGGAGGAGGGCTGCCCACCCCGCCGAGTTCCAGAAGCGCATGGGCTGGCGTGTCTCAAAGAGGGTTAGTCCTGTCCACCCAGATCTCAGAGGAGGCCAGGTGTCTGCTGAGGTGCCAGGGGAATGGGCGGTGGTATGGGGGCCAGAGGCTCCCCCCAGTCCTCTTCCCAGAATGGCAGCCTGACGGGGCGAGCCTCAGGCGCCCTATGGGGGCACCATAGATGTGGACCCAGGAGAAATGCAAACCTCCGTCCACAACTGGACCTGTGCCTGGCGCTCACGGCTCACCGCCGTCCGTGCGTCCATCTGCACTGTGACACGGTTGCCCTGGAAAGCACTACGCTCAGAGGAACCACACGTGAGGTCACGCGACGTAGCCCCATTAACATGAAACATCCAGAACAGGGAGAGCCTAGAGGCCCAGCAGACCAGTGGGTGCCACGGCGGGAGTGGGCAGGATGGGACGGGTCAGGTGTGAACCGTTAGAGACGTGGGAGGCCCGGGGCCATGGGGTTGACCAGCCTTGCTACACTCTGCTCCAGCCCCGTGGATAACACCCCCTGTGCTGCTGGAGCCCAGGAGGCTCTGGGCCTGTGGCACCGGGGCGCCAACAGCCTCTTCTAGGAGCTCATGTGAGCGCCTGGGCCCACCTTCCCCGGCACCAGGGATGGACAGCGTCTCAGCCCATGGTCCTGCTAACCCACCCCCCAGGGCTAGACACGGCCCCCTGCTGGGCCTAGGCCGTGTGTGTCCTCCTTTCCCTCCGTGACCATGGCTTGGGCCTTGTGTGTCCTCCTTGCCCTCTGTGACCGTGGCCCTGACCCAATGGCAGGATCGTGTGGTTTCGCGCCTGATGCTGGCCAGGCACAGGGTACACGGCCTCTCACGGCGACACCAGGTTTGTGCCTGCAGCCCACCAGCTCATCTCCCCTCCCAACGTGTGCTCTCTCCCGACCCCACAGCTCTTTTGTGCAGATGGCGAGTACAACTCCATGGCTGCGGCCTTCTTCAACACCCCGGAGAAGAGCGTGGTGAGCCTCTTCCACGACCCGCCAGGTGTGTGTGGGCAGTGCCGCTGGGCAGGCCCTGGGATCAGGGCCTGGGTGATGCCTTCTGGCTGAGTGTCCCCTGTGGGCTGAGGTTGCAGCCCTGGGCTGGGGGGTCATCCCTAGCATGGATCATAGCAGGGACTCACTCCTGTAATCCCAGCACTTGGAGAGACCAAGGCAGGAGGATCACTTGAGCCTAGGAGGTTAAGACCAGCCTGGGCAACTTAGCGAGACTCTGTCTTTGCAAAAAAGCAACATTATCTGGCTACGGTAGTACACCCACAGTCCCAGGTACTTGGGAGGCTGGGCCGGGAGGATTGCTTGAGCCCAGAAGGTTGAGGCCACAATGAGCTGTGATTACATCACTGCATACCAGCCTGGGTGACACAGCGAGACCCTCTCTCAAAAAACAAAAGAAAACCCAGCCTGGTGACTCCCACACCAAGACCACGGCCTGGCCTCGCTCGACCACAAGTGTTTCACGGAAGCGCAGACCGCGACCTTGGAGTGCCGGCCTTTCACCTCTGCAGTTGTGTCCCTGGCGGTCTCACCCGCCCTGCACGCAGTACAGTGCTGCCTGCTCCAGGAAAGGAACCCCAGGCTGTGGGGGGCACCCTCTTCCCGGAGCCAGGCTGCGAGCTGCACCACGGTGCACACCCATGGAGTGTAGACCTGGCGCTGCTAGACCCAGCTGGGCCGCCCCGCTGGACGCGGCTCCTGCTTCTGCTGGCATCAGGGCCCCGCAGAGCCTCTTCCCCTGTGGCCTCCCCATGGGATCCTTTTAGCCTTTCTGCTTCCCAGGGAGGCTGAGAACAGGGAGCCTTCTGGGGACCGCTGGGCTCGGGAGCTCAGGTTGCTGGGCTCCTGGAAGGTGACTGTGAGGCCCGAGACTGGGCAGCGGGGCAGGGCAGTCCTGCGGAGGCGGGAGTCGTGGAGGCCCCGTCAGCCCCTCTTCTCTCCTAGGCTCCTACAACCCCCTGACCCTCGGCCTGTTCACGCTGGTCTACTTCTTCCTGGCCTGCTGGACCTACGGGCTCACGGTGTCTGCCGGGGTCTTCATCCCGTCCCTGCTCATCGGGGCTGCCTGGGGCCGGCTCTTTGGGATCTCCCTGTCCTACCTCACGGGGGCGGCGGTGAGTGGGGCCGGAGGGGAGGCTGTGGGGCCCTGCAGCTGAGCCAGGTCTTGCGGCATCGCGGGCCGGAGCAGAAGTCCCAGGGCAGGACAAAAGTGTCGCACCTCACGTGGTTCACGGGCCGTGGGCGTTGTCCTCGCGTGGTTCACGGGCCGTGGGCGTTGTCCTGCTGTGGTGGCAGCGTGTACTGTGGCAGCGCAGCCCATGTGTGGAGTCTGGACCAGGCGAAGGTAGGGGGCGGAGGCTCGTGTCCTTATTCTTGAGAATGTGATGAAAAGCAGAGGTGATTGTGGGCTGCTGCAGAGCTGTTTCTAGACTCCATGGGGTGGATGTCCGGCCAGGGCTGCTCTCTGTGAGGCCGGGGGCCAGAGCGGCATACACTGCCCTCCAGACCTCAGCCCCCGCAGGCCTTCCTTCTCTGCCTGCCTCTGCTGGGACTGGGTTCTCTTATGTGTCTTCTGTTTCTCATTTCAGTCGCTTAAATAAGACTGAAAACCTGTAAGAGGCCCTGGCAGGAAGCCCCCGGCCATGCTTCTCATCCCCGGCAGGAAGCGCCCACTCCTGCTCCCCAGGCCCGTGTGCTCTGCCCATCTCCCTCCGCACAAGGGTTTGGTTTGGTTTTTAAAATTGAAACATGATTCAAATACCGTAAAACTCATCGTTTTAAAGAGGGCAGTTCAGCGGCGTTTCTCACGTTCACGAGGCAGTGCGGCCGTCACTACCACTTCTAGAATGTTCCGTCATCCCAGAATGGAAACCCTGTGCCCACCGACCCTCGTGCCCCGCTTTCTGCAGCCTCCATGCCTGGGTTCTGTGGCCCAGCCTGATGTTCCCGGGGCTCTCTGTGTCGTGTGTGCCGGGGTTTCACTCCTCATGCTGGACGGTGCTCCCTAGTTGGCCTGGGCTGCTGCGTGGTGACTGTGCCCTCTGCATCCTCCATGCCTGCCACTCCCCTGTTGCTCGGGTGCTGAGCGCCTGGTTCAGGCCAAGGATGCAGCCTCCGCAGCAGGGTGTACTGTGCTAGGTTGTTCTGTGTGTATGTACGCGGCCACGAGGTTTGTTCCTGGCTGTGGGGCTGCTGGGCCTGGGCAGGGCCTCCTCCGTCTGTGTATCTTGGTGGGTTTGGGCCTGCCACCACACTGACACCTCCTCCGTGTCACCTCCCACAGATCTGGGCGGACCCCGGCAAATACGCCCTGATGGGAGCTGCTGCCCAGCTGGGTATGTCCCAGCTCTTGCCCGATGGGTGGGGAGCTCCACGGGGTCTGGAGGGGGCCATGGCTGTCCTTGCGGGGCTAGGGTCTGGGAGCAGGTGGATGGGATGGGTGCTGCAGAGAAGGCAGTGGCCACGTGACCCTGAGCCAGGAGGGTGGACGTGCTGGGGTTCATGATGGCTCCCGCAGGCGGGATTGTGCGGATGACACTGAGCCTGACCGTCATCATGATGGAGGCCACCAGCAACGTGACCTACGGCTTCCCCATCATGCTGGTGCTCATGACCGCCAAGATCGTGGGCGACGTCTTCATTGAGGTGCGCCAGGGCCTCGAAGCCTCACCCTGAGAGCGTGGGTGCTGCCATAGGGGAGGGGCCCCTGTGAGCCTCCAAACAGCCGGTCCCGGGGGGTAGGCTCAGGGTTTCTGGGGGCGGCCTCTGGGCTCCCAGGGGTAGGCTCGGGGCTCCAGGGGTGGGTGTGGACTCCTCAAGCCCTGTGTTCCCGCCCCGCCCGCAGGGCCTGTACGACATGCACATTCAGCTGCAGAGTGTGCCCTTCCTGCACTGGGAGGCCCCGGTCACCTCACACTCACTCACTGCCAGGTACAGCGCCCAGGACACCTGTGGGTGGGGAGGGTGTCCAGCGGCCTCTTGTTGCACAGGGGCAGGGTGCACGGCTTGCGGGCTCCAGGCAGCCCCGCGTTTCCTGTCCAGCGGCTTCACACCTCACCAGCCCGCAGAGGTAACTGTGGGAGTTGGTGGCGTGTGACGGGCATGTGTGGCCGGGCTCCTCCGGCAGGGAGGTGATGAGCACACCAGTGACCTGCCTGAGGCGGCGTGAGAAGGTCGGCGTCATTGTGGACGTGCTGAGCGACACGGCGTCCAATCACAACGGCTTCCCCGTGGTGGAGCATGCCGATGACACCCAGGTACCGGGCACCCCATAGACAGGGTCCTGCCTATGTGACCTCTGTCGAGTCCATTGGTGGGAAGCACACGGCAAGGTTTGCAGGATGGGGAAGCTGCACGTTTGGGTGCACTGGCAGTTCCAGGAGTGCCGGAAGCTGAGTGTGCAGCCATGGAGGGCTGTGTGGACGCTGAGGCTGGTGGGGGGGGCTGCGGCCTGGCAGGGTCTTGGGGTTGGCACCCAGGCTGGGCTGAGAGCCGTGGCACTGGGGGCCGTGACTTTGTCAGGAGGCCCTGACAGGACACACAGCTCGGCCACTGCTGTGTGTCTTTTAGACGTGGACACTGGGTGTTTGGAGGTTGGTTTTTATTGGGACCCAGTGGGGCTGCATCTGCCCTGCAGCAAAGCCACCATCCCTGGGCCCTTGGCTCTCTGCTGTGCGCGGTCAGGCCCCGCTACCCTGTCGCCGATCCTTGGGTCCCGTGGCATTGTGCGTGTGGGATGCCATGGCGAGGCTGGTGTGAGCAGGTAGCCACCGACACGGGGCCCATGCCCAGATGGGAAATCTGGCCGGAACAGGGTCAGAGCGGGGCCCGACACAGCATTCCAGCGCAGCCTCCCACCCTCGGGCCCGTGGCCCTGACCGCGGGCCTGTCTTGCAGCCTGCCCGGCTCCAGGGCCTGATCCTGCGCTCCCAGCTCATCGTTCTCCTAAAGCACAAGGTGCGTGCCAGGCTCCGGGCCATTGGGCGGGTGGGGGCCCCGGGGGTGCTGCCTGGGTGCCTGACACAGGGCTCTGCCGCCCGCAGGTGTTTGTGGAGCGGTCCAACCTGGGCCTGGTACAGCGGCGCCTGAGGCTGAAGGACTTCCGAGACGCCTACCCGCGCTTCCCACCCATCCAGTCCATCCACGTGTCCCAGGACGAGCGGGAGTGCACCATGGACCTCTCCGAGTTCATGAACCCCTCCCCCTACACGGTGCCCCAGGCATGTGCAGGGCATGGGCATGGGCGTGGGGCCTGGGACTGAACAGCAGGGGGTGGGGTCCAGAGCCTCGGGGAGGGGCAGCCGGGGGGGGCCACAGCGGAGAGGACTCGGTGACTCTGTCTCCTGTGAAGGGCCTGGCAGGCTTTAGAGCTGAAGTCAAGGGGCTGAGGGGGCTGGCCAGACGGGCGTGGGGGCTCAGGACGTGCCTGGACGCCGTGGTGGGGGGTGCAGGGAGCCAGCTTGGGTGAGGGTCCCGCCTGCCTCTGCTGTGTGGGCGGGCACTGACAGCTGTGCCCCTGCTGCAGGAGGCGTCGCTCCCACGGGTGTTCAAGCTGTTCCGGGCCCTGGGCCTGCGGCACCTGGTGGTGGTGGACAACCGCAATCAGGTGAGCGGGGGCGGTGGGGGTGCAGGCATGCCGTGCAGGGCTCCCCTCTGCCTCCTGCCCGTGCTTACTCTCAGCTCCCGGCAGGGGACACGGAAGCACAGGACCCAGCACCGAGTCGGCCCATGCCCCATGGCTGCACCCCTCCCCAGCCCCGTGCTCAGCTCGGGGGCTGTGCTGAAGCCCCCAGGGCCCCCTGCCTGTGCTGCCCCAGCCACACACAAGGCAGGGAGCTCCACAGGCAGGCGGGAGCCGACCCGTGTGTCACTGTGGCCTGGACTTGTCCTGCAGGTTGTCGGGTTGGTGACCAGGAAGGACCTCGCCAGGTACCGCCTGGGAAAGAGAGGCTTGGAGGAGCTCTCGCTGGCCCAGACGTGAGGCCCAGCCCTGCCCATAATGGGCACTGGCGCTGGCACCCCGGCCCTTCTGCATTTCCTCCCGGAGTCACTGGTTTCTCGGCCCAAACCATGCTCCCCAGCAGTGGCAATGGCGAGCACCCTGCAGCTGGGCGGGCAGGCGGCAGGCGCGGAACTGACCCTCTCGCGGGACTGACCCTGTTGTGGGCAGTGGTCTCCCCCCTTGGCGCCTCCTTGCGCAGGCCCAGCCTCCACTCTCCTCGTCTAGGTTTCTTTACCTCCAGGGATCAGCTGTGTGTGTGTGACCTCCCTACCGGGCTATCGGCCTCTTGGGAGCCAGCGGCAGGGCCGGCACCTGCGTGCCTGTGCCCGTGTGCGTGAGACAGAGCCCTTGCCCCTGCTGCTGCCCCGAGGGCTGCCCTGCCCTGGAAGGGCCCCTCTGCCTCCACACCAGTGGAGTCTTCGAGACTTGGGAGCTGCTTGGCCTCATTTTCAGCCATGAGCAGACGGCCTGTGGTCCCTGGGCCTGAGGCACGGACTCGTAGCACCAGGGTTTGGAGGCTGCGACCGCCCCGGAGAGCAGCTTCACACTGGCGCCACAGAGGAGCCCCACGTGCACTCCCCGGCCTGCATCCGGCTTGGGTACACAGGCCCAGAGGACTGGGGTGACTCACGGGCCCTGTGCTGTGATGTTGAGAGCTGAGAAAAACCTCCAAGGCCCTGAGCCCCATGCCCAGCCCTGCCTTGGTCCCCCAACCCCCAGAGCTTGGAGTCTGGGCCCCACACCCAGCCCTGCCTTGGTCCCTGAGCCTCAGAGCGTGGAATTGCTGCCCTGTGGACACTGGCTGGGAAGGCAGGTCTTCCCCTAGCACATGGGGACCCCGGCCTCGAGGGTGACCTCCCTACCCCGCCCCTGCCAGCCACCAAGCGCAGGTGCAGCGGGGGCCAGACTCCTGCCGGCCTCAGAGGACACCTGGCCCAGCACAGGCAGCTAGAAGGGCCGGTGGGCACCGGGGCCGGGAAGCCCCCACCTCACCACCTGAGGGCCCCTGGGAGGCTCCTCTGGCCTGGCTGGGCTGGGTCTGGGGCCGCCACAGGCCCCTCACGGGGCGGCAGAGGCAACTTCAGTGTCCCTGTTAGAGCAACACGGGTCCCTCCGTGGGGGGCTGGGTGCGGCCCCCTGCCGTGTATTTCCTCCCCAGGGAGTGGGGCCTCCCCGGGAGCTGACGCCACCACCCTGCTTAGCCCTCACAGGGCCCCAAGGTGTCCGAGTGTGTTGGGTCTGAACGCGAAATAAAGAAATCCTCTCAGCCCGCCTTTGCCAGCGTCGTCCCTCCCACCCCACCCAGACCACGTCCAACAGCCTGGGACTTTCGGGACCCTGGGGTCGGGGCACCGTGTGGAGTGAGAAAGGCGTGAAAGACAGCGGCTGCGGCCACCCAGGGCACCAGCCACATCCTCTTCCTCGTCCCCGCCCCTCAGCCTCCCTCCTCTGGCTCCTGGCTGGTGGGTCTGGGGGCAAGGCAGAGGCGCTCCAGGTGGAGGGGGGCGGGCCGGGGTGCCCACGCTGGGGTGACGCAAGAAGAAAACTCCCGGGCCTCAGAGTCGGCGCCGGAAACCTAGGTCTGGGTTTCCCTCGTGGTGGTTGTGTACTGAGGACCTGGAAGTGATCATATTTTGGATATATTCGGTTAAATAAAATCAGCGGTTAGGATTCACATCGCTGCTTCTTGCCTTTTAATGGGGCTGCTGAGCAAGATGGGTTCCCGTGGAGCCCGGCTGTGCCCCTCACCCCGATGGCGCTGCCCAGGCCTCGGGCTCCGCTCGGACGTGGGCCTGGCTGTGTCCGGGGTGTCCTGGGGCTCTCGGCCTCCCTGCTCCCAGCGTCCCTCCCGGCGTGCCCAGGCCTCGTCAGGGCCTCCTTCCCCTCCCTCGGCAGCTGAAGAAGTCCCCTTTGCCAGAGGACACGTGTCTGCGCCCTCTCGGGAGTGGGGCCCCTCAGATCCATCCAGAAGCAGGCAGTTGGGGGGCCCTGCGGGAGTGGGAGAGCTGAGGGCTAGAGTTCCATTGGCAGTTGGGCTGTGAAGCCGTGAGGTTCTGGGGAGAGAAGGAAGGTTCTGGAACGGCCCCGCTGCCCCACACCTGCCTCCCTGGGGACCCTGAGAAGGCAGCCAGACGAGGGCAGCAGCTCGTCCCTCAAGGCCCAGAGCTCTCACGGGACTTCCTCTGGCTCCTGACCCCCCTGGCCTGTGCCCAGCTCTGGGCAACCTCAGAGGCCCCAAGGCCCAAGCTACAGCCGAGGGCAGGGTGGCCGGTGCAGCCCAGCAGCCATGTCAGGTGACCAGAGCGGAGGAGCGGGGCCCAGGGAGGGGCTTGCCACAGGTGTGAGGGTGGGGACCGCTCTGCTTCTGACCCCGGGCTCCCTCCAGCTCGCTTGTTCCTGCCGCCCAGTGCTGTGTGTCTTCAGGCAGGGCCCTGGACTTGTCTGAGCCAAGCCCGTCTGGATCCTGTGTGACCCAAGGAGACGCGTTGAGCTCTGGGTGGTGGGCGAGGGTCCTGCGGGGGTTTGGGGCCTTGTTCCCGTAAGCTCCAGTGGGGGCCGGGCCCCAAGGGGCAAGCTCCCAAGATGCCTCCTTGTAGAGTTGGCTGACAGTGGACCCTCAGGGGCATCGGCCCCTTCCCAGCTGAGAGCCGTCACCCTGGAAGACCTGGGGCTCCTCCTGGCAGGAGGCCTGGCCAGCCCCGAGCCCTTGAGCCTGGAGGAGCTCTCGGAGAGGTATGAGTCCAGCCATCCGACATCCACGGCCTCTGTCCCCGAGCAGGACACCGCCAAGCACTGGAACCAGCTGGAGCAGTGGTGAGCCCTGCAGGGGGTGCTGGCGGGGGAGGACCACGTCGCCGCCGCCTCCGCCTCCACGGCGGGCACCGCCAGACTCGCCCACTCTCGCCCCGGCCAGGGTGGTGGAGCTGCAGGCCGAGGTGGCCTGCCTGCGGGAGCACAAGCAGCGCTGTGAGCGCGCCACGCGGAGCCTGCTGCGGGAGCTGCTCCAGGTGCGGGCCCGCGTGCAGCTGCAGGGCTCAGAGCTGAGGCAGTTGCAGCAGGAGGCGCGGCCGGCAGCCCAGGCCCCCGAAAAGGAGGCGCCGGAGGTGAGCGGCTCCCCCACCCACAGGTCGAGCTGCCCCTTTCCTGGGTGTTGGGGGCAGCTGCTTCTGGGCCTGGAGCCCAGCTCACCCCTGCTGCCCAGGCCCAGAGCTCCCAGGGGCCAGTGGTGCCGGAGCTGGGTGGACTCCAGGGGCAGGTGCCAGACCCGGGCCTAGGTCCAGCCCACAGCCTCCTCTTCCTCCTCGCAGTTCTCTGGTCTCCAGAACCAGATGCAGGCCCTGGACAAAAGGTACCCCCCACACACCTAGGGGCACAGGCCCAGGGCGGGGAGGTGGTGGCGAGAAAGCAGCGGCAGGTGTGGTGGGGGGTCCACATCTCCCGCTGGGTGTCGCTGGAGTGGGGGATACACATCCAGGTCCAGCTAGAAAAGGCCGGGTTTGTACGTGCCTGGGCGGCCTTCAGAGGCCCAGGAAAGCCATGGGAGGTGGCCACAGGGGCCCCTTGGCCAGACCCCCAGCCCGCCGAGGCTGCTCAGCCCGCCTGGGCCTCTCGGGAATGGCTTGTTGTGTCCCAGGCTGGTGGAGGTCCGGGAAGCCTTGACCCGGCTCAGGAGGAGGCAGGTGCAACAGGAGGCGGAGAGAAGGGGCGCCGAGCAAGAGGCCGGCCTCAGGTGGGCGCCCACCGCCCGTGGCTGGCTCCGGAGCTTGCGTGGGGTCATTTGAGAGTCCCTGGCTGAGCCAAGACACGGGTCCCCCTGCCGTGTGTCCCCAGTAACCCGGCGGGGCACCGCCCTCGGTGCCAAGCGTGCTGGGAAGCCTGGGCCCGCTGCGGACCCTCTGTGGGGAAGAGACTCGCAGCAGCCCTTCCCTGCCACCGGTGCTGTGTTTCCCATTCCTCTGTTTTCTGGTGGGGCAGGGGGCGGGGGTCGTACACCTCCTGCCTGGCCAGCCTGTGGGTCAGCCTCACCCTGCTGGGCCCTCCGGCCAGCTGGGCTGGTGTGACCACAGCCGACTTCTCTAGACTGGCCAAGCTGACCGACTTGCTGCAGCAGGAGGAGCAGGGCCGGGAGGTGGCCTGCGGCGCCCTGCAGAAGAACCAAGAGGACAGCAGCCGGAGGGTGGACCTGGAGGTGGCCAGAATGCAGGTACCACCAGGCCCAGGCTTCAGGGGGGCCGCCCAGAGGGCCGAGGAGGAGACCCTAACCCTCTCGGCCTGTGCCATCCGATACAGCGGCCGTTCACCATGTATCTGTGTCCACTGAAATCAGCTATAGTTGTAGACAATGTAAAACTCAATTCCTCAGCCGCACATGCCCCATTTCAAAAGTTCAGGTTGTTTGGGCACGGTGGCTCACGCCTGTAATCCCAGCACTTTGGGAGGCTGAGGCGGGCAGATCACAAGGTCAGGAGTTCAAGACCAGCCTGGCCAACATGGTGAAACCCCATCTCTACTAAAAATACAAAAAACTAGCCAGGTGTGGTGGCGGGCACCTGTAGCCTCAGCTACTGAGGAGGCTGAGGCAGGAGGATTGCTTGAATCCAGCAGGAGGAGGTCACAGTGAGCTGAGATCGCGCCACTCCAGCCTGGTGACAGAGTGAGACTCCATTTCAAAAAACAAAACAAAACAAAAAAACAAAAGCTCAGGCCACGTGCAGTGGCACACGCCTGTAAATCCCAGCACTTTTGGGAGGCCGAGGCGGGAGGATCGCTTGAGCCTGGGAAGTCAAGACCAGCCTGGGCAACACAGCGAGACCTCATCTCAAAAAAAAGCTCAGTTGCCACGTGGGGCCGGCAGCTGCAGATCTGGGCGCTCTTCGTCCCAGGAAGCTGCCTGTGTCCTGCCGCCTCCACCCCTCCCCACACAGCCAGCGCCTGCCCGGGTCCACAGATCGCAGCCCCGAAGCCCCTTCCACGGCCACTCTCGGGCTCCACCTTTCCCTGCACACAAAGCGGAGTTCACCTTCCTCGAGGACACGAGTTCCTAGAAGCCAGGGTCCCACCCACGGGGCTGGAGTGGCTCCCCCTCCTGCTGTGGCCTCAGCAGGGGCCTCCGCTGTGGGTGGGGAGGGAACGGGCAGCTGCACATTTCAGCAGCCCGGGTCTGAGCTCCACAAATAGAGACCGGGGACTGCAGCCAGCTCCCGTGCGCATCAGGCAGTACGCTGGGTGAGGGGCCAGGACTGCCGGGGCACCCAGCTGCCACCCACATAGCTCCACTGCCCGGAGCCGGCAGCCTCCCTCTCACTGCCCTTCAGGAAGTTACTGAGTGGCCGTGTGGAGCAGGCAGGGGTGCTGGGCTGAGGATTCCCAAGGTGCCAGGTGTGGGGGAGCTGCCGCTCATGAGGGCGTCTGCCTTTCCCTGAGTCCGGGTGTCTGAGTGCTCTCTAGGGCCAGAGGCAGCAAAGCCAGGCCGACACTCGTTTTTTGTTTTGAGACAGGGTATTGCCTGGTTGTTCAGGCTGGAGCGTGGTGGTGCCATCACAGCTCACTGCAGCCTCAACCCCCCAGGCTCAAGTGATCCTCTTGCCTTAGCCTTCCCAGTAGCTGTGACTGCGGGCGCATGCCACCATGCCTGGCTAATTTTTTTTTTTTTTTTTTTAAGACGGAGTCTCCCTCTGTTGCCTGGGCTGGAGTGCAGTGGCACGATCTCGGCTCACTACAAGCTCCGCCTCCCACGTTCACACCATTCTCCTGCCTCAGCTTCCCGAGTAGCTGGGACTACAGGCGCCCACCACCACGCCCGGCTAATTTTTTTGTATTTTTAGTAGAGATGGGGTTTCACTGTGTTAGCTAGGATGGTCTCGATCTCCTGACCTCGTGATCTGCCCATCTCGGCCTCCCAAAGTGCTGGGATTACAGGCGTGAGCCACTGCGCCCAGCCCGCCTGGCTAATTTTTTGATGTTTTGTAGAGACGGGGTCTCACTGTGTTGCCCAGGCCAGTCTCAAACTCCTGGGCTCAAGTGATCCTCCTGCCTCAGCCTCCCAAAAAGTTTTCTTTTCTTTTCTCTTTTCCTTTCTTTTCTTTTTTCTCTTCTCTTCTCTTCTCTTCTCTTTTCTGTTCTCTTCTCTTCTCTTCTCTTCCCTTCTCTTTTCTTTTCTGAGATGGAGTCTCGCTCTGTTGCCCAGGCTGGAGTGCAGTGGCGTGATCTCAGCTTACTACAAGCCCCACCTCCCGGGTTCACACCATTCTCCTACCTCAGCCTCCCAAGGAGCTGGGACTACAGGCACGCATCACCATGCCCAGCTAAATTTTTTGTATTTTTAGCAGAGACAGGATTTCACCGTGTTAGCCAGGATAGTCTTGATCTCCTGACCTCATGATCCGCCCACCTCGGCCTCCCAAAGTGTTGGGATTTCAGGCGTGAGCCACCTCGCCCGGCCATTTTTTTTTTTTTTTTTTTTTCTGACAGTCTCGCTCTGTCGCCCAGGCTGGAGTTACAGTGGCATGATCTCAGCTCACTGCAACCTCCATCTCCTGGGTTCAAGCGATTCTCCTGCCTCAGCCTCCAGAGTAGCTGGGATTACAGACAGCTGTCCATGTCTGGCTACTTTCTGTAGTTTTAGTAGAGACAGGGTTTCACCATGTTGGCCAGGCTGGTCTTGAACCTCTGACCTCAGGTGATCCACCAGCCTCGGCCTCCCAAAGTGGGAGTGAGTCATTGCGCCAGTCACTGCTTGTTTTTGTAAATAAAGTTTTATTGGCACACAGGAACATTTTTTACATGTTGTCAATGTCTACTGTGGGGGCTGTAACCGCCATGCTGAGAGGGTTACAACAGAGATCCCATGAGGTGGGAACATGTACCATCTGGCTTTTTACAGAAAAATATCTACTCTAAGGTGACCTCCTGGGGGGCAGGAGGCCAGCAGGGGCTTGGGTGGAGGGGAAGTTTCCCGGGAGGCGCCTCTCCGTGGCTGATGAAGGGCCTGTGCCGCCTGCCTACCCTTTGCGTGTATGAGATGCAGGGATGGGGCCGGCTGCGCCTCCCCCCTCCCCTCCCCTTCAGGGCGGCAGGAAAGCAGCTGTTGGTGTGGAGACAAGGCCCCAAGGCTCTGCCCAGCCCACCTGGCTCCCCGTGCATGGGGACACCTGCACGACACTCCTGCTTCCCTGCCGGGCCTGGTGGCGGCTGGGGGGCCTTCCCTGGGCAGCCTCGGTGGTGGGTGCCAAGTGTGTCTGGACCCCACCTGAGCGTGGCCTTCTCATGCTTCACAAACCCATGCCTGGTTGGTCGTCTGGGTACAGAGTGGTCCTGCCCGCCGTGGCTTTCTTCCGGCTGAGGGTGTGGCAGGCCCAGCTCAGCCGGGCTCAGGGCTTGGGGACAGCAGGGGACTCCAACTCTGATGGAGACCATGGGCAGGAGGGGGACCGGCTGCGTGTCCAGCAGAGGCTGCACACGGGACAATGTGCCTCCGCCCCAGGCCCAGGTGACCAAGCTCGGCGAAGAGGTGAGCCTGCGCTTCCTGAAGAGGGAGGCCAAGCTGTGCGGCTTCCTGCAGAAGAGCTTCCTGGCCCTGGAGAAGGTGGGAGCCTGCCCGCGGCTGGCCTGCCCTGCCCCCCTTCCCAGACGCAGACCTGCAGCTGACAGTGGGGTCTCCCCACAGAGAATGAAGGCCTCGGAGAGCTCACGGCTGAAGCTGGAGGGCAGCCTGCGGGGCGAGCTGGAGAGCCGGTGGGAGAAGCTTCGGGGGCTGATGGAGGAGCGCCTGCGGGCCCTGCAGGGGCAGCATGAGGTGGGGCCGGGCGGGCGGCGGGCAGGTGGGGCCGGGGCCGGGGTGCAGGTCTCAGGGCGGCCTCCACCCCCTGGCAGGAGAGCCACCTCCTGGAGCAGTGCCAGGGCCTGGATGCTGCCGTGGCCCAGCTGACCAAGTTTGTGCAGCAGAACCAGGCGTCGCTGAACCGTGTCCTACTGGCCGAGGAGAAAGCCTGGTGGGTGTCCTGGGGCCTCAGGTGCTGTCAGGCGGGGGGACCCCTGATGTCCCACTCAGGAGGGGGCCGCAGTGGCCGACTCAGCAGGGAATGACCTTGCCTCCCCCGAGCAGAGTGCTCGACCCCGAGGGCTGCAGCTGGATGGTGCGAACCCTCCTCCCTCCTGTGGGGCCTCCTGTCCCTCACCCAGCCTGCCCTCCCTGGGGCACTCAGCTGTGGCCATGGGGAGGGAACCCCTGTCTTGGTGGCCGTGGGGAGTGAACGCCCATCTTGGTGGCCATGGGGAGTGAACCCGTGTTGGTGGCACTGTGACCGCACCCCATCTTCCGATCCCAGGGTCTCCTGGGAGGTTCTGGAGCCAGCAGCCAAGCTCCCCTCCCTGGCCCAGGGCTGAGAGGTGGGCAGGCTCCACTGAGGGTGTCTATGTGTCCCCAACCCCTAGGGACGCCAAGGGGCGCTTGGAGGAAAGCCGGGCTGGGGAGCTGGCCGCCTATGTGCAGGAGAACCTGGAGGCCGCACAGCTGGCTGGCGAGCTGGCCCGGCAGGAGATGCATGGAGAGCTGGTGCTGGTGAGGGGGTAGCGCAACATGTCCCCAACGGGGTCTCCCACGCACACGGGATGGGCGCTCAGCCAGGCCTCCCCGTGCCCACCTGTCCCCTGCAGCTCCGAGAGAAGAGCCGGGCTCTGGAGGCATCCGTGGCGCAGCTGGCCGGGCAGTTAAAGGAGCTGAGTGGCCATCTCCCGGCTCTGAGCAGCCGGCTCGATCTGCAGGAGCAGATGCTGGGCCTCAGGCTGTCCGAGGTGCGCCAGGCAGCGGGCGGGGGCAGGCGGGGCTATGGGGAGTCCCCACCCCTCCAGCTCTCAGCCCACCACTGCCCCCAGGGTAGAGGCCTGACAGGCCGGTCCCAAGCCTCCCGTCCCACCCAGCGACTGTCCCCAGGGCCTGGGAGACCCCGAGCCCCAGAGACTCCTGTGTGGGGCAGGACAGCCGCTGAGCAGCCTCGGCCCAGCATCTGCAGCCCGTGAGGCCCGAGCTGGAGCCTCGGCCCACGGCCCGGCCATGCGGGCAGCTCACGGCGGGGCAGACAAGCGGCCTCCACCCCTCGTGCTCTTGTTCACTGTGTAACAGCTCTGTTGAGATGGATTCACTCCCCACACGGTTCACCCGTGAACGTGCACAGTTCCGTGTGTCTATTCACAGTTTCAGAGCATTCATCCTTCAGGAAGAACCTCAGCCCCATCCGCACTCATTCCCATCCCCACTTCCCCTGGCGACCGCTGGGCCCCTCCCTGTCTCGGGGGCTGCCTGTTCTGGACGTTTCCAGGAAACAGAGCCACGCACGGTGCGGCCGCTGTGGCGGTGACACCCACGGGCATCCCGTTTCCCGCTCCTCGGGGCCTCGTGCGCAGAGCTTCACCCCTTCCACCGCGGCGTAACGTGCATTGCGTAGGCGCCGCCCCCCGGTTCCCGCTCATCCACCGACACGCGAGCGCGGCTGCAAACGTGGGCGACACCCTGCGTTTCGGGGCTGGGTCCCACCGGGGCCTGCCCTGCCTCCCTCGGGCACCTGTGTGGTCGGAACAGCCCCCACGGGCCCTCGGCTGCCCAGGCCCTGCCTTGGCATGTGTGTCTCCAGAGCGTGCCCGGCCAGGCCATCCCAGCCGCCTGCAGGCCTGTGCACAAATGTCTCAGAGCTGGAAGTGGGGGTGGGGGCCGCCTGCTCCCCAGAGCTCCCCGTGTCCGTCTTTCCATCTGTCTGTCCCCCCTCTCTTGGCTTTGTCCCTCACTGGGCATCTGTACCCCAGGCAAAGACCGAATGGGAAGGTGCAGAGAGGAAGTCCCTGGAGGACCTGGCCAGGTGGCGGAAGGAGGTGACCGAACACCTGCGAGGGGTGCGGGAGAAGGTGGATGGCCTCCCCCAGCAGGTGGGCGAAGGCACAGCCAGCCTTGGTGTACTTGGGCCTTGGAGGTGGCGTGGGACCCTTCTCCCTGCACCTTGTCCTCTCCCCTCCTCCCTCTCCCTGTGTGGGTCGAGGCCAAGGCTGGTCCTAGATGGCGCCCTGGGGCTGCCCGCCGCTCCCGGCTCTGTGTTCAGATAGAGAGTGTCTCCGACAAGTGCCTGCTTCATAAGAGCGACTCAGACCTCAGGATTTCCGCCGAAGGCAAGGCCAGGTACAGCCTCCAGGCCCTGGGAGAGGGGCAGGGGCTCTGCTGACCGTTACTGGGCTGGGCCGGTCCCCACGCTACTCTCCACAATCCCCTGGTATCGTGACAGACCTGTTCCCCCTGAGCCCGGGCCTGGCCCAGCACCGGGCTCACCCTGCCACCCTGGTGCAGCCTCTGAGGCGCCTCCAGCCCCTCCCTCTACCCCCCGTTGGGGACCCCCACCTTCCCCACTGGAGGGGTGACAGGGCTGAGCCCCCTCGAGCCTCCTTAACCCTGTGGTGGCTGTGGGAGTGGCCTTTGTCCCCGGTCCTGGCCCTACCCCCGAGCACACCCGACAGCCAGCCTCGGCCTCTGGTGCCCATAGGGAGTTCAAGGTTGGGGCCCTGCGGCAGGAGCTGGCCACGCTACTATCATCCGTGCAGCTGCTAAAGGAAGACAACCCTGGGCGGAAGATCGCGGAGATGCAGGGCAAGCTGGCCACGGTAGTCCTGGGGCTGCCCGCACCCAGCTGGGAGAGAGGGGGAGCCATCAGGTTCAGACGGGGCAGCCGTGCGGAGAGGCAGGACCCCCAGCCTACGGGGCATTTTCCAGCCAGCAGGAGACGCTCAGAAAACCACCTGTCGGAGGCCAGGCGGGGTGGCTTACACCCATAATTCCAGCACTTTGGGAGGCCGAGGCGGGTGGATCACCTGAGGTCAGGAGTTTGAGACCCGCCTGACCAACATGGAGAAACCCTGTCTCTACTAAAAATACAAAAATTAGCCAGGCATGGTGGCGCATGCCTGTAGTCCCAGTTACTCGGGAGGCTGAGGCAGGAGAATCACTCGAACCTGGAAGGTGGAGGTTGCGGTGAGCCAAGATCGCGCCATTGCATTCTAACCTGGGCAACAAGAGTGAAACTCCATCTCAAACAAAACAAAACAAAACAAAAACAAAAACAAAAACAGCTGTCCCTGGGCCACCCCAGCTTGTCTCAGCCTCTGGCAGTTCTAAGTGGAGGCACCTGCCTGGAGCCCCCACACCGGGGTGCCGTCCGCAGCCACGAGGGCCGGAACAACCCTGAGCCCTGGCCAGGTCCCCGCAGGGCCACTCTCAGGCTGCCGCTTCCTCAGCGGAGCTTGTCCTGGGCCCTGCAGTGGGGACGAGGACCAGCATTTCAGCAGGTGGCCCCTGCCCAAGCTGTAAGCACTCAACAGTGGATATCGGGGTGCCTGTGGGGACAGCAGGATGCCAGCAGACTGGCCCTGTCTGTGCCCAAATGGGGGCCATGTTTAGTTTCAGAACCAAATAATGAAGCTGGAAAACTGCGTCCAGGCCAACAAGACCATCCAGAACCTCAGGTTCAACACTGAGGCCCGGCTGGTGAGGAGGCCTTGCCCGGCCGGCACCGCCCAGCTCCCACCCGCTCCCTCAGCCCTGCCGCCTCCCCGCCTGCCCTGCTGCAGGCGCCAGTGTCTGTCTGTCCAAGTGTCTGGCCATGGGCAGGGTTTCCCTGAAGATAAATGGCTTCCAGGCTCCCGGTGGGAGATAAGCCCCCGTTTGCCATCCCCTGCCCGGAGGTCTGGCTCCTGGGTGACACCAGCATCCCCGTCCCACAGCGCACGCAGGAGATGGCCACCCTGTGGGAGAGTGTGCTCCGGCTGTGGAGTGAGGAGGGCCCGCGGACGCCGCTGGGCAGCTGGAAGGCGCTCCCATCCCTGGTGAGGCCGCGGGTCTTCATCAAGGACATGGCGCCTGGCAAGGTGGTGCCCATGAACTGCTGGGGCGTGTACCAGGCTGTGAGGTGGGCAGCAGGGATCCCGGCGCGGCCTCCTGGGCCTTTGGGCCGGGGTTCAGGGCTGGGGGCCCACAGGCAGCAGGTGGGCCATGGGGGGTGGGGCGGGGGTGCAGGGGCCATGTGCCGCATCTCTGGACAGGTGGCTGCGCTGGAAGGCGTCCCTCATAAAGCTCAGGGCCCTGCGGAGGCCAGGAGGGGTCCTGGAGAAGCCCCACAGCCAGGAGCAGGTGCAGCAGCTCACACCCTCACTGTTTATCCAGAAATAAACGTGCTGGCTTTGTACTCATTAGAGCTGAGGTTCCCTGATGTGTGCTGGGAGACAGCCTACCCAGGGCCTGTGGGGCTGAGCGGGGTGGCGAGGTCCCTGGCAGCGGGGGTGCCCAAGCTTGGAGGGACCCAGTCTCTTGACCCCCATGACTCTTCCTGTCCTGCCCAAACCCAGCCCGGCTTCAGGCTGTTGCTTTCCATGGCACTTTAGCAGCCTCTCTCCTTCCCTGCCAGGCCCCCTAGGGCTGCCAGAGCCCCCCGGGGTGGAAGGGGCTTGGCTAGGGCCTGCGCAGAAGCACCTAGGCCTGCCCCCGCCAGGACCCGCTGTGAGCTGCCCCTGCCCGGGTTGTGAGGAGGACCCGGGGAAGCCCCCTGGACTCGGGCTCCCTGGCTCTGCCTCAGAGCCCCTCCAGCCCAGCAGCCCTGCAGTGGAAGAGCCTTCCGGCATCTGGGGAGGAGACGGCCCTTGTTTGCTCTCTCGGTCGGGCAGTGGGCCCCTCTTCCTGCCTCTCCAAGAAAGCCCTCGCTCATCCCGCGGTCGCCGGCCCTGCCGTCTGCTGCCGGGGGCTCAGGGGAGGGGCCACAGGTTCCGGGCCGCTTAGTCCTAGGGGTTCGGTGGGATGGGCAGGCAGTGGGAGGGCTGGCTCGGGGGGCTCTGTCCTCCACCGCCCCTTGCTGCTCACCTGGAATCTCTGGGGCTGGGCCCTCAGCCTCACCTGGGGGCCCTGGTGGGTGGAGCCCCTTGAGCTCAAGCCTCCCTTTTCTGTGGGCAGGGCTCTGGGGGCCCCTGTGCCCCTCCAGGGGCTCTGCTGGGGCTGAAGGCCAGGGCATGGCCAGGTCTGGGCACCACCCTTGCTGCTCCCACTGCAGCCCAGCCCTGGTGACCTCTGGGTTTGCCCTGTGGTGGCCGCGAGGGACGGAGGAGGCTCTTCCCAGGAGGATGGGAGGAGAGTCCAGTGCCTTAGGGGTGGCCCTGCTGCCGCCAGCTAGCTCTGACCCCGGCGCTTCGCTAGGCCTCGGCTGGCCGTGCCCCTTCCAGGGCTGGGGTTCCCCTGCCGGGCAGCTCAGGACAGGCCTCGGTTGACCAGCTGGCCAGCAGGTCGCTGAAGTCCGGCGTGCCAGGGTGCAGCAGGCCCAGGGGGCTAGGGGTCGGCTCCTTCCAGAAGGATGGGGGCAGCTTCCTCTGGGCCATGGGGGTGATGTGGCCGTACTTCCGCTCCAGCGTCAGGCTCCAGCCGGCCGCTGCCCTGGACCCCCAGTACTGCTGCAGCCCGTAGTCGAAGAGCTCGGCCAGGGGTCCCAGGGGCTGCGCCCTGTCCCCGCTGAGGCCCGGCCTGCACACCTGCCCTTGGGGTACCCTGGGCTCCGGGGTGTCCTCGTCCTCCAGGGACCCGCCACGGGCCAGGCGCACCAGGTCCGCATAGTAGAGCTCCCGGGCAGTGCTGCGGGGTGGGCGGCTGTCGGCGTAGACGTCGCAGGCATCTGGGTCCTGCCCCTTATCCTTGCGGCCAAAGTACCGCCGGATGTCGTCGCTGATGAGCTCTGAAAAGCGTAGCAGCTGCAGCGGGGTCTCGGGGCTGCCGGGACCCTCGGGGGCTGCTTCCTCCGTGGCCTCTGCCCGGCCTGAGCTCGGGAGGATCCGGCCGCAGCCCCCCAGCCCCTCGCCCTCGCCCTCCTCCTCCTCCTCCTCCTCCTCCTCCTCCTCTTCCTCCTCCGAAGTCTCTGGGGGCTCCGGATCTGAGGGCAGGAAGGGGTGGTGGCGCAGCAGGGGCAGCTGGAAGTCGCACAGGGGCCGGATCACACCGGCGGCCATCTCCGCGCGTCCCACGCTTCTGGGGCCTCCGGGGCAGCAGGCGCTGGCTGGGGAGGGAGACAGAGGGGCAGGTTCCCTGTCAGGCCTGGCCATGCCCCCGCCGCCCTCGACTGCTGCCCTCGGATCTCACACATCTGTGGCCTCCCGCAGAGACCTTCCTCCGCTCCTGGGTGCCCAGTTGTGCTTGTCGAGGGCACGGATTGCCACAGGAGTGAGGCATGGAGAGAGATGGGGTGGGCACTGTGGCCGCATGGCCGTGGCATGAGGGGGATGGCCGGCCAGGGGGTGCTGTGAGACCTGCTGGACGGCTGGCCCAGGATGGTGACTGGGTGGGAGCAGTGGGGTCCTGTCGTGGGGGGCAGTTGGGGACATGGGGACATTGTGGGGACACTAGAATTGTGGTCACTTGGGAGGGGAGGACGCTGGGCAGGAGAGGGCAGGCCCTGGGGAAGGGACCTCGAGAAGCCAGGCAGGGGAACAGGGATCCCTGCAGGCCAGGGCAGGGGTGCTGGCGCTGCTGAGCCGGAGCTGGGTCCCGGGCTGGGGCTGCTGTGGGTCAGAACCAGGGGCTCCATGGCTCTTGATCAAAGTGGAGGCGTCACTGTAACTGAGCCCAGAGCCCGTGCAGCCCCCGTGGGGTTCTTCCGGCCATCACAGTCCCAAGGGAGCGGGAGGCAGCACCCCAGTGGTCCTAACTAGGAAGTCTCCACGATGGTGAAGGCGGCTGGGGTGGGAGGTCCCTGCAGGGGTGGGCTCCAGGGGCCACTGCACCTGGCCAGGACGACTCAAGTGAGGTATCTGGGTCAGGGGCCTGGCAGGAGGGTATCTGGATGGGGACTGTGGGGTGGGTGCAGCTCTCCTCTGGGCCAGCTGCCAGGTAGTGCCCACCACACAGACAAGGGCTGCCCAGCCCCTCCTCGAGGGGACACGTGGGTGCCCCTGGGGTCAGGTAGCCTGAACCCATCTTGTCCGGAGCCTGTGGCAGGAGGGCGGAGGGAGGGAGGAGGGCTTTGGGGATGGGGGAGGGCTTCAGGGAGGGAGGGGTGTTGCGGGGAGTAGGAAGGGCTGTGGGGAGCGGGCAGGACTGTGGGGAGCATCCACGGCTCTGGGACAGGCTTTCCTCGGGGTCAGGATGTTTCCCCGCTGGCTGTCGGGGAGGTGAACTGCGAGGCCTCCCGACCCTGGCCTGCCCAGCTGTGGTCCTGATCTCACTGAAGTACTGGGGTCCCCCTCGCAGGAGGCATCCAGTGTCCTGAGCGCTGGACTTTGGGGCTGACTGCTCACGGACAGCCCAGATGCAGGTGCCCTCCCATGGCGGCCTGTCTGCCCCAATGCCGGCCCAGTCCTGGGCCTGCCCAGTGGTCTGGGGGTCTCTCCCAGGGGTGGGTGCTCCCCACAGAGCCCTGGGCAGGACTCACAGACTCCAGATCCCCAGTGCTGTGGTGTCCCCAGCAGCGTCTGCCTCCCCCAGGCCCTGGCTCCTACCTGGCCGGGGCCGACAGCTCTTGCTCCACAGGCAGACCTTCACCCGGACACAAGCATTTATAGCCGCGCTCTGCAGCCGCCAGGGGCTGGCAAATATTTGGCGACAGCATTGTCATCGCAGACTGGGCAAATAGAGCCCGTTTGCTTTAGCGCCCGGCAACCAGGGCCCCGAGGGGGGAGCACGCCCCCCGCCTCACCTGCACGCGGCCTGCCTGGGGACCGTGGAGTGTTTGTGCAGGCGCAGCTGGCTCGCCCCCGGGCCCCGGGACCCTTATCTCTGCTGTGGACTGGGGCCCGGACCCAGCCTTGTCAAATAAGCGGAAAATTAAATTTCATGCTATTTTGAGTTCTGGAGTAGGCCTCTCTAGAGGACATCCTGCCTCTGCAGCCAGCGGGGTGAACAGCACTCCCGGCCGCAGGAGGACCCTGGGGAAGGGGGAGGGGAAGGAAGCGAGGTCCCAGGGACCCCCAGCCAGGGCCCGGTGTGTGGGCTGCAGGTGGGGCTCCTGGAGCACCTGCCCAGCTCCCTCGGCCATCGGGACCTCCCGGACAGCCATGACCATCTCCACTGGCCCAGTGGTTACCAGGACGCCTGCTGGGCTGCTGCCGCCCACCTGCCCAGAGCTCAGAGGTGTTTGCAATTGATCCTTAATGGCGGAACCCCCTTCTTCCCCAGGCTTCTTCCCAGGGGCCTTCCTTCCTCAGCTGCAGCCACCCCTGGGGTGGGAAATGGGGGGCTGGGAACCCTCCCTTCACCTACTGCTCCCAGGAAAGCCTCCCCCAGAAGCGTCCCCAAGGGCTTCTGCCGCTCCCACCGACTCCCTGGCTCTTCCTGGGTGGCCCCAGCTGGTCCACTGTGGGGGCCATGTTAGCTTCCTTGGACTGCTGTGACAATGACCACAACTCAGGCAGCCTGGAACACAGGTCAGGAGGCCAGAGGTCCTGGTCCAGGGCCTCCAGGAGTGGCTCCTTGCCTCGTGGTTGCGTCTCCCCAGTCTCTGCCTCTGTCCTCACGGGGTCTTCCCTGTGTGTGTCCTCTGCCCTCCTAGGGGGACCCCGTCCCTGAATTTAGGGCCAACGCCCACCCAGTGTGCCCTCAGCTTCACCAGTTACACTTGCAGGGTGCCCGTTTCCAAATGAGGTCCCATTCGGAGACTCAAGGTAGACACGCATTGTGGGGACATGGCTCAGGTCGCACAGGCGCCACCCGCATGTGACTGTCCCTGACCTTGGCATTCGCCAGGTGTGCCCCCGCTTGGCACTGTACTCCCCAGAGCAGCCCCAAGTGGCCCAGGTTGGGAGGACTCCACAGTGTCCTTCCCAGGGACTCTGGCTCTGAGGACGGGACAGCAGCCCCCAGCCTGGCCTGGCCCCAGCACCCCCTGTCCCGAGCCCCCAGCTCCTGGGCCTTCACCTTCCAGGGGCCAGGAGGGTTCTGGATGCTACCCCCCACCCCGGTCCTCACCCCTACGCTCCAGGCGTCCCCCAGTCAGATGGGAGACCAGCTCCTCTCACCCAGTGACATCCAACACACAGAGATTTGGACACAGGCCCAGCCCTTGTCTGCACCTGGGGACCTCTGGCCCCGCCTTGATTTCTTGGGCACCCGGAGGGCAGGAGATCCCAGGGGGCCTCAGGCAGTCAATGCAATCACCCAGTGTCCGGGGCTGCAGTCAGGACCCCCAGCTTCCAGGGAAGGGACAGGAAACGAAAAGTTCAAACTTAAGAGTAAGATTCTGCAGAGGGCAGGCCGGCGGCCTCCACATGGGTCTCATGGTGAGGGGTGGGGTCACCTGCAGGTCCCAGGAAAGGCTGCTGGGAGTGGGGACAGGGACAGCATCGGCACAGCCACCAGTTACGGCTTCTCCTTACTGCTCCTTCACAGGCAGAAGCCGAGCCGACGCCCCGGTGAGCTCACAGCCCAGGTGACCCCATAGCCCAGTGAGCCCACAGCCCAGCGACCCCACAGCCAGGTGACCCCATAGCCCAGTGACCCACAGCCAGGTGACCCCATAGCCCAGGGAGCCCACAGCCCAGGGAGCCCATGCCCCAGGTGAGGTGCATCTGGCCGTATTCAGCCCTGAGTGTCCAAACCATGTAGGGGCCTCTGTCCCTGGCTTCATGGGGGCCGCCCTGAGACTCCAGGGTCTGAGGATGCTTGGCCAGGCCCTGGCTGTGGGGGGCTTTGCCAGCCTCACCAGCTCCCCTCTGATCCAGCTGTGGCTGAGGACCTGCGGCTGCCTGGGGTTCAGGGCCCTAGGCCCCCATCTCTGACCAGATACAGCCCCTGGCCCTCCCGACCCGGGGAGCTTCCGGCCGGGGGCCCTGGGTGCGCCCGCCCTCGTGGCTCAGAACCCCGGGGCCGGACCTGCAGAGGGTGGGGGTTCTGCCGCTCCTGGCAGTGGCTGCGGCGCCCTCTGCCGCATGCTGTGGAATGGCCGGGGCCTGCGGAGGGAAGGGCGGGAGCCAACCCGGCCTGGGGTCTGGGCACTGCAGGCCTCCATCTTGCGGGTCTCAGCAGGGATGGGGTCAGCCGGGGCCCCGAGGGAACTCCAGTGGAGGACCCAGAAGGGCCTCTGGGCCCCTGTGTTCTGTCCTGAAAGGCGCGGGCGGCAGGAAATGGCCAGCCCAGGCTTCGGGCGCAGGTGGACCTCAGCTCGGCCTCGTCGGTGCTGGTCACTGTCCTGGACGCCAAGGGTGAGGAAATGAGACCCAGCCCCTCGTGAAGGAGGCGTGTGCGGGGGCTCGGCGGGCATTGCCCTCGGGAAGCGGAAGGGGTTCCCGCGGAGCGGACAGCCTGGAAACACCGGCCCTGTGATGGCCCCAGGACGTCCGCGCCCGAACCCCCAGCACCGACACAGCTGAGGGACGGCGGGCGTGGCTAAGCGAAGGACCTGGAGACAGGCGGTCACCTGGTGGATCCTTGTTGGAGGGAGGCAGGAGGCTGAGAGGATGGAAGAGGCCACGCTGCTGGCTTTGGAGCTGGAGGCAGCGGCCAGGAGCCGGGACGCGGGAGCCTCTGGATGCTGGAGGGGGGTGAGCCGTGGCTGCCTGAACCTCGGCGCTTCCCCCGCCCCTGGAGAGAAAGCCTCAGAGGGGTGACCTGCTTCCCCAGCAAGGCCGCACGCTTCTCCCGCCCCAGGGCCCTGGGTTTTCCCGCTGTCCTCTGACTCGGGTGCTGGGGGCCTGCCTGTGACCCCGCCCGTGACCCCACCTGTCCCGGAGCTGTCTGGATGCTCGTCTCTGCCTGACAGGAGACCACAGAGAAAACCCTAGTCTGGAATGGAAAATTCTAGAGTGGGCGCAAACCGGAGCAGACAGGCATTTGGGAGGAGGTGCTGGGGCAGAGCAGTGTGGGACTGTCATGGACACCCGGGGAGCTGGCCTGAGGCTCAGGGGTGACAGTGCCACTGCACCGGTCCAAGCAGGCAGCGAAGGGGAACCCAGGGGTGGCCGGAGGGGCGAGGGTGGGATATGGGGACCCCCTGGGGGACGGGTGGATGAATTAGCTCCTCGCTAATTAGCCCCCTACCCCTGAGTTCTGAGACTCAGGAGGCCTTCAGGAGGAGGTGACTGCGGTTTCTGGTGAGGCTGGGTGGGGCAGCAGCCTCTGGGGCATCTGGGATGGTGGAGAAATGCACGTCCCACACCACTGCCTGCCTGTGTCCTGCCTGGGGTGGGGGGGGCGGCCGGGGCCAGGCCGAGGAGCACAGGAGGCCCCGGCAGTGGGGCTGGGCCCGGGCGTCTTCCAGCATCTGCGGCCAGCGCGCCTCTCGTCGGGGGGCAGCATCGGGCCCAACCGAGCTCCCGGCCCACAGCCCCGCCGGCTCCCACCCTTGCTGTGGGGCCTCAGGCCTGGGAGGAAGGCGCTGCCCTTCCGAGTGCAGCATGCCTGCTGTGCCCACGGACCCCAGATTGATCTTCCTGGAGAAAATCAATAGCTCCAATATGCCAGCTCTCAAGAGGCTCTGCGGCTAGTCACCCGCCATTAGGCACACGAGGGCTGCAGCCTCCGCCGCCCATTAGCGGGACATTAGGCCTCCCACGAAATTTCTCTGTGTGCTTTGAGATAATGAAGGCCGAGGTGTTGGTTTACGTCCCTGGGGGAGGGGGAGGATGACAGCAGCTTTCTGGGCAGGGCCAGTGCCAGCTCCACATGGACTCACCAAGGAGAGCAGGGCCCCGGGGACACAGGCGCCCCGGCACATCCGGCTGTGGCTTTTCCCACCCGGGGTCAAGCAGACACACAGCATTCGGGGGGCGGGAGGGAGTCAACGCCCACCAGTCAATGGCCACTGGGGGCAGATGGGCACCACGGGAGCCGGCGGTGCGCTCACGCCTGGAGTCCCAGCTCCTCCAAAGTGTTACATTAGATTTAGTCGTTAGAAGAGATAGTAGATTTAGTCGTTAGTAGAAGTGTCGTTAGATTTAGGGCCCACCCTGGTCCAGAAGGGCCTCGTCTTAACTAATGACATTGGCAAAGACCCTGTTTCCAGACAAGGTCAAGTTCTTGTGTTCTGAGGGGACGTGAATTTGGGGCACTGCTGAACCCGGGGTGGCGTCTTCCAGTCCTCACAGTGGGCTGAGTGGGACGGGGGATGCCCATTTCACACTCTTCCCAGGTGTCTCATTTCTGTTTGAGACTGAGATTAACTTGGTGGCCTGGCCCCTCAGAGGCTGGCCCGCCCCCCGAGTGAAGCCTCAGCCCCTGCCTGTACCTTCCAGCTCTGCCCCTGACTCTGCTGTCCTGGGGCAGCTTGTGCGCAACTGCCCAAAACCACAACAACCAGGAAGGTGCACCAGCCCAACCCAAAGGCTCCATGGCTAACCAGAGGGCCCTTCGATTTCCACCTCCTTCAGGAAGCCCCCCTGGGCTGCACACCAGGATGAGGCTGACCAGTCCTCCCCAACCACACTTTGAGCCCCCTCCTCCCACAACAGTGGGTGCTCCCAGGTCCCTACAGGGGGACTGGTTTGGCAGTGATTCCAGGTGGGGTTCTGGGGTAGAACAGGTGGGGCAGGGCCCGTTGAGGAGGACCTGGGCAAACAGGTGCCTCTGTTGACACAGCAGCCCCAAACACAGTCTGGGGCCAGGCCGCCCAGGTGTTGCTGAGCTCAGGACACCTCCAGCCCCCCTTCCTGGCCTTGATGCCAAGAGTTCCTGGGGGAACAGAACTGGTCCCAGATCTGGCGCTTCTTCTGCTGGGAAGCACGTGCAGGAGCCGGTGCTCCAGAGGCGAGCAGATTCTGGCTCAGGGGAAGGGGCTTGTCCAGGGCCATCCGGCCACACACAGTGCAGCAGATGGGCCGAGGTCCCCGCCACCACCCGGGCGACAGGAGGGGTGACCTGCACCGGAAGTCAGGAGCAGGCCTTCTAGCTCCAGGGCCATCCTGAGAGGAAAGAAGCACTTCACCTTTCCCCATTCATTGGAGGCACGTCCAGGCTTCCAACTAACCTCTCTACGGGAATGAATGTGAATTCCTCTCAAACTCTGGGCATAAGAAATGACACGTTTTTGTTACATAGACATATTGCAAAAATAAAAAATAAAAAGATGTATTGGGTGTGGTGGCTCATGCCTGTAATCCCAGCACTTTGGGAAGCTGAGGCAGGCAGGTCACTTGAGGTCAGGAGTTCGAGACCAGCCTGGCCAACATGGTGAAACTATGTCTCTACTAAAAATAAAAAAATTAGCCGGGCATGGTGGTGGGTGCCAGCAATCCCAGCTACTCGGGAGGCTGAGGTGGGAGAATCACTTGAACCCGGGAAGCAGAGGTTGCAGTGAGTTGAGATTGCACCACTGCACTCCAGCCTGGGTGACAAGAGCGAGACTCCATTGCAAAAAAGATAAATAAAATAAATTTTTAAAAGATGGAAACACACACACACACAGAAATGACATGTTTTCTTTTTTTTTTTTTTTTTTTCCTGAGACAGTGTCTTGCTCTGTCGCTTAGGCTGGAGTGCAGTGGTGCGATCTTGGCTCACTGCAACCTCCACCTCCCGTGTTCAAGCAGTTCTCCCACCTCAGCCTCCCTAGTAGCTGGGACTACAGGCATGCGCCACCACGCCTGGCGAATGTTTGTATTTTCAGTAGAGACGGGGTTTCACCATGTTGGCCAGGCTGGTCTTGAACTCCTGACCTCAGGTGATCTGCCCACCTTGGCCTCCCAAAGTGCTGTGATTACAGGTGTGAACCACCATGCCTGGCCTTATTTTCTAAATTTAAAAAAAAAAAAAATTAGGCCTGGCACAGTGACTCACGCCTGTAATCCCAGCACTTTGGGAGGCCAAGGCGGGAGGATCACGAGGTCAGGAGGTCGAGACCAGCCTGGCCACTATGGTGAAACCCTGTCTCTGCTAAAAATACAAAAATTAGCTGGGCATGGTGGTGGGTGCCTGTAATCCCAGCTACTTGGGAGGCTGAGGCAGGAAGAATCACTTGAACCCAGGAGGCAGAGCTTGCAGTGAGCCCAGATTGCGCCACTGCACTCCAGCCTGGGCAACAGAGCAAGACTCCATCTCAAAAAAAAAAAAAATTACCCAGGCATGACGGCACCCACCTGTAGTCCCAGCTACTTGAGAGGCTGAGGTGGGAGGATGGTGGGAGCCCAGGAGGTCGAGGCTGCAGTGAGCTATGACGGCGCCTCTGCACTCCAGCCTGGTCTTTTGAACAAGACTTTGTCTCAAACAAAAAACGGGGGGGTCCCGTTGCTTTGGGGTGCTCCTTGTCAAGCCTTCATGGTGAGGGGTTAATGCAGCCGCCGGAAGGTTTCGTCCCGCCTGCTGCACAGACAAAATCAATTCACTGAGACCACAGCATTGCAGTAAAGAAAGACTTTAATTGACTTGAGGCAGGCCCCGCCACTCAGGAGACGAGTCATTACACACATCAGTCTCCCCAAAGGCGCCAAGGTTCGGGCTTTTCAGGCACTGGTGAGGCTGCTCTGTCTATGGAGTAGCCATTCTTTTTTTTTTTTTTTTTTGAGATGGAGTTGCCCAGGCTGGAGTTTAATGGTGCGATCTAGGCTCACTGCAACCTCCGCCTCCCAGGTTCAAGTGATTCTCCTGCCTCAGCCTCCGGAGTAGCTGGGATTACAGGCGCGCACCACCATGCCCTGGAGTAGCCATTCTTTTACTCCTTTACTTGCCTAATAAACTTGCTTTCACTTTACTCTATGGACTTGACGTGACTTCTTTCTTGCGTGAGATCCAAGAACCCTCTCTTGGGGTCTGGATCAGGACCCCTTTCCTGTAACATATTTCTGGGGAACCACAGAAGAGACTGTCGTGTGGAAGCCCCCTTCCCAAAGGCTAACTTTGGGAAAGTGTTGGGGTCCTGTAACATCTTTCTGGTGAACCCTGAAGGGACAATACTCAGGGGACCCCAGACCCAAAGGAAATAGAAGACTCTGCAGCCCTGATTGGACGACTCTGGGTAAGTGGCAGGTCTCCGGTAAAGAATGGGAGTGGGGCCGGGGCACAGTGGCTCACACCTGTAATCCCAGCACGTTGGGAGGCCGAGGTGGGCGGATCACAAGGTCAGGAGATCGAGACCATCCTGGCTAACACGGTGAAACCCCGTCGCTACTAAAAAATACAAAAAAAATTAGCCTGGCTAACACGGTGAAACCCCGTCGCTACTGAAAAATACAAAAAAAATTAGCCAGGCGTGGTGGCAGGCACCTGTGGTCCCACTACTCGGGAGGCTGAGGCAGGAGAATGGCATGAACCCGGGAAGTGGAGCTTACAGTGAGCTGAGATCGCGCCACTGCACTCCAGCCTGGGCGACAGAGCAAGACTCCGTCTCAAAAACATAAAATAAAAAATAAAGAACGGGAGTAGGGTAGAGGCCCAACTTAGGGGAATTAGAGTCTCTCCTAAAACAGAGAGGGGCATGGTGGCTCACGCCTATAATCCCAGCACTCTGAGAGGCTGAGGTGGGTGGATCACTTGATGCCAGGAGTTCGAGGCCAGCCTGGGCAATATGGCGAAACCCCGTCTTTACTAAAAATACAAAAAAATTAGCGGAGTGCAGTGGCTCACCTCCCAGCACGTTGGGAGGCCAAGGTGGGCAGATCACCTGAGGTCAGGAGTTTGAGACCAGCCTGGCCAACATGGGGAAAACCCATCTCTACTAAAAACACAAAAAAATTAGTTGGGTGTGGTGGTGCCCACATGTAATCCCAGCTACTTGGGAGGCTGAGGCCGGAGAATCGCTTGAACCCGGGAGGCAGAAGTTGCAGTGAGCCTAGATCCCACCATTGCACTCCAACCCTGGCGATGAGAATGAAACTCCTCCTCAATAAATAAATAAGTAAATAAATAAAGGCTGGGCGTGGTGGCTCACGCCTATAATCCCAGCACTTTTAGAAGCCAAGGCCGGCGGATCACCTGAGGTCAGGAGTTCGAGACTAGCCTGGCTAACATGGTGAAACCCCGTCTCTACTAAAAATACAAAAATTAGCCAGGCTTGGTGGTGGGCGCCTGTGGTCCCAGCCAGTCAGGAAGCTGAGGTGGGAGAATCACTTGAGCCCGGGAGGCAGAGGTCTAAGTGCCGAATGGGTTCAACTTGCCTGCTGCCTAGAGAGAGCCAATTTATCAAGACAGGGGGAGTGCAATAGAGAAGGAGTAATTCACGCAGAGCTGGCTGTGCGGGACACAGGAGTTCTATTATTACTCAAATCAGTCAGCCGGAGCATTTGGGGATAGGAATTTTTAAAGATAATTTGGAGGGTAGAGGCTTGGGAAGTGGGGAGTGCTGGTTGGTCAGGTTGGAGATGGACTCACGTTCAGACTCTTCTGTTCCTGGCGGGCATGGCAGAACCGGTTGGGCCAGATGACCGGTCTGGGTGGTACCAGCTGATCCATCCAGTGCACGCTCTGCTAAATATTTCAGGCACTGATCTTTGAGCTTAGGTTTTTGTTGTTGTTGTGCTTTTTGAGACAGAGTCTTGCTCCGTCACCCAGGCTGGAGCACAATGGCATGATCTTGGCTCACTGCAACTTCCACCTCCAGGGTACAAGCGATTCTTCTCCTTCAGCTTCCCAAGTAGCTGGAACTACAAGCGAGCGCCACCACCCCAGGCTACTTTTTGTATTTTTAGTAGAGACAGGGTTTCACCATACTGGCCAGGCTGGTCTCAAACTCCTGACCTCGTGATCCACCCGACTTGGCCTCCCAAAGTGCTGGGATTACAGGCGTGAGCCACCACACCCGGCCTGATCTTAGATTTTACAATAGTGATGTTATCCCCAGGAGCAATTTGGGGAGGTTCAGACTCTTTTTTTTTTTCAGACTGAGCCTCGCTCTGTCGCCCAGGCTGGAGTACAGTGGCTCCATCTCGGCTCACTGCAACCTCTGCCTCCCAGGTTCAAGCGATTCTCCTGCCTCAGCCTCCCGAGTAGCTGGGACTACAGGCGCCCGCCACCACGCCCGGCTAATTTTTTGTATTTTTAGTAGAGACAGGGTTTCATCGTATTAGCCAGGATGGTCTCGATCTCCTGACCTCATGATCTGCCCGCCTCGGCCTCCCAAAGTGCTGGGATTACAGGCGTGAGCCACGGCGCCCGGCCAATTTCTAATTTTGCAGCTGATTTATTAGTCCTGCAAAGGCAGACTGGTCTTCAGGCAAGACGGGGGTTTTTTCTGGAAAGGGCTGTTGACTTTGATTCAGAGTGAAACCATGAACTGAAATCCTTCCCAAAGTTAGCTCTGCCCACGCCCAGGAATGAACCAGGACAGCTTAAGGGTGGGAAGCACGACGGAGCCCCTTAGGTCTCATCTCTTCCACTGTCATTTCCTCAGTGATAATTTTTGCAAAGGCGGTTTCAGAGGCCGCAGTGACGTGAGATCGCGCCACTGCACTCCAGCCTGGGCGACAGAGAGAGTCCCTGTCTCACGAAAAGAACTAAACGGAAAAAAAAAAAAAAAAAAAATAGGGCGGTGCCACGGCCTTCGGGGAAGCCGGCAGAGAGGTGCGGGCGCCCAGCCCAGGGCAGGCGGGCAGGGCTGAGGGCGCGGATCCCCAACCAGGCCCCGCGCACCTTCATGACGGTTCAGAACTGCTCCGAGGCAAACTCAGACAACTCTCTGAGGACAACGTCCGCCCCCGCGGCGCCCGCCTCTCTTCGGGGCCAGGGACCGGGGTGTCGGTCCTATTCGAAAGGGACGGAGAACTACATTTCCCGGCATGCCATCGCGCACTCCGGGCCTGCGACGGAAAGAGCTCTTCGCAGCCGAACGTCATTTCCGCTGCGCTACTGGGACCACGTTCTGTAGTCGTGAGCGGAGGCCTGGTATGGCGCCCGGTTTCCGGTTTCCGGCGACGGAAGTGACGCTATCACGGCGCGCCAAGGCGTCAGTCGAGGAGTCAAGGCAGCAATGAATCGTGTCTTGTGTGCCCCGGCGGCCGGGTGAGCTCCTCAAGGTCTCGGAGGGCCGAGGGCAGACACCGGCGGGCGGGCGGAGCGCTTACTGCTCTCTCTCTTCCAGGGCCGTCCGGGCGCTGAGGCTCATAGGCTGGGCTTCCCGAAGCCTTCATCCGTTGCCCGGTTCCCGGGATCGGGCCCACCCTGCCGCCGAGGAAGAGGACGACCCTGACCGCCCCATTGAGTTTTCCTCCAGCAAAGCCAACCCTCACCGCTGGTCGGTGGGCCATACCATGGGAAAGGGACATCAGCGGCCCTGGTGGAAGGTGCTGCCCCTCAGCTGCTTCCTCGTGGCGCTGATCATCTGGTGCTACCTGAGGGAGGAGAGCGAGGCGGACCAGTGGTTGAGACAGGTGTGGGGAGAGGTGCCAGAGCCCAGTGATCGTTCTGAGGAGCCTGAGACTCCAGCTGCCTACAGAGCGAGAACTTGACGGGGTGCCCGCTGGGGCTGGCAGGAAGGGAGCCGACAGCCGCCCTTCGGATTTGATGTCACGTTTGCCCGTGACTGTCCTGGCTATGCGTGCGTCCTCAGCACTGAAGGACTTGGCTGGTGGATGGGGCACTTGGCTATGCTGATTCGCGTGAAGGCGGAGCAGAATCTCAGCAGATCGGAAACTGCTCCTCGCCTGGCTCTTGATGTCCAAGGATTCCATCGGCAAGACTTCTCAGATCCTTGGGGAAGGTTTCAGTTGCACTGTATGCTGTTGGATTTGCCAAGTCTTTGTATAACATAATCATGTTTCCAAAGCACTTCTGGTGACACTTGTCATCCAGTGTTAGTTTGCAGGTAATTTGCTTTCTGAGATAGAATATCTGGCAGAAGTGTGAAACTGTATTGCATGCTGCGGCCTGTGCAAGGAACACTTCCACATGTGAGTTTTACACAACAACAAATGAAAATAAATTTTAATTTTATAATATGGGATTAGATGATTCCCTTTTTTTGCATCTAGTTTTTAAAAAGGGGGTATTTGGGCAGCTATTGTTTTTTATTTTAATCTCTTCTTGTTTACCAGAGCACGTAAGTTAGTTGCACCAGCAGCTATTTTTAAAAGTTTCCTTTTCCGGTCGGGCGCGGTGGCTGACGCCTGTAATCCCAGCACTTTGGGAGGCTGAGGCGGGCGGATCACGAGGTCAGGAGATCGAGACCATCCTGGCCAACACGGTGAAACCCTGTGTCTACTAAAAAATACAAAAAATTAGCCGGGCGTGGTGGCGGGCCCCTGGAGTCCCAGCTACTCCGGAGGCTGAGGCAGGAGAATGGCGTGAACCCTGGAGGCGAAGCTTGCAGTGAGTCGAGATCGCGCCACTGCACTCCAGCCTGCACGACAAAGCGAGACTCCGTCTCAAAAAAAAAAAAAAAGTTTCGTTTTCCTTTTTTTTTTTTTTTCCAGAGTGGGAACTGAGGAAAGAAACCTACATATATATTACCGAATAGTACCAGAAATGAGGAACTTTTGCAGTTTTCTGCAAAACTTTTTAAGCAAGGCAACCATTTTCTGAGTAGAATACAACTAGTGAGTATTTCTTTTCACAAATGATGGGCACTATTTTGGGTTACCTAAGTGATTGTTTTTTGTTTTTTTGTTTTGTTTTGTTTTGTTTTTATTTTTGAGACAGGGTCTCACTCTGTCTCCCAGACTGGAGTGCAGTGGCACAATTTTGGCTCACTGCAACCTCTTGTCTCCTGGGTTCAAGCAGTTCTTCTGCCTCAGCCTCCCGAGTAGCTAGAACTACAGGCTTGTGCCACCACACCCGGATAATTTTTAAATTTTCAGTAGAGACGGGCTTTTGGCATGTTGGCCAGGCTGGTCTCAAACTCCTGACTTCAAGTGATCTCTCCTCCTCGGCCTCTCACAGTGCTGGGATTACAGATGGGAGCCACCGCGCCCGGCCCCAGATTGTTTTCTCTTTTTTTTTTTGAGATTGAGTCTTGCTCTGTCACCTAGGCTAGAGTACAGTGGCTCCATCTTGGCTCACTGCAACCTCCACCTCCTGGGTTCAAGCGACTCTCCTGCCTCAGCCTCCAGGGTAGCTGGGATTACAGGCACGCACCGCCACACCCGTCTAATTTTTGTATTTTTAGTAGAGACGGGGTTTCGCCATGTTGGCCAGGCTGGTCTCAGATTCCTGACCTCAAGTGATCTGCCCGCCTTGGCCTCCCAAAGTTCTGGGATTATAGGCATGAGCCACTGCGCCCGGTCAATTGTTTTCATACATATATACCTATACATGTTTCAGAGACATGCAGCAGATCCCAAGTGCCTCCAGGGCAGCGATCTGGGAGGGCTTTTCCAGTTGCTGACCTCACACCTGTGCCGTAGACAGACCCAAGGCCAGCTGGGGATGGTGGGCGGATCTTCCCTACTCCTGGAGTTTTCAAAGGATGGCAACAGAGCAGGTTGATAGGTGAACAGTTAATTCAGTACAGTTAGTATTTATTATTATTTTTTGAGATGGAGTCTTGCTCTGTTGCCCAGGCTGGAGTGCAATGGTACAGTCTTGGCTCACTGCAACCTCCGCCTCCGGGGTTCAAGCAATTCTCCCGCCCCAGCCTCCTGAGTAGCTGGGATTACAGGCGTGCACCACCATGCCCGGCTAATTTTTCTATTTTTAGTAGAGACAGGGTTTCACCATGTTGGCCAGGCTTGAACTCCTGACCTTAGGCAATCTGCCCACCTCGGCCTCCCAAAGTGCTGGGATTACAGGCAGGAGCCACTGCGCCCAGTTGTATTTAACTATTTTTGTAGTGTGTTTGTCTTGTTTTCCCAACTGGGCTGTAGCTTTTATTTTCCCCAGGGTACATGGCACACTGACCTCCCCAGATAAGCATTTGAGAGGGAGACCATTGTAAGCATGCTAGAACAGACGCAGCTGCAGCGATTCCTAAGATGACAAATGGCTGGGCAGGAGGTGGAAATTGTTTTTTGTTTTTTTGTTTTTTTTTTGAGACGGAGTCTCGCTCTGTCACCCAGGCTTGAGTGTGGTGGCACGATCGCGGCTCACAGCAACCTCTGCCTCCCGGGTTCAAGCAATTCTCCTGCCTCAGCCTCCTGAGTAGCTGGGATTACAGGCGTGCACCACTGCGCCCAGCAATTTTTTTTTGTATTTTCAGTAGAAACGGGGTTTCACCATGTTGGCCAGGCTGGTCTTGAACTCCTGACCTCAGGTAATCCACCCACCTTGGCCTCCCAAAGTGTTAGGATTACAGGTGTGAGCCACTGCACCCAGCCGGAAATTGTTTTAAAACAAAAATTCTTGAACGGGCGCAGTGGCTCATGCCTGTAATCCCAGCACCTTGGGAGGCCGAGGCGGGCGGATCATAAGGTCAGGAGATCGAGACCATCCTGGCTAACATGGTGAAACCCCGTCTCTACTAAAAATAGAAAAAATTAGCCAGGCGTGGTGGCGGGCGCCTGTAGTCCCAGCTACTCAGGAGGCTGAGGCAGGAGAATGGCTTGAACCCGGGAGGTGGAGCTTGCAGTGAGCTGAGATCATGCCACTGCACTCCAGGCTGGGCGACAGAGTGAGACTCTGTCTCAGAAAAAAAAAAAAAAAAAAAAATTCTTTCAAGGAAGATGTTAACCAAACCATCTCAAAAACAAAAACAAAAAATTCTTTCAAGGAAGGTGTTAACCAAATGGTCACGTCTAAGCTGATGAACTGTCTATATAACTCAGGTACCACCCTAGACTTTAAAGAACATTTCTTCCAAAGCATGAAAAAACATGATACTTTCAATCCTTAAGTCTTACATCAGTTTCCTTTGATTTCTTCAAGGAAGATGCCCCCAGGGTGTGGAGGAACAGCAGGTGTCTTCACTCATACCTTTACAGCAAAGATCCCCAAATTCCTAAACCCTAAGGCTCCAAATCTGTTTCCTAGCTTTAGCAGGCTCCCTAGACACCTCTGCTGGACAGCTCACAGGCTCCTTAAACTCCAAAATGGAATTCATCTCCCCCAAACCTGTTTCTTCTCCCTTGCTCTGTATCCTTGCAAGCGAGAGACCTGGGCGTCACCCTAGACTCCCTTTCCATTCCTAGCACCTTGGGAGTCTTCAAGATCTGTTTATTCGTCTCTGAAGAATTTGCAGGCCCTGCCCTTCCTGCTTGACTTCATTTTCCTGCTTGACTTCACTTGAAAATATGTTCTTCATTATCATTTTAAGATTTAAATGTAATGTTTGTAGAGATAATTCATTAAGAAAATGTGATCCTGGCTGGCGCGGTAGCTCACGCCTGTAATCCCAGCACTTTGGGAGGCTGAGGCAGGTGGATCACCTGAGGTCGGGAGTTCGAGATCAGCCTAACTAATGTGGAGAAACCCCGTCTCTACGAAAAATAAATTAGCTGGGCGCGGTGGTGCATGCCTGTAATCGCAGCTACTCAGGAGGCTGAGGTAGGAGAATTCCTTGAACCTAGGAGGCGGAGGTTGCAACAGTGAGCCGAGATCGTGCCATTGCACTCCACTCTGGGCAACAAGAGCAAAACTCCTTCCTCCCCCCGCCCCCCGCCAAAAGAAAAAGAAAATGTGAACCTATGAAGAAATTTATCCTACCAGCAAATGATAGTTTTTGTTGTTTTACAGTATTAATATTAAAAAAAACCCTGAGATACTTGGAACAAATCTGTAGGAAGTGATTTGCTTTCAACCTAAATGGGCCCATTTTTCTTTTCGTTTTTTTTTTTTTTTTTTTTTTTTTTTTTTGAGACGGAGTCTCGCTCTGTTGCCCAGGCTGGAGTGCAGTGGCGCGATCTCGGCTCACTGCAAGCTCCGCCTCCTGGGTTCAAGTGATTCTCCTGCCTTAGCCTCCTGAGTAGCTGGGACTACAGGTGCCCACCACCACGCCCGGGTAATTTTTTTTTTTTTTTTTGTATTTTTAGTAGAGACGGGGTTTCACCGTGTTAGCCAGGATGGTCTCGATCTTCTGACCTCGTGATCCGCCCACCTCGGCCTCTCAAAGTGCAGGGATTATAGGCGTGAGCCACCGCGCCCGGCCAATGGGCACATTTTTCATATCACTAAAAATTTCTTTTTTATTTTTTGAGACAGGGTGTTACTCTGTCACCCAGGCTGGAGTGCAGTGGCGCAATCTCGGCTCACTACTAAACCTCCGCCTCCCGGGTTCACGCCATTCTCCTGCCTCAGCCTCCGGAGTAGCAGGAATTACAGGCGCAAGCCACCACACCCCACTAATATTTTTGTATGTTTAGTAGAGACGGGGTTTCACTGTTGGCCAAGCTGTTGTCAAACTCCCGAACTCAGCTGATCCGCCGGCCTCGGCCTCCCAAAGTGCTGGGATTACAGGCGTGAGACACCGCGCCCGGCCTCCTACCACTAAAAATTCTTCGGAAGCACTGTTTCAAATCACGCAGAGCACTTAGAGTTTTCCCTTTTCTCAGCTACTGCGCTGTTGGGGGAAGGGGGACCTCAAGTGTTTGCAAAATAACTGTGATAATTACCTTTGTAGATAAATCTCTGAGTATAAGTTTTTGAGGTCAAGGTTCGAAATGGAACAAATTCCTTTCTACAAAGGCCAGGACCCCTTGGCCCTTCCGCCCGGTGCCTGGCTCCCCCTGACATCAGCCTCTTGGTTCGTTTGTGGAAGAGCAGCTCTATTGAGATACAACTCTTGTGATTAATTCATGTAAAATACACGGTTATGTCGGGTCATGTCACAGCAGGGGCGACCATCGCGGGTCCCACGCGCGGCCCCGGGCAGGACCAGCGTCCCGGGCCGGGGGCTGCAGGGCAGGGCAGGGCAGGGCAGGGCAGGGCAGGGCAGGGCAGGGCAGGGCGGGGCGCGGGGCTGGGGCGGGGTCTGCGGGCCGGGGGCGGGGCTGCGGGGGGCGCGGGGCTGGGGCGGGGCCGGGGTCTGCGGGCTGGGGGCGGGGCCGCGGGGGGCGTGGCCGCGGGGGCGCGCGGGGATATCCGGGGGCGGGGGCGCCGGCGCGGCGCATGCGCGCTGCATTGTTTTGACTGAAAATGCCGTCGGTTTCGAAAGCGGCGGCAGCGGCGCTGAGCGGGTCCCCCCCGCAGACTGAGAAGCCGACCCACTACAGGTCAGCGCCCGTCCGGCCTGCGGCCCCCCGCCCGCGCCCGGTGCAGCTCGGAGCCTCCCGCCGGGGCTCGCGCCGCCTCCGCCGCCCCCGCGCCCCCCGGCCTCCGCGCAGCGCCTGGGCTGGGGGGGCCACGACCCTCTGCTCTCGGCGGCCTCCGCCTGAGGTCGGAGCGCGGCGCCCATGGTCTGGGATGGCACCTGGTTCCGGGGTCCACGCGCCTCTGGGGAGGGAGGAACGCCCCGGGGTTGGGGGTTGCGCCTGGGCTCGGGGACCGGGACCCTCTGCTCCGGCTGCCGACCGTGAGGTCACAGCGGGTCGCCCAGGGTCCGGGGTGGCGCTTGGGCTTGGGGACCAGGGTCAGCGCCTGGGCTACGAGGTCGGGTGAGGGTCGCGTCTGGAGTCGGGATGGGGGTGGGCGCAGCGCCTGGGGCCCGCCGGGAATGTGAGTACGGGTCGACCCTGGGTTGAGGCTCCTGAGGCCGGTGGGTCCCGCCGCCCACGAGTCCGAGTCCCTGGAGGTGCTGCCGGAAGCGAGCCGCGGCGCTGTCTGTGTTTGTAGGTACCTGAAGGAGTTCAGGACGGAGCAGTGCCCCCTGTTTTCACAGCACAAGTGCGCGCAGCACCGGCCGTTCACCTGCTTCCACTGGCACTTCCTCAACCAGCGGCGCCGCAGGCCCCTCCGCAGGCGCGACGGCACCTTCAACTACAGCCCCGACGTGTACTGCTCCAAGTACAACGAAGCCACCGGCGTGTGCCCCGACGGCGACGAGTAAGCGGCCGCGAGGGGGCGCCGCTGCCTGGGCGGAGGTGGGGGGCCTCCACCCGGGGATGCGGCCGGGACCCTCAGCGGACGCCTTAGTGTCCATACCTGGCCCCTGCAGAGGGAGTCGTAATTATACGCTGAAATTTTCTAGTGACCAGGGATGCTGGGGCGGCATTTCCTATTCTCAGGCCAGTTCCCGAGGGATTATGTGTGTTTTAGGGGTAACCCTTGTGTGACTCAAACCAATTTTGCTTCACCTCCCACTTTTTTTTGTTTGTTTTTTGAGACGGAGTTTCACTCTTGTTGCTCTGGCTGGAGTGCAATGGCATGATCTCGGCTCACTGCAGCCTCTACCTCCCAGGTTCAAGTGATTCTCCTGCCTCAGCCTCCGGAGTAGCTGGGATTACAGGCATGTGCCACCATGCCCAGCTAATTTTTTATTTTTAGTAGAGACAGGGTTTCTCCATGTTGGTTAGGCTTGTCTCGAACTCCCAACCTCAGGTGATCCACCCACCTCGGCCTCCCAAAGTGCTGGGATGACAGGCATGAGCCACCGTACCCGGCCCCACTTTTTTTTTTTTTTTTTTTTTTTTTTTTTTTTTTTTTTTGAGACAGGGTCTTGCTCTGTCGCTGGGGCTGGAGTGCAATGATAGGATACGGCTCACTGCAGCCACCAACTCCTAGGCTCAAGTGATCTTCCCTTCTCAGCCTCCCAAGTAGCTGGGACTACAGGCTCATGCCATGCCAGCTAATTTTGCATAGTTTTTGTAGGGATGGGGTCTCACTACATTGCCCAGGCTGGTCTTGAACTTCTGGGCTCAAGCAATCCTCCTGCTTCAGCCTCCCAAAGTGCTGGGATTCCAGGTGTGAGCCACTGTGCCTAGCTGTTTCCCACTCTGATTTGACACAGTTCCTGCATGAGAACCAACCTCTGGCCAAGTGCCTTGTTTTGTGTTTCTATAGAGACAGGGTTCTTGCTGTAGCCTGGTCTGGTCTCAACCTCCTGGGCACAGCGATCCTCCCTCCTTGGCCTCCCAAAGTACTGGGATTCCAGGCATGATCCACTGCGCCCGGCCAGGTTTTGAAGCGTTTTGTAGTGGTCGGTTGCTTTCCACACAGAGAGCTTGTTAGAATATTCACGCTGTAGAATATATCTGGGATGTTTCGTCTCTTGATGTTTACGTATTTATTTTAATTTTAAGACAGTAAAGTTTTTATGTGCAGGCTCATTTATGTAGCATCGAGACTGAGTCTCGCTCTGTCACCCAGGTTGGAGTGCAGTGACTTGATCTTGGCTCACGGCAACCTCTGCCTTGTGCAGGTTTAAGTGACCTGCCTCAGCCTCCTGAATAGCTGGGATTACAGGCACCCGCCACCACGCCTAGCTAAGTTTTTGTATTTTTAATAGAGTTGAGGTTTCGCCATGTTGGCGAGGCTGGTCTCGAACTCCTGACCTCAGGTGATTCTCCCTCCTTGGCCTCCCAAAGTGCTGGGATTACAGGCGTGAGCCACCACGCCTGGCCCCTATGTAGCACTTTTAAAGTTAAGAAATCAAGGTTTTGTTTTGGTTGATTTTTTTCTTTTTTTACAAGGTTCCTAATAGTGTTATGAACAGATGTCTTTATTCTGAAGTATGCAAAATGGGAAAACAGGGAAAATACAAGTCAGATTATATATTCACAGACTGGCGGGAGGTGGTATCAGGTTCTACTTGCTTCCTGTGGGCTGCTGGCGGAGGGTGGAGGGCGGAGGGTGGTCCATTCCTGCCTAGGGGTGAGACAGCAGCAGTTGCGGTCTTGAAGTCTTCATCCCCTGATCTTTTGGAAGGAGCTGATTCTCCAGGGACCTTCCTGTTGAAGGCTGCTTTCAGCACGGAGATCCTTGTGAAGTCTGTTTTCCTTTATTTTTTCAACAGTGCTTAGCCTAGGCGATAAATTAAAAAAAATTTTTTTTAAGGACGCTAGAAACTTTAAATACTGAAATGTTTTTAATTGTACATTAGTTAAATAGTGTTTGTTTTGTTTTTGTTTTGAGACGAAGTCTCTGTCACCCAGGCTGGAGTGCAGTGGCGCCATCTCAGCTCACTGCAACCTCCGCCTCCCAGGTTCAAGCGATTCTCCTGCCTCAGCCTCCCGAGTAGCTGGGATTACAGGCGCGTGCCACCACGCCCAGCTAATTTTTGTATTTTTAGTAGAGACGGGATTTCTACATGTTGGTCAGGCTGGTCTTGAACTTCTGACCTCGTGATCTGCCCGCCTCGGCGTCCCAAAGTGCTGGGATTACAGGCATGAGCCACCGCGCCCGGCTGTTTTTGTTTTTTGAGACAGGGTCTTGCTCTGTGCCCTGGGCTGGAGTGCAGGGGCATGAACACGGCTCACTGCAACTTGAACCTCCAGGGCTCAAACCATCTTCCTGCCTCAGCCTCCTGAGCAGCTGGGACCACAGGAGTGCTCTATCACTCCTGGCTAATTTATTTTATTTTATTTATTATTTTGTTTTTGAGACCGAGTCTCACTCTGGTTGCCCAGGCTGGAGTGCAGTGGTACGATCTCAGCTCATTGCAGCCTCTACCTCCTGGGCTCAAGTGATTCTCCCACTTCAGCCTCTGGAGCTATAGACTCTCTACACCACGCCTGGCTAATTGTTTTTGTATTTTTAGTAGAGAAGGGGTTTTGCTACATTGTCCAGGCTGGTCTCAGTCTCAAACTCCTGGACCCAAGAGATCCTCCCACCGCAGCCTCCCAGAGTGCTAGGATTACAGGTGTGAGCCACCACACACCTCGGCTCATTTTTAATTTTTTTGTAGAGATGGAGTCTCGCTGTGTTACCCGGCCTCAAGCGATCTTCCCACCTTGGCCTCTCCAACGTGCAGGGATTATAGGTGCAAACCACCACACCCGGCCATAGTGTTGTTAAGGCAGGTTGATGCCTAAACTTGAAATAATGTAGTCAGCCCATTTTGGTTAGGATGGTGATGTACTTCAAGGCGGTTCTGAAAGTGCATAATTGAATTGGTTTTTAAGCCACTGTTTTCCGCAAATGGGGCTTTCAAAGGCAGGTATTTGTCTAGTTGATGTCTGGGCTCAGCCCCTGATTTCCCTTGGTCAAGCCCCTTATCTGCCCAGACCTGGGATCCTGAGTTGCAAGTAGGGCCACTGCTGCTTAACTCTGGTGTGGGGGTCCTGGAAGTGTGAAGACGAGCACCCAGCCTGTCTGACCCCACTCCAGTGTTGAATACAGGGCACTGATTGGCAGCACTCTATGTCACCCAGGCTGGAGTGCAGTGGCGTGATCTCGGCTCACCGCAACCTCTACCTCCCGGGTTCAAGCGATTCTCCTGCCTCAGCCTCCCAAGTAGCTGGGATTACAGGCATGTGCCACCACGCCCGGTTAATTTTGTATTTTTAGTAGAGATGGGGTTTCTCCATGTTGGTCAGGCTGGTCTCGAACTCCTGACCTCAGGTGATCCACCCGCCTCGGCCTCCCAAAGTGCTGGGATTACAGGCATGGGCCACCGTGCCTGGCCAGGTGATGCTTTTAATGCATAAAGATAAAGCATCTTTTTCTCTCTTTTTTTTTTTTTTCTGAGACAGGGTCTTGCTTTGTCACCCAGGCTGGAGTGCAGTGGTGCCATTACAGCCCACTGCAGCCTCGACCTCCCGGACTTAAGCAGTCCTCCCACCTTAGCCTCCCAAAGTGCTGGGATTACAGGTGTGCAGCCCTGCACCCGGCGAGAAAGCATCTTTTCATAACTGTTTCTTTTTTTGGAGATGGAGTCTCGCTCTCGCTTTATCTACCAGACTGGAGTGAAGTGGTGCGATCTGGGCTCCTGTATCCTCTGCCTCCTGGGTTCAAGCAATTATTGTACCTCAGCCTCCTGAGTAGCTGGGATTACAGGCGTGTGCCACCATGCCTGGCTAATTTTTGTGTTTTTAGTAGAGATGGGTTTCACCATGTTGGCCAGGCTGGTCTTGAACTCCTGACCTCAGGTGATCCGCTAGCCTTGGCCTCCAAAAGTGCTGGGATTACAGACATGAGCCACCGCGCCCGGCCTCATAAGTTTTTGTTGCGGAGTCTGGGTGTCTTGGTGTGGACTCAGCCTCACTGCTAGGCACAGGGTGGTATCCAGTTCTTACAGGGATGGACAGTGCTGTAGTAAGCGCCTGCCTCTAGGTGGTCACTTCAAGCTGTGCTCAAGTAGCAGTTCCATAACATCATTACAAAAATATTAGCCTGCTGTCTGAATGGCTTACAGTTTATAATTGAGGGTGGTAAGTGGGGCTAAGATGCCTGTTTGGTGTTTTGTTTTGGATACCTGGGTATATGCACACATAGTAAGGAAATTTCCTTATTTTATTTAAGATTTTGTTTGTAGCGTGTGAATGACTTGCTTCGACCGGCCCTTTAGGAAGTGTCTGACAGGCTGCCTCCCCTGAGATCTCTCCTCCATAATTATCCTTCATTCCACGGGAGTGGGACTTTCTCATCGCTGAACAAAGGGAATAGCCAGTTTGTCCTATTGAAGTACCCGTTCTGGTTCTCATTAAGGGTTGCCTCGGAATTTGTAAATAAAGGAACGTTCAGAATAAGGACAGGGCCTTCCTTTTCTTTAGTTCATTGGTTTTTAAAATTTCTATTTTGGCTGGGCGCGGTGGCTCACGCCTGTAATCCCAGCACTTTGGGAGGCCGAGGCGGGCAGATCACGAGGTCGGGAGATCGAGACCATCCTACATGGTGAAACCCCGTCTCTACTAAAAATACAGAAAAATTAGCTGGGCATGGTGGCGGGCACCTGTAGTCCCAGCTACTTGGGAGGCTGAGGCAGGAGAATGGCGTGAACGTGGGAGGCGGAGGTTGCAGTGAGCCGAGATCGCGCCACTGCACTCCAGCCTTGGCGACAGAGCAAGACTCAAAAAAAAAAAAAAAGAAATTTCTATTTTGGGTGTTGATACTACCAACCTGTTATTTTACACATGAATGTGTATCAGAGAGCAGAGACCCTTAGCCCGTATCAGGCGTTGCTCTTGGTTGTGGCTGGAGGTGCTGGGGCTGAGCTGTGGGGCAGAGCAGGACTGGGACCCCAGGAGGGCCCCCCGCTGCTGGCGTCTCCTTTCCACGGCAGGCTGGCACCTCGCTCCACCCCTGCCTGCTCAGTTGCTGCCTCTGTCAGCCCCCCCTGGGGGCAGCCCCACCGGTACCAGCTCCTGCGGACGCCTCTGCCGTCACCCCTCCCTCCGTGGAGGGTGACCTCCTACAGCCCCTGCTGTCATCTCTTCTCTCTTCCTCATCCTATGGCTCCCCAGGTCACTTCTCGGCGTCCTCTATCCTCTGTGGGCACCCCCTCCGGTGCCTGCCCCCGTGGGTGCCCCCACTGTGCACCCTTTCCTAGGTGGGTGGCTGCCCCTTGTTGCACCCCACGCCGTGCCGGTCCTGTGGGCATCAGCGTGATCTCGGCCCCGCCCCGCCCCGCTCGGGAAAGGCCTTTTGTTCCGCGCGACACGCCCCTCCGCTGCGCGCCCGCGATTGGCTGTCCCGGGTCACGTGTGAAGCCCCGCCCCCGTGGGAACCGTCCTGGTCGTTGGGGGGGGGGGCAGCTCCCATGTGGGCGTGGCCTTGAGGCCCCGGGGGTGTAGCTGAGGGGCAGGCGCTTGCTTTTCTCTTTAAACAGATTGCGGTAAAGAAATAGAAAAGGCGCCCCGCGGGACCCCGGGCCTCTCCAGGGTCCATCTTTTTTTTGTTTTTCTTTTGAGCCAGGGTCTGGCTCTGTCTCCCAGGCTGGAGTGCCGTGGCTCGATCTTGGCTCACTGCAACCTCTGCCTCCTGGACTCAGCTGATCCTCGTGCCTCAGCCTCCGGAGTACCCAAGCGATCCATATGCCTAGGCTTCCCAGAGTCCTGAGATTACAGGCCTGAGGCACCATGCCCAGCCTCTAGGCCCATTTTCATTGGGAAAAAAAAATACACGTGGCCTGCAGCTGTGTAGCCACAGAACGAGTGGCCATCTGCCAGCCCACCCCTGTCCAGAAGAGCGCTCCTGCACTGTGGCCCTGCAGCCACCCTGGGTCTCGTTCTCAGAAAAAACAGGCTTGCCCCATTCCTGTGGTGCCACTTTTCCAGATTGACACACAGACACAGGTTTGTCCTTTTTTTTTTTTTTTTGACAGGGCCTCACTCTGTCGCCCAGGCTGGAGTGCAGTGGTGTGATCTTGGCTCAGTGCAACCTCAACCTCCTGAGCTCAAGTGATCCTCCCACCTCAGCCTCCAAAGTAGCTGGGACCATAGGCGCACACCACCACGCCCAGCTGAATTTTTGTATTTTTTGTAGGGGTGGGGTCTTGCTGGTTTCGAACTCCTGGGCTCAAGTAATCCACCCACCTCTCCTCCCAAAGTGCTGGGATTACAGGAATGAGCCACTGCGCCCGGCCTCTGTCTTCTTTCCAGAGCTCTGTTTGGCGGTGTCACCTGACAGACCTGACACTTCCCGCTTGCCCTGTGCGCCTCCCCAGGCCTCTGTCGTCCGGCAGGTGCAGAACTCCTGTCTGGATGGGTCCGGGGTGTGCCTAGCTGGGTCTCCACTGTGCATTCTGTGAGTAACTGGTGGGAGGAGAAACTTTTCCAAGTATCCATTTCTAAGATTAACTGTTGCTGCTTGTATCTGGCGGGTCTGGAGTCTGATCTTTTTTTTTTCTTTCTTTCTTTTTTTTGAGATCGAGTCTCCCTCTGTCACCCAGGCTGGAGTGCAGTGACACGATCTCGGCTCACTGCAGCATCCACCTCCCGGGTTCAAGTGATTCTCCTGCCTCAACCTCCCGAGTAGCTGGGATTACAGGCGTGCGCCACCATGCCCAACTAATTTTTGTGTATGTGTGTATTTTTAGTAGAGATGGGGTTTCACCATGTTGGCCAGGCTGATCTCTTAACTCCTGACCTCAGGTGGTCCACCTGCCTCAGCCTCCCAAAGTTCTGGAATGACAGGCGTGAGCCACTGTGCCCGGCCAGGAGTCTGATCTTTCTATTAAAAGATCCTCTTGCAATATTTAATTTTAAAATGTTGAATGCCTTAGGACCTAAGGCGTAGGTGAAAGTTCCACTCACTTCAGGGTGTGTAGAATTTGCTGTTTAAACTGATCTCATGATGAGCTTGGGCTTTGGGAGCAAGAGGAAAGCCCACGGCCGGCCTGGGACGTGCGAGCAGTCTTTAAAACTCAGAGGCATCCGGGTGCAGTGGCTCATACCTGCAGTCCAAATACTTCAGGAGGCCTAGGCAAGTGGATCGCTTGAGCCCAGGAGTTTGGGACCAGCCTGGGAAACAGCAAGATTCTGTCTCTACAAAAAAATTAGGCCGGGCGCGGTGGCTCACGCCTGTAATCCCAGCACTTTGGGATGCCAAGGCAGGCGGATCACCTGATGTCAGGAGTTCAAGACCAGCCTGGTCAACATGGTGAAACCCTGTCTCTACTAAATATACAAAAATTAGCCAGGCATGGTGGCAGGTGCCTGTAATCCCAGTTACTCGGGAGGCTGAGGCAGGAGAATCGCTTAAACGCAGGAGGCAGAGGTTGCAGTGAGCTGAGATTGTGCCACTGCACTCCGGCCTGGGCAACAGTGAGACTCTGTCTCAAAAAAAAAAAAAATTAGCAATATAGCCCGGCATGGGAGTACGCCTGTTCCTCCCATCACCCCCAGCTGTTTCAGTGCTGTGCTCTGGGCCCCCCACCTATGCCTGCGTCCTTAAGCTGGAAGGGAGTCGTGTACACTGCCTGTCTCCTAAGCCCGGTGGTTCTCGCACGTTCCCTGGGAACCAGCCGGCAGTGCAGATCCACGGGCCTCGTCCACACCAGCTGGGGGGACCACATGGGCCACGGGCCTCCTAGGTGATTTTGATGCATGTGGCTCGCAGTCTCGAGAATGTGTTAAGGGGGTCTGGTGGACCCTCCTTGGGTTCAGGTGAGAGCTTCCTGAGGGAAGGGCAGCTTCTTGCACTCCAGGATCTGGCTGCCTCCTATCCTCTGGTCTCGGTGGGTCCAGGGCATTGGAGCGTGAGGCAGAGCGGTGCCCATGTGCTGGGTGTAATCACGTGGCTCTGCTCACTGATTGTCTCGGATGAGTTTGAGAACCGTGTTTGTCACCCGACCCCCGGGGGCTCGTGCGTCCCCTCCTTGGGCATCCGTGAGCAATGGCTCTGTGCTTTCTCTTAGGTATTCCCTCTCACCTCCTAGGTGTCCGTAAGAGTAAGGCATTTTCTTAAAACTTTTTCCAGTTTCTTTTTTTTTTTTGAGATGGAGTTTTGCCCTTGTCACCCAGCCTGGAGTACAGTGGCGCGATCTCGGTTCACTGCAACCCCCGCCTCCCGGGTTCAAGTAATTCCCTGCCTCAGCCTCCCGAGTAGCTGGGATTATAAGCGCCTGCTATCATGCCCGGCTAAATTTTGTATTTTTAGTAGACCAGCCAGGCTGGTCTTGAACTCTTGAGCTCGTGATCCACCCGCCTTGGCCTTCCAAAGTTCTGGGATCACAGGCGTGAGCCACTGTACCCAGCTGCCTGGCTGGCTGCCTGCCTTCCTTCCTTTCTCCCTCCCTCCCTCCCTGTCTTTCTTTCCTCTCCCTCCCTCCCTTCCTTCCTCGCCTCCTTTTTTTTTTTTTTTTTTTTTTTTTTTTTGAGACAGGGTCTTGCTCTGTTGCCCATGCTGAAGTGTGGTGGCACAATCACGACTCACTGCAGCCTTGGCCTTTTGGGCTTTAAGCGATCCTCCCTCCTCAGCCTCCCAAGTAGCTGGGACCACAGGTGTCCACCACCACGCCGGGCTAATTTTTAAATTTGTTGTAGAGATGGGGACTCACCATGTTGCCCAGGCTAGTCTTGAACCCCTAGCCTCAAGCAATCCTCCTGTCTCTGCCCCCCAAAGTGCTGGGATTACAGATGTCAGCCAGTGTGCCAGTCCTTCCTTCTAAGTCTGAAAAATACCCCACTGTGTGGCTGGAAGCCCGCGTTTACCCCATTGTGTGGATAGAAGCCCACGTTTACCCTGTCTTGTGGACGGAAGCCTGCGTGTACCCCGTCACGTGGATGGAAGCCCGCATTAACCATGTTGTGTGGATGGAAGCCCGCGCTTTCCTTATTGACTCCATTGGCGCCCACTTGGGTGGTTTCTGCCTCTTGGCTCTTGCGAATGACGCTGCTGTGAACATGGGTGTGCAGGTGTCTCCTGAAGACCCTGCCTCCAGGTTTTTTGGATGTGTACTTAGGAGCAGGATCGCTGGGTACCAAGGTAGCGTTGTAATTTGACTTTTGCTTGGCTGGCTCCTGGGGACCCTGAGAGCCAGCCAGGCACCCCTTCTTCTGCCTCTGTCGACCCTCAGCTTTCAGTGTCTGGCACATCACAGGTGCCCAGCGGAGCCTGGGTCGGCCTCTCTGAACTCTGTGTCTCTGTTTCCTGACCTTAGAGGATGGGGCTAGACCTGGTGTTGCTGAATCGCTCTTGGTCCCCAGCCATCCCTGGCTGGAGCTCCTAGTGCCCAGGCTGCAGCCCTGTGCACAGTGAGGTGGGCGGGGCCCTCACGGAGCTCCCCAGTTGGAGCTGGAGGTGAAGGTTTCAGTCCTTACATTTGGGGGCCTGCAGTGACGGCCCATGTCATCCTCTGCCTTGGCCCTTGGGCCACTCAGGGTGATTCTGTGACCAGCCAGGGCTCGACACCATTGATGACTCAGGGTCCTCTGTGCGTCCCTTTGCCTCCTTCTGGAGTGACCTACCTGGAGGCGCCCAGGAATGCCAGAGCGGTTTGTGTCGTCTCCTTGTCTCCGTCGCTGCTGCCTGCCTATGACTTGAGCCTTGGCAGCTGCTTCCCCTCTCCACTGCACCCCATCGTGCTTCAGGAGCTGCCTGTGACTCCCCAGGAGCATGGCTCTGGGCCTGCAGGTGGCCCATGGGATGGTGATGCTACCTCACCTGTGTTCCCCACCACGCCATCTGCCGCCTCTTCTGCCCATCCCCCTCGTGTCCCCCAAGCCGCGTCCAGGGCCCTGTGCTTGTTCCCTCCCCTACCTCCCTCCTGGGGTCCCTGAAAGCAGCAGGACGCTGGGCAGGAGGGGCCCCCACTTTGTGACTGCGACGGGTAAGGAAGGTGACGCAGCCTGCGTGCAGGGCATGAACTCTCATTCCCACACAGGTTTAAAGGTTTATTTGGAACATTAGGAAGGATGAGCTTTGTGGAAATTCAGCATTGTGTTTCCTGCTGTGTTTGGCTGACTGGGGGTTTGCGATGGTCTGTGTTTCTTACTGTGTTTGACTGGTTGACTGGGGGTTTGCGGTGGTCTGTGTACCTGGGCGGTTCCACATTTGGGGACAGGTGCTGCGTCCAGTGTGTCCGTCCTTCTGATTAGAACAGGAATCTGGAAGAAGGGAAGGGAATTCACTGCTTGCCACGTGCTGACAGGGCGTGGACCCAGGGAGCTTAGGGCTGCCTCTGGGTCCATGATAACCAGGCATTGCGTGCCTCTCTGCTCCCCAGGTGTCCCTACCTGCACCGGACGACGGGGGACACAGAACGCAAGTACCACCTGCGTTACTACAAAACAGGAACCTGCATCCACGAGACAGACGCACGTGGCCACTGCGTGAAGAATGGGCTGCACTGTGCCTTCGCGCACGGCCCCCTGGACCTGCGGCCGCCCGTGTGTGACGTCAGGTGAGTGGGCATCCACGAGTGGGCACTTGGCCTGCCTGCTGCTGTGGGCTCTGCTGGATGAGCAGGAACTCGGCAAGTGGCTCGCCTCCCTGCTGCTGCAGGCTCTGCTGGCCCAAATCTCTCTCCTCCAGAATTTCTTTCTGAGTCTGGATGTTAGTCCTTTTTTTGCTTTTTTTGAGACGGATTCTCGTTCTGTCACCCAGGCTGGAGTGCAGCGGCGCGATCTCAGCTCACTGCAAGCCCTGCCTCCTGGGTTCACACCATTCTCCTGCCTCCGCTGCCCGAGTAGCTGGGACTACAGGTGACCACCACCACGCCCAGCTAATTTTTTTTTTTTTTGTATGTTTAGTAGAGATGGGGTTTCACCATGTTAGTCAGGATGGTCTCGATTTCCTGACCTTGTGATCCACCCACGTTGGCTTCCCAAAGTGCTGGGATTACAGTGAGCCACTGCGCCTGGCCTCTGGATGTTATTTCTTTCTTTTCTTTTCTTTTTTTGTTTTTTGAGATGGAATCTCGCTCTGTTACCCAGGCTGGAGTGCAGTGGCGTGATCTTGGCTCACTGCAACGTCTACCTCCTGGGTTCACGCCATTCTCGTGCCTCAGCCTCCCGAGTAGCTGGGACTACAGGCGCACACCACCATGCCTGGGTTATTTTGTTGTATTTTTAGTAGAGACAGGGTTTTACTGTGTTAGCCAGGATGGTCTCCATCTCCTGACCTCATGATCTGCCCGCCTCGGCCTCCTGAAATTCTGGGATTACAGACGTGAGCCGCTGCACCTGGCCTCTGGATGTTATTTCTAATGAGACAGTCCTTCAGCTCTTCTCACTGTGTGTTTCTCTTCTGGGCCCGGAGGGCAGCTCACTGGGGTTGAGGCTGTGAGGCACTGCTGCTTTCCAGGAGAACGAACTCAGCACACAGTCTGGGGCAGACAGTCCTTCAGCTCTTCTCACTGTGTGTTTCTCTTCTGGGTCCGGAGGGCAGCTCACTGGGGTTGAGGCCGTGAGGCACTGCTGCTTTCCAGGAGAACGAACTCAGCACATGGTCTGGGGCTGCAGAAAAGCGAATCCTGCCCACACAAAACTCCGCTCTTACTTGGGTGGGGCTGAGCATAGTGGCCCATACATGTAATCCCAGTGCTCTGGGAGGCCAAGGTGGGAGGATCGCTTGAGCCCGGGAGATGGAGACTGCAATGAGCTGTGATTGCGTCACTGCACTCCAGCCTGGGGGACAGAGCCAGACCCTGTCTCAAACAAGACAAAGCAAACAAAATGAAGTGGTTGGGATTTGGATGAGGACTGCGGGCCAGGACAGCGGAGCGCCACACACTGAGACTCCGTCCTGAACCCTTCGGCAGCAGCCTCTCTGTGCAGTGGTGGGAGGGGAGCGTGCCCTCCAGTGACCTCGTTTCAGCTTTGGAGGCTCCAGATGCAGAGCTGTGACCACTGTGTCCTCGGCTTGCAGGGAGCTGCAGGCCCAGGAAGCCTTGCAGAACGGCCAGCTGGGCGGCGGGGAAGGGGTCCCGGATCTGCAGCCTGGGGTCTTGGCCAGCCAGGCCATGATTGAGAAGATCCTGAGCGAGGACCCCCGGTGGCAAGGTAACTCCACGGCCGCAGCTGAGGGCGGTGGTGGGGGGGGCGGGCACAGCGCGAGAACAGCTCGGGCCACTTGGTTCCCTGTGCCTTTCAGTTTACGTGCAAGGTGATCAGATGGGGAAACCGAGGCTCGTGGAGTCCAATACCAAGCCCTCCCCAACAGGGGGTGGGTGCCGAGTGGGATTTGGGCCCAGGCGCCTTCCCCCGCACCTGCTCTGAATCTCTGCGGCAACTGGCATCTCAGTGGGGCCAGCCATTGACCAAGTGGCCGAGGAGGTAGCACAACTCCCACCGGAACTCGTGAGGCGTCCTGTCCCAGAGCCGGGGCGCCCACCAGGCACCCACCAGGATGCTCAGCAGAGCCCCCAGCCCACCAGGCACCCACCAGGATGCCCAGCAGAGCCCCCAGCCCTGCGCCTCTCTGGGGTGGTGCTCTAGACAGCAGCTTTCAAATCCCTGAGCTTGGCCAGAAACATATGGACCAGGGGGCTGTCCCTCGGGGCTGGGGGACCTGCATTCCTGGCTGGCACACAGATGAGGTTATATGCAGGGGAGATTTTGATTTGAAAAAAAACGTGGTAAGGCTGGGAGCACTGGCTCACGCCTGTAATCTCAGCACTTTGGGAGGCCGAGGCGGGCAGATCACTTGAGGTCAGGAGTTTGAGGCCAGCCTGGCCAACATGGTGAAACCATGTCTCTGCTAAAAATACAAAAAATTAGCCGGTTGTGGTGGTGGGCGCCTGTAATCCCAGCTACTTGGGAGGCTGAGGCTGGAGAATCTCTTGAACTCGGGGGGTGAAGGTTGCAGTGAGCCAAGATCACGCCACTGCACTCCAGTGTGGGTGACAGAGTGAGACTCCGTTTCAAAAAAAAAAATGTAAAATACACACAACATAAAATGCACCATTTTTAAGTGTACAGTCCAGTGGCATTTAGCACGTCTGCAGTGTTGTGCAGCTGCCACCTCTCTCTAGTTCCAGAACATTCCATCCCTGCAGAAGGAACCCCCCTGCTTATGAGCAGTTCCTCCCCATCCCCTCCCTGGTCCCTGCACTCACTGGCCTGCATCCCATCTCTGTGAATTTGTGTATTCTGGACATTGCGTATGGCAGCGATTTTTTTTTTTTTTTTTTTTTTTTTTTTTTTTTTTTTTGAGATGGAGTCTCGCTCTGTCACCCAGGCTGGAGTGCAGTGGCACAATCTCAGCTCACTGCAACCTCCGCCTGCCAGGTTCAAGCAATTCTCCTGCCTCAGCCTCCTGAGTAGCTGGGATTACAGGCAGGCACCAGTATGCCCGGCTAATTTTTTATTTTTAGTAGAGACGGGGTTTCACTGTGTTGGCCAGGCAAGTCTTGAACTCCTGACCTTGTGATCCACCCACCTCGGCCTCCCAAAGTGCTGGGATAACAGGCGTGAGCCACCACGTCCGGCCCAGTGAATGACTTCTAAAAATAGGCTTTATTTTTTAGAGCGGTTTCCGGTTCACAGCAAAACTGAGTAGAAAAATAGATTTCCCAAACACCCCCTGCCCCCTCAGCCTCCCCTGCCGTGCACCTCCTGCACTGCGAGGTACGCTCTTTACCAACAGTGAACCCACACTGATGTGTGCTTGTCACCCAGAGGCTGTGGTGCGCATGAGGCTCACCATGCGGCATTTCGGGGTGTGCATGTCTCTGGATTTTAGCATATTCTCAAAAGCTGTGCACACATCACCTCTCTCTAGTTGGAGAACATTTTCATCCCCCAGCAAGGAAGCCGCACACCCACAGCAGGACTCCCTCCCAGCCCTGGTGGTCTCGGCTCCACTCCGTCTCTGTGGGTTCCCTAGTTCTGGGCATTTTCACATAAACAGAATCACACCACGTGGCCTTCTGGCCCGGCTTCCCTCATGGAGCGCGAGTCCTTTGACATCAGCGTGTGCCGTGGCGTGTGTCTGCGCTCCCCAAGTCCTCCTGCAGCCCCTTCCATTTGGGGGACAGCCAGGTCCTTCCACCTTTGGTCTCCTCTGCCCAGCATTGCTTCCAGTCGCGCTGCTCAGGCACCGTGTGGCCCATTTTTCAGATGCCAACTTCGTGCTGGGCAGCTACAAGACGGAGCAGTGCCCGAAGCCGCCACGCCTGTGCCGCCAGGGCTATGCGTGCCCACACTACCACAATAGCCGGGACAGGCGGCGCAACCCCCGGCGGTTCCAGTACAGGTGAGCCTGCGGGACCGTGCTCAGAGGACTCCGGCTGGTGGGCGTCCTTCCCGGCCCGTGGCTCGCGTTGCCCACCCCGGGGTTCTAATGGGAGGGCTGCCCTTGTGGCACCATCATCCCCGGGAGGGGAGGGCATCTCCAAGCACAGTGGCTGTGGGAGGTGCCATGGAGGCCCACGCGTCTGTCCTGGGGATGGGCCTCCCCACCTACGCTCAGTGTCTCCCATGCAGTCCCCTACCGGGGCCCCTCTGCCAGGCAAGGGGACGGAGCACTGCAGGAGGGACCCCAAGCCCAGCTGGGACCCCCGTGTGCCCCACCCGTGCCTCTGGTTGCAGCCACGCTCTCCAGCCTGTGGGCTGCATGCTGTCTCCTCACCCAAGCTGCCAGGGGCTCAGGCACTGTCGTCACCTGGGCTCAATCTTGTCTTCACAGCTGGCAGCTGGGACGCCGGGTCCTTAGGCTGAGTCCCAGGGCCAACAACCCAAGGGTCGCCCTGCCCAGGGTGCACACAGGACCTTCCTCCACCGCCTGAGCCCCAGCTGTCCCCTGGGTCTGGCTTGTGGGTTTGGCACCTCGCAGCCTGCTTGCCTCTGAAGCCCCTTTCTCCTCCTTGCTCCAGCCCGGCCTTCTGGTTGTGCCTGGCCTGGCTTGCCTCCTGTCTGCAGTTTGCACCTGAGAGGGGGGTGGGGGGGTGCAGACCCCACAGGGTGTCTGGATGCCTGGGCCATGGCCTTGGCCTCCCTGAGGCCCTGTCTGTGTCCAGCTCTTCCTTTGAGCAGAGAGCCACCCTCGCCTCTTTTGAATGACCTGGTGCTGCCTCGCATGCCCCGGAGAGCACCTGTGCTTCCTTTGGGAAGGACGCCCCACTCCTTGTTGTTATGCCACGTTCAGTCTCCCTCTGAGCAGCTTCCGAGTAAAGGACCTGAACGGCTGTAGAACAAACCACAAATTAGTGTCTGAGATTTTGTCATCGCCCGTCATGGAAAGAAAATAAAAATTATTTTTTCAACAGGCACTTAATGTGTCCCATAAATACAAATCAGTTACAATAAAGCAGCTAGAGATTCCACGAAGAGTAGAGGATTTTGTTTTTTTATGAGACAGAGTCTCACTCTGTGGCCCAGGCTGGAGTGCGGTGGTGCAGTCTCAGCTCACTGCAGTAGGAACATAGGTAATTTGAAATTGGTGCGGAGTTTTAAATTGTGGGATCAAAACTCTCGCTTCCATTTTATAGAAAGTTGGCGAGGAGACAGCCCCGTGCTGTCTGGGCGCCCGGCCTCACTGTCCCCAGGAGGTTCGGCTGCTTCTCCCCTGCGTTCTCCACGTCCGTGAGGGTGGCTCTGACTGAGACTCAAGTTAAATTCTGTGAAGAACAGCCCCGGGGCTCCTGACCCCATCCTGGCACTGGCCGGGCCTGCGTGTCCGTGAGCGCAGAGCTGCGTTGCCTGTCACTCCAGGGCCCCATGCCCGAGGCCCCTCCTGGTGGGAGGCAGACACCCCTGGGCACACGAGGAACCATGTTTTCCTGTGTCCCCCTGACACCTCCTCATCCCCAGGTCCACGCCCTGCCCCAGCGTGAAGCACGGGGGTCGGGGTGGGGGAGCCAAGTCCTCTGTGTCCCCCTGACACCTCCTCATCCCCAGGTCCATGCCCTGCCCCAGCGTGAAGCACGGGGGTCGGGGTGGGGGAGCCAAGTCCTCTGTGTCCCCCTGACACCTCCTCATCCCCAGGTCCACGCCCTGCCCCAGCGTGAAGCACGGGGGTCGGGGTGGGGGAGCCAAGTCCTCTGTGTCCCCCTGACACCTCCTCATCCCCAGGTCCATGCCCTGCCCCAGCGTGAAGCACGGGGGTCGGGGTGGGGGAGCCAAGTCCTCTGTGTCCTCCTGACACCTCCTCATCCCCAGGTCCACGCCCTGCCCCAGCGTGAAGCACGGGGGTGGGGGGCAGGGAGCCAAGTCCTCTGTGTCCTCCTGACACCTCCTCATCCCCAGGTCCACGCCCTGCCCCAGCGTGAAGCACGGGGGTGGGGGGCGGGGAGCCAAGTCCTCTGTGTCCCCCTGACACCTCCTCATCCCCAGGTCCACGCCCTGCCCCAGTGTGAAGCACGGGGATGAGTGGGGGGAACCCTCACGCTGCGATGGCGGCGACGGCTGCCAGTATTGCCACTCCCGCACGGAGCAGCAGTTCCATCCCGAGGTACGTCCCTCCAACCCCCCAGGCGTAGGGGTCGCTGGAAGGTCCCAGAGAAGCTGTGGGGTTCACAGCGTGGTTATCACACAGAAGGAACAGTGATTAACTTTGGCCGAGGGCTGGCACAGGTCGGGAAGCCTGGGGGTGGAGGCATGAGGGCTGTACCTGCTTGCTTGTCTTGCTTGCTGGCCTTCGGGCTGCCCTCAGCCAGCGAGTCTCTCCACTTGGCCTGTAACAGAAGAAAGAGTCATGTGGGAAAAAAGCAGAGAGAAAATGTCAATTAAAAACATACATATTCAGGTCTGGGTGCAGTAGCTCACGCCTGTAATCCCAGCACTTTGGGAGGCTGAGGCAGCTGGATAACGAGATCAAGAGATCAAGACCATCCTGGCAAAACCCCGTTTCTACTAAAAATGCAAAAAATCAGCCAGGCGTGGTGGCGGGCGTCTGTAGTCCCAGCTACTCAGGAGGCTGAGGCAGGAGAATGGCGTGAACCCAGGAGGCGGAGCTTGCAGTGAGCTGAGATCGTGCCACTGCACTCTGGCCTGGGCAACAGAGCAAGACTCTGCCTCAGGAAAAAAAAGAAAAAGAAAAAAATATATATATTCAGGCCAGGCACGGTGGCTCACACTGTAATCTCAGCACTTTGGGAGGCAGAGGCGGGCAAATCACTTGAGGTCAGGGGTTCGAAACCAGCCTGGTCAACATGTCTGTACTAAAAATACCAAAATTAGCTGGGTGTGGTGGTGCGCGCCTGTAGTCCTAGCTACTCGGGAGGCTGAGACGCGAGGAGCACTTGAACTTGGGAGGCTGAGACGTGAGGATCGCTTGAACCCGGGAGGCAGAGCTTAGAGTGAGCCGAGATCACGCCACTGCACTCCAGCTTGGAGGACAGAGCGAGACTCCATCTCAAGGAAAAAAAACAAAACAAAACACATGTTCAGGCCAGGCACGGTGGCTCACACTGTAATCCCAGCACTTTGGAAGGCTGAGGTGGGCACATCACTTGAGGTCAGGGGTTCGAAACCAGCCTGGTCAACATGGTGAAACCCTGTCTCTACTAAAAATACAAAAATTAGCCAGGTGTAGTGGTGCGCGCCTATAGTCTCAGCTACTTGGAGGCTGAGGCGCGAGGATCACTTGAACCTGGGAGGCTGAGGTTGCAGTGAGCCAAGAGTGCGCCACTGCACTCCAGCCTGGGGGATAGAGCAAGACTCTATCTAAAAAAAGTAAAATCCTCAGCCAAGGGGGAGGCGTGCAGGGGCTGGGAAGGACCAGGCGCTGCTTCCCGTCGTTTCTTGACTCATGTTGTCACAGACGCGCATCATGCTTTCTGGGTGTCGGTGACCACACACTCAATGGTGTCACCAGGGGCCTGTCGGGAGTCCGGTGTCCGGGGCGTTTTCTGTGTTCAGTCACGCAGGCCTGGTTGCAGACCCCAGTCTCTGGTACCCAGCTGAGTGGAGCTGGCACCACGTGGGCCACAGCCGCACCATAAATCCTGAGGGAGATAAACCCTCCCGCCTGGGCCCCGCCCCAGGTAAACAAGGACTCTTCCGAGGCAGGAGGTTCCTGGGGCGGAAGGGGCAGCCTGAGATGGAGCCAGGCCTGTGCCTCCACTAGAAGGTGCAGGGTATGGACGGTACAGGGAGGCTGTGTTCACACCCAGCCGTGTAGTTGCCAAGGGACCATACTCAGATTTGTATTAAAAACAAACAGGCCAGGCACAGTGGCTCACGCCTGTAATCCCAGCACTTTGGGAGGCCGAGGCAGGCAGATCACCTGAGGTCAGGAGTTCGAGACCAGCCTGGCCAACATGGTGAACCCGTCTCTACTAAAAATACAAAAATTAGCCAGGTTTGGTGGCTCATGGCTGTAGTCACAGCTACTCAGGAGGCTGAGGCAGGAGAATTGCTTGAATCCAGGAGGCAGAGGTTGCAGTGGGCCAAGATGGCACCATTGTACTCCAGCCTGGGCGACAGAGCCAGACTCTGGCTCAAAAAAAAAAAAAAAAAAAATGAACAGACCGGGCACGGTGGTTCACGCCTGTAATCCCGGCACTTTGTGGGGCCGAGGTCAGGAGTTTGAGACCAGCCTGGCCAACATGGCGAAACCCCATCTCTACTAAAACTACAAAAATTAGCCAGGTGTGGTGGCACATGCTTGTAATCCCAGCTACTTGGGAGGCTGAGGCAAGAGAATCACTTGAACTCGGGAGGTGGACGTTGCAGTGAGCCGAGATCTTGCGACTGCACTCCAGCCTGGGTGACAGAGCGAGACTCTCTCTCAAAAAACAAACAAAATGAACAAGCAAACGGGACCCCACCGGGTGCCCGACGTGGTGGAAGGGCCATGGGGGGGTGGGGCCAGGCCGGAGGTCAGGAGAGAGGCTTCCTGCTGGGACCCAGGCAGGTGTGGGCACTGGAGGCCTGGCGTGCCAGGTGCCGTGTCCTTTACGGAGAGCTACGGAGCAGGAGGGGCTGGGCCAGGCCTCCCAAGGCCGACTGGGGGCTTCCAGGCTGGTCTGTCCCTTGCCGGGTCTTAAGTGTTGTTGACCTCATGAGAGGGGCTGTCACCCTAGGTGAAGGGTCAGTGGGTCTGATCAGGGAACAGACACACGTGTTCCTTTTAATAGGCACTTATTAGGCACCTGCTGCATACCAGACTCTGAATTTGGTGCATCTTTCAGAAAATATCAAGCGGGGAAATGACTTTGCCTGTGATGGGAGGGCAGATGCTGCGGGAATGGCCCCACATGTGTGCGTGTTCCCTGTGGGTCGGCTCTGCAGAGAGGAGGGATGTGGGGACCAAGGGCACACGTGGAGGAGGGCAGGGCCCACGCCCCCCTTTTCAGGGGTGTCTTGTTACGATTTGGAGCTTAATCCTCTCCCTTGGGATGATGCCAGCTGTGGTCTTTCCACAGAATCCCATTTCCAATCCAACCTCTTTATTTCACTTTTTTCCCCAGATCTACAAATCTACAAAATGCAACGACATGCGCCAAACCGGGTACTGCCCGCGCGGCCCCTTCTGTGCCTTTGCACACGTTGAGAGTGAGTAACCGTCCCTGTGGCAGGTTCACCTTAGCAGGTTCCGCGGCTCTGCAGGCCCTCACTGGAGTTACCGATGACCCGGAGCTGCCCACGAGGACCTGGAAGGCGGGCAGGAGCTCAGCACCGTGGTTGGGGGCTGGGGGTCCCTGACATGCCCGTGGAGGCTCCCTGGGGTGTTTGTGCCATGTGAGGCTGGGCTCCCTCCACGCCGGCGTGGGCCAGGCCTGGTGGAATCTGCAGGGACCCTGTCTTCAGGCACGCTGGGGCCCTGAGCCTGGAGGCTGAGTCCTGGTGTGGGCTGGCTGGCACCTCCACCTGCCTCCTGGGCATCCAAGCTGGGTCCTTCTGCCACCCACTGCCTGGGCCTTGCTCCGAGACTGCCATCTTGCCAGGCACCCACCCAGGAGCACCACCTCCCTTGTGGAGAGAGGGGGTCTGTCCGCCCCAGCTCGGGGAGACAGCAGAGACCCTCAAGCAGGGTTGCTCAGGGTGACCCTGTGCTTTCCAGAGCCCGTTTGCTGTCCAGGGGATGAGGGCTTAGCTTTGGCGATTATGTGGTCCCTAATAAGTTCCCAGCAGCAGAAACAAGCCCCAGTGGGAACCCACGCGGCCTCCTCCACGCTGCAGTGGGTTTCCTTCTGGCAGCCCTGGGGTTTGGGTTCAGTGGGAACCCACGCGGCCTCCTCCACGCTGCAGTGGGTTTCCTGGCAGCCCTGGGGTTTGGACTCAGTGGGAACCCATGCGGCCTCCTCCACGCTGCAGTGGGTTTCCTCCTCGCAGCCCTGGGGTTTGGGTTCAGTGGGAACCCACACGGCCTCCTCCTCCCAGCCCTAGGATTTGGGTTCCAGGTTTTGTGTGTGTGGTCACAAGCTCAAATTTTCCTTTGTTTTTTATTTTAGTGGGGAGGGCAGCTATTCTTGTTCACGTTTTAAACATTGCTTTTAGTGTTAAAAACATGAAAAACTGGTCTAAGACCAGAGGGTCCTGTTGCCCTGAGTGTCCCCACCACTGCCCAGCCGTCCTCTGCCGCACCCCTGAGGGATGATTGTGACGAGGCTGCGCACACTCGGCCCTGACGTGTGGTGCGGAGACTTCTGCGTGTCACTGTCGCCCACCAGCGGCCCTCAGAGTCTGCTGCTCCCCTGTCCTTGCAGAGAGCCTGGGGATGGTGAATGAATGGGGCTGTCACGACCTCCACCTCACGAGTCCTTCCTCCACGGGCAGCGGCCAGCCGGGAAATGTAAGTGAACGGCCTTCCCAGGACAATGCCCAGTGTCCTTTGGTTTAATTGAACTCTTAGGGATGTGGATGGATATGAGTTTTCAGCAATGTGGTCGTGGGCAGTCTGTGGAGTTCGTGGCTCTTCTAGAAGAGTCTAGAAAAATCCTTGCCACTAGGCTGGGGGCAGTGGCTCACGCCTGTCATCCCAGCACTTTGGGAGGCTGAGGCGGGTGGATCACCTGAGGTCAGGAGTTCAAGACCAGCCTGGCCAACATGGTGAAACTCCATCTCTACTAAAAATACAAAAATTAACCAGGTGTGGTGGTGGGTGCCTGTAATCCCAGCTACTCAGGAGGCTGAGGCGGGAGAATCACTTGAACCCAGGAGACGGAGGTTGTGGTGAGGTGAGGTCCCGTCATTTCACTTCAGTCTGGGTGACAGAATAAGACCCCATCTCAAACAAAAAAAGAGGGGGGAAGAGGGGGTTGGGCTTCTAGGAAGGTAAGGCTATGGGGGAGACTGGCGGAAGGTAAGAGCAACTTCAGTGAGGTTGGTTATGCAGCCTCAATCTGCAGTCTCTCCTCCTGGTGTGGAGAGGGGAGAGGACACCTTCACAGAGGGAATTCACGCCCGGCTTCGAGGCAGGAAGGAAGCAGAGAGCTGCTCCTGCATCTACTGTTTCTCAGCTGCCTTCAACTCAAAATAATCTTTTTGTCAAAGAGTGGCATGTTTTGGGGTGGCACACTCTGACTCCCTTCATATATTTCTTAACAGTTTCACCTGAGCCTCTGCCTTAGGTGAATGGCTCGGTTTGGGGTTTGATGCCATGGTTGGTTCAGGGAGTGCAGAGCTGGCACCCTGCCTTCACACGGACCAACCCAAGGTCAGAGAGCCACGTTCAAATGTAAGAAATGGAACTCAGGGCCGGGCGCGGTGGCTCACGCCTGTAATCCCAGCACTTTGGGAGGCCAAGGCGGGTGGATCACCTGAGGTCAGGAGTTCGAGACCGGCCTGATGAACATGGTGAAACCCCATCTCTACTAAAAATACACAAATTAGCCGGGCGTGGTGGCGTGCGCCTGTAATCCCAGCTACTCCAGAGGCTGAGGCAGGAGAATTGCTTGAACCCGGGAGGTGGAGCTTGCAGTGAGCTGAGATCGCGCCACTGCACTCCAGCCTGGATGACAGAGTGAGACTTTGTCTCAGAAAAAAAATGAAAAGAAAAGAAATGGAACTCAGGAGAACCGACAGGGAGCCAGCAGGTTCAGGCATCTCTTCTGTTTCATGAGACCTTCGAGATTTGGCATCTTTGGCCAGTTGCAGTGGCTCACGCCTGTAAACCAGGCACTTTGGGAGGCTGAGGTGGGACAATCGCTCGAGGTCAGGAGTTCGAGACCCGCCTAGGCAACATAACAAGACCCTGTCTCTACAGAAAGCTTTGAAAAATTAACTGGGTCCACTGGCAAATGCCTGTGCTCACAGCTTCTTGGGAGGCTGAGACAGGAGGATTGCTTTAGCCAGGGAGGTCATGCCACTGCACTCCAGCCTGGGAGACAGAGCGAGATCCTGTCTCAAAACAAAACAAAACCAAAAATAGCATTCGTCTAAATTCTGAGCAGAGCTTATGTGTGTGTGTGTGTGTGTGTGTGTGTGTGTGTGTGTGTGTGTGTATCTTTAAGGGACCAAGAGTACTGCTGAATAGGTACATATATATTGTGTGTGTGTGTGTGTGTGTGTGTGTGTGTGTGTATTTTTTTTTGGAGACAGAGTCTCACTCTATCACCCAGCCTGCAGTGCGGTGGTATGACCTTGGCTCACTGCAGCCTCCACCTCCTGGGTTCAAGCGATATCCTTTTTTAAATTTTTTATTCTATTTTTTGAGACGGAGTTTCACTCTTGTTGCCCAGGCTGGAGTGCAATGGTGCCATCTCGGCTCACTGCAACCTCCACCTCCTGGGTTCAAGCGATTTTCTTGCCTCAGCCTCTCGAGGAGCTGAAACTACAGGCATGTGCCACCACGCCTGGCTATTTTTTGTGTTTTTAGTAGAGACAGGTTTTCACCATGTTGGCCAGGCTGGTCTCGAACTCCTGAGCTCAGATGATCCGCCCGCCTCAGCCTCCCAAAGTGCTGCCACTGTGCCCAGCCTGAATTGTATGTTTTTAATTTACATTTCCTCCCTGCTTTTTCCACATATGACTGTTTTTTATGTTGCAGGCCAAGCGGAGAGACTCGCCGGCCGAGGGTGGCCCTAGGGGCAGCGAGCAAGACAGCAAGCAGGTACAGGCCCCCAAGGTTTCCCACCCTCGTGCCTGATGTCGCGTTAGGGCTGAGGCTTCCCGCCCTCGTGCCTGACCCGTGGCATCGCGTTAGGGCAGCGCTCATGCATCCTTGGTCCCGCCCACTCTCGGCTCGCAAAGCCATCTGGTTGACGTCCGCTTGTTGTAGAATTAGCTCTTTCCTGGTACCCCCGTGTTTGTCTGTTTGAAACGTTCGTGTTATACCTTGGAAACAAAGCCACAACATCGTGCTCGGGGAAATAAGAGGGGCCCTTTGGAGCCCATCTGTGTTACTTTTTTGGGCTGCGAGGGAAGGATGCAGATGGGGCCGTTCCAACAGCAGAACTTGCCGGGCACGGTGGCTCACACCTGTAATCTCAGCACTTTGAGAGGCCAAGGTGGGCGGATCACGAGGTCAGGAGTCCGGGACCAGCCTGGCCAACATGGTGAAACCCCATCTGTACTAAAAATACAAAATATTAGCCAGGCATGGTGGCACGTGCCTGTAGTCCCAGCTACTCGGGAAGCTGAGGCAGGAGAATTGCTTGAAGCCGGGAGGTGGAGATTGCAGTGAGCCGAGATCGTGCCACTGCACTGCATCCTGGGTGACACTGTGAGACTCTGTCTCTGAATGAATGAATGAATGAATGAATGAGGTAGTTTTAGTTGGGCACAGTAGCTCACACCTGTGGTTCCAGTACTTTGGGAGGCTGAGGCAAGAGAATTGCTGGAGCCCAGGAGGTGGAGGTTGCAGTGAGCCAAGCACTCCAGCCTGGGCGACAGAGTGAGGCCCTGTCTCAAACCAAACCAAAACCAATCCCCAAGCAGCAGCACTTGACTCTCTCAGTTCTGGGGGCTGAGTCCGAGCTTGAGCTGTCCAGAGCTGGCTCCTGAGGCCCCCCGGGTGCAGATGCTGCCTCCTCCGTGTCCTCTGGGGTCACCCCTCTGTGCGTGGGCATCCCTGGGGTCTCTTCCTGAGGACAGTGGCTGCGTAGGGCCCTGCCCCCACACCTCATTTCATTGTTGCTGTTGTGTTTTTACAGATTCTTAAATTTTTTGAGGCAGGGTCTGGCTGTGTCACCCAGGTGTAGTGCAGTGGCCAAGTCCCAGCTCACTGCAGCCCGGGACTCCCAGGCTTGAAGCAGTCCTCCCACTTCAGCCTTCTGAGTTGCTGGGACCCCAGGCATACACCACCAGGCTTGGCTAATTTTTGTATTTTTTTAGAAATGGGGTTGCCCAGCCTGTTCTCGAACTCCTAGGCTCAAGCAATCCTCCTGCTTTGACCTCCCAAAGTGTTGGGATTACAGGTGTGAGCCTCCACGCCTGGAGTAAGAACTCATTTCACCTTAATTACTCCTCACAGGCCCTATCTCCAAATTTAGTCACACCGGGGGTCAAGGCTTCCACGTAGGAATTTGGGGGGGACACGTTTGGTCCATAACAAAGACACTGTGCTGACTGAAATGAGCCAGTTACCGAAAGGCAAAACCTGCGTGATTCCACTCACAGGAGGTCTCTAGTGGAGTCACATTCACAGACAGCAGGTGGCATGGTGGGGGCCGGGGCCGGGGCCGGGGGAGGGGGCAAGTGTTCACGGGGTCAGAGCTTCCGGCTGGAAGATGAGGAGTTCTGGAGGTGGACGCGGTGATGGCTGCACAGCGGTGTGGATGGAATTCATGCCACGTACTACACCAAACCATGGCCACTGTAGCAAATTTTATATTATATTTCACTATAATACAGAGAAGAAAAACCAGGCAGGCAGTGCTGGTGGTAGCTTGGGGTGTGCTGTCCCCACGGGGCGAACGGTGCTGGTGTTAGCGGAGGTGCGGTGTCCTCATGGTGTGAACGGTGCTGGTGGTAGCGGAGGTGTGGCGTCCCCACGGGGAGAACGGTGCCGGTGTTAGTGAAGGTGCGGGATCCTCACGGAGCTCTCGTCTGACCCCTCTCACTGTGCCCATCCCTCATGTGGATGGACTCCCACACCAGGCCCGTCATCTGTGGCCATTGTGCCTTGGGGTACAAGGAGTGACATGGATGTTGATGATTTTCAGGTGATCGTTTGGGCTGAAGTCACAGTGTGCGCATCACCCTGGCCAGCTCCCGGGCAGGGTCAGCATGGGGTCTGGGGGGTCACTCAGGGCTGAGGCTTCCTCTCTGGTCCCTGTTGGTTTATGGCCTCCAGTAGGCTGGGGAAGGCCTCCGGGGTGGAGTCCCCTCCTGCAGACAGGCGGGAAGGAGGCGGCCTTGGCTTCTGAGGGTGCTGCATTCACCCTGGGCCGGGCAGCGCTTTGGGAGCCTGAGGCTGCCTGTCCCAGCCGAGGGTCAGCCCGTGCCCAGCCCTCAGATCAGTGCTGCTTTGGGGGCAAACGTGGCACCTGCACTGTGGTGCCTCCTGGCTTTCTGCATTCTTGGGCTCTATGCAGACACAGGTGCGGGGCACAGACTCCCTGTCCGACCCAGGGCGGGGCAGGCCTGCTCTGCAAACCCCAGCGTCGTCCACGGCTTCTTGGTGGGCCCGGGGCCCTTCCAGGCAACAGTCCCTCAGCTCTCCCTTACATGGGAGGTGGCCTCTGGGCCTGGGTGATGCTCTGGAGTTGGGTTCAGGCAAGGACTGAGACGCCCACAGGGGTCATGGAGCTGAGAGGACATCCACAGGGGTGACTGTGACCCGGGCGGTGGCCTCTAGGCTACTGGTGGGTCAGGACATGGGGAACCTCAGCCTGACTGAGCAGGGGCAGCTTGTGTGTAGGGACCGTGCCCCAGAGCACGGACCTGGGCAGACCCCGGGACACAGGGTGGGCTGCCAAGAGATGGGATGAGGCGGGGGTGGGGGAGGGCTTCCGCAGGCCGGGCAGCCGTGCGGCGGTGCAGTGTCCACGTCCCCGGAGGGCCGGGCAGCCGTGCGGCTGTGCAGTGTCCACGTCCCCGGAGGGCCGTGCGTTGCCATCCTGAGCTTTTGGTTCTGAGTGATAGCTGCTGGATGCGGTGAGCTCAGCAGACCGCCCCACGTCACTCACCCCTTGCTGGTGCCTGCCTCCTCAGCCCCACAGCCCAGGTGGCCCTGTCCTTTGCTGGTAGAGAAGGTCGGCTCCCTCCCCGATCCAAGCCATCGGGGTACAAGGAGCTCCCAGGTGTGCGTTGCTCCTGGATGTCTGGTCACCAGAACGTCTGTCAAGAGGTCCTTCTCAGCCTTCCTGGGGCCACACTGAGGGTCTGAAGCAGGGACAGGAAGTGCAAGGGATAGGGGGCGGGTTGCCACTGAGATGGCACCAGGTCTCGAATCACCCATAGTGTTTCTGGGCTGCTTGCTGGAGAACATGAGGCTTCCAGCAACCCTGTCACCAGGCTCACCATGGGGGATTGATAGGGGGTATTGGCAGCACCATGCATGGCTGGGAGTGTCCCCGGTGTTGCATGGCTGGGAGTGTCCCCGGTGTTGCATGGCTGGGAGGGTCCCCGGTGCTGCATGGCTGGGAGGGTCCCCGGTGCTGCATGGCTGGGAGGGTCCCCGGTGCTGCATTGCTGGGAGGGTCCCCGGTGCTGCATGGCTGGGAGGGTCTGCGGTGTAGGGTGCAGGAGTTACCGCCGTCCCTGATGCTCACGGGGTGGACTGTGGTCCGTTTTTTCATGGCTTGAGGAAAAGTGGTCTCTGGGCCAGGGAGAGGAAGTGGATTATGGACGAGGGGGCAGGCCCCTTCTCGCACCTGGGCAGGGAGCTCTGGTGGCTGTCTCCAGACTTTGCAGCTGGAGGGGACTGTTTTCAGAGTCAGTCACGGGGGGCTCTGTGCACCTCCTGGGCCGTGGGCTGAGGGGCAAATCTGGTATCCAGAAGGAAGCCAGGGCAGGCAGCAGGACCCTTAGGTCACAGAAGCCAGGAGCCAGGCGCGTTCTTGTCGGGGATTTCTGATCTTTAGGAAATGCACATTAAAATTTCTTCATTATGGACAGTTTTACTTAAGGAGACAAACTAGTAAAATCACACCTCCCAAGGTTAACTTTTTCTGCATTACTTTGCAGCAAAACCCAGATATCATACCATTTGAATTGTAATATTTCAGGATGCAATTCATTTTTTTTGGAAACAGAGTCTCTCTGTTGCCTGGGCTGCAGTGCATTGGTGCGATCTCGGCTCACCACAACCACTGCCTCCCGGATTCAAGCAATTCTCCTACCTCAGCCTCCCAAGTAGCTGGGATTACAGGCGCCCACCACCACGCCCGGCTAATTTTTTGTATTTTTAGTAGAGATGGGGTTTCTCCATGTTGGGCAGCCTGGTCTCGAACTCCTGATCTCAGGTGATCTGCCCACCTCGGCCTCCCAAAGTGCTGCGATTACAGGTGTGAGCCACCGCGCCCGGCCTTGGCTAATTTTTTTTGTATTTTTAGTAGAGACAGGGTTTCGCCATGTTGGCCAGGCTGGTCTCGAACTCCTGACCTCCAGTAATCTGCCCACCTTGGCCTCCCAAAGTGCTGGGATTACAGGCATGAGCCACTGTGCCCAGCCAGAAACTCATTCTAATCCAGCTTTTGATGCTTGGTTTTGCAGTGACCTCGTAGGTGGCTCTGGGTCTTTTGTGTCGGGTGTTTTCTTGTGAGCAGCACCCTCCCCGTTACTGGGTTTTTATTCAGCACTGCTCTGTGTGTTGCTCTTTTTCTTTTGATCTATTATCCACCAAATACAGATCATGTGAATTGCCCTGTGTTTTACTTTCCCTGGTGACGAGGTCACAGGACCACGCTATGGATGTTTTGGAAGTGGTGCTGGATCTCTTTTTAAGTCCCTGGGAGGACATTTCTCTGGGGGCCCCCCAAGGTGCTCAGGAGCCAGTCCTGGGCGAGAGCCGGGGCGGGGGCACCCAGGAGGTGTGGGGAGAAGGGCAGGCAGGCTGCACGGCTTGCCCCTCGGGCTGGCGGGCTCCTGGCCGCTGACACATCTTTCTGCACGTGCCAGATTGATTTTTACTGGCAAATGTCTACTCCTGAAACGTTTTCTGCAGAAAAGCTCACGAGACACTCCCCAGAGGTGTCTGTGCCTGTCCCAAGTGCACCGTAGCCCGCTGCCCTGCCGTCCTGGTGTTTCTCCTCGGTGCGGTCAGAGTCCCTCCGGGTCTGGGAAGCTCTCCCTGGGCCTCGCCAGGGCGTAGAAGTTGGCCGCCGTCCCGCGGTGCTTTCTGCAGGGTGCCGACGTGGCGCTGCCTCCTCCACGCAGGGGGTGCGCGCTCACGGTGTTTATGTCTTTGAACAGAACCACCTGGCCGTGTTTGCAGCGGTCCACCCGCCGGCCCCCAGCGTGAGCTCCAGCGTGGCGTCCAGCCTGGCGTCCAGCGCCGGCTCCGGCAGCTCCTCCCCCACTGCGCTGCCCGCGCCCCCCGCCCGTGCCCTCCCGCTCGGCCCCGCCAGCAGCACTGTGGAGGCCGTCCTCGGTAAGTCCAGCACCGTCCTCCTTTCTCCCTGACCTCCTTCTGTGTTCATGCTGTAGCTTTTCAGGGACAGCGCTTCTATTTCAGGACATGTTACAGAATCGTCATTTTTGTAGAGAAGCCAGACGCGTATTTTCAGTCATCTGTCACTTTGGTTGTGTTGCACGTGTGGTTGTGGAAACAAGCCCTGACTCAGAGAGGCTCCTGGCCTGGGTGCCGCAGGCGCTGGGGACGAGGAGCCTCCCAGGAGCCAGGCAGAGCAGGCGCCGTCCGGCTCAGGGACTGAGAACGGGGAGGTTGTTGACAGATGATGGGAGTTGTGGGAGTTGGCCGCCTGTGCTCCCAGCGCTGTGGGAGGCCGAGGCAGGAGGATCACTTGAGCCCAGAAGTTGAAGACCAGCCTGGGCAACATAGTGAGACCCCGACTCTACTAAAAATAAAATAATTAGCCAAGCATGGTGGTGCGCACCTGTGGTCCCAGCTACTTGGGAGGCTGAGGTGGGAGGATCCCTTGAACCCAGGAGGTCGAGGCTGCAGTGAGCTGTGATTACACCACTGTACTCCAGCCTGGGTGAGAGAGTGAGACCATCTCAAAAAAAAAATTGAAAGTAGGGGTTGTGGGCCAGTGAGGGCACTGAGGGTGGGGGACAGTGATGGGGTGGGGAGTCCAGTGAAGGCTTGGAGTCGGGGGCACAGCTGTGAGCACCTGGGCTGGCAGCTTTGGGAGGCCTTTAGTTGGAGGGAGTCACTGGGCACTGAGACACGTGATGGTGCTGGGCTGTGGGGACCCGTGGGGGCCTGGCTGGGAGCCCAGACCCTGGGGGGCAGATTCTTCCAGAAGCCCGGAGTGGGCAGCAGGCAGAGCTGGGGGCAAGACAGTGCCAGGAGCTGGGCTGTGTGTGTCCTTGGTCCCTTTCAGCCCCTGGGGAAAGGCCGTGTTGGGGTGGTGGGGACACCTGCCGTGTTGGGGTGGTGGGGGACACCCACCGTGTTGGGGTGGTGGGGGACACCTGGCCACACCCGTGCAGGGCTTTGCTTGCAGAGACGCTTGGTGAGTGATGGGATGTGCTGAAGCCCCATGTTCCATGGCCACCAGCGCCCAAGGGACCCAAACCTGCCTCTCTGTCCTGACAGTGACAGTGAGGGACTCAGGGAAGGCCACCTGTGGTGGTCTCCAAGTTCTCTGTCCCTGGGCTGGGGTGGAATGGGATGGGGTTGGGGGTACAGTGAGGCCGGGCCCTGCTCAGCTCAGCCCGGGTCTGGCCTCTGCTGCTGCAGCCCTGGAGCCCACCCCTTCCTCTCCTACATCCTCTGCTGTGCAGGGTGTGGCGGGGGAGCTGGGCATGGGATCAGGAGGACAGGGCTGCTGGAGCCACGTGGTGGGGGCCCTCGCTGCAGTCCCTGCCTGGACACACTCTGGGGACTTGGAGTGGGACCCCAGCACCATCAGGACCCGCGTCAATGTGGGCGGCGGCCCGGCGGCCAGACCCGCAATGACTCTTGCCCGAGAGCCGCAGCTTCTGGTCGTTGGTGGTTGCCCCACACGGAACTGCTCAGGCCCAGCTGCAAGCCCCCAGCAACTCCTAGACGATGCCGGCCAAGGAGGCCGAGGAGAGAGAGACTCTTCCCAGCGGCCACTTAGGCCACAGACCACACATCGGCAGGACACTAGACCAGTCCCATCCTGAGTGGTGTCTGCGAGGAAAGCCAGGTGCAGCTCCTGAGGCCCCAGGACGGTCCTCAGTCCCCCAAGCACCCAGGGCCCCGCTCTCAGCACCTCTGCAACCAGGTGCATCTTCTGGGCACAGCTCTTGGCCTGTGTTGCTGCTGGGCCGTCCCATCCCTGCATCTGCTTGGGGTTGAGCCCAGGCCTTTACATTTTTCTTTTGTGTGTGTGTGGGTTTTGTTTTGTTTTGATTTTGTTTTTTTTTTTTTTTTGAGACGGAGTTTCTCTCTTGTTGCCCAGGCTGGAGTGCAGTGGCGTGATCTTGGCTCACTGCAACCTCTGCCTCCCGACTTCACGCCAATCTCCTGTCTCAGCCTCCAGAGTAGCTGGGATTACAGGCACCTGCCACTACGCCCGGCTAATTTTTTTTTTTTTTTTTTTGTATTTTTAGTAGAGATCGGGTTTTACCATATTGGCCAGCCTGGTCTTGATCTCCTGACCTCGTGATCTGCCCGCCTGGGCCTCCCAAAGTGCTGGGGTTGCAGGTGTGAGCCACTGTGCCCGGCATGTGTGTGTGTGTTTTTTTTGAGACAGAGTCTCGCTCTGTCACCCAGACTGGAGGGCAGTGGCACAATCTTGGCTCACTGCAACCTCCACCTCCTGGGTTCAAGTGATTCTCCTGCCTCAGCCTCCTGAGTAGCTGGGACTATAGGCGCCTGCCACCACACCTGGCCGTTTTTTGTGTTTTTAGTAGAGATGAGGTTTCACCACGTTGGCCAGGCTGGTCTTGAACTCCCAACCTCAGGTGATCCTCCCAACTCGGCCTCCCAAAGTGCTGGGATTACAGGTGTGAACCATTGTGCCCGACCTGCATTTTTTAAAGGGTCTCTTTCACAAATACTGGGAACTTTTGTGGCCGTGTGCATCTCCCCCTCGCAGCCCTGGTGTTCCTATGTGGGCTCTGTTGTGCACCTGCCGGAGAACCCTCCAGAATCCAGGGCCAGTCCCTCCCTCAGGAGGCCATGGGGAGAGTGGGAATCCTGGATGGACCCAGCGCCCAGTGGTGGGGCTTGGTCGGGGCGGGGGCAGGGGCACAGGCGCAAGCAGTGTTTGCGTTTGTTTCGTCCTCACTGGCTGGGAGTATGGGGCTGCCCTGCCCAGGGAAGGGCTCCTCATTTCTGCCTTGCCATGGAGGGCTCACCTGGTTTCAGGACAGGACTCAAACTTCCGCCCTCCGGCCTGTTTTGGAAGTCATCTTCTCTCGGAGCCTCTATGGAGGAGGAAGCATGTGGTGTGGGATGTCTCCTGTTAGGGCTTCACCGTAAAGGGTAGGTTTTTAAAACTGTGAATACTCCATGGGTGGGAGTGCTGTGTGCTGTGTTAAGCTTTCTCTCAGGCAGAAACAAGCCCACATGTGTTTTCAGTTTGAAACTAGGGCGTACATGTTGTTCCTCTTGAACAGAGAGGTCTCATGAGTTGAATATGCTGGGGTGCCCACCCCCATCCCATTCCATCCCAGCCCAGGGACAGAGCACTTGGAGATCACCACAGGTGACGGCCTTCCCTGAGTTTGTTTTTGTTCATTTTGGGGTTTTATTTTTTAAGACAGGGTCTTGCCCTGTCACCCAGGCAGGAGTGCAGTGGTACAGTCAGCTCGCTGCAGCCTCCAACTCCTGTGCTCCAGAGATGCTTCTGCATCAGCCTCTCAAGTAGAGCTGAGACCACAGGCAGGCACCACCGGGCCCGGTGAGAACATGCTAGTTTTAATTTGAGATCACTATCATACATGGGTTGCATAATCCAGGGCCCTGGATCTTACTAAATCACACCCTCAAATTCACACATCCCCTTCAGAAACTCAGAGGTCAGGGATGAAGTCTACACAGTGGCTAAAGCTCCATGAGGGTCTGGCCTCTGAGCAGGTTCTTTTTTTTTCTTGCTCTGTTGTGCAGGCTGGAGTGCAATGGCACAATCTTGCCTCACTGCCACCTCTGCCTTCCGGGTTCAAGCGATTCTCCCTCCTCAGCCTCCGGAGTAGCTGGGATTACAGGTGTGTGCCATCATGCCCGGCTAATTTTTGTATTTTTAATAGAGACGGGGTTTTGCCATGTTGGCCAGGCTGGTCTCAAACTCCTGACCTCAGGTGATCCGCCCACCTCAGCCTCCCAAGATGCTGGGATTACAGGCGTGAGCCACCACACCCGGTCACTTATTTTTTTCTTTTAAACAAATAAGCACACATTCTTTTTAAATAAAGTTTCTCTTCCCCAACCTAAAAGTAGTAATGCTAGAATTTGAGCATAGCAGAAAAATATTTAGGAAAATTAAATCCCAAACAAGAGAGACCATCTTGGACTGTGCTCACTCGGGTGGAAAGTCGACCCAGGTGCCTGTGTGCTTGACAGAGGCGTGGCTGCATCCGCGTAGCTGACCTTCAGATGGACTGGAGTTAGCACATTTGTAGTCATTTTTCCAACCATTCTTTCGTATCTGAGGTACGTTTTTGACCTGTTTTAGTATGTCACTCGCGATCTTGAAGCACACTCTTTCATTTACTTAAATATTTCCTGAGCCGTGAGCAGTGGCTCACGCCTGTAATCCCAGCACTTTGGGAGGCCAGGGCGGGTGGATCACCTGAGGTCAGGAGTTCAAGACTAGCCTGACCAACATGGTGAAACCCCATCTCTACCAAAAATACAAAAATTAGCTGGGTGTGGTGGCTTGCTCCTGTAATCCCAGCTACTCAGGTGGTTGAGGCACGAGAATTGCTTGGACCGCAAAGGCGGAGGTTGTAGTGAGCTGAGATCGTGCCACTGCACTCCAGCCTGGGTGACAGAGCGAGACTTGTTCTCAAAAAAAAAAAAAAAAAAATCCTGAACCAGCTACTCAGAGGTGAAGAGATGGATTTTTTTTTTTTTTCAGGATCGACACTGCCTTAGTTAGAGGCAATGTATTGTTGCTGCTGCTGCGGCTGAAATTGTGAGCTTTGCCACCCAGTGCCAGCCTCACTTTTTTCCTCTGTCCATGTCTGAGACATCGCTGTAAAGTTACATCCCTGCACTAGCCACAGGCACTGGAGGCAGTGTCCTGCCCGCTGACCCCAGGGCACTCCTGCGCCCCAGGCTCAGGGACTCCCTGCCCATGGCTCCCGGGACTGTCTGGCCCCAGGTGTAGGCCCGCCTGGCTGCGTGTGTATTTTATTAGCTGTTGTAGAGGGTTTTGGACAAAGCTGGTGTGTAGACTGGGTCGTTTTTTCCTTGTGTTAATAGTACAGTTTCCTTCAGGTTGTAGGTGTACTGTGACTGGAGCACGGAATAGAAGAAATGAGCGGATTCTGTATTTAAGGGATTTTTAGTGGGATCATTTCAGACCCATCTGATAGGTTCCATTTTCCTTCATCTTACACTTCATAGGAACAGGTTTCAGATTAAGAGAGACCTGCGAGCTCCGTACCCCGCGTTTAGATGGGGCTGGGCAGGCACGCGGACTTGGGAGGGAGGAGGGTCCTGCAGGGCAGGCAGCGGCCCCAGCTCACGCCGCCCCGCCCCGCGAGCGCCCCTGTTGGGTCGACCGTGTTTCACCTGAGTCCGCCCGGAGCAGCTGCAGGTGCAGGTGGGCAGGGCAGGAGGAGCCGGGCAGCGGGGCAGCTCTGGGGCTTTCTGCCTGAAGACCTCTGGCCCCCGCTGCCCGCGCCCACTTGCCCGCCCAGCTCGTAGCCAGGAGCCGCGGGGACCGGGTGCGCCCGAGTCGGGGGGAAGGTTGGGGGAGGGCAGCGCGGGGGGCGTGGCCAGTGCGACGGGGGCGGGGCCGAGTCACGTTGCGGGGCGGGGCCAGCGCGGAGGGGGCGGGGCGCGGGCCGGGTTTGAATCCCCGGCGGCGGCGCGGGGCGGCCGCGGACCGTGAGTCAGCATTGGCGGCGGCCCCAGCGCGTGGCAGCCGTGCGCCGCCAAGGTGCGGGTCTCGTTACTCGGCGGTCAGGAGCGGGCCCTCCCTTAGGTGCGCCCCCCGCCAGGTGCGTCCCCCGCGTCACGGAGCCGGGTGTGACAGCCGCGGGGTGGGCCCGGGCTTCTCAGAGGCCCGGAGCGAGGCGAAGGCGTCGCCTTCTCGGAACCTGCCTCTGCCGGGCGCTCGCCGCTTCCCAGCGCGGGCTCGGGCCGCCTGCGTCCCCTAGCTAGGCGGGGTCGGTGCCCCGAGGGAGGGCAGGGGAGCGGGGCAGGAGAGCGGAGCGGAGCGGGGCAGGAGAGGGCAGGGGAACGGGGCGGGGGAGGGCCGACCCCTGCGTCCTGGCCTGGCCCGCCTGCACTCAGCCCGCGTGGTACGGGAATTTCCCTGGCGTCGGCGGCTCCCCCGCCCTGTCCTGAGTTCCGAGCAGTCTGTAGCTTGTCCTCGCGTGTCCCTGACCCCGGGGGACCGCGGCGCCTTGAATGTGCTGTGTCACGGCAGAGCCGGGCTGTGTCGCGGTGACTCAGCGGGGCCGGTGGTTTCCTAACGCCCGGGGCTGAGGCAGCCTGGCCTGACCCAGCTGTACTCGCTTAGGTGACCAGCCTCACCTAGATTTTGCCTCTGCACAAGGGTCAGCTCTTTCTTTGAGAATGTTTCAGAAGATCTGGGTCTAACCTTGAAACAGTGAGGTGAGGTGGGGGAGAAGCTGCGGGTGAGAAAGTGGGCCAGGACGGTGCAGCAGCCGTCTCCCCCCTTGATTTCTGGGAGTGAGCCCTAGATAGCACCCTAGGGGTGGTGGAGCCTCCAGGACCCTCTCCGGTGCTCTCTTTGGATGAGGGGCACTTGGCTTTGAAGCGGGGCCGGAGTCTCTCGGGGGCACCCACACGCTCCCTGAACGTCCCCTCTCCAGGCAGCTTCCCGGGCTTCAGCACAGGTGACTTGGCTGAGGTAGGTGGTGGCTGACGCCCTCTGAGTTGAGTGCGAGCCGTAGTTTGTCGGGTGAGCATTGAAGGCAGCTTAGCCCCTCCACATGCTGCGCACTCTGCAGCTGGTGGGTGAAGCTTCTGCCGACTTAGCACGGAGCCTGGTGGGATCACCCCACTCCAAGGGGAGAAAAGGCGCCTCCGTTCCTGTCCCCCAACTTCTTTGCGTCTTTGATTTTCATGAGGAGTTTCTGGATCTCTGCCAGGTGTGAGGGGCGGTGAGCTCTGAAGGGGCTGCCATATCCTGATCCTGGGACTTGGGTGCAGAGGGCAGGTCCAGGTTCCCGAGCCTGGCTGACCTGACTATGGGCAAACCGCTTGGCCCTGCCCGTCATCAAGCCCCCGTATGGGAGCATGAGGGGGCTGTGGGCAGGCCTGCGGGTTGGGGGGTCGGTGCCTGTCCTCAGTGAGTCTGTCCAGGGCCCTGACATGGTTCAGGCTGACACCTGCAAGGATGTAGTGGGGGGCATTCCATGCAGGGCTTGGAGGCCGAGCAGCTTTCTGGGGACTGGTGTGGCTGATCTTACTGAATGGAAGGCACAGCCAGGCTGAGCCTGCAGTGGCACAGCAGGTTAGGAGCCCGGCAAAGGACCCATTGGGAAGCGGTGACCGGCACGCGCAAGGGCACAAGCTTCCTCCTTTCTTGCAGGTCAGGATTCAGGATGCAATGAGGCTTTTCTTGGTAGGAAGGTTACTATTGCAATGCATGAAGGCAGGCTGGGCATGGGCCTCAGGGGGTGTGGGTTGAGCGAGCAGCCCATGAGGAAGGGATCCTGCAGTGCCAGCTTCCAGCAGCCCCTGCACACGTGGTGTCTGGGAAGGGCCTGCAGTGGGGCCATGGGAACAAGCAAGGGATCCTTTGCCAGGGAGGAGGAAGGGCTTTGGCCCCTGCTGGACATCTGGGCTCGGGGCTGCAGAGCCACTGTGTTGGGCGGGTCCAGGCCACAGGAGAGGCTGCCAGCCCTCAGGGAGGAGGGTGGGCCTGGGAGGGAAGCTGGTGCCTATGACAAGAGGCAGTTCAGGGCACAGGCGCAGGGCTGGAGGGAAGGGCCCGGGGCAGCGGTGGGCAGAGTGAGTGGTGAGGAGGCCCCAGAAAACAGCTGCAGGGGGAGTGGAGGCAGAGGGGGGGTCTCCTTTCTGAGGGAGGACTCAGGGAGGGAGGGCTGTGCACAGCAGGGGCCAGATCTGTTGATACAGAGTCCTGAGGGGCCTGGGGAGGACGGGCAGGACCAACAGGGGCATCTGCAGGTGGGCCCCCATGTCCTGGGTTGAATTGTGTCCCCTGAAAGTTGCATTTGAGGCTGGGCATGGTGGCTTGCACCTGTAATCCCAGCACTTTGGGAGATGAGGCAAGCAGATCACCTGAGGTGGGGAGTTCATGACCAGCCTGACCAACATAGAGAAAACCTGTCTCTACTAAAAATGCAAAATTAGCTGGGGGTGGTGGAGGGCACCTGTAGTCCCAGCTGCTCAGGAGGCTGAGGCAGGAGAATAGCTTGAACCTGGGAGGCGGAGGTTGCAGTGAGCTGAGATCGCGCCATTGCACTCCAGCCTGGGTGACAGAGCAAGACTCTATCTCGGTTGGGGGGGCTGGGTGTGGCGGGGGAAGATGCACCTGAACCCCAGGCGTCGCACCTAGGTACGTGGCGTTGCAGGGAAACACAGCAGGTCCTCTTATCCCAGGGTTCGCTGTCCACTGCCTCATTTGCTGGTGCGAGGTCTGGGTTCAGGACAGCAGTGTACAGCATTTGCGCAGGTAACTTTTATTACTGTGCGGTGCTGAAATCTATGTTACCAGTTAATCTTGTTAATCTCTTACTGGGCCTGACGTGCAAATGAGGACGTTCGTATAGGAAAAAGCTTGGTATATAGGGGTTCCGTGCTATCCGCAGCATCAGGCGTCCATGGGGGGGTCTTGGAATGTATCCCCCTGCTACAGATCGCAGGGTGCTACTGCAGGGTCCTCATAACCAGGTTAAAATGAGGCCGGTAGGGTGGGACCCTGAGCCAGTGACCAGTCTCCCTATAAGAAGAAACTTGGACAGACACTCGGAAGAGGTGGCCCCCAGAGCAGAGGCAGACACTGGAGCCACGCAGCTGCCAGCCATGAAGGAGGATGGACGCCAGGAGGAGGAGTGCACCCCAGCCCTGGAGGGAGGAGGAGTGTGCCAGCCCTGGAAAGAGGGAGGAGGAGCATCCCCAAGCCCTCAGAGGAGGGAGGAGGAGTGCCCCAGCCCTGGAGGGAGGAGGGAAGAGGAGCACCCCAGCCCTAGAGTGAGGGAGGAGGGAAGAGGAGTGCCCCAGCCCTGGAGGGAGGAGGGAGAGTGGAGGAGGAGCGTGCCCCAGCCCTGGAGAGAGGGAGGAGGAGCGCCCCAGCCCTGGAGGGAGGAGGGAGGAGCATGCCCCAGCCTTGGAGTGAGGGAGGAGGGAGGAGCATGCCCCAGCCTTGGACTGAGGGAGGAGGAGCGCCCCAGCCCTGGAGGGAGGAGGGAGGAGCGTGCCCCAGCCTTGGAGTGAGGGAGGAGGAGCGCCCCAGCCCTGGAGGGAGGAGGGAAGAGGCCCTGCCCGCCACAGATCTCACTTTCAGCCTTGGAGCCACCTGTCCAAGGCCGCTCAGTGCGTGGTCCTCTGCCACTGCCTGCAGTGTCTCGGCTCTGCTGCTCAGCACGACTTCAGTCAGGCTTTGAGGTCTTGCCCTCTTCAGCCATGGCCTGAGAACGTCAAGTGGATGACAGCGACCGGGAGGGCTGGCCCACCCTGCAGGCCAGGGTGGATGTCCGCTCAGGGACGCCACCGTCCTGTGAATGGGAAGGAGAGGAGTGAATGGCTCTGGGTGCGGCTGGCCCAAGGCCTGCCTTTGGCTCCGCCGATGAGCATCCTTGAGGGCTGAGGCATTTTCGGATGCTACTGTGGGTTCCTGGTCCCCAGGGGGTCTTGGCCTGGCTGCCCCGACCCCCAACCTGTTACTCTAGTTTCTGGATAAGACCTTCGAAAGTCCCTAAAAGCTTCATTGGAACGGTGTCTCCGTGGGAGTGGAGGCCACTCCCGCATGCGCCGTGTGCCGTCCCGGACGCCCCAGGGGTTCAGGTTCTCTGCCCTGGGCCCTGCTGCCTCTGTGACGGGATGGGGAAGGACAGTGTTGCCAGGTGGCGCCACAGCCCGGCCTCCACGCCCCGGAAATTCCCTCACGGCTGGCGTGTGGACGAGGGTTGAGTCTGGGTCGTGCTGTGCGGTGGAGTGGGGTGGGGGTGGCCTCTGCCTTGCGGCCTCTGGAGTCCACCGTCCACTCCCGAGCCAGGCTTCTCTCCCGCCTGCCGCTCTGGGTGGTGGAGCACGGTCTCCACACAGTGTGGCTGCTGAGCGCGGCCAGATTCGGGGTGAAGTTCAGAGGCCCGGACCTGCCAGCTGCGCCACGTCCACGCCAGCCTCTGCCTGTGCTCCGCTGGGGCCACCACCGCGGCACGAGGATACTCCGGCTGCCCTGGGGGGCTCGGGGGGTGTGACCGCCGAGCGCCAGGCCTCGGGCGAGGGGCCACCCGCCACCCTGTGGTTGCTCCCATGGTCCCCGTGGCGCTGACTGGTGCCAGCTGCTTCCAGGGAGGAGAAGCGGAGGCCTGGGCAGAGGGGTGAGGTGCAGGCCACGTGCCCCACAGCTGTGTTCCCGACAAATCTCATGTGCGGCTAGGGCAGCGTTCTTCTTCAGAAGTCACCCTCCTGCCTTTCCTGCTGATTATGCTGAAAATGTCTGGAAAGGCCCCAGCTGTCTTCCCCGGCAGAGTGGGGTTTTGTCCCTCTGCGGCCCCTTGGCTGCCGAGTCCTTGTTTCTCCAGCTGTTTTTTGGGATGCCCCCTGTGTGGTGAACCTGCTGTCACCCTGACATGGCCACCAAGTCCTGACGAGTCAGCCCTGCCTGGCTCAGCCAGCTCCCTGCTGGGTGGGGTGGGTTGTGGGGAGTGAGGCTGCAGGAGGTCTGCGAGGGCGGGACTCGATGTCGGGTAGGTGGGGCAGTGACCGCCTCTTTGCTTCTGCTGGGCCCCAGCTTGTCTGAACCGAGCACCAGGCAGGGGCTGGCCAGGCTGTGGAGGTTCCCGGCGCGCCGACCCCCACGGTCGGGTCTGACAGGTTTCCCCGGGGTGCGGTTGCCTGGGGCCATGGAGGGACCATCGGTCCCAGGTGAGGACAGGAGGAAGGGGGTCTAGGGCCCTTCAGGGACAGGCAGGGGTGGCTTTGCCTGTCTCAGAGCAGGCCTCAGCAGCACACTGTCCAGTACCAGGCATCAGTGAGGGTCCAAGAACTTGCAGCCAGCAGGGACGACAGGGCAGGGCCCCCCAGGAGAGACCCCACACAGCGCACATGGGAGAGTGGATGCCAAAGGTGGGCAGCGGGGAGGGCGCCTGCGCAACAGTCCCTGTGTGGTGTGCCCCACGCTGCTGAGGTCTCTGTGCGGTGTTGGCCGGCAGTCCCTGTGTGGTGTGCCCCACGCTGCTGAGGTCTCTGTGCGGTGTTGGCCGGCAGTCCCTGTGTGGTGTGCTCCACGCTGCTGAGGTCTCTGTGCGGTGTTGGCCGGCAGTCCCTGTGCGGTGTGCTCCACGCTGCTGAGGTCTCTGTGCGGTGTTGGCCGGCAGTCCCTGTGCGGTGTGCTCCACGCTGCTGAGGTCTCTGTGCGGTGTTGGCCGGCAGTCCCTGTGCGGTGTGCTCCACGCTGCTGAGGTCTCTGTGCGGTGTTGGCCGGCAGTCCCTGTGCGGTGTGTTCCATGCTGCTGAGGTCTCTGTGCGGTGTTGGCCGGCAGTCCCTGTGTGGTGTGCTCCACGCTGCTGAGGTCTCTGTGCGGTGTAGGCCGGCAGTCCCTGTGCGGTGTGCCCCACGCTGCTGAGGTCTCTGTGCGGTGTTGGCCGGCAGTCCCTGTGCGGTGTGCTCCACGCTGCTGAGGTCTCTGTGCGGTGTTGGCCGGCAGTCCCTGTGCGGTGTGCTCCACGCTGCTGAGGTCTCTGTGCGGTGTTGGCCGGCAGTCCCTGTGCGGTGTGCTCCACGCTGCTGAGGTCTCTGTGCGGTGTTGGCCGGCAGTCCCTGTGCGGTGTGCTCCACGCTGCTGAGGTCTCTGTGCGGTGTTGGCCGGCAGTCCCTGTGCGGTGTGCCCCACGCTGCTGAGGTCTCTGTGCGGTGTTGGCCGGCAGTCCCTGTGTGGTGTGCCCCACGCTGCTGAGGTCTCTGTGCGGTGTTGGCCGGCAGTCCCTGTGTGGTGTGCCCCACGCTGCTGAGGTCTCTGTGCGGTGTTGGCCGGCAGTCCCTGTGTGGTGTGCTCCACGCTGCTGAGGTCTCTGTGCGGTGTTGGCCGGCAGTCCCTGTGCGGTGTGCTCCACGCTGCTGAGGTCTCTGTGCGGTGTTGGCCGGCAGTCCCTGTGCGGTGTGTTCCATGCTGCTGAGGTCTCTGTGCGGTGTTGGCCGGCAGTCCCTGTGCGGTGTGTTCCATGCTGCTGAGGTCTCTGTGCGGTGTTGGCCGGCAGTCCCTGTGTGGTGTGTTCCATGCTGCTGAGGTCTCTGTGCGGTGTAGGCCGGCAGTCCCTGTGTGGTGTGCTCCACGCTGCTGAGGTCTCTGCGGTGTTGGCCGGCAGTCCCTGTGTGGTGTGCCCCACGCTGCTGAGGTCTCTGTGCGGTGTTGGCCGGCAGTCCCTGTGTGGTGTGCCCCACGCTGCTGAGGTCTCTGTGCGGTGTTGGCCGGCAGTCCCTGTGTGGTGTGCTCCACGCTGCTGAGGTCTCTGTGCAGTGTAGGCCGGCAGTCCCTGTGCGGTGTGCCCCACGCTGCTGAGGTCTCTGTGCGGTGTTGGCCACAACACTGGGCTGGGCTGGGGAGGCGGCGCCGGCCCACAGGGTGTATCCCAGAGCTCCTGCAGCCGCTGCGGTCCTCTGGTCTGCCCCAGGTGGCACGTGGGCTCTCAGATCCCAGATCCTCTGGTCACCCCTCACCCCCAACCCAACTTCTGTGCAGTGGCTGCGGGAGTTTGAGACACGCTGTGGCTTCAGGGGCTGGTGGCCTGAGCTCAGCCTCCTCATGATGGCTTCCTAATTCTAGGAAGGGGCAGTGGGGTCCCTGCTTGCCATTCGGGGTTGGGGGTGGGGACTTGGGAGGGAAGGGCCCGTGCAGGAGGGCAGCCCCACGGCCTGCAGGGATGTGTGGGGACAGCCTTGGAAGGCAGGGCTGGCTGGGTGAGGCCACTCTGAGGCGGGTCCTTCCCACTCAGTCTTGAGCCTTGGGAATTGAGGTCTTGGTGCTTGGCATGAAATTGCACGTGAACACCTGCTCCTTGAAATCACCCTCACAGAAAGTTTTTTTTTTGTTTTTGTTTTTGTTTTTTTTGAGATGGAATCTTGCTCTGTCGTCCAGGCTGGAGGGCAGTGGCACGATCTCGGCTCACTGCAAGCTCCGCCTCTGGGGTTCACACCATTCTTCCGCCTCAGCCTCCCGAGTAGCTGGGACTACAGGCACCCGCCACCACGCCTGGCTAATTTTTTGTATTTTTTTTTTTTTGGTTGAGACGGGGTTTCACCGTGTTAGCCAGGATGGTCTCGATCTCCTGACCTTGTGATCTGCCCACCTCGGCCTCCCAAAGTGCTGGGATTACAGGTGTGAGCCACCGCACCCGGCCCTGGAAAGTTTTTTAAACAGTCGAATGTGCACACGTGGACAGATGCTAACACACACTTAGGTATTTAAACTCTGAGGGGCAGCAGCAGCGTGTCAGAGGCGAGGACCCAGCTGCTGGTCTGTGGTGCGGGGCGTCCCACCTGAGCACGCTCGTTTTGCCGGAGGAACAGCCAAGCCTCACACTGCCTGTGGGGGGCTGCGAGGACGGGCTGGGGGTGTCCTTCCCTGGCTGCCCCAGCAACTCCCACGCCTTCTGCCCTTGGTCTCACTCTAAGCCCAGGTGGGACGGTCGTCCTCCTCAGCTAGGCTTCCTGAGCTCTGCAGCGCTGGGTGGGCTGTGGATGATGGGGGGCTCTGTTGACAGGTTCTGCGTTAGACCTGCATCTTAGCAATGTGAATATTGCATCCCTAGAGAAGGACCTGGAAGAGCAAGACGGCCACGACCTGGGAGCAGCAGGTGAGGGTGGGGAGGACCTGGGGCCCTGCTCCTCCAGCCGCTGAACAGCCAAGTGCTGTGGCCGGAGGATCGCTTGAGCCCGGGGAGGTCAAGGCTGCAGTGAGCTGAGGTTGCACCACTGCACTCCTGCCTGGACCACAGGGCAAGACCCGGTGTCTGGTTTTCGGAGCGGGAGGATCCCCTTCTGGCGGTACCTCCTCCTCCTCTCCCTGACTGCCTCTCCCTTTCCCTCCCCTGCACATGGACTCCTCAGCATCTCTCCTGCCTCGGGCCTGCCCACTTCTTCAGTTGACCTTTGTCCCAGCAAAGTGGCCGCGCAGAGACAGGCGGGGCCTTTCCTGAAAGTCTTGATGGTCCCCGAAGGATAAATGTATTCACATTGTAGACAAAAGATTGACATCCATACAAATGTATCTTTTTTTTTTTTTTTTTTTTTGAGACAGAGCCTCGCTCTGTCGCCCAGGCTGGAGTGCAGTGGCGCGATCTCCGCTCACTGCAAGCTCCACCTCCCGGGTTCACGCCATTCTCCTGCCTCAGCCTCCGGAGTAGCTGGGACTACAGGTGCCCGCCACCACGCCCAGCTAATTTTTTGTATTTTTAATAGAGACGGGGTTTCACCATGTTAGCCAGGATGGTCTCCATCTCCTGACCCCGTGATCTGCCCGCCTTGGCCTCCCAAAGTGCTGGGATTACAGGCGTGAGCCAGTGCGCCCGGCCCCATACAAATGTATCTTAACATCGTATACAACATCTTTTCATTCAGCCTAAAAGTGTATCTTTTCTTTCTTTTAAAAGAAAGTAAACCATTTCAGGGGGCCTGGACAAGTGCTGGGAGGACCGTGCCAATGGCTTAGTTGGCCGGCAGGGCCTGGTGGGTGTCCGGCCTCTTTGGGGGGGGCCCATGTTAAACCCCCGTCTCCCCACCTCTGGTTGGAATCCCTTTGAGCCCATGGCTTGCCCAGCTGTGTTGGACATGGCCACCGGGGGCGCTGTGGCTCCAAACACATAGATGGTGGTGGCTGGCCTGGCCCCTATATTCCCACCCCCCATATCCCCACCACCACCACCTGCAGGGTCCGTCTTCCACGGCTGCCGCCCATGGCAGATGTTTGGGCAGAGGCCTGGCGGTACTCCCTTCGCTGACTGGTCCGCCCCCGCCAGGTCCCAGGTCGCTGGCCGGCTCTGCACCTGTCGCCATCCCCGGCTCCCTGCCCAGAGCACCATCGCTACACTCGCCATCCTCTGCGTCCACCTCGCCGCTCGGTTCGCTGTCCCAGCCCCTCCCAGGGCCGGTGGGCTCCTCAGCCATGACGCCTCCCCAGCAGCCGCCACCCCTGCGTTCAGAGCCGGGCACACTGGGCTCTGCAGCCTCATCCTACAGCCCCCTAGGTGAGTGCCGGCTCCCTCCATGCTGGCGTTGCCGTGAAGCCTCCGTGGGGCTCCCTCCCAGATGCCGTCCTGACTGAGGGGCCTCACACGGAACCTTGTGCCCTATCTGTGGTGGCAAACCACATGACCTGCTGCTCACAGGTTCCCCCACGCCGCAGACCGAGTCTCGCTCTGTCGCCCAGGTTGGACTGCAATGGTACGATCTCGGCTCGCCGCAACCTCCGCCTCCCAGGTTCAAGCAATTCTCCTGCCTCAGCCACCCAAGTAGCTGGGACTACAGGCGGGCGCCACCACGCCCAGCTAGTTTTTGTATTTTTAGTAGAGATGGCGTTTCATCACGCTGGCCGGGCCGGTCTCAAACTCCTGACCTCGTGATCTGCCTGCCTTGGCTTCCCAAAGTGTGGGATGACAGTGAGCCACCGTGCCCGGCTATTTGTTACGTTGTAAAAGAACTAACACTTGGTCGGGTGCAGTGGCTCACACCTGTAATCCCAGCACTTTGGGAGGCTGAGGCAGGCGGATCACCTGAGATTGGGAGTTCAAGACCAGCCTGACCAACATGGAGAAACCCCATCTCTACTAAAAATACAAAATTAGCCGGGTGTGGTGGTGCATGCCTGTAACCCCAGCTACTGGGGAGGCTGAGGCAGGAGAATTGCTTGAACCTGGGAGGTGGAGTTTGCAGTGAGCTGAGATTGTGCCATTATGCTCCAGCCTGGGCAACAAGAGTGAAACTCCATCTCAAAAAAAAAAAAGAGAAAAAGGCCCGGCGTGGTGGCTCACGCCTGTCATCCCAGCACTTGGGGCGCCGAGGTGGGCGGATCACGACGTCAGGATATCGAGACCATCCTGGCCAACATGGTGAAACCCCGTCTCTACTAAAAATACAAAAATTAGGCGGGCGTGGTGGCACATGCCTGTAATCCCAGCTACTTGGGAGGCTAAGGCAGGAGAATCGCTTGAACCCGGGAGTCGGAGGTCGCAGTGAGCTGAGATTGTGCCACTGCACTCCAATCCAGCCTGGCGATAGAGCTAGACTCCATTTCAAAAAAAAAAAAAAAAAAAAAAAAAAAACTAATACTTTGGGCCAACATAGTGGCTCAAGCCTGTAATCCCAGCACTTTGGGAGGTCGAGGTGGGTGGTCACTTGAGGCCAGGGGTTCAAGACCAGGCTAGGCACCATAGTGAGACTCCTGAGTCTACAAAAAAATACAAAATTTTAAAAGTTTTTATTTTTTTAAAACAAAGTTTCACTCTGTCGTCCAGGCTCCAGCAATCTTGGCTCACTGCAGCCTCTGCCTTCCGGGTTAAAATGATTGTCATGTCTCAGCCTCCCGAGTAGCTGGGATCACAGGTACCTGCTACCACGCCAGGCTAATTTTTGTATTTTTAGTAGAGATGGAGTTTCACCATGTTGGCCATACTGGTCTCAAACTCCTGACCTCAAGTGATCTGCTGGCCTCGACCTCCCAAAGTGCTGGGATGACAGGCCTGTTTTTTTTTTTTTTTTTTTTTTTTTTTGAGACGGAGTCTCATTCTGTCGCCCAGGCCGGACTGCGGACTGCAGTGGCGCAATCTCGGCTCACTGCAAGCTCCGCTTCCCGGGTTCACGCCATTCTCCTGCCTCAGCCTCCCGAGTAGCTGGGACTACAGGCGCCCGCCACCACGCCTGGCTAATTTTTTGTATTTTTAGTAGAGACGGGGTTTCACCTTGTTAGCCAGGATGGTCTCGATCTCCTGACCTCATGATCCACCCGCCTCGGCCTCCCAAAGTGCTGGGATTACAGGCGTGAGCCACCGCGCCCGGCCTGTTTTTTTTAAGTAACATTTAAACTATTTCAGTCATAGTCTCTAAAGCTGCATAGACATTGGCAGTCACCACATGGACACAGCTCTGTGGGGTCTTTGAGAGTCTCAGTGTGTGAGGGGTTCCTGGGAGTGGAGTCTGAGAACCACTGCCCCTCCCACCTCATGGTGTGGTCCCAGGAACTTGAATTTAATTCCTCTCTGTTTAGACTCCTCAGGTGGCCAGGAAGGCGTAGATCTGGTGGGGAGACCGGCCGGGGCAGGTGTCACTGTCAGCGCCTCTTCCTGAGCCTGGTGGGGTCCAGGAGTGGGGCAAGGGGCAGGCGTGGCTGCACCCCTGCTGCCAGGGCAGGTGAGCCCCAGAGGGTGCCCACGTAGCGGTGGGGCCTGGGGCATAGCACCCACCAATCCCACCAGGCCGCGAGCACAGCAGGGCTGGGCCGTCATCGACCGTTTCACACTCAGGTTTGAACGGTGTCCCCGGGAGCATCTGGGACTTTGTTTCCGGCAGCTTCTCCCCCAGCCCCTCCCCCATCCTGAGTGCCGGCCCCCCATCCTCTTCGAGTGCAAGTCCAAACGGAGCTGAGCTGGCCCGGGTCAGGCGGCAGCTGGACGAGGCCAAGAGGAAGATCCGGCAGTGGGAGGAGTCCTGGCAGCAGGTGAAGCAGGTGAGTGTGTGGGGGGGCCAGACAGGTGAGGGGGAGGGAGGGCCGCAGGGGACTCAGGTGAGCGTGTGGGGGTGAGATGGGAGGGGAGGGAGGGAGGGCCGCAGGTGACTCAGGTGAGCGTGTGGGGGGTGAGACGGGAGGGGGAGGGAGGGAGGGAGGGAGGGAGGGAGGGCCGCAGGGGTCTCAGGTGAGGGGGCCACAGCTGATGCTGGGGAGGGGAGGGGAGGATCGCTGGTGACACAGGCAAGAGGGTCTGCAGGTGGCACAGGTGAGGTGGGGGGTGCTGAGACGGGCCCTGGGTTTCAGGTCTGCGATGCCTGGCAGCGAGAGGCGCAGGAGGCCAAGGAGCGTGCCCGTGTGGCCGATAGCGACCGGCAGCTGGCGCTGCAGAAGAAGGAGGAGGTGGAGGCACAGGTGAAGCAGCTGCAGGAGGAGCTGGAGGGCCTGGGCGTAGCCTCCACACTGCCGGGGCTGCGGGGCTGTGGGGACATCGGCACCATTCCCCTGCCGAAGCTGCACTCGCTGCAGAGTCAGCTGCGCCTGGACCTGGAGGCGGTGGACGGCGTGAGTCCTGCTCTGGGCAGGGTGAGGGGCCAGCCTGCCTGCAGGGCTGCTGTCCCTGTCTGGGGAGGGCCCTGGCTGGTGCGGTGTCCCCTTCCTCCCCTGCCCCAGGGTCTGCTCCGGGCCTAGGGAGGAGGAGACGGTGCCCCACCCCAGCACAGCCCCCTGTGGCCTCCTTGCCTGTCTCCCTGGGAGCCGCCTTTCCTGTCAGGCTGGCCCTTGCCCTTTCACCCCTCCCTCTTGTCAGCGAATGCCACACTGCTCCCCGTGGCCCCATCCCTCCCTGTTCACAGCTGTGACCCTCACACATGACCCCTCCACTTCGGCGTGCCCCTCCTCACCTCGCCTGCTAAGGGTGGGCTCTTGGACTCGCTGCTATAGGACAGAGGGTCCTGCGTAGCCCACATCCTGGGCACCCAGCTGCCCTCAGGGGCCTGGCCTGTCTGGCCACTGCCGTGTCTGTGGTGGCCCCAGGAGGCTGTCCTCTGCCCAGGGCTCTTAAGACAGAGCATACCCCCTGACCCCGCAGCTGCCTTCTCCCTGAGGTGGCCCTGGCTGGGGCGTCTCCCTGACCCTGTCTCTGTAGCTGGTGGCCGGGCGGCCTGAGATGCTGAGTCCTGCCCGGAAGGCCCTCCGGCTCCCCAGCTGGCCCAGCCTGGGCAGGGGCCTCCTGAGCCCGTCATTGTTCTGGCCCTGCAGGTGATCTTCCAGCTCCGCGCCAAGCAGTGTGTGGCCTGCCGGGAGCGGGCCCACGGTGCTGTCCTGCGGCCCTGTCAGCACCACATCCTCTGTGAGCCGTGTGCGGCCACCGCACCTGAGTGCCCCTACTGCAAGGGCCAGCCCCTGCAGTGGTGACCTCAGCGGGGACAGCCACCTCCTGCTGGGCACCCTGGCTCCAGCGCTCCTCCTGACCACGGACATGTCGTCACTCGCTTCTGGTGCCACCGACGTGAGGACCGAGGCTGGGAGCCCTTCCTGTTACACGTTATCATGAGGCTGGGAGCCCCGCCTGCGCTTGGCCTGACAGCCTTTCCTGTCACACGTTGTCACCTATCTAGTCCTACCGACGGTTTCAAGGTATTTTCCTCAAAAACCTTAAATGCAAACCCACAGAACCCGCCTGCCTGTCCCTGAGGGGCCTGGTGCCTCCGGGATCCACGCGGCGCTGTGATCACAGCAGTTTGTGGTCCTGACACTACTGTGACTAGGCCACTGGGAGCTGGGGTCTTTCAAAGCACTTTGTAAACCGAGGAATTTAGTTAGAGGTTATAAATTGCTCTAAGCTGCTTTCTGTTTTTTTTTAATATGCGATAATATGAAGCTTTATATGTGTACTGTGAACTTAAATATTTCATATCAGTTTATTGTCAATTCATAGTATGCTAAATATATTAGATTTCATATTCTGAAACTAGTACTTATGAAATGAGTGTTTATCTAGTAGTAAGACCTAGGATTTTTACATTTTCCAATTAAGTGCAAATAGTATTTATAAGCAGAGTGATTATGGATTGAGATGTTTTTAACTTGATGGAAGGAGCTAGTTTTCCTGAGCCTGTGTGTGCACCAGGCACTGGGGCTGATGTTCCAGCCTCGTGGCGTGGGAGCAGGAGAGCTCCGTCCTGCATTTCTGTGGTCCGTGGCCGCTGTTTCTGTGCGCCTGCGCCTCGGAGAGCAAGTGAAGGAGCATCATGGGTTTTGTTTTCTCCCTTAACCCTCTGAAAGACAGTTTGATACTAACAAAAAACGCAGCAGAGGGGATCCGACGTCAGAGCTTTTAGAATTACTTTTTTAAGCAGCTGTCTTCTGGCTGGGTGCGGTGGCTCATGCCTGTGATCCCAGCACTTTGGGAGGCGGGTGGATCACCTAAGGTCAGGAGTTCAAGACCAGCCTGGCCAACATGGTGCAACCCCGTCTTAGTAAAAATACAAAAATTGGCCTGGCGTGAGAGCGGGCACCTGTAGTCCCAGCTACTCGGGAGGCTGAGGCAGGAGAATCGCTTGAACCTGGGAGGCAGAGGTTGCAGTGAGCCGAGATCGCGCCACCGCACTCCAGCCCGGGTGACAGAGCGAGACTCTGGCTCAAAAAAAAAAAAAAAAAGCTGTTTTCTGATTACTCAGAGCTGTCCTAGGCAATGGTGCTTTGTAGCTCCTTGGAGATGTCGCTGGGCGTCCTGGCAGGGGTCAGGCAGTGAACTGGGAGAGTGGTTGCCTCCCCAGCACCCGTGACCACCCTGGTCCTGCTCGTGTGGGAGATGCTCGGGCCGTGTGTGCGCCAGGGTCCGGGGTGCCGGGTGTATGTGGCAGTCACCTGACCCGCGCTGCCAGTTATCATCGGAGCTCATCCATGTGGCCAGTGAGGTCACAGGAGAGGACCCGGCCACAGCCTCTCAGTGGCCTGGAGCACACGGGGGAAGCGACCCCCCCCAGGTCCCGGCTCTGCTGTGGTCCCCTGTCCCGTCTGCCCCTGGAGCGACAGTGTGGTTTCGGCCGCAGCAGAAACGTGACTGAGAACGCATCCCCGCGATGACCTGACCCTTCTGCTCAGGGCTGGGACTGTCCCTAGGAGTTGAGCAGGAACAGGCATCTGTGGTTTACGGCGACCTGGCTCTCCGCGGGCCACGTGGGTGGTGAGGGCACACGAGTGGGAAGCGGCACCGACGTGTTTCTCCCCGACCGTGGCTTTGCCAAAGACTTTTAATAGCATTTTTTAAGTGCAAAACGTCTAGGTAAAAATCTTTATCATCAGTGACCAAATTAGAATGTATTTAATATAGTAGGTGGTTTAAGAACTGTTTTAACGTAAGACAAACTGATAGCAACATTCTGTTGTTTTAAAGGAAGTGGGTCCGTGACATTCTGCAGCTAGTCCACTACTCCAAGGTAACTATCGACTTGGTTTCAGTGAATCTATTTTGTTTTTAACTACAGTGATTTATTAGCTCAGTATCTAGAAATTACGTATATTTTGTGCTACTGTCATCGATGTGTAAACTCTGTTTTTATTTGTATTTATGCACTTGGTTCCCATTTGGAGCCTCTGGTCTTTTCTGGGATAAGTGGTGTCTGCCGAGACATCTCCCGGTTGTCAGTGGTCAGGAGCAGCTGAGCTCTAGTCTGCCAGCTGCTCTGCTCTTTCTGGGAAGGAGGTGGCGCCCGCCCCTCAGGGTGTCTCCAGGGCTCAGCTTCCGGGGTGGTAGAGCTGGGGAGCCCCAGGGGTGGGGGGACAGCTGGGAGATGGAGGTGGCACCTGCTCCCCTAGATCAGTACTGGCTCTGAGGACAGGTGAGCAGTGGGAAGACCAAAGAATGGCTGGCAGCGCTGCCAGGGTTGGAAATGGGGGCAAGATCCTGGGGCTGTGTGCCCTGGGGCCTCCCTCACCTGTCTTGGTGGCCATGGCCTCAGGGATGGCTCCTAGGTGGCTGAGGCACAGCAGTGGCTGGAAGGTGCCCCGTGGAGGCTGAGGTGGAGGCGCGCCCAGCAGCTCCCCCCTGTGGCCATGGCGGGCACGGGGCGTAGGAGCTGGCTGGCGGCCGGCTCTGCATGTTCTTGTTGCCTGTCGTCTGTAACTCTAGTGTTCGACATTCGCCGTGATACAGTGGTGTCACGACGTGTGTAACTGTGGTCAGCAGACCTTGTTCCGCGTGGACGCCTCAAGTGGATTAATTTCTGGAAGCCTCAATCTGTATGTTTGAGTATTTACATGAGAATGTTATTTGAATGGAATTTTCTTAACCCAGAAGGTAGTATTTATAATCATTTACTTGTAGCGAACTGTTTAAAGTTAACACTTGTTTAAATTTTTTTACACTATAGCATTTATGCAATGGTTTACAGAATTCATGGAGTTATTTTTATCAGTATGGGAATTAATTAAAACCTTGAATCTTTGTTTTGTCTGCTTCTCTGAGCACAAGCCTGGTCAGCTGGTCCCTGCGGGTCCTACCAGCCAGCTTCTCTGTAGGGCTCTCGGCCGCGTCCACCTCTGCTCTCCCACCACAAGGTCACAAACTCCCACGCAGTCCTGGGTCACCCCGCAGCTGCTCTGGAGACTTGGCTCTGGGCGTCTCGTGGCCCAAGTGCTCCAAGTTGGAAGTTTCTGCCAAAACACCAGGTGGCCAGTCCTCACCTGGACCCACAGGTGGCGAGTGTGATGGTGAGCCTGGCCCTCTCCCCACAGGTGACTCACCTGTGGGCCTCGTGTAGGGGATGCCGTGCTGGGTGAGCAAACCTTTCAGCCTTTTGATCTCCTTTGAGAGTTCTTTATGAGCCTACCAACCACAAAAAGAGTTCAAGGGAAAGCCCAGGTGCTGGAGGGCTACTGCGTGCCACCACCTCCCCCCAATACGGTACCTTCCTGCAGTTTTCCAGGGTCTCAAACCCCAAGCTGTCAGGACCTCCCTCCAGCTGGGTGGGTTCATTTTCTTCTGGGGTCTTTAAGTAGCCAGCATCCTCAAAAAGTGTCCTCAGCAACTTCTCATGGCCCTGAAGGTGGAGGATGCAGGGGCAGCACCCAGCTCCCAGCCAGGCCCACCAGGGGCCACCCCGAGCGCACGCTTACCTGGGGGGTGATCAGCTCATCGGCCAGGTCCTGCTCTACCTGGTCCCACTGCCGCTGCAGGGCCTCTGGCAGGGTTGGGTACACTGAGGACCCAAGAGAAGCCAGGCTCAGCTGCACCCCATGTCCCAACCCTGGCCCCCAGCACTACAGGGCCTCCAGCAGGGCTGCGTGCGCGGCTGACCCCACTGGGCTCAACTGCGTCCCGCACCCCTACCTAGCAAGGCGTGGGGGTGGCAGACGAGGGGGGTCTCGAACGTCAGCGCGTAGACGCAGGTGCTCGGCTCGGACACATGGGCCAGCCGGTTGCTTTTTCCACACGCCAGCTCCACCTGGGGAGGGAACGTGGGTAGGTGGGTTGGGGAGACTGGGGCCCCTCTTCCCGGGCTCCCGTCTGAGGCCCCACCTTGCTCTGCCGGCTCCGGGAACGGCAGGCGTCACCGTCCCTCATCCACATGCCCGTGAAGGTGTTGTTGGCGATCTCCCACTCGTGCCAGATGCTGGGGAGACACGGGCACGGCACGTGAGGCCGGGTGGGGAGCTGCGCTGCTGCTTTGGGATCCCTGCCCCGGCCCCACTCACCCGAGGATCCCACTGTAGGCGTTCCAGCGGAAGGTCTGCTCGTGCTGGGTCACGTTGTGGAACGGGCAGAACTCATACTTGTACCTGGGGACACAGATGGCATGAGGGGGGTCCGCAGGCTGCGCCCCAGCCCACCCTCGCACCCACCCTGCACTCACGTGGACTCCACCAGGCTGAAGCACTTGCCCGAGAGTCGGAAGAGATGCACGGGTCCTGGAAGAGACCTCACACTGATCCCCAGGGTCCAAGCACAGAACCTGTCTGCAAAGACTGGCAGAGTCTGTTTTCAAAGGACCAGTTTTCTTTTTTTTTGAGATGGAGTCTCACTCTGTCACCCAGGCTGGAGTGCAGTGGCATGATCTTGGCTCACTTCAAGCTCCGCCTCCCATGTTCACGCCATTCTCCTGCCTCAGCCTCCCAAGTAGCTGGGACTACAGGCGCCCGCCACCATGCCCGGCTAATTTTTTGTATTTTTAGTAGAGACGGGGTTTCACCGCGTTAGCCAGGATGGTCTCGATCTCCTGACCTCGTGATCCACCCACCTCGGCCTCCCAAAGTGCTGGGATTACAGGTTTGAGCCACCGCGCCCGGCCAAGGACCAGTTTTCAACAAAAAGCACAAGACGTTCAAAGAAACAGGAAAACAGGTACCATTCAATGGAAGAAACTGACAAAACCGAGAATTCTAAAAATAGCCCTTCAAAAATTAGAGTTAAGGCTTGCTATCGTGGCTCATGCCTGTAATCCCAGCACTTTGGGAGGCCAAGGCGGGAAGATTGCTTGAGGCCAGGAGTATGACACCAGCCTGGGCAACACTGTGAGAACCCCGTGTCTACACAAAAAGCACACAGAAAAAATGAGCTGAGTGTAGTGGCGCGCACCTGTAATCCCAGCTACTCAGGAGGCTGAGGCAGGAGAATCTCTTGAACCCAGGAGGTGGAGAGTGCAGTGAGCTGAGATCGTACCACTGCACTCCAGCCTGCGTGACAGAGCAAGACCCTGTCTTCCCCACCCCCCAAAAAAGAGGACATTCCCAGATAAAAGCTTCAGGAGTTGGTTACATGCAGGCCGGTGTGCCACCCGGGGAAGTGAGCAGACAGCAGCTCAGCGGAGGCAGACGGAGGTCCTCGTGCAGGGTGAATTAATACCAGTTGCCTTTCTAGCTATGGTCTGTAAAGCTACAGGACTTAAACCAGTGGTCCCCAATCTTTTTGGCACCAGGGACTGGTTTCATGGAAGGCAGTTTTTCTACCAGCCGGGGGTGGGGATGGGTGGTTTGGGGATGAAACTGTTCCACCTCAGCTCATCAGGCATTAGATTCTTTTTTTTCTTTTGGAGACAGTCTCACTCTGTCACCCAAGGTGAAATGCAGTGGCGCGATCTCGGCTCACTGCAACCTCCGCCTCCTGGGTTCAAGTGATTCCCCTGCCTCAGCCTCCCGAGTAGCTGGGATCCCACGTGCCCGCCACCACGCCCAGCTAATTTTTGTATCTTCAGCAGAGGCGGGGTTTCACTGTGTTGGCCAGGCTGGTCTGCAACTGTGGACCTGAAGTGATCCGTCCACCTTGGCCTCCCAAGTGCTGGGATTACAGGTGTGAGCCACTATGCCCGGCCTGAAAGACTAACTTCAGATTTAAAGACATAAACAGGTTGAAAGTGAAGGTATGGAAAAGTATTCATATAAACAGGCAAAAGAGAGCTGAAGTGGCTGAAACTATTTTAAGAGACAAAGATGTTATACATTGATAAAAGGGTCAATGTGCCAAGACACCACAATTATCCACGCACAAACAGTGCCACCCACTACATAAAGCTGACATGAGACATCCATACGCCACTTTTTTTTTTTTGAGACGGAGTCTAGCATTGTCGCCAGGCTGGATTGCAGTGGCACGATCTTGGCTCACTACAATCTCCACCACTGGGTTCAACCGATTTTCCCGCCTCAGTCTCCCCAGTAGCTAGGATTACCGGTGCCTGCCATCACGGCTGGCTAATTTTTGTATTTTTGTAGAGACGGGGTTTCTCCATGTTGGCCAGGATGGTCTCAAACTCCTGACCTCAGGTGATCCACCTGCCTCAGCCTCCTAAAGTACTGGGATTACAGGCGTGAGCCCCAGCGCCCAGCCTGATGGATTCAATATTTTTAAGATGACAATACCACCCAGAGTGATCTGCAGATTCAATGCAACCCCATCAAAACCCCAATGACAGTTTTTGCAGAAATAGAAAAACACATCCTAAAGTTCATAGGGAGTCTCAGAGGACCCCAAATCATCGAACAAATCTTAAAGACAGAGTTGAGAGACTCGTACATACTGATTCCAAAAATTACTTCAAAGCTGTTATGATCAAAACAGTGTGATACTGGCATAAAGACTGGCATAGAGGCCGGGCGCAGGGTCTCACGCCTGTAATCCCAGTGCTTTGGGAGGCCGAGGCAGACGGATCACGAAGTCAGGAGATCGAGACCATCCTGGCCAACATGGTGAAACCTGATCTCTAATAAAGTACAAAAAAATTAGCCAGGCGTGATGGCGGATGCCTGCAGTCCCAGCTACTCGGGAGGCTGAGGCAGGAGAATTCCTTGAGCCTGGGAGGTGGAGAGGTTGCCGTGAGCCAAGATCGTGCTACTGCACTCCAGCCTGGGCTACAGAGTTAGACTCTATATGGAAAAAAAAACAAACCCATCAAGGGAGTGAAAAGACAACCCACAGAATGGGAGAAAATAAACACTGGCAAACCACGTATGTAAGAGACTCACATCCAGAACACAGAACTACAGCCCAACAATAAACTCAAGTTAAAAATGGGCAGAGAAGCCGGGAATCCCAGCACTTCGGGAGGCCGAGGCAGGCGGATCATGAGGTCAGGAGTTTGAGACCAGCCTGGCCAACATGGTGAAACCCCGTCTCTACTAAATAAAAATGAGCCAGGTGTGGTGGCTCACGCCTGTAATCCCAGCTACTTGAGAGGCTGAGGCAGGAGAATCGCCTGAGCCTGGGAGGCAGAGCTTGCAGTGAGCCAAGATGGCGCCACTGTACTCCAGTCTGGGCCACAGAGTGAGACTCCATCTCAAAAAAAAAAAAGGACAAACACCATAAGCAACTGAAAAGATCCCACATGACTGATCATTAGGGAAATGCAAATTAAAACAACCCTAAGGTACCGCTTCACACCCACTAGGATGGCTGTTAGCAAAAAACAGTGTTGGTGAAAATGTGGAGAAACTGGACCCCTCGTGCAATGCTGGCTGGAATGGGAAACGGTGCAGCCACTATGCAAACAGTTTGGTGGTTCCTCAAAAAGCTAAACATGGAATTCTAATAAGATCCAGCAAAGCTACTCTCAGAAATTGGAAGCAGAGACTCAAATATTTACACCCAAGTTCACAGCAGCCTATTCCCAGGCAGAGGGTGGAAGCCACTCCAGTGTCCATGGACAGATGACGGGTAAACAACAACGTGGTCTGTCCTTGCAGTGGAACAGTCCTCAGCCATATAAAAAGGAAGCACTGAGAGCCTCCAGCCTGGGGGACCTTGGGGACACTGTGCCAAGAGGAGTTGGTCAGACACAAAAGGTCGCACACAGTTATGAGTCACCTATGTGACGTCTATGAATAGCCAAGTTCAGAGACAGCAGAATGGTGGGTGCCGGGGCTGGGGGAGCGGGGCAGCTGGGAGTCAGGGTTTGAAGGGGACAGAGCAAGTTGTGGAGATGATGGTGCTGACGGTTGCAGGGCAGTGTCACCAGCGCCTGGGGGAAGAGGGAAGGCGTGCAGCGTCCCTACCCTCCAGCCAGGCCAGCCCCAGGCAGTGCTAGAGCAAGGGCGTGTACACATCAAGGCCAGTGGCAACTCGTGAGTCAAGCCACAGCAGCCACCCTGTTCTTTAAGCTGGGGAGTCGGGACCTGGCTGGGGACGCCACCTTAACACAGCGCCCACCGAGACTGTCAGCCACGGGCCATCCTCCAGGACTGTGGGGAAGGCTGGGGCTTGGGCCGTGGAGGCAGGGAGGGGACTGGCCCCCATCCCCGTCCCCTGAAGGGCCTGCGCTGCAGCAGCAAGTGCACTGGTTAGAGGAGGACGCCCCAGACTGATGTTTCAAACTCTCTGTAGTTTTACCGTATTAATAATAAAGTCGAGGCCAGGCGCGGTGGCTCATGACTGTCATCCCAGCACTGTGGGAGGCCGAGGCGGGCAGATCACGAGGTCAGGAGATCGAGACCGTCCTGGCTAACACGGTGAAACCCCGTCTCTGTTAAAAACACAAAAAATTAGCCGGGCATGGTGGCGGGCGCCTGTAGTCCCAGCTACTCAGGAGGCTGAGGCAGGAGAATGGCGTGAACCCGGGAGGCGGAGCTGGCACTGAGCCGAGATCGCGCCACTGCACTCCAGCCTGGGCGACACAGCACTCCAGCCTGGGCGACACAGCGACACTCGGCTCTAATAATAATAATAATAATAATAATAAAGTCGAAATACACACGAGGTGCTGGGTGACTGTTCCCTGGGAATCTGGCCAGCCCAGGAGCCAGATGCCACACTGGGGCCACCCTCAGCCTGGCCCCCGCCCCCGGAGGGCAGAGGCTAATGCCACTGAGACCTCTGGGGTGCTGGCCCGGCCTGGCCTTCTGTTCCCTGACATTCCACTCACCCCTGGGGCTGTCCCCTCCCAAGACAGATGGAGACCAAGATGGCCAGGCTGCCCTGCTCAGGGGACAGGGGCTGTGGATATAGAAAGGTCCTGGTCCTTCCTTGTCAAATACCATCTGGGTGGCCCCTACTCCCAGGCTCACCCACTGTCCTCCCAGCCTGACCGCTGGGGGCTCTACCTCAGCCCTGTCACACCTGCTGTCCCACAGCCTGGGGTGCTTGGGCTTGGTCCCTCCAGTCTGGCCCTAGGGCCCTGCCCAACAGGCACATAGGGAAGCCTTTGGAGCCATCCCAGAGACCCTGATGTGTCCCTCACCCATCTGCCACTCAGACTCCTGCCCGCAGACCGCCACCCGCACACTCCCGCCCGCAGACCCCCGCCCGCACACTCTCGCCCGCACACTCCCGCCCGCAGACCCCCGCCCGCAGATTCCCGCTCTCACACTCCCGCTGGGAGGGTGGCTGGTCAAGCTCCTGTGTCCTGGGAACTCACGTTCCCAGGCTTGCCCCAGGCAGACACTGCTTGGAGACACCCCAGGAGGGGCGTGGGCGCCGGGCTTAGCTCTGCACCTGCAGGGCCATCCGTCTAAACAGGACTGTGTGAGGGCAGCGGGGCCTGGCCTGGCTCCCCAGCTGGGAGGAGGCCTCTGCCTGGGTGCTGTCCACAGCTTCAGTGGACTCCTACTGGCTGAGGTGCAGCCTCCCGCAGGGGATGGTACCACAAGCCCCCAACTGGCAGTGCCCAGTACCCCAGGTCCTCTGCTGCTGGCCCACACCAGAACCCCGGCCACGGCCCCTCCCCTCCGCCTGGCCCTCAGGTTTCAGCAGCCTGTCCTCCTGAGACAGGTGGGGGCTGGCCCCTCCACGCCTCTTGGGCCAGACACAGCCATACCTGAGCGGGAGTCTCTACCCCCAAATACCACCACCCCCAAATGCCACCACCCCTGCCGGGAGGCTTCTCCTCTGCTCCTGCTTCACCCGCACGTCCCCTGCAGGCTCCGTGTTCACGGCCTGCATGGCCAGGACACTCGCCGGTGCCCTTGGCTCCCGCGGGCCCAGGTGGCCTTACTGCCAGCTGTCCCTGCACCCGAGGCCACAGCTCAAGGCCCATCAGCTTGGCTGAGCCTGGACTCCGTTTCCCCTCTGCCCCGGTCAGGCTTCGGTGGGCAGCACTCCCCCTAGGGCTGCGTCTCTTGGTGACAATCCCTTCTCAAGGGTGGTCCTCCCTCCCACGCTGCTCCCTGGCCCGGCCCCACACCTGGTCCCAGTACCCTCCCAACCTCCACAACCCCCACACGCCACCAAGAACTTCACCGGGGACCTCACCCTCACCCTCCGGCCTCACGCACCCCCTGGTGAGTCCTGTGCCCACCGTGACCCTCTCCAAGCACCAGGGACTGCCTGGCAGACCCAGCCCGGCCCCAGCCGAAAGCAAGCTCCCAGCCTGACCCCTGCAACTCACATGCTGGGAGCCGCACTTGCCATGGCTTCTCTAGCCAGGATCCCGGGGCCACTCTACTCCTCCCCCGCCCCCTCCCCAGATCCAGGACCCTGCCAAGGCCCCAGAGTCCTGCCCAGCTGGCCGCTCCCTCCCACCGCCACCGAGGCAGAGCTCCCTCCTGGACAGTGTGCTGGGCTATGCTGGACTCTGCTGGGCGCTGGCAGGACCACCACACTGACCGTGCCCCATTCCCTCTCCATGCCACAGCGGGACACTGTCTCCAAATCACAGACCTACCAACCTCTGCTCCTCCTGCTGTCAAGGGACGAGGCTCCCGACTCATCTGGTGGAGGCCATGGAGCTGCCCACTGCCCAGCCCAGCCCCACCAGCCTCGGCCCTGGCAAGCCCACCCCTTCCTTCTCCTTGGCAGACACTCTTCTGCGGGGACCTTCTGAGCCCTAGGCCACAATCACCACGCCCCTGAGTTTCTCAGCCTGATTATCTTTCTGCTCAGCTCATTCCACAGACCACACTCTCCTACCCACTGCACACAATCCGCCTCACACGTTGATGTTGAAGGAGCGCTACATCAAAGACAGAAAAAACAAGTAGAATATCCACACCCGACCCCACAGACGCAGGAGAGGATCCACACCCGACCCCACAGACGCGGGAGACGATCCACACCCGACCCCACAGACGCGGGAGACCATCCACACCCGACCCCGCAGAGGCGGGAGACCATCCACACCCGACCCCGCAGACGCGGGAGACCATCCACACCCGACCCCGCAGACGCGGCAGACCATCCACACCCGACCCCGCACATGCGGGAGACGATCCACGCCCCACCCCGCAGATGCGGGGGAGTATCCAGGCCCCACCCCACAGACGCGGGGGACTTTCCACGCCCGGCCCCACCCCACAGACGTGGGAGACAATCCACGCCCGGCCCTACAGACGCGGGGGAGTATCCACGCCCAGCCCTACAGACGCGGGGGACTATCCACGCCTGACCCCACAGGCGCAGGAAAAAATGGTCTGGAGAAAAACACCATCAACAAAACAAAAAGATCAGGAAACTGGGAAACAAATGTGCCACTTACATCCAAAGGTGGGAAGAGAACTGTTCCAAATTAAAACACTAAAGACACATAATGAACCAAATGCACATGTGAACCTGACTGGCCCTGATGTGGGGATGGGGGTGGGAAAACTAGAAGAGGTATTCTTTTCTAAATTTTTATGGGTTTTTTTTTTTTTTTTTTTTTTTTGAGACGAAGTCTTGCTCTGTCACCCAGGCTGGAGTGCAGGGGCATGATCTCAGCTCACCGCAGCCTCCGCCTCCTGGATTCAAGCAATTCTCCAGCCTCGGCCTCCCAAGCAGCTGGGATTACAGGAGGATACCACTATGCCCGGCTAACTTTTGTTTTTGTGGTTTTTTTTAGTAGAGACGGGGTTTCACCATGTTGGCCAGGCTGGTCTCGAACTCCTGACCTCAAGCGATCGTCACACCTCAGGCTCCCGAGCAACATGCACGCACCACCACGACCAGCATATTCTGTTTTCTTTCCAGGACTCTCACCTCCAAAAAGACGTGGTCCCATTAGCCAAGGCTGCCTCTCTCCTACTGGAAGGGGTTCGGTCGGGAACTGCGCTGTTACACAGTGGCCTGCCTCCTCCCCAGCTTCTTGGGATAGGTGGTGGCCCGACTCCAGCACTTCAGGCCCTGGGAAGCCACCATCCCATGGCTTCTGAGCCGCAGGGAAGTGAGCCTAACCCCAGGTGCGCCATCACGCCCAGCCACACAACAAAAAACTTAAAAAGATGTGTTTGGAGTCAAAGTCCACCAAACCTACCAACACGGTGCGGCACCATCTGATCCCCTTTATCTCTGATCTGTGGCTACCCCAGCTGAATCCCCTCTGGCCCTGGCTGTCCTGCTCAAGGCCTTTGGCCACTCCCTTTCCTGGATCCCTTTCCCCAAATAGCCACAGCTTTACTCCCTTTTCTCCTTTAGCTTTTGGCTGAAATGTCACTTCTTAGACTTTTCCTCAGCACCCTATTTAAAGCAATCCCCACCAAGACAGGAGGATTGCTTGACGCTGGGAGTTTGGGGCCAGCCTGGGCAACATAGTGAGACTTCCATCTCTACAAGAACACTTAACATTTGCCGGGCATGGTGGCGTGCACCTGTAGTCCCAGCTACTCAGGAAGCTGAGGTTGGTGGATTGCTTCAGCCCAGGAGTTCAAGGATGCAGTGAGCTATGATTGCACTACTGCACTCCAGCCCGAGTGAGAGAGCAAGACCCCGTCTCTAAAAAATAAAAAAAGCGATCCCCCAAACAATACTCTAACACACATACACACACTCCCTCCTCTGCTTCACACATCTACATGGCATTTTTCATCATTGGCCATTCTATGTATTTTATCTAATTCTACAGGCTCAGTGCCTGTTCCTCCATCCCTCCCCATTAGACTGTCAGCTCCATGAGGACAAGCATTGGTATATCTGTGTTCGTTTCTGCAACCCCAGCACAGACCCTAACACATAAAGGTATTCGATAATAAAATTACTAAAGCTGGGCGCGGTGGCTCACGCCTATAATCCCAGCACTTTTGGAGGCCGAGATGGGCGGATCACTTGAGGTCAGGAGTTCGAGACCCGCCTGGTCAATACGGTGAAATAAACCCTATCTCTACTAAAAATACAAAAATTTGCTGGGCGTGATGGTGATGCATGCCTGTGATCCCAGCTACTCGGGAGGCTGAGGCATGAGGATCGCTTGAACCTGGGAGGCGGAGGTTGCAGTGAGCCGAGATCGTGCCACTGCACTCCAGCCTGGGCGACAGAGCGAGACTCTTGTCTCAAAAAAAAAAAAAAAAAAATTCTTGGATTTTTGTCTATTATATTTAATACTCATTCAGCGTTTAAATGATATATATACTCATGACCCACCAATTCCACTTCTGGAATCCTGCACTGGGAAACCGCTCACCTGAGGGCAAACCAAAGCACCTACACAGCATGTTCTCCACAGAACTATTTCTAATGGCCAAAAAAATGGCAAGAACCTAAATACAATCGGGGAGTGCAGTGCCATCCTATCGCGTGCTGAGCACCAAGAGAAAGAACGAAGACCTATATCATCACCATGAAGCGTCCCGAGAGATACAGCGAGTGACAACGACAAATCAGCCAAATACTCGCGCAGCATGATTTTTTAAAAAAGCGATTAGATTACAAAAACTATACGTTTTCCAGTTGCATAGACACGCACGTAAAAGCACAGAAACGCGTCTGCAAAGTCACCAGACTATTAACAGCAGTTACCTCTCGGAAAGGAAAGGAAGGACTAAGTCTGGAGATAATTTAATTCGCTACAAGAACGTTCTGGTATATTCTCTCGTACTTCCACATTAATTTTAGAAGGCTGACAAACCAATGCTTTAGACTCCGGGCCGTAACTCTCAGGGTCACTCATCCATCCTCCACTGTTGCTGCTCCCCGCGGCCACCCCCGCGCCGGCCAACAGCGCTCCTCACTCACCAGACACGGGTGAAGGATCCCTCTTGGCCTGGAGGCGACTGGCCTGAGGCAAGAACGGGTTGTTCACCCTACGGGAAGCGGCAAGGTCAGCGGGGAACGGGCCCGGGCCGTCCCCCGCTCGAGCCGCCAGCCCGCGAGGCTGCTCACCCAAACGCGTTGGGCTCCTCCACCACCTTCATCTTCGCTGCACCTGCCGGCGCGGGCCCTACGGGGAGCGAGACCGTGAGCGGGGAGGCCGGGGTGCAGAGCGCGCGCGGGGCCTGGGGACGCGGACGGCCGGGCCACTCACCGCCGGCCGAGAGCCCGAGGAGCAACAGGAGCCGCGCCAGCCCCGCCGCCATCGCGCCGCAGCGGCCGCCGCGCGGTCACGTGAAGTGACGGTCACGTGACCACGGGGACCGGAAGTGGCGTCCGGCGCAAGCGCTGGCAGCCGCACAGCCCATTGGGAGGCCGAGGGGCGCGGCCGTGGGGTGGGGAGTCCCCGGCACCCCAGGTCCGCGCCATGGGCCGCAGGAGGGCAGCGCGCGGGCCGGGGGCGGAAGGCGGCCGCCCTCGGCACCTCCCGACGCGCTCCCTGGAGGCCTTCGCCGAGGAGGTCGGCGCCGCGCTGCAGGGTGAGCGAGGCGTGATGGGGAGAGCGGGTCAGGGTTTGAGGGCCTGCCCGGGGGTCCCACGCTGAGGCCGAGTGCCCTTCTCTCTCTCGTGCAGCTTCCGTGGAGCCAGGGGCGGCTGACGGCGAGGGCGGCCCGGGCCCGGCGGCGCTGCCCTGCACGCTGGCCATGTGGGAGTTGGGCCACTGCGACCCCCGGCGCTGCACGGGCCGCAAGCTGGCCCGCCTGGGGCTGGTGCGCTGCCTGCGCCTGGGCCACAGATTCGGCGGTCTGGTGCTGAGCCCCGTGGGCAAGCAGTACGCGTCCCCCGCAGACAGGTAGGCGCGGGAGGCCTGCCCGAGGTCGTCTTCATTTCCAGCGCGTGGTTCCCTTCAGGGATGGTTTAGTGGCACTTGTATGTCGCACCCACATCCACACCCACGTGGGCAGGGAACGTCTGTCTAGTTTGCCTCCGTTGCGTAGCGCAGAGCCTGGGATAAAGGAGGTTTTGGGGTAATAAACGTTTGTTGAGTGAATAAACACATGCTCCAGGTGCCCCAAGCAGCTGCCTCAAAAGCTTGCTCGTGAAGTCCGTTTGAGGGTGTTTGGGGATGGCGGAATGATGTCCCTGAATCCCTTAGCTAGGCCATTCTCCGGGGCATGCTCCACCTTGGGTAGTGCTGGCTCCTGAACTTATCCCATGCTGTCCCTGGCAGACAGCTGGTGGCGCAGTCTGGGGTCGCCGTCATCGACTGCTCCTGGGCCAGGCTGGACGAGACACCGTTTGGGAAGATGCGAGGGAGCCACTTGCGCCTGTTGCCCTACCTGGTGGCCGCCAACCCCGTGAACTATGGCCGGCCCTACAGACTTTCCTGCGTGGAAGCGTTTGCTGCCACCTTCTGCATCGTAGGTGAGTCCAGGGGCCCCACAGCAGTGTGACCCGGCGGCCTGCTGTTCCTGCTATGCTCCCAGCATCATGTTTCCTGCCGACAGACCCCAGGAGGAGCATAAGGGACGGACAGGGGAACAGTTCAGACAGACCACGGTTCCAGCCCCAACTGTCACTTCAGGTTTTCGGCCTGTGGAGTTGCAGTAGAGGCAGAATGGGATCGCTGTTCTATCAGGGCCGGTGTGTGGGGTGCCATTCATTATCAGGGCACCACTGCCCAGAGAATCCTCCTTATCCTCCACGTCCTCCTTACTGAATTGCTGATCTAAAGAGGCCCTGATGAGGCGTGGGGCAGTCTTGGTGGGAATGTTTGTTTCGCAGCAAAGGAGGGGGACTTGGTCGGTTGCAGAGGTGTGGACTGTAGCAAGGGAGGTGCAGGCTGGGGGCAGCACGGGTTCTCAGGACTGTGAGCTGATGTTTGCTGGGGACCCTGCGGTTACTTGGGAGAGCGCCGCCATCCGGCAGCAGGGTGATCAGGAGGCACTTGAGGGGACCGTCGACTTCTTTGGGTTTCCTGTTTCTCACACCGTCAGGCTTTCCAGACCTTGCTGTCATTTTGCTGCGGAAGTTTAAATGGGGCAAGGGCTTCTTGGACCTGAACCGCCAGCTCCTGGACAAGTACGCGGCCTGCGGCAGCCCGGAGGAGGTGCTGCAGGCGGAGCAGGAGTTCTTGGCCAATGCCAAGGAGAGCCCCCAGGAGGAGGAGATCGGTGAGCCTTGGCGGGGTGGGAACCAAGGCCCTCCAAAGCCTGGGGGGTGGGAGGCCTGGTCCTGCTCTGAGCTCACTTAGAGGCCACTTTCCTCTCTCGGCTCAGATCCCTTCGATGTGGATTCAGGGAGAGAGTTTGGAAACCCCAACAGGCCTGTGGCCAGCACCCGGTAGGTCCTTGGGCTTAATTTCATGATCACTCAGACCCAGGGCTCTCTTCTACCTCTGGCCTGAGCCCTTCCTGCTGCCTGGGGGTGGTGTTGTAAACAACACCCCGATGGTCTTCTGACTAGAAAACCTGCAGTGCATGTCCCACTGGAGAGGTTTGGGTGTGGAGAGCACAGGGAGGAAGAGGAATCTGTCCTCGGCTGGGGGCTTTTTGTGGATGACGTTGACTCCAGCTAGCCAGGGAGGACGTCATTTGGGAACGTGCTCCCCCTCCTCTCCCAGGCTGCCCTCGGACACTGATGACAGTGATGCGTCTGAGGACCCAGGGCCTGGCGCCGAGCGCGGAGGAGCCAGCAGCAGCTGCTGTGAAGAGGAGCAGACGCAGGGACGGGGGGCTGAGGCCAGGGCCCCGGCTGAGGTTTGGAAAGGAATCAAGAAACGGCAGAGAGACTGAGGGTTGCAGACACATATATTTTTGAGGCTGGGTGACGAGAAAATCTAGAGACATGAGGGACATAAATGGGCCTGGCAGCCTCGGCTCTTTGCGGCTGCTGGCAGGACTGAGCTGTCCGGGTTCTCCCCACACTTCCAGCACAGCTGTGCTCTGTGTCCTGCCTCGGCGCTCTCGCAAATGAAGCTGCAGGCCAAGAAGCCCCTTGTGAGTCTGTTTTTCACACTGGGCCTGGGGAAGGGTTGGGGCGAACTCTCGGCTCTGCCTGGAAGGGTCGTGGAGCAGGTCTCAGGTGGCCACGGATATGTGCGTGAAGGACAGCTGACCAGTTGGCACGGAGCCCTTCACACTGACCACCAGCCTTGGGTGACGTCCCTGGCCTCAGAGTGACCTCAGGGGAACCTTTCCCCGGCCTGGGAGCCCCGTGGGGACTGGAGACCTATGCGGTTCTTGACTCACCTGCCCTTTGCATCCCCTCTGTGGGTGGAGGCTCTGGACCATCCACCCAGTGGTGCCAGTGGCACCCTTTTCACTCCCCAGCTGTGATTACCAAAAATGCGTCTGCACATTGCCCGTTGTGCAGAGAGCACAGCCACTCACTGAGTCCCTGGAGACCAGCTGCCCACCGCCCACCCAGGGCCGGGGAGCCCAAGGAAGCGGGCAGGGAGGCCCACCAGGTGGTCAAGCCCGCTCTGGCCTGCACTGTGTCCTGGGCAGCTGCTGGCCAAGTCCTGCCAAGTTGGCCACCCAGATGTGGGGTTGGGTGCAGGGGTTCACAGCACACACCAGACAGACACGGCCAGGGCGGTAGGCGCCGCGGGGCCAGCCACGACACACACGTCACAGCACAGGAGGGGCGCCGTGGGCCCTGGTTGCACAAAGCTGGCCACAGTGAGCTGGAGGATGCTTCAGGGAACTTGGGGTGGGGGCCAGGGCCGGGGCTGGCAGCTGATGGACTCAGGGGTCCGCCTCCATGCACTTCTCCAGCTCCTTGAGTTTCTTCACGAACTCCTGCGCCTCCTTGCTGGTGCGGCCTTCCAGCCTCCTCAGCGCAGATCTCACTGCAAGCAGCGCGGGCAGGTGTGTGGGGGCCGGGGTCAGGCCCGCTGCCCCTGCCTCCACCCAGATGCTCACTCACCCTGGGCTCTGGGCCGGCACAGGTGCAGGGTGACAGGCTGCCCAGCCCTTGCACCCCCGCCCACCTGGGGCCGGGCGACACCAGTGACGCCACCTAGGCCGAGGGCCGCCTCCCCAGCGAAGTCGTTGGTGGACAGCCAGTCGTGGTCCATGACGGTGAACAACACACAGGCCGCGCGGCGGCGGCACGCCTCGGCAGGCACGGAACTGCGGACAGAGGCCAGTCGGGAGTCTCGCTCCGGCAGCCTGGAGCCTGGGGCTGGGGCTGGGGCTTAGGACACTCACAAGTAGAAGAGTTCGTCGTATACAGGGTGCAGCGTCCGGGTCTTCACCTGGGTCCTCTGGCTGCGGACCAGTGGAAAGAGATGCGGTGGGCCCAGCTCCACGATCACAAAGGGGTCACTTAAGCCTGCAGGAGCACAGTCGTGAGCCCCCCTGCCCCCATCCCACCACCACCCGACCCGTCCCCGCTGCAACTCACCGTTGGCGTCCAGGGGGAGCAGGTCCGCGGCGTGCAGCACCTCCACGGCCAGCCGCTGCTCAGCCGCCTCGTAATGGCAACGGACGCTCAGGCGTCCAAACCGGTTCTGCTCCAGGGTCCTCTGCGGAAAGGCGGGTGAGCGCAGCTGGGCTCTGGGAGCCTCGGAGGCAGCACCCTGTCCCTGGCGCCTCCCTACCTGTTTGAGCTTGTCCAGGTAGAACTGCTCGATGCACTCGCGGGTGGAACATTTGTGCAGCCGCAGCTCCTCCTTCAGCCTCTGCAGGGGGAAGCGCATCAGGAGGGGCCCCTGGGTGCTGGTGGTCAGCGCTGGCACTTGGAGACCTGACTGCCCGTGGGGCCACCTCATGCTCAAGGACACAGCCCGTGTGGGGCTGCAGTTTGAACTCAGTCCCCTCATCCACACCCCCGCCCCACAGAGGGTCCCACCTCACCTTGTAGCTTCCATCCCTCAGGCTCTCCAGGGGCAAACCCTGACCCTCTGCGTGGAAAAAACTGACCAGGGCCTGGGGCAGGGAAAGAAGGCAGAGGTGTCAGGGAGCCTGGCTTGTGCTGGGGACAGGTAGAGACCCCCAGCACAAAGGGGCCCAGGCAGCACTGGGGGCTCAGCAGCCAAGGGCAGAGCCCTTTCTCACACCCTGGCGGGCATCGGAAGCTCCCAGGAAGCGTGGGGAAAGGCCATCACCAGAGGCCACACCTCGGCATTAACGGGAGGAGGCGCTGTGGACAGCCCTGGAGTGGCTGCTCTCCAGCCACAGGAGACCAGGCAGGCCAGTGGGGACAAAGGGAGGGATCAGAGCAGCCCTGAGGCGGGGGCCGGCGGGGAGGACTCCTTCACAGAGCTCTACCTCCAGCGTGAAATGGAAGCGGCTGTAGAAATCAGCAGAGACGTCACGGTTTGCACCCAGCGCCTGCAGAATGGCCTGGAGGAGTAGCTCCCACAGGGCCTCCAGCACCCTGCAGGGCAGCATCAGTGACCACGGGCCAGCCCCACCTGCCCCGCTGGCCCCACCTGCAGAATGGCCTGGAGGAGTAGCTCCCACAGGGCCTCCGGCACCCTGCAGGGCGGCCTCAGTGACCACGGGCCAGCCCAGCCCATCCCACCCCACCCGCCCGCACCTGCTCAGGTTCCCCTTCACCAGCGAGGCGTTCAGCAGGGCCAGCTTCTCATCCAGGTACTTCATGAGCGGGGCCACGGCCTGCGGGCAGGGGTGGTCAGGCCAGGCTTACCCCGCACCTCTGCCCTACCCCCAGTACACACAGTCCTCCACGGCCCCTCGCCCCGGCACTCACCTCATCGTTCTGGATGGAGTCAGGCGAGAGACTGATGTGCTGTACATACTTGCGGATGTCGCCCACCATCTGAGGGCAGGAGCAGTGCTCAGCACGGGCAGGGGGCACCAGGGACTGCCTCCACGCCTTGGTCTCCAGGCCCCACCCACCTTAGAGGTCAGGTGCGCTGTCACCGTGTGGGCCTCCCGTTGCAGATCATCGTCCAGGGCCTGTGTGCAGCTGAGCAGAGGGCGGGGGAGCACCCCCTCGGGCCCCGTGGCCCCCTCTGGCCATGCCAGGCCCTTCAAGGCCTGCCCAGCAGCCTTGCGCACGAGCTCCACATTGTTGAGGACCACGCAGAGCTGGAGGAGGTGTGGCCAGGCAACGATGGGTCCGGGGCCTGGTGATGGCCCCCCACCTCCTGCCGGCTCCCCTCCCCAGCTGGTCACTCACCGCCTCGCTCACTGCTTCACCGGCCGCCCCTGGCTGAGTGTCCACCTTCTTCCGAAGCAGCTCCGTATAGAAGAGGGTGGCCTCACACACGTCCTGAGGAGGGGATGGCGGTGGGGAGCCATGGAGCCCTCCCCTGCCCCATCTCCTCTCCCACCCGTTCCCCTCACCCCCAGGGCCCACCCACACACCTGGCCAAGCTGGGTGCCCAGCCCCTGAGCCTGGGCAGGGTCAGGCCACGCCAGGCGCACCCACAACTCCTGGATGTGGCTGAGGCAGAGACCAGCAGTGGCTGCGGAGCTGCTGTGCCTGGAGGAGGCGTCCACGGGCTCCAGCTAGGGAGGCAGGGGAGGCTGGGTTTGCTGGGGAGGCAGGGGAGGCTGGGGAGGTGGGGGAGGCGGGGGTTGTGGGGGAGGCTGGGGTTGCGGAGGAGGCCGGGGAGGCTGGGGTTGTGGGGGAGGCTGGGGTTGCTGAGGAGGCTGGGGTTGCGGGGGAGGCTGGGGTTGCTGAGGAGGCTGGGGTTGCTGGGGAGGCTGGGGTTGCTGGGGAGGCTGGGGTTGCGGAGGAGGCCGGGGAGGCTGGGGTTGAGGGGGAGGCTGGGGAGGCGGAGGAGGCTGGGGGTTGCTGGGGAGGCTGGGGTTGCTGGGGAGGCGGGGGAGGCTGGGGGCCTGGACCAGCCCCAGTGTCCTCAGGCCAGGGCAGCTGTCACCGTGTCCATGTCCACGGCTCCCTGAAGCCTCCACTTGGCCTGGTCCCTCAGCACTTGGAACCAGAGCTTCACAGCAGGCAGGAAGGGGGCGTGGATGCCAGCCAGGGCCAGAGAGCGGCTGTCCCTGTGGTGGGAGGGTTGTGAGGGCTCGGCCCTGACTCAGACACCTTAACCAGCACGTTCCAGGCTCACAGCTCCAGGACCGTCCCCCTCACAGGTCCTGGGGCCCTGGTCCCAAAGTCTGTCTGCAAGAGATAGGGACGGGGCACCCACCGGCCAGGGATGCTATCCCAGAAGCGCTGGAGGTCAGCCAGGGTCAGGTAGAGCTCAAAGAGCCCCGAGGCCACCTCCAGGGTCATCTTGGGGCTCAGCTCCTCCGTCAGCACCCACGCCTCCTCAGCCACCTGTCCGGGACAGCAGGATCAGGCCTCCAGCAGCAAGGAATCCCAGGACCGTCCTAGCCAAGGGCATCTGCCCACTTCCCCATGCCTGGCAGGCACCCGGGGTCAGGGACCCTCCTCACCAGACGCTCCAGCTGCCGGAAGGTCAGGGTGAAGACGTCCACATTGAGGATGCTGCAGAGCAAGGGACACACCTCATCCACCTGCGCCCCACCTGCAGGCCCTGTTGGCTCCGACCCCAGCCCCAGGACAGCACTGAGGGGCCAGGCCCACCTGTGGAAGAGGCTGGCGTACACACTGTAGCAGAACTGAAGGTCATCATAGACGGCGTCAGCCAGCACAACCAGCCCAGGCAGGCGCTGTGGTCCTGGCTGCAAGGAAGCCTAGCTCGTACCCACCTCTCGGCTGCCCGTACCCCTCATGGCCAGGGTCCCCCACAACTGCACCTGCTCTCGGGGACTCTTGTCATTCAGGATCCTGTCGTACCACTCACGGTTGCCTCTCTGCAACAGACACCACCAAGACAGCATGGTGGATTGCAGGGAAGAGGAAGAGGTGGGCAAGAGACCGTGGTGCAGAGGTGCAGGGGACGGGAAGGCAGGGAAGGGGAAGGGAGGGCTTAGCAGCCGGCCTCCACTGGGCTTTGGAACACACCTTCAGGGCCGCAGCAATGTCCATGTTCAGCTCCGACTCGAAGGGGCAGATCTCAAAGGAGGGTTGGAAGAGCTGCAGCTTGCCCAGACACCTGGGTGGGGGCAGCACGCTGACGTGGGGCCTGCCCTGCCAGCCGCCCCCACCCACGCTGACACGCGGCGCTGCACCCACTTCAGCAGCAGCTCCAGGCGGTGGACAGCGGTGCTGTTGGTGGCAGGGAAGTAGTCTCGGAGCTGGCGCAGCAGCTGCAGCCCGAACTCAGAGAAGGCGGAAAGGCTATCAGCCAGGCTCTCCTCCTGTGGGGACAGGGCCCTTCAGTGCCAGCAGCCCCGACCGGCCACTGATGAGGAGAAACATCCTCCCTGCCTTGGCCCGCAACACCCTTCCCCGGGCATGGTCAGCCCAGCTCTGCTCTGAGCAGCACCCTCCACAGGCCCAGTCGGCCTGTCCCAGACGGCCTGTCCCAGCCTCGGTTTCCACCCACGCAGCTCACGTAGGGCCTGTGCCCCTGCAGTTCCCACGTCCGTCCTGCCAGGGCCGCTCCCTCCTGTCGCTCAGATGGGCGCCACCTTGGCGGCTTTCCCCAGCCCTGTCCTAAGTCCTGGCCGCCCCCCGAGGTGACTCCCACGAGTCTCCCGTCTCCTTTCTGCAGAGCGCTGGCTCTCGCCCACGTCATACAGTTTGTCCATTTGTCTTTGACCCCCACGCGGGCAGGACTCTGCCCCTCGCCGACCGGCACTGAGCGACCCCAGTCCCCAGCACTCCCTTCGCCATGGCTGGCAAGAAGGTCCCGGCTGCACCCACCTGCTCCTGGGGCAGTGAAGGAGCCTCTTCCCAGTGTGCCTGCATGTCCTCCAGCAGCCCCAGCAGGTAGCTGTAGTCCAGCGTGCAGGTTTGATGGTGGCGGCTGCTGACCTGCCAGTGCCTGTGGGGCCCGGCCCATGGTCAAAGGGTATGAACCCCGCCCCTGCCATGCCCACTCAGCACCGCCTACAGCACTACCCCTTTCTCTGCCCCACCCAATCAGCACTGCCGCGCCTACTCATAGCACTGCCCCTTTCCCTGCCCTCCAATTAGCGCTGCCGTACCTACTCATGGCACCGCCCCTTTCGCTGCCTCACCTACCCGTAGCACCGCCCCCTTCCCTTCCCGCCCAATCAGCGCAGCCCCACCTACTCAGCACCGCCCCTTTCCCTGCCCCACCCTCCCAGCCACGACATCCACTCACCGCATGGCCCCCGATGCCCCACTCGCTCACGCCCGCCCACATTCCCCGCCCACTCGTAGCTCCACCCACTCACAGCACGGCCAGCTGCAAGGGTGACAGGTTGCTCTGGGCTCCGTGCAGGCAGAGGATGGTGGCGGCTGGTGTGCTGAGCTCTCCTCGCCAGCTGCTGGAGTTGGGCTGGGGGAGGAGGTCTGTCGTGGGTGGAGGCGGGACAGCCCCACATCCCCTCCTCAGGCCCCCTGCCGGGCTGTTCCAATCCTAGGCGCACCCACTACCTCCTCTGCTGAGTGCTCCAACCGCAGCAGATGGCTGAGCAGCAGCAGGTGGGACAGGAAGCCGGATCGCCCGCGCTGGCTCATGGCCGTATCCCTCTGCAACGCAGAGCCCACCCAGTCACCAGCTCTGCCCCCGCCCCAAGGACGGGGGTGGAGGACGGGGACGCCCACTTTCCCCACCTGCGTAGTGATCAGCTTGAGAACCAGGTGGCAGTGTCCCTGCACACGCGAGGCACTGGAGCGTGGCTCCAGCTTGAACCAGCGGTCGACGCCAGCCACAGGCACCTCCTGGGGGTAGCATGGGGGTCAGGCCCACCAGACTCCTCCCCCTCCCCTTCCACACTGACTCTGTGAGACCCTGGAGAGACCACATGGCCTGGGCTTCCCTTCTCCGGGGAATGAGGGTGACAAGCGCACTCAGTGGAGGCCCAAAAGCAGGAGCTTCTCCAGGCAGTGCCCTGCCCCTTGAAGGCTGGGACACTCCCCAGGCCCTTCTCTAAGTGTCACCAGCCCCACCCCACACCCACTCACCCGGACAGGTATGTTGAGGCACCCCAGGAAGTCATCGGTGTGGTCCTCGGTGGGTCCTGCTGTCCCGTTTGCGCGGGCTGACTTGACGATCTGTTTGAAGTACCTGGCCACCACAGGTGGTGAGCATCACGCTGATGGCTCCTGGGGAGCCACTGCCCGCCGGGCCCCATGACCAAGCTGAGGGCACGGGTGATGGGTAGAAAGGTCCCAGCAGTCATACCTGCCCATGCCCTTCAGGCCGATGACTTCATTCAGCTTCCTGCACGCTTCTACCAGGGATACATCGTCGTCATGATCCCTGGTGGGGACAGGGGAGGACCTGGCTTGTCTGGAGCCCGCAGCCGGGCCCTGAGTCCGTCCTGCTCCCCCGCAAAAGGTGTGCATCCCCGCCGCCCTGCATGGCGCAGGGGCCTGTACCAGATGTCCAGGTGCAGCTGGTCCGTGCTCACATCCTCAATCTCGCTACAAGGAGAACAGAGATGCCCATGAGGGTCCCCGGCGAGGCTCTGCCCAGGCCGGGGTCAGGGAGTCCAGAAGCAGCAGGGACCAGGCCACAAGCACCCGCTCTCCAGACAGGCTGTTCAGGTCCAAATCCTGATCCCGCCAGGTGTTGCCAGCCGTGTGGCCCCGGTGGCACAACGCCCATCTCTGGGCCTCAGTTTTCTCCTCTGGAAAGTGGGCACACGGCCCCAAAGAGACCGGGAGCTGCTGCGAGCCACCACCCTCCAGGCACAGCCCAGCTCTGGACCCCAGGCAGAGCCCCCCTCCCGCACCCAGACGGGCGAGGGCCTCACAAGAGGAAGTGCTCCTTCCAGACGGGGTTCAGGGTGCTGCTCTTCACCTCGGTGACCTGGATGCACTTGGCAGGCAGGGGTCCACCGCGCTTGCTGCCCTTGCGGAAGCCGAAGCGCTGCTCCTTCTGTGCACGGGGCTCCCGCGTGGCGTCCGAGGCAGGCAGGATGCCCAGCATGCAGTATGGGTCGCTGAAGCCTGGGCACGGCAGGCGTCTCAGCCCTGGCCCCACGCCCTCTGGCCCTCCATGGCCGCCAGGCCTCGGCGCAGCCGAGGTCTGCTGGGTCCCCACTCACCGTTGGGGTCCTTGGCCAGAAGGTTCTTGGCACGCATGACAGAGACTTTCAGGGCATACGTGGGGGCCTGTGGACAGAGGGGCGTGGGGGGCCTGGTGAGGCTGAGCTGCCCCCCAGATGCCCTACTTAGCATGGAGGTGACAGGGCCTTGCCCCGTGCCCCCGCCACGCAGGCACGTGCTGGTCAGTGCCTGCCCAGGCAGTGGCGGCCTCACCTTGGCCTTCCTCACTCGCTCGATGGCCTCAGTGTGCTCCTCAAGGCTGGTGCCAAACACCTGTGGAGGGTGGCTGGGTTGGCAGGGCCTAGGCAACCCCTGAAGCGAGGCTGGCCACTGTGCTGGGACCTCGGGCTCAGCCCGTCACAGACACCCAACCTCAGTCCTCACGGGTGCAGGGTTGGGGGAAGCCTGGGAGGCAGCGGCAGAGGGTTTGTGCCAAGGGGCCTGGGCATGCCCAGAGATGGTGGGTGTGATGAGGGCCACGCAAGTGCATGCGTGGGAATGGGGGCCACGGGAGGACAGGGGAGTTCAGAGCACATGCAGGTGGAAGCCGGGAGCGTCCTTCGAGGTGCGTCTGTCAGCCTATGTGCATGTATGTGTGTGTGTCTGTGTAGACATGCAGCCTGTGTGTGTCTGTGTGCACCTGCAGCCTGTGTGTGTGTGTGCGTGTCTGTGTGCACCTGCAGCCTGTGTGCGTGTGTCTGTGTACACCTGCAGCCTGTGTGCGTGTGCATCTGTGTGCACCTGCAACCTGTGTGCATGTCTGTGTACACCTGCAGCCTATGTGCGTGCATCTGTGTGCACCTGCAACCTGTGTGCGTGTCTGTGTGCACCTGCAGCCTGTGTGCGTGTGTCTGTGTGCACCTGCAGCCTGTGTGCCTGGGCATCTGTGCGCACCTGCAGCCTGTGTGTGTGTCTGTGTGCACCTGCAGCCTGTGTGCGTATGCGTCTGTGTGCACCTGCAACCTGTGTGTGTGTCTGTGTGCACCTGCAGCCTGTGTGCGTGTGTCTGTGTGCACCTGCAGCCTGTGTGCGTGTGTCTGTGTGCACCTGCAGCCTGTGTGCCTGTGCATCTGTGTGCACCTGCAGCCTGTGTGCCTGTGTCTGTGTGCACCTGCAGCCTGTGTGTGTGCGTGTCTGTGTGCACCTACAGCCTGTGTGCGTGTGTCTGTGTGCACCTGCAGCCTGTGTGCGTGTGCATCTGTATGCACCTGCAGCCTGTGTGTGTGCGTGCGTCTGTGTGCACCTGCAGCCTGTGTGCGTGTCTGTGTGCACCTGCAGCCTGTGTGCGTGTCTGTGTGCACCTGCAGCCTGTGTGCGTGTGTCTGTGTGCACCTGCAGCCTGTGTGCGTGTGTCTGTGTGCACCTGCAGCCTGTGTGTGTGTCTGTGTGCACCTGCAGCCTGTGTGCGTGTGTCTGTGTGCACCTGCAGCCTGTGTGCGTGTGTGTGTGTGCACCTGCAGCCGTCTCTGTGTGCTGTGCACGGATCGGGGAGATTCTGCATACTGTTTGGGTGATGATGGTGTCAGTGGGTGGGGAAGGGGTTGAGGTGGGGAAGCTGTCAGGGTCTGGGTCGGGGTCAGGGTGGGCTGACCTGCTGGAGATAGCTGAGCAGGGCCTCCTCGTCGTCCACCTGGTCAGGGCCCATGGTACCCGCGCGGTAAAGCACCGTGTACAGGGCCTCCTCGTAGAGCATCTCCACCTGCAGGTGGGGGAAGGGCGGCCACAGTGCCGCGTCCCAGGCCCCCAGCCCTCAGCAGCACCTCCTGTCTGCCTGAGCCCAGGCCCCACCTCTGCCTCTTTGCACCAGGAGCCCCTCCGCTCCTCACTCACCCACCCACTCACCCTGGCTCTCTGCCATCACCAGACCCTGTGCACACAGTAGGTGCCTCTAAACGGCTGAGGGAGCAGCCGCTGCAGACGACTGCCCCTGGTTCCGACCCCCACCTTTACCTCCTCTGGGGCCAGGGCTCTCAGGCCGAGGCTGGGATCCACAGGCTCCGGGGGTGCTGGCGAGCCACTGCGCAGGGGGACCTGTGTGTGGGGCCCAGGGTGAGGGCTCTGACGGCAGGGAGAGCCCCAGGCCTGCAGCAGGGAAGACAGGTGGTGCCCCAGGAGGTGGGAGCGAGGGCAGGAGGGAGCGGGGAGGAGCAAAGGGGGAGCCCCATGCTGGGCTGTGGTATCGGGCCCTGGGGGTGGCACCCTTACCTCGAGGCACGGCAAGCCCTGTCTGCCTTCCCCCTTCTTCAGCATGAGGCGCATGTGGGCAAAGAACTCCACGCCATCCCCGGGTTTCCTGGAGAAAGAGCCGGGTCAGCTCACAGCTCTCAGCACGCTGGCCCCTGCCTGGGACCCTCGACTCCAGGGGCAGGAAGGGCCATGTGACATCCACAGTGTGGCACAGCTAACTGCAGACCCTCCTTCCCGCCCAGGGGTGCTGGGGCAGGGGCGGCCATGTGTGAAGTCTGGCGGGAAATGGCCCTGTGGGCGTGTGGGGCTGGGCCCCTCGGCACCCACCAGGCCCCCGTGGCAGGCTCCTGCGGGTCGGCGCTGGCACTCCCTGGGTCCTGCTCAGTCCTGCGGCGGAAGGACGGGCACACCTGCACCTGCCTGAGCACGCTGCTCTTAATGTCCAGCAAGGTCGACATGGCGGGTGACCTACAGCAGAGAGCACAGCCCGCAGCCTCAGGTCGTCCACTCAACCCTCCGTGCACCACAGCAGGCGGGGGGGTGGGGGGGTGGGGCGGGAAGAGGTGGGGCAGAGGCCTGGGAGCTCACCCACAGCCTGGATGGCGCTGGGCACCTGGTCAGGCGGTGAGGGCTCCTGTCCCCACACCTGCTGGGTGACCGGCTAAGTCCCTGCGCCCCCTGCAGGGCGGCTTCAGGGAGGAGGTAGCAAATGCTGTCAAAGGCGGGGCTGGTGCCCACCCAGAGCTGGGGGTCCATCAGGGACTTATGGGGTCTCACTGGCGAGGGAGGCGGTTGCCACACTCGCCCCCCACACCCCTCCCCGCGACAGCACAGCAGGAGGCGCCTGTTTCCTGGGGCTGCATCAAGAGGACCAAGATCTGGGCCACAGCACTCAGCTCCCCCAGCCCCCGTGCCGACTCTGGGGCCAGGACGGATGCCAGGTACCCAGCTCTCCTATGTAGGAGGTAAAAACTCGCCAGAACCCTGACATCCTGGGTGGAGGATGCCCATGTGGCCAGGAGGCCCTGGAGGGGACTGCCTGGGGGTCCTCGCTCACCAAGCACAGCGGGGGTCAATGCCCCCTCCTCACCCCAGGAGCTGGTCAGCAAACCTGAGGTGGACAGTAGAAGGTGGGGGGCAGTGTCCCCACAAAGCAGGGCCTGCTCCCCATAGTTGGTACAAACGAGAACATGAAGCGAGCCGGGCCCCGCTGGAAAATGCCGGGTGTAGGGGCTACAGTTCCCTCCCAGTCCATCCAGCGTCAGTTCCCCTCATGTTGCCATGACAACTGAGCCAACCTGTCAGCCTCCTGCTTGGAGCAGCAGCAGCAGCAGCAGCCCAGATGTCACCGCTGGGACAGAGCTGCCCTCTGCCAAGGCCCGGAGCCTGGGCCCAGGCAGACCCGGAAGCCCCCTGGAAGGCCCCACCCACTTTTTGTTTTGTTTTGTTGAGATGGAGTCCAGGCTGGAGAGCAGTGGCATGATCTCAGCTCACTGCAGCCTCCACCTCCAGGTTCAAGTGAGTTGCAGTGGCGCAGTCTCCGCTCACCGCAACCTCCGCCTTCCAGGTTCAAGCGATTCTCCTGCCTCAGCCTCCCAAGTAACTGGGATTACAGGCGCCCGCCACCAAGCCCAGCTGATTTTTTTGTACTTTCAGTGGAGACGGGGTTTCGCTATGTTGGCCAGGCTGGTCTTGAACTCCTGACCTCAGGTGATCCACCAGCCTCGGCCTCCCAAAGTGCTGGGATTACAGGCATGAGCCAGCACCGCCCAGCCCACCTGTGTCAGGGAGGAAGGCCGGGTGGTCCTGCCCTGCACACCCCCTTCAACAGGGGTAGGATGATGGCTAAGACACCGTAGCCTCCTGAGACCCTCTTCCTCTGCATGGGTGCAGGTGCAGACCCTCCACCTCTGCACTGCCTCTGCCCCCCAGCAGCCCCAGGGAGGTCTCCTCCCCGCTCCATGGAAACTGTCCCAGAGCCAGGCCACCTCTGCCCCACCACAAGAGAGGTACCCACTCTTGGGTTCCTGTCCCAGCCTTGCCGGCCTCTGATTTCTAGGACACCGCGCTCCCCCAGCCCCCCGGGGTCCTGGCCTTGCTGTCTGGGTCCCTTCCCTTGCCAGTGCTCCCTCATCCACCTGCGGAGGGTGCCTCCGGGCTGGGCACACTGGCCCTCGCAAAGGGCATAGTCATTCTCACGGGACAGGAGAGGAAACGAAGACCAGCAGGTTCTACCGCCCACTCAGGCTCTCACGGACAGTTGGCCCTGCATGCCAGGCCAGCTCCCCACAGTGGCACTAGACTCATAAGCTCAGTGGGCAGCGTGGGGGCCTGAGCACACCATGCCAGTGGTGGGTTCCAAACGGACTTTGTCGAGCCAGCTCCCGGGCCCCTGCTGTGTCTGTGGGGGTTCAGGGTCACCAGCCCCAAGCTATACCCACACCAGCTCAGACACCATTCCCGGATATCTCGTCTTGATTCCAGGGTCCCTGCCAGCCCCCGAGCCCTGGGTGCAGGCTCTTACGGGACCAGACCCTAGAGCTGAGGACAGGAAGGAGGGTTTGCGTCTCCCACCCTGTGAGAGGCAATGCTTGCGGGGGGGACTCACCTCCTTCAAACCTATCAGTGCCTTCCCCTGTGAGCCTCCCCCCCAAAAGATGGGGGGGCTTGGTAGGCTGGGTACAGTGCTTCTGGAAGCTGTCACCCCCACAGCCAGTCGTGAAATCCTCAGGGGCCTGGGAGTCACAAGCCCCCTTCCCCTCCCTTGCTGGGTGGAAGAGGCTGCTCCCCCTGCTGTCCCCCGAAGCCAGTGGAGCAGCCGCTGCTGGAGCTGTTGCCAGGGCAACCGCCGCGGCATGTGCGTGTGACAGGGGCGATGGGGGCTCGCAGTCCTGGAGACAAATGTGACGCAGGAGCCAAGTGGCCTGAACTGCGGGGTTGGGGAGGGGGTGTCTTTGTGATAACAAGATGTTCCAGGCAGAAAAAGGGGGCTCGGTACCCTCCCTGCATTTTCCTCTCCACATTCACCTCCTCATCCCCAGAGCGGCCCGAGAGGGGTGCCCTTTGCTCCCTGCATCTCAGATGGGCAAACGGAGGCGCAGGGCTGGGAGCCCGCCCAAGGTCCCAGAGCCAGCAAGTGGGCTGGGGACGGCAGTCAAGGTCTCTTTGGTGTCCCCAGTGCTAAGCTCCTGGGGCAACCAGCTAGGCCAGCCCCCCTGACCCCAACTGCAGCTCCTGCCCCTCCCACTGCCCGTTGCTAGGATGGGTGCAATAATGGCGTCTTGGCACAGGTGTACAGAAGACTTGGCTCATCCTGGGTGCGCAGAAACCCCTTTGGTTCCCCTGGAAACCCCAGGCTTCCTGGGCAGCTGATAGCCTGGCTGCAGCCAACTGCGTGGGCCCTGGGAGCCACCTGCCACAGAGGCCGGAGCTGCTGTGAATGGTGGGCATATGCATCTGTCTGTGACCAGTACAGGAAGCACTGGCTGCCTGGGTGGCTCTCAGCACTTACGGGGCAGGAGTGAGCCAGGTGCAGGGGACCCCCCGTCTTTCCCGTGGGCCCAGACGTGATGTAACTCCTTCCCAGTCTCTCACCCTGGGACAGTAGCATGAGGCAGGATGAACCCCCCCATACTCTGCTCATGCCTGATGCCAGGACCAGAACCACACTCCCATCTGTCCAGTGAGCAGAGGGAGGACCGCCAAGGAGCTCCTGCCTTGTGGCACTGGGGCTGAGCCACACCTGCCCATCCCACCTTGCTCCCTGGCTGTCCCCCAGGCCTGGGCTGAATGGGGAATGACATTTTGCAAGGAGGATGGCACATCTCATTTCACAGCCCAGGGTGGGGGCGACTTGCCCAGAGCCCAGATGTGAACCTGGGACTCTTAAGCCAAGCTGTCTCCTGCCAGGCCATTTGGGGGCTCAGGGTTGGGGGCAGTGAGGCAGCTGAGTCTGGGGGCAGCGGAGCAGAGGCTGGGTCAGCCTTCCTCCCCAGTGCAGGCTGTCTAGGAACAAACGCCTTCAACGTGTTGGGGGCGCCCTTCTTACCACATTTGGGGCAGGGGGTTAGCTGATGGTGCCCTGGGTGTGTGCCTGGGGCGGGAGGTGGCAGGACATCTGCCCCACAGGCTGGCTCTCCACGCTGCCCTCTTGGTCTTCTCTCCAGCTTCCCTGCTCTTCCTCCCTCAGCCCCCCGACTCCCCTTCACCAGGCCCTGGGGGTTTCCCGCAGGAATCTCTCCCTGGTCTCACCGACTCCTCCAGATGGCCCCTGCGAAGCCGATGGCGGTGCCCAGGTGCAGGTCACCTGGCGGGCCCGCTGCAAACGCTGCTCCCCGGGGTCTCATTCCAGTCGAACCCCGGGAATCTGCATTCTAACAAGCGCTGCCGGTGGCCTTGGGCTCCCCGAAGCCTCAGACGGCTGCCAAGGTCCAGCCGCTGGCGCCCAGCAGGAGCGCAGGAGACCGGAGCCCGAGGCGCCTTCTTCCTCCCCTCGCCCGTGTCTGCGCAGCGCTCCCTCCTCCCTCTGCTCACCGACCCCCTCCCTGCCCCGCCTCGCGGCACCCCCTTTCCCGGGGCCCCGGGCGCCCGCAGGAGCCACACCCCCAGTTCTATGGGGGTCTCTCCCCTCGGAGGGGGCGGGCGGTCCGGGGTGAGTCTGGGGGCGGGTCTAGTGTGTCACTTTAAACTCCTCCCCCGGAGACCCCGGCCCAGGCAAGAGCCCACAGCCCTTTGCCGAGTGGGGCTGAAGGAGGGGCCGCTTTGCACTCGCAGGGATTTCGGGGGGACTAAAGGGCCTTACGAGGACCTGCGGGAGGAGGGAAGGGACGAGGACGCTGGGGGGTGCAGCCCGCCCGGGAGGGGTGCTGGGAGGCCCCGGGCCCGTCTGCTCCCCCGGGGAGGGAGGCGCGGGGGTCGAAGCCTCGCTTGGCGGCTCAAGTGCGGGGGAGGCCGTCGCCAGCGCCCGGATACCCTCCCCGTCCGCTCCGCAGTGCGGACCCCACCGCCGCACCCTCTCCTGCGCGTTCGGAGGGGAAATGCCCCCGAGACCCCGCCCCTCCAAGCATGCGCGGCCTCAGTTTCCCCAGGGCCGAGGGGACGTCGAGACCTTCCCACCGCCCCCCGCCTCGGAGGCCACCCCCGTGCCTCCTGGGGGACCCGGACCAAGGGGGCGGCGGCCGTCGGTCCGTCCGGGTTGGGGCGCGGGGCCGAGCCCAGACGGCGGCCCAACAGCACTGGCCGCAGCCCGCGGCACTTACCGTGGGCCGGCGCGGGGATGGGGGGGCTCCTGGGGCGCTGCGCTCGGCACCAGCTCGGGGACGCCGAGGCACAGCTACCGCTCCCAGCCGCGCGCGCCGACGACTGAGCAACTGCTGGGCGGACGCCGCTGCGGGGGCGGGGTCTGACTGGGGGCGGGGCCGGGCCTGACCGGGGCGGGGCCTGACCGCGCTCGCCCCGCCCCCCGCGTCCACGGCGCCTTAGGGGACCCGGCCGGGGTCTCCGTGCCTTGAGCCGGGCCGGAGCCCCCTCCCCCGGGATGCGGGGCTGTGAGTCAACCCACAGGTGGCTGCGGGACGGGGAGCGGGCTTGGCTGCCTCGGGACCCCGCCTGGCCGCGCGCGCCCTCCCCGTGGCGCGTGGGGTCTAGAAGGGGGTGGTCGGCGGGGTCTCCTCCGCGGACCCCAGGGAAGCCACGGTCACGAAGACCAGCAGCGGTGCAGACCTTTCTGGAAGGGCCTGACTCAGGGACACCTCGCGGGCCCCGCCGCTCTCTTCTCGGGGCGGGGATGCGTCCTGCAGGGATCCACTCGGGACGCCCCACGCCCACGCGGACGGTCTGTGGGGCGATCGTCCCTGGGGCTCTGGTGAGGGCCCAGTTGGCGCTTGTGGGGTCACAGCCGGCCAGAGCCCCCGGAGCCCCTGGGGTCTGCACTGGACCCCGCCAGCCCCTCCCGGGTGGCTCCCCGCTCTTCCTCCGCTGCGCTGTCCTGGAACCCCAGCGGGCCCGCGGTCTCCTGCAGGGTTTGTTAAGGCATTGATGGGTCCTGTCCCCAACCCGCTGGTCCCGAAGTCTGGGTGGGGGCGCGATCTGCGTTTTTTCCCTTTTTTTTTCAGACAGAGTCTCGAAAAAGCTCTCAAAAATAGCTCTCAACCAGGTTGGAGCGCAGTGGCACCATCTCCACTCGCTGCAACCTCGAACTCTCCGGCTCAAGTGGTCCTCCCGCTTCAGCCTCCCCAGTAGCTGGGACCACCCGCCGGCTAATGTTTTTTGGTTTCTTTTGTGGAGATGGGGGTCTCCCTATGTTGCCCAGGCTGGTCTCAAACTCCCAGGCTCAAGGGATCCCCCTTCCCCGGCCTCCTAAGGCGCTGAGATCACAGGTGTGGTCCCCACGCCAGCCAGCGCCTGCACTTCCCAGCTCCAGTCTGCTGCCGCCAGTCCAGGGACCACACTTTGAGAAGTCCGTGCTAAGCATGGTCCTGTCGGGGGCCTGAGGCTCTCAGACTTGCCGAGGGCGCAGCGGCCCCCCGGTCGCACCTGCCCTTGGTCGAATACAGCTGGACACTCGCAGCCCTTTGGGGACAAGGGGTGGGGGGTGGTCAGACTTTGGAGTTTTCACCCGAAGGGCACCTGGGCAGCCCAAGGCCAGACAGGCTTCCAGAACACAGCTCTTCAAAGGGAGGGGGCCCGTCTGCCAACAACTGTCTTGGCTTCTGGATCCCAACTCACTCAAATCCATGCCCGCCCCACACCTGTCTGTGCAGGATCGGGGGCAGGACCCCTGGGTGGGCTCTCCTTCGGGACGCTCGGCCCAGGCTCTGCCGGATCCTGACCCAGCACAGCCAGGCCGGTGGGGGAGGGCAGGGAGCTTGCAGGAAATGCAGGGACTGGCTGGGACAGGGACGCGGTGGGGGAAGCAGGGGAGGGGGCCTGGGCCCTCAGCCCCACTCTGTAGCAGTGTTCTCCTGAGGGGCTGGTGGGTCTGGAGACCGGGTCTGGGAGTGACGCCCCTGCCTCTGCGGTCTTGCACCAGGTTCTGCCCACCTGTTGGAACAAACACAGGCCGGTTGCCATGGTGATCACACTGGCTTTAAGTGAAGGGACAGGCTCTGCAGCTACGGTAAACAGGAAGTTGGGAGGGGCAGCCGCTGCTCCGGCCCCTACGAGAGCACCAACCCTGAAACCAACACTGCAGTCCGTTGGGTGCGGGAGCACCCTTGGAGACCTCTCCCCACTCTTTTCTAGGTAGGGAGACTGGAGTCCGGAGACGGGAAAGGGCTTTTCCAGGGCCACATAGTGATAGGTTGAGTCCCAAACCAGCCCTGGGCCTCCGTTTCCCCAGGAGAGGACGGTCACTAGGACTGTCCCCTCCACAAACATTTGGTGAGGAGTCGAGGAATGAACGATCCGAGCGACACCCCACTCAGTGACCAAGGCCTTCATTCTCCAACTTGTTCTGAGGCTGAAGACAGGCTGACCTGGATCAAAGTCCCAGCACCCTGCTCACCCCTGCCCCAGGGCGACCCTCCACTGCCCGGGCCTCAGTTTCCCTCTTCTGTAAAATGGGGACAACAGCAGCACCCACCTTGGGTGCAGCTGGGGGACCTCAGTGAGCCAGTCTCAACTCACAGCAGGTCAGCCTCAGTCCCAGTTGGTGGGGATGGGAACTGCAGCCACCCAGCCAGAACTCCGGCCCCTCCAGTGACCCAATTTACCTTTCCATAGCTTGGGGCTGGAAGCCCATCCTCGCGTGAGTCCCCTCCCACTAAGAGAGAGGGCAGGAGAGTGGGCCGCCCACCCTCCCCACCCTGAGCCCCAGGCCTCACTCTGAAGGGGCTACCCTGGCGTCTCTGCCTTCGGACCGGAGTGCAGACAGCTGCCGTGCTCCGGGGACAGTGAGGGGATGGCGCAGGTGCAGGAACACCTCCCACCGATGTGTCGGGACACGAGACCCCCTGCCCAGACGGGGTCAGAGCTTGAGGAGGCTGCTGGGGCACCAGGGCTGCTTGTGCAAAGCTGAGAAAAGCCATTTTTCAAGCCTGGCTCTTTTCACATTCTCAGGACTTTGTGCTGGAAAGGGTCTGGCAGGCAGGGAGAGTAGCTTTTCCTCCTTAGGGCCGGGCCGGTGGCGGGGGGCGGAGATGGGGGGGCAGGTAAAAACACCAGGCTCTGGATACGCAGGCGCCAAAGCCGCTGAAGCACACAGGTGAGGCCATGGCAGAGTTAGACAGCCCCTCCTGTTCCACGCTCATGAGCACAGCGCAGGGCCCAGTGCTACCACCCTCTGGTGGCAGCCCTAGAAATTGCAGGCACAGCCTCCCAGAATCTGCCCCCAACTTCCCTCTGAGGACCCAAGCAAGGAAGGGCAGGGTCCTTGGAGAGCTCGTGGGGTCAGAGCCCAGGGACTCTGGCCAGGGACCCTGCCTGCCCCGGAGCTGGAGGACCCTGAAGACTGCCAGAACCTGTTCCTTGCCCCATCAAGAGAGGGGCTCTGGGTGGGAGGGCCTCAGCCCAAGTCTGGCCTCATGCCTGAGATGCTGGTCTCCAGATCCCACACCAGAAGCTCCGGGAGTCCTGCTGCCACGCGTGCACAGGTGGGGCCGGCTGGAGGTGACCACCCAGTGTCACGCTGGAGTTCTCTCAGGCCTCCGTGCTAGTAGCAGCATCTGTGAGGGGTCCAGGGCAGGGCAGGGACAAAGAAGTGGGCCCAAGACAGGGTCCTACCAAGCCCCCAAACAAAGGCCATTGGTGTGCCAGAGCCCTGCAGGCAGGACAGCCCCTGCTGCGGTGAGGCTTGGATGGCAGGGAGGATGGCACCCTGTCCCCTGGCCCCGCCTCCCACCAGCCTGAGGGTGGGGGTGTCAGAGGCCCCTTCCCAGCGAGATGGGCTTCTGTGCTCACTGTGGTTAGGGGCCCAGCAGGGAGAGGCCAGGCCCTCAGTGTGCATCCTTCTGTGCAGAGCTGGGGTTGGGAGGCGACTCCTCCCAGCTCTGGGGGCTTCAGAGTCCCTCCTTTTCTTTTTTTTTTTTGAGATGGAGTCTTGCCCTGTTGCCCAGGCTGGAGAGCAGTGGTGTGATTTCGGCTGTAACCTCTGCCTCCTGGGTTCAAGTGATTCTCCTGCCTCAGCCTCCCGAGTAGCTGGGACTACAGGCGCCCGCCACCATGCCCAGCTGATTTTTGTATTTTTTTGTTTTTTTTTTTCAACTGGTAATCAATTTATTAAAATAGTTGACTTAAGCATCTGCAATGGTGACTTCCACTTCAACTCCTGGCTCAATACTGATGGAAGTAATCTGCTTAACAATCTCAGAAGGACTGTGCAAGTCAATGAGTTGCTTATGGATGCTCATCTGGAGTTTTTTTTTTTATAAGTTTTTTTTTGAGATGGAGTCTTGCTCCGTCGCCCAGACTGGACTGCAGTGGCGCGGTATTGGCTCACTGCAAGCTCTGCCTCCCAGGTTCACGCCATTCTCCTGCTTCAGCCTCCCAAGTAGCTGGGACTACAGGCACCTGCCACCATGCCCAGCTAATTTGTTTGTATTTTTAGTCGAGATGGGGTTTCACTGTTAGCCAGGATGGTCTCAATCTCCTGACCTCGTGATCTGCCCGCCTCGGCCTCCCAAAGTGCTGGGATTACCGGCGTGAGCTGTAACCTGGCCTCATCTGGAGTTTTTCTTGTAGTGATTCTCAAAGTGTTGGTAGGATTCAAACCGGTCCTTTCACTTTGAGATTCTTTTCCTTTGTGCCTCTGATCAAGTCAGCACACACCTTTTCAAGTGATTTTATGCTGTAGCTCGTTAGAGTGATTCAGATTTGGTGAATTTTGGTGAATTTGGTGAATTTGGCGAATTTGGTGAATTTTGGTGAATTTGGTGAATTTTGGTGAATTGCCATCTCCGGCTCCTTGGGTGTTTTTCTGGTATCCTTAAAAGCCAAAAGAATTTTTTAGGCCGGGCGTGGTGGCTCACACCTGTAATCCCAGCACTTTAGGAGGCCGAGGTGGGCGAATCACGAGGTCAGGAGTTCGAGACCAGCCTGGCCAACATAGTGAAACCTCGTCTCCACTAAAAATACAAAAATTAGCCAGGTGTGGTGGCGTGTGCCTGTAGTCCCAGGCACTCGGGAGGCTGAGGCAGAAGAATCGCTTGAACCCGGGAGGTGGAGGCCGCAGCGAGCCGAGATCGCCCCACCACACACCAGCCCGGGCGACAGTGTTAGACTTCGTCTCAAAAAATAAATAAATTTTTAAAAAATAATAATAAAGCCATAGCTGCTGCGTGGCTTCCTGACCAGCTTGTTCCTTGGCGAGAGCGGACAGTGGTGAGTCAGGAGCAGGAGCGTGCGGATCAGCGATTCACAGCACCTACCACCACGTCTTCCTCAAAGGGCTAATTTTTGTATTTTTAGTAGAGACAGGGTTTCACTATATTGGTCAGGCTGGTCTTGAACTCCTGACCTTGTGATCCATCCGCATCAGCCTCCCAAGGTGCTAGGATTACAGGCATGAGCCACCGCGCCCGGCCTAATTTTTGTATCTTTAATGGAGATGGGCATTTGCCATGTCGGCCAGGCTGGTCTTGAACTCCTGACCTCAGGTGATCCTCCCAACTCGGCCTCCCAAAGTGCTGAGATTACAGGCGTGAGCCACCGCGCCCGGCCTCAGAGTCCCTCCTTAAACGCACAGCCCAGGCTCGGGAGGCCGAGGCAGGAGAACTGCTTGAACCCGGGAGGCGGAGGTTGCAGTGAGCCGAGATCATGCCACTGCTCTCCAGCCTGGGCGAGAGAGTGAGACTCCATCTCTAAATAAATAAATAAGGCACAGCCCGCATCGAGGAGTGGGAACTTGCCTTATTCGGCGGAGGGCATCCTGGAGGAAGGGCAGAGGCCCAGGGAAGGAAGAGCCCAAGCCACACGTGCTCGGTGGTTTTCTTGTGCCTGTTCCTATTTCTTCCTAAGAGCCGGATAAGCCGATCTCCTGGCAGGTGCAGAAGCCTTTGGACCAGGCTGGGCCAGAGACAGGCAGGGTGGATGGGACCAGTTGCCCCAGCCCCTTCCCACCCAATGGGCCAAAGCCAGGAGCCCCCACCCCAACTGGGCCCAATGGCTTCCTCAGACCAGGTGGTGCCTGGGGATCTCAGGCTGTGTCTCCTGAGCAGGTGCTTCAGGACACTCCCAGACCCAGAATCAGGGTCGGCTGGGGATGGATCCCAAACCCAGCACTCCCAGGCCCCTCCCTGCTGGAGCTGGCTCAAACCAGCTCCAGCCAGTCCGAATCAGTGCAAGGCCCTCCAACCTGGCAACTTGTCGTCATGGTAATCATGAGGAAGGCTTCCCATCAGCGGATCCCAGTGAGTGATGGCGGGGCCAGGCCTCAGGTCCAGGAAGGTGAGGCGACCTGGGGACCAGCAGCCTGGCCAGGAGCCTGCATTCCTGCGGGCAGCGGCCAGCATGGTGGCCAAGTCTCCTAGCCTCCTCCGGCCCAGCCAGACCCAGGTCCCAAGGGACCTGAGAGACGGAGGGCACCTGTGGCTAGCCCGACTGCCAAAGCCAAGGGAGGTCTCCCCCGGCGCCAGCTCAGGCCTGGCTAGCCCGTCCCGCAGGGGGCTGGGGTCCCTGCACCTGTGCACCAGACTCCTACCTGGTGGCTCCAGCCAGCCCTGGATGGGCCCTGTGAGGAGAGCTCTCTGGACACCTGGGGTCCCTGCTCCCCAAGGAGGTCCCCTGCCAGGGACAGCAAGAGCAGCCTTGAGTCCCAGGGAGGAGACCCGTAGAGCAGGCCAGGGAGGTGCAGGTGAAGAGACCCCGAGGCTGGCTAGAGGGGATGTCACCCGGAGGGGCTGACGTGGGGCTGGAAGCAGGACCAGAACAAAGCCCTGGGGGGTAGGGCTGGGCCTTGGGGTCGGGGGACGCCCTGTGGCCCCAGTGGGCTCCCACCCCCAAAGCCCAGGGGAGCCAGGGACAGGGCAGGAAAGGACACACCCGGCAGGCCGCAGTCTGTGCAAATGCTTTAATGGTGGATTCTTAGATACAGTGGTTAATCCATTGCCCACAATTCTTTACTAATTCCGAGGCACCTCATGCCGGGAACACACTTTCCCTTCCACTAAACAAAGGTGACCGCGTTTCAGAGCTCTCCTCTTACAAGGTTCACGTCCTTCGTTAGGCCGAGGACCGTGGTACTACAAAAGAACATTTCGTTAGCTGAAGTCACTACGATTGGCGAGAAACATCCGTTACTTCAGAATACGTTAACTACAAAATATATTGAATTTCCATATGTATTAACCATATACATGTGTAACTATTACTAAATGTAGTTCAGTCATTACAAAATAAGACATTCTGGGAGCGGGCTACAAATATTCAAACCAGCTGAATTCCCCAGGTAAGGCCCCGTGTTATAAACAAACCACAAACATCAGACGTCAGACCGAGAGCTCAGTGACTGCAGGGTGCGTAGCCGGAAAAGCCAACAAGGCACTGGCACCGCAGAGTCGCTGGAGGGGTGGTGGGGGGCACTGCCGGCTCGGGGGGCCTTTGGAAGTCACCTCTAACTTCGATTCCCAGCCAACAGCGGCTGGAGTCCCACACGGACCTGGAGGGTGCCGAGCTCCCCTTCCCAGGGCCCTGGACCGCCCTCCCTGCATTCTTTGCTCCTTTGGGGAGCCCCGCCCTGCCCTCTTGGGACCCTGCACTTGGGCCACGGGGACCCAGCTCCAGCCACCGGGGGGTGCCAGGGCAGCAGGGCCAGCTCCAGCCCCAAGGCTTGAAACGAAACTGAGGAGGGCCAAGCTCGCTAGGATGGGGAGACTGGGTTGGGAGCCAGAGGTTGGAGGGCTGGGAGCACCGGGCTGTGTCCCCCAGGGCTTCCCATCTCTGTCCACTGTGCCTTCCTGCTGGGAGGTGACCGGCACCCAACTTCCCAGCCAGGCCACTTCCTGCAGTGGCTCAGGCAGCCCCAAGAGGCCTGGCCGGCCCAACCTTTGCAGAGGGCTCAGCGTCAGGACGGCTGCTGAGGCGCACAGCCTCCCCAGGACAGACCACACTCAGGTGGCCTCAGGACGAAGAATTCCAGACACAGGCTGCCCAGGGCCCTCTACCTGGCGCTAAGGGTCGGGGAAGCCCTGGAGGGCCACGGCTGTGGGCTCTCCCAGAAAAAGCACCTGGCGTTTGCCACGGGTGGTAGCAAGGCTGCCTCCTGAGGACACAAGGGACAGACACCTGAGGTGGCACCCTATGCACAGCGCAGCTCCATCCCTGTGACCTGGCCACTGAAGAGGGGAACCCCCGCCAGCAGGCTGCCCGGATAGGAGTCCTCAGGCAGCCCCCAGCCCTGGTCTGGACCTGGCCTTGTGGCCCCCAAGACAGCTGGCACCGGTGCAGTTGCCAGGGTCTCGATGCCAATCCCGACCTATGCAGATCTTAGCTGCCCAGCGCTCTACAGCCCGCAGATGCGGGGAGCACAGAAACCTCAGCAGCACTTTGTACACAGCCCTGTTTACAAAGATCCAGGGCAAGACAGAGCCTCACAGCCTGCGTGCATCCGAAGCAGATGGAGAGCCTGGTCCTGGCCCGCGGTGGGGCTGCAGGTGGGTGGGGAGGGCCGGGCACTGGGAGGCCGCCTCCTCTCACTTTCAATGATAATAATGCAACCAAAACCTTTATATAAACAGTTTATTTACTCTAAACAGCAACACAGACAAAACGCCATATAAACACAAAGGAAGTGGCGCAGAACCGAGATGCTGACCTGGGGTCTGAGGCTCAAAAGCAGCACAGCCCAGGTTCTAGAAGGTTCTAGAGAGGAGCGGCAGGAGGGAGGGTGCATTTCCATACAGCCAGCTGAGGCCAAGTGCAGCTCTGCACGGTGAGAAGCATGCCTGCATCCCAGAGCGAGGAACTCGCCCCTGGGGGACTTACCCAAGTATAAAAGTTTATAATTTTACAGCAGTTGAAATACTGACATCAATATTAAAATAAAAGCGAGTTTTACATAACAATCAAAAATACAAAAGACCGAAGGAAGAGACCCTGTATGGAAACGGGCAATTCAGCGAATCGAGACCGCACACCCGCGGCGGCAATGGAAGATGGCGCCCGCCCAACCCCCCCAGGTGACTAGTCATTGTATGGAGCAACTTTAGATTTGCAAAAATGTTGTAAACAAGTTCTTGCCAAACCAATCCCTTCCTTTTGACGATGCCACAAGGTCGCTGCTTATGAGGGCGCAAACTTCTTGGCTTGTGCTCGGACCCTTTTCTCGTACTCCACTCTGTTTTGGCTGAGGAGGTCAAAAGAGAAGAGACGTGTTAGAGGGCTGAGCTGCCTGGCCCTCACGCTCGCCCCGGAGCCAGCTGGGCAGACCAGGCTGCAGGATGGGACCTCCTGGGGGAGGGCAGTGTGGAGCTCGTCATAGTAACAGAAGCAGAAGCCCGGAGAAGCAGGGAGGCCTGCGTGGTGGGGAGCCCATGCTGGCTCTGACGTGGCTGAGACTGTCCCGTGGTCTGACGGGGGCAGAAGGGCAGGGAGGAGAGGAACCCACGCTGGGTGAACGTGGTGTTCAAGGGGGACAGAGGGGTCCCGCAGGGCTGCGAGGAGGGCTCAGGCCCAGAGGGCCCACGCCAGGGCCTGCAACATCGTTGCCGATGCCAAGTCTGGTCCTAACTAGTAATCAGCAGCTTCTCTTTTCTGTAGGTCTGGGGACAGTCCTAATAAACTGAAAACACTGACTGCTTGCCACTGTTTTTGTTAATTCCCAAAAATAGACACCAATTTCTGGAGGGTTTTTCCATGAGGCTCTCAGCCGCAGGGGCAAAGGTGTGGGAAGGCAGGCCTGGTTGAGAAGGCGTTGTGCCCGAGCTGGGCAGTGCAGGGGCATCAGCGAACAGGTCTGGAGCTGGGTAGAGTGAGGCTCAGCCTGCAAGCAGCTGCCCAGGAGAGTGGCATGGCACACACTGCCCGGGCAAAACAGGTGGGCGGGAGGGCGGCCGAGGCTGCACCTAGGGGCTGATGGGTCACAGGGTGCAGTGTGACCCTGAGGATGGGGGAACACCATGACATTTATGGAGGTGGCTCCTGGGGTCGCAGTCCTGCCAGTCTCGCCAGGATTGGACCTGGTCTGAGACACTGAGCCTCACTCTGCATGGTGGAACAGCCCAGGACGGCAGCAGCGCCGGTGCCACCCCCACCCACGCCAAGGGCCTGGACCGCAGCCCAGACCCCAGCGCCCTCCTTGGGCCACCAGCCGGCCCCAGGGCAGAGCAGCTCAGCTGGGTGGGCGTGGAAGGAACCAGAGGCGGTGGCTACACGTCCCAGCTCTTCCTTGACCAAGCAGAGGCCCCGAGAAAAGGCACCTGCCAGGGCAGGAACACGGTCCAAGGCCTCCAGGAAACCCAGGAAAAACGATCTGAAACCCGCACACATGCTTCACAAAGGGTGCTTTTCAAGCGGATGTGTGTAGGAGAAAGAACGTTTGTTTACGTGCACGCAAGTGTACAGTGCAGCCCAGCAGGCACCAAGCCCAGGAGACGCTGGGGAGAGTCACACGGGGCGGGGGACTGCAACCCTGCCCAGCCCACGCCGCAGATGGGAGCCACAGCCCAGCTCTGGAGATGGTCGGCAAATGGGGTGCAGGCCAGACAGAGCTCACGCCCACACCATGCTGGGGATGGCAGACCATCTAAGGGCTAGGCAGGAAAACATTTGCCTTTTGTTTTGTTTTTTTGAGACAGAGTCTGGCTCTGTTGCCCAGGCTGGAGTGCAGTGGCGTGATCTCGGCTCACTGTAAGCTCCGCCTCCCAGGTTCAAGCCATTCTCCTGCCTCAGCCTCCCGAGTAGCTGGGGTTACAGGTGTGCGCCACCACGCCCGGCTAATTTTTTTTATTTTTACTAGAGATGGGGTTTCACCGTGTTAGCCAGGATGGTCTCAATCTCCTGACCTCGTGATCTGCCCACCTTGGCCTCCCAAAGTGCTGGGATTACAGGCGTGAGCCACCGCGCCCGGCATGCTTTTTTTTTTTTTTTTGAGACAGGGTCTCACTTTGTCACCCAGGCTGCAATCTTGGCTCACTGCAGCATCAACCACCTGGGCTCAAGCAGTCCTCCCACCTCAGCCTCCCAAATAGCTGGGACTACAGGCATGCACCATCATCCCCGGCTTAATTTTTTTTTTTTTTTTTTTTTTAAAGAGAGCAGGTCTTGCCATGTGGCCCAGGCTGGTCTCCAACTCCTGGGCTCAGGTAACGTCCCACAGTGGCCTTGCAAAGTGCTGGGATTACAGGCATGAGCCACCACCCCTGGCAAATTTTTTAATTTTTTGTAGAGATAGGGTCTCGCTATGTTGCCCAGTCTAGTCATGAACTCCTGAGTTCAAGCAATCAGCCCACCTTGGCCTCCCAAAGTGTTGAGATTACAGGTGTTGGGCCACCACACTTGGCCTAGAAATCATTTTCCAGGCACGGTGGCTCATGCCTATAATCCCGGCACTTTGGGAGGCGAGGCGGGTGGATCACCTGAGGTCAGAAGTTCGAGACCAGCCTGGCCAACGTGGTGAAACACTGTCTTTACTAAAAATACAAAAATTAGTCAGGTGTGGTGGTGGGTGCCTGTAATCCCAGCTACTTGGGAGGCTGAGGCAGGAGAATCACTTGAACCCAGGAGGCAGAGGTTGTAGTGAGCTGAGATCACACCACTGCACTCCAGCCTGGGCGACAGAGTGAGACTCTGTTTAAAAAAAAAAAAAAAAAAAAAAAAGAAAACATTTTCTGCCTCAAGGGCCATGTGGACACCCACGAGCACTGTGGCTTCCTGTCCAAGGGAATGCATTTCACGGACTCCTAGGGCACAGCAGGCCAGCACACAAACCCAGGTCACGCCACGTCCCACGAGCCACTTCCAGCAATGGCTTGGCTGACTGAGCGGCTATGAGTTTTTTTTTTTTTTTGAGACAGGGTCTCGCTTTGTCAAGCAGGCTGGATTGCGGTGCTGCAATCTCAACTCACTGCGCATCAACCTCCTGGGCTCAAGCAGTCCTCCCACCTCAGCCTCCCAAATAGCTGGGACTACAGGTGTGCACCACCATGCAGGGGAGCCAGGCTGAGCCTGGGGTGGCTGCTGTGATACTTGCTCCCTGCCTGGGGCCTCTGTGCCACCCTCGGCCACCAGGGAGGGCACCTTGCAGACACCTGGGCTGGGCCCGCATCCAGGGAGAAACACATCTCTCCAAAACCACGTGCTTTTTTTTTTTTTGAGACAGCATTCCTCCGTCGCCAGGCTGGAGAGCAGTGGCAGGATCTCGGCTCACTGCAACTTCCGCCTCCCGGGTTCAAGTGATTCTCCTGTCTCAGCCTCCCAGGTAGCTGGGATTAGAGGCACCCACCACTACGCCCAACTAATTTTTTGTATTTTTAGTAGGGACGAGGGTTTCGCCATGTTGGCCAGGCTGGTCTCGAACTCCTGACCGCATGATTCACCCACCTCGGCCTCCCAAAGTGCTGGGATTACAAGCGTGAGCCACTGCGCCCGGCCGAAACCAGGTGCTTTTCCTCACGACCTGTGCAGGCCGGGCCTAAGGCAACCGGGACCCCTCAGCCTCCCCCCTCCTGACCAGGAGATGCACCCTGGAGGGAGAGGGCCTCTGATGCCCACAGTGGCAGGGATGTGTGGGGTGGCTGCAGGTGAGCCTTCTGGGTCCCTGGCCATTGGGGGCCCTGAGACCCCCTCAGAGGTGTGGGGACCCGTGGTGAGATGGGGCTGGGTTTCTCAACGCTGCAGGCGGAGCAGTGGGGGGTCGGAGGCCCCAACCCACCTTCTTATGGACCTGCCCAGAACAGCTGCAGAGGGAACAGGACAGGCGGGCGCATGGCCTCTGCTCAGGGCAGGGTCCTCCCTGCTTTCCCCAGCACTGTTTGGCTGTCGTCTGCATCCTAACTCACACCAGGCCCTCCTCGGTGCAGACAGGACCCCAGGCCCACGGGGACCCTTCTAGCCACAGCAGCACCTCACAGGGACAGGGTGGAAGCCCAGGGTCCGTGTGACAGCATCACGTCACTGAGCCCTGCTGGGCTGGGCCCCCCCACAGAAGGAACCAAGTTGTAGAGGGGATGGGGACAAGCAGCAAGGGCGGCGCGGGAGGCTGGGGTCCATGGGAGGCTGAGCCGGTGGAGAGGCCTCTCAGCATGGCCTCCTCTGGCACCCACGCCCAGGGTCCTTCCCCTCCTAGCTGGCCACAACTCACTGGGGCAGTGGCCCAAGACAGCCCGTCACCTGGCCTGCTCCCTCCCCGGGACACGGCTCCGGCGCCATCCATGCCCACCGCAGACGGTGTGCAACGGTGCCTGCTGCCCACAGGGTTTATGCCCCCCGACCTTCCCCACAGAGGCGTGGACCCTGGCTGTCCGTAGGGTGAGCCTGTGTCCTCCACTCCCGTCCTGCCAGGCGGCCTTGGCTGGGACGGGGAGGAGCTGCCACCAGCGGGGCCAGGGCTGCTACTAACCAGTAAATCGTGTAGGCCTCTGCTTGAGCTGGGTCTTGGATATTTGGTTCATTTAGAAGTTCCTGTATTCCTAATAGGATCTGTGCCAGAGACAAAAACACAAGACGGGTGTGAGCAGTTTGAAAGGGAGACACCGTGAGACTCGGCCTCAGCCACAGAGAATGACCACAGACCCACGTGTCCGGAGGGGAGACTAAGGCAGCCCTGCCGGTGCCAGAGGCGGAGGCCCCGTACCTGTTTGATTGTGATGGCTGGCCTCCAGTCCTTGTCCTCCTCTAAGATGGACAGGCACACTGTCCCCGAAGGGTACACATTCGGGTGAAATAATGGTGGTTCGAATTTACCTGGAGGAAGAGGAAGAAAGGAAGCACTTTTTGGAGGCAGGCACTGTCCCAGAGTCACGTCCTTCCCCACATCACCCTCCTCCCAACACTGGGGCCCCGGGTTGGTAGCCAGGTTATTTGGCCAAAAACTTTTCAAAAAAATTAAATTGTGGCCATGAGGAGACTAAAGGAAGACATATCCACCTTTGCACACAGGGAACAGAGCCTTGGGGACACGGCCGCAGCCGAGACGAAGCTGTGTCTCTCCCAGGACAGAACTCCCAGCACAGCCAGGCAGTCTGGGAACACAGGCCCCAGGGTGGCCACTTAACCTGTGGCCCCCACATCCTTTCCAGCTGGGCCAGACTCAGGGGAGATGGGAGGAGCTGCAGGAGACGTCCAGGGACATAGCCAACGCCCTTCCAGAGTCGGCTGTTCCGACGCAGACCCTCTGCTTCCAGGATATACGGGCTTTTAGGACCCTGTGTTATTTCTTTACAAAAAAGCAGAAAAGTTTGCCACCATTAGCCCCACCAGGGACCATCACAGTTGATATTCTAGGCTATTTCCCATCTTTTACCTGGGCATCCTCCCTCTTCTCTCTCAATGCTACGGAAGGACACACAGTGCGGCATGTCTAGTGCAGCCGGAGGAATTACCAGAAAGCCAACGCGCCACGAACACCTACAGCTTCCCCGAACACTCGCTCCTACCGACCACTGCATCTGCCCCGTAATCCCAACTGCAACATCCGCAGGCAGCTTCCTGGACTTCAGGTACCATGGAGATGCACAGGGCACACTCCCTGGGGAACGCGAAGACACCACCGCAGACCGTCCCACACCGCGACCATCCCACACCGCAGGAGCACACGGGCGACACCAGCAGCTGCGTGGCTGTCCTGAGTGCGAACACGCGTGAGCGCGCTGCTGTGGAATGTGGGGTGACGGTGTTGGCCCTCAAGCCGTGCTGCTTCCAGGCTGCTCACGCAGGCTGCGTCGCTGGCGGATTCCAGCCACCGGGTGAGGTGCACGGCAGCCACTCCGTGGTGCTACGCTGCGCCTGCTGGTGACCGCTGAGCGCCCCTTTCGGCCCAGGCTGCTTCCTGGCGACTGCTTCGCAGAAGTTCCTCAAGCGATACGTCTTACAGGGCTCTTCTGCTTGGGGCTTGACTTTTTGCTTTTTTAATTTTTTGAGATGGAGTTTCACTGTGGTGCCCAGGCTGGATCTCGGCTCACTGCAGCCTTCACCTCCCGGGCTCAAGTGATTCTCCCGCCTCACCTTGGCCTCCAGAGTAGCTGAGGTTACAGGCACCCGCCATCAAGCTTGGCCAATTTTTCTATTTTATTAGAACCGGGGTTCCTCCACTGTTGGTCAGGCTGGTCTCAAACTCCTGACCTTAAGTGATTCACTTGCCTTGGCCTCCCAAAGTGCTGGGATCACAGGTGTGAGCCAACGCGCCCGGCCCGACCTTTTCCTCTTCTAAGGGAATCTTTTGGCAAAAACAAAAATTGCCTAATTTCAATTTAATCTGATTCTCAATCTCGTTTCTTCTGCCGATCACAACTTACCCGCAGAAAGGCACAGATGCTGGATGCCAGCACTGCCAGGTCCACCTGTCCCTCCCAAGGTAGAGGCTGCCTCCTACTTCCTCATGGCCTCCGGCTTGGCCGCTCCCGCGCTTCAAAGAAGGAACACAAAGGGGGTGCCCTCCTGTCTGGACTGTCCGCCAGGCATCATGTGGCCTCTTCACTCTTCCCTACCTGTCATCCTAGGACGTCTGGGCTGGGGCAAGTGGGGGTGACACCGGCACCCATCTGTGCCTCTGGTGGACACATGTATGTGCTTCTGTGAATCTCGACTGACTCAAGTGAACAGCCAGGTCCTACAGCATGAGCTCAGCTTCCACTGGTGTGGCAGGCAGCGTCCAGGGGAAACGTTCAGAACATCCGCTCTCTCCAGCGGTGGCTGAGGCTCCCGCTGCCCTGCGCCGCGGCTCCGTCTGCTCCCCTGTGCGCTACGGCAGATCCCACTGGGGAGGCTTTCACTCTTTGGCAAAGCCAGGCATCCCTGCCGCATTTGCTGGCTGGGTGGAGGCCTTTCCTGTGAGGGACACGCTGGACGTCATGGCAGCCTTCTTACTGATTCCCAGGAGCTCTTGGTAGATTCAGGGTGAGGGCTGAGGTACGTACATACACTGTAGTGTGCCCTCCTGCCCGGCGCCAACTGCAGTCTTTATGATAAAGAGAGATTCTTAATTTCAACTTAGTCAACTCGTCAATCTCCCTCCGGCCAGCACTTCACTGCATCCCTGGTGAAGAGATCCCTGCCTGCCCAGGGCTCACGGACACCATCCCGGGTCTTCCTCTCCACGCTGTCCTGCTTGGGCACCACAAGCCATCTGGAAGCTGTTTCTCTATGGTGGGAGGCAGAGCTCGTCTCTCCTGCTGGAATATCCCTCAGGTGTCACAGCCCAAACCACCACATGCGTGGCCTCCGGACTCCTCGTTCTGTCCGCGGGTCTGCCTGCCTGTCTTCTCAGCAAGCCTGCAGTCTCCATCACCGTGTCCCGTGGCAGGTCTAGTGGGGGGTGGGTGGGTGTGCTCTGCACCCACGGAGCCTCAGCCTGGGTCTCGCCACCCCACCAAGAAGCCAAGGCCTCCACGTTTCTGCATTTCCTGGGTCCATGGGACAGTTTCCAACAAGATGTGCTTGACTCCAACTGGGATCACATGGAATCTGCAGACGAGCCTGGAGAGAAGGGCTGTCTGTACAATGTCGTGTGTTCCCCTCCACACACACGGCAGAGCTCAGCTACCGCTCAGGCCGGCCTTGGTTTCCCTTGCAATATTCTACAGTTTTCGGTACAGAGGTCCTGAACCAATCTTTTATTGCATTTATTCCAACGTATTTCATGCTACTATAAATGGCAGTTTTAAAACCTTGCTCGCTGAAATGATATAAAAGCAGATTTGTGTACCTCAATCTCGACTTCATTTTTATATTTATTATTTAGCTTTGTTTCCTTTACCAGGTCCTGTGCTACTTTTCTTTTCTTTTTTTTTTTTTGAGACAGGGTCTTGCCCTGCTGCCCAGGCTGGAGTGTAGTGGCGCGATCTCGGCTCACTGGACCCGCCTCCTGGATTCAAGCACTTCTCCTGCCTCAGCCTCCCGAGCAGCTGGGATTAAAGGCACCCACCACCACACCCGCTAATTTTTGTTTGTTTGTTTGTTTTTTTTAGTAGAGACAGGGTTTCACCATGTTGTCCAGGCTGGTCTTCACCTCAGGTGATCCTCCCACCTCGGCCTCCAAAAGTGCTGGGATTCCAGGTGTGAGCCACCGTGCCCAGCCTTGCACCTCAGCTTTACTGAGCTGTTGTCCTGGCCTTCCTCCCCACCTCTTCCGTTGTGACTTCTTTTTCTTGTCTTGCTGCATTTGCTTGGAATTCCAATCAACGGTTGAACAGAATCAATGAAAGCAGCTACTGTGTCTCATTCTTATATTTTTCTTAATTAAAATAAGTCATCTTAAGTAATACCTGCTCATGGTTTAAAAAAAAAATCAAACAGCAAAGGACAATCCAAAAATGAAGCAAGTCTCGACCAGCTGGTGCTGTCAGCAGTCCTCAAGCTCCTCTGGTCACTGCCACTGTGGAAAACACTTGTGTGTCTTGAGTGACAATTGCAGTGGAAGCTTTTACACAGCACTCTCGCCTCACCGTGGCCAGGCGCTGTCTAGGTGCTGGGCACGTGTTAATGCGTGGAACTCACCACAGAAAGGGCCTGCCGATTTCCAGCTATGGGACGGCAGGGACGTGGCGGCCCTCTCCTCCCTCTCCTGAGTTTTGCTGAACTGACTGAGATCACTAACTTAGCTGTAGGCTCAAAGTCGAACCTGGCCTCAGCCCTTTCTTCTCGCGCCTTCTCTGCTGCTCCCCTGCTCTATGCCTGCCCGGCTGCAGACGCAGCCCCGGGTGGGAGAGACTGCGAGAGCCCACAGGAAGAGCAGTGAGGTGGGGCAAGATAAACCCTCCAGTGAGACTCGGAGTGGTGGCGCTTCTGCACGTCCATCCCATCCAGGGCTGGGGTCTTGTGGGCACCAAATCCTGTCTTCATCGCCAACAATCACTGAGGGTCCAGGCACTCCTAGCCCAGGAGCTCCAGCCTGGATCTCACAGCCTCTCCCTGCAAAGGACTCTGGAGCTTCCCAGCCAATTAGCTGGGATGAGAGACTAAGTCTATTACGTGCACCGCCCACCCGTGGAGCTGGAAACAGACTCGCATCTGCAGCCTGAGGCGGGGATCAGGGATCAAAGCCGACCTCCAAATCTGTGATCTCACTCCCTCCCAGCTCCATGGATCGCCCGGACCAGGGCGCCACGGCCACAGCCACGGGCCTCTTTGGAGAGGACTCCAATCCCCGCAGGAACAGGCCGACTTCCAGGACACTGAACAGGGAGCTACTTACATTTTGGTGGCGAAGATGGATAATCATCTTTGAAAAGCATCCGTAGTTTAAACAAGCCTCCTTCCCACGGAGTCTGTGGGGAAATAAACCGTGGTGAGATGGGCTGCTTGCCTGCCGCAGGCCGGCCCAGGAGGAAGGGGATCGCTTCTAGGACACAACCTCCAGGACTGCGAGGACACCGGGGGCCAGAGGCCCGACAGAGGCGGCTCCCATACCAGCCTGAAGCCTGGACCAGCCCCACCAAGGGGGCGGTCAGGACCTCTGCCATGCCCAGAGAGTGAGTCGGAAAGGCCCTCCTGGAAAGGAGAGGAGGAGACGGGGGTCGGGGGCTGGGCTGGGGGGCAACGAGTGCCGCACACTGGGGCCGGCAGCGCCAAGAGCACACCCGTGCCCTCACCCCAGGGTGTTCTGCAAGCCCCTGCCCCAGGTCCCGCCTGGATGAGGCGCCTTTGCCACCCCACAACCCGACACCACTCCCGTCTTCCTTGGGGCCGCGCGCGCACCTGCCTCGCCGTAATGTGAAGGGCAAGGGACGTTCTCAGCAGAGCCTCAGACAAGTGACAAATCCAAGCCACATCCTGTCTCGGGCAAAGCTGAGTCCTGCTGGGACTGCTCAGCTCAGGGGGCCGGAGCTGCTGTGAGTTTCAGAGCGAAACCCAGAGGCTGGCATGGGCCGGAGGGAACAAGGCCTCGGGCAGGACCAACACCTCAGGGATCTCTCCTTCCTTCAGAGTCCACGAGCATGAACCTTATGTGCAAGCCGGCCTGGAGTCCCTGGCCAAGCACTTCATGTGAGCCGGGCAAAGAGGACAGGCACATGGGCCGCCCTGCTTGCCACAGACACACGGGGCCCCAAGCAGGCATCCTAGGTGGCTGCCGCCAGTCCCTGTGCCCCAGGAGGTTCTCCAGTAGACGGTTTTAGGCCGGGGTGGCTCTCCTGCAAACCCAGCTCCCGCGACCTGAGCCACACCTGGAAGGACACAGCAGAATCCCGGGTTCCAGCACGCAAAGGCTGCCCGCCCCTCAGGCCTGCTCCCAACACACATCAGAGCCCCTTCCCCTCTGCCACAGCTCAGCCCTGTGCCCGGCCAGGCCCAGCCTGCTTCCTTCTCAACCAGAAATGCCCTCGGTAGGGACACAGCTGTCACCCCAACCTTGCCAGCACCACCTTCTGAGCTCAAGTCCTCACGGGGCGGGGGCCAGGCCACAGCTGGGGATCTGAGCTGTTGACCGCGGCCTGTGACAAGGGTGGCCGTCACGGACGGCAGGGATCTGAGCGGAGTATCCCCATGGCACTGCCGCACGCATCTGCTGAGCCCCGACAGGCAGGAGGCCGGCAGCGCCCCTTACCCCTTTCTTTCCTGGAATGGCGCACTCCCAGTTCATGAGGTTCATCGTGCCATCGGGATTTTTTGTTGGGACAGCCACGAAACCCTGAGAGAAAAGAAAACAACCACAAAAGCATATCAGCGTGGCGGCATCTAGTTTGAGCAAAACCACCAAGAACCGGCCTGCGAGTCCCACCGGCCCAGCCCAGGCACGCGACCAGCTCCCTCCCAGTAGGGAGGGCGCGGTTTCAGCCGAGGGAGCCTGTCCGCGGCACTGCACACAGAAATGAAGCCCTCCTTACAAATGGGTGGTCTTTCCTCCATGCTTTCCTCTCCTGGGCGAGTCTGCTGAGGGCGATCCCCGACATGTTCAAAGTCCCTGGAACACAGGAGGCAGAGCACGGGGTCAGGAGAGGCGAGCGGGCTCCTGCCACCCCAGCACGCGCACGTGGCCCGCAGCAGGCAGGCTTGCTCCTAACATACGGTGGCCTGGCCCAGCAGGGACTCTCTTCTTGCAAGCCGTCGTCCGACCCCGGGGGTCTACCAGGGGAGGCCTTGTGAGCGGCGCCCAGATCACCGGGAGGCGGGGGCAGGTAGGACCCCTCCCCATGGCCCCAACCCAGCCCTGGTCTGCGACACATGCTGCGGCCTCTGCTCGAAGGTGAGGAGACAGATGTTCAGAGGCTGGGCCGCTGCGGCTGGGGGGTAGCTGCCACCCTGTGGTGGCTGACATGGCAGGGTCCTCACCATACCATCAGGTGGGGACTAGGCAGGGCTGGGGCCCCAGATGGATGTGGGGTGCTGGGTCCCTGCCTTAGTATCAGGCGCTCAGAACTGAGACTCAGGCTGGGCCAGGGGACACCTGTTATTCTTTTTTTTTTTTTTTTTTTTTTTTTTTGAGACAGAGTCTCATTCTATTGCTCAGGCTGGAATGCAGTGGCACGATCTCGGCTCACTGCAACCTCCGCCTCCTGAGTTCAAGCAATTCTCCTGCCTCAGCCTCCCGAGTAGCTGAGACTACAGGCGTGTGCCACCACGCCCAGCTAATTTTTGTATTTTTAGTAGAGATAGGGTTTCACCATGTTGAAGACAGAGCAGAACAAGTACCACAGGGCAGAGGCTCAGCCTCACTGAGAGAGGAGCCCTCCACGGGGACACCCTTCCCAGACCGTGCAGCCACTACCACGTCCCTGTGGCTTCAGGGGACAGACGGGTCCTGCAGGGCAGGGCAGGAGCATGGGGTAGGGGACCAGGTCCCTGATCAGAGGCAGCGGCACACACGCCAGATTCCAGCTCCACACATCTGCACGGGACCTCGGGGGCTTGGCACCTTCGCCTTTGCGTTCTCGGCGGGAGCCTGTCGGCCAGCACTGTCACTGGGGACACCAGGCAGACAGGGCCAGCAGCCTCAATGCCACCCTCAACTGTCACCCTACTGGTGGCCACCTTTACCCACGAAAAACAGCGCTCAAGATACAAAACTTGCCCAAGAATTCAAACCTAAGTGTGTGCTGGTTTTCAAAGTCCATGGGAACACTGAAGCTACTACCCCCAAGTCTGATATCTCAACACCAAACAAGAGCCACCTCTACAAAGCTGGGGGACTGAGCCAGGTCTTCTAAGCTGTGGGGGGCCGTCCCTACTACGGCTTGGGCTGTCCTAGAATAGCCACAAGGGCCCTGGGGACCTGGATGGCTCCCACACCTGTGGAGGCCCACGAACCTCACACACCTCGCAGCCGCAGAAAGGGGCCAGGTCAGCAGCTCCACCTGCGTCGGAGCCGCCGCAGCCTCACCTGGCACTCGTTAGGGAGACAAGGCCCAGTCCCCGGCAGACCCACGGACGAAGGAGCTCTGAGAGGCCCGCACTCAGGTTCTGGGTGGCACGATGACTTCCCCAGTCAGCAGAGCAGAAATCGGGGGTGGGGTTGGGATCAAAGAAGCCAAGGCAGGTCCAGTGTCGCCAGGGCACCAGGCTTCTGAAGCTGCTAGAGCCGCCTGCCCTGCAGGTGAATTTGGCTCCTTTTCACCAAACACAGATCCTCAGGGCAGCCTGAGAAAAAGCAGGCGAAGGAACCTGGGTCCTCCAGTCAGCAGGCGCTGGCGTCACAGCGAGAGGGTGACAGGGGCCAGCCGGGCACTGGCCTCCAGGTCCACGACTAAGTCCAAGACAGGCAGCCCGGGCTGGAGGCAGCCCCAGACCGGGCCCCACCGGGATGTCCTTCCCCACGCCCTCCTCACATGATGCAGAGGAGCCCGCAGGCCGCCCGCCCTCTGGACCGTTTGCCCTTCCCCGTGCCCTCCTCTAAGTGAGGGGGGGGGAGCCAGGGGCCAGACAGGGAGAAAGTGGGGGGCACAGCTATGGTCAGGCAGGGTTCGAGCCCAGAGCGGAGTGGAGCGCCCGCCAACCACGGTTTCAAGGCTGTCTCCGCACTGGGCTGGACTCCGAAACTCCACACGTTCCTCCACCCTCCACTCCCACGTGGAGCAGCCCAGCTGCGACTTGAGGACTCACAGCTCTCGCTTCCCCAGCCCCAGGATGGGCTTCCTGAGTGGCCGCAGCCTGTGCCCGGTGCGGTGCAAAGCAGCCTGGCGAGTGGCCATTTCAAGGAGGCACGACCTCCCAGGTGCCCGGGGTCTGAGCGAGGCCAGGCATCAGGCAAGTCTCTGAAGCCTCAGGCCAGTGCTCCAGACACTGAAGGACCATGGGCAAGGCTATCCTCACAGCCAGGCAAGGCCAGGCCACAGAGAGGCCAGACGGGCCTGGGACCCTGCCACAGGCAGCCCTCCTGCTGAGGACTGGACAGAGCCGCCTAGAGGCCCCCGTCCCAGCACCTAGCTATTGCTGTCTCAGGTGTGAGAAGTCGTGAGGGGTGGTCCTGCGAGACCTCCTGCCAAGACCTGGCTGCTGCTGCTGTGTCCCCTGCCCCAAAGCACTCAGCACCACGGGGTGGTCTCACAGGCACTGCACCGCCAGGGCAAGGAGCCACAGGTGCACACCCACCGTGTCCCAGACAGAAGCCAGGCCCCTCCCCCTGCACCCCCTCCTACTGGCCTTCTGGAGAAAGCGGCCAATCTGTTACAATGTAATCACAACACAGATCAAGCGTTCAAAATTCCGCTGAAAATCGAATTTGCCCTTCCAAATTCACAGATAGGCACTTAGTGAACGGCTAGTAGTTACTAAACGCTTCAGAGCAAGAAACTTTTATGATGCAAAGACAAAAACAACCCTCATCTATTAGAGCCAGGCAAGGCCCAGACACTGCAGAAACGGGGACAGGGCCGGGCACTCCAGGAGCGGCCCGAAAGTCTGCCTTCTGTCCTCCTGCTGGGCGCCCGCAACCGGCTGAGCTTTAGCTTCTCGGATCACCGCCTTGCTCTGCTGGTTGACAGCACCGACTTCAGAGCAACTTCCTGGCTGAGGGTGAGCAAAGCACTCACCTCCCACAACTCCACCGCACTGATCTCCACAACGGGTGGTCGCCACGACAGGCTGGCACAAGAAGCCTTTAAAGGCCCTCCTGCACCCAAATGCAAACTCTCCCAGGCTTGGGGAGGTATTCCCTTCTGCAAGACCCAAGCACCTGCAGTCGGGAGACGCTTACCTGGCCGCACCTGATCTGCCCCAGGCCCCGAGAATGTTTCTGAAGCAAGATCCCAAACCCTGAGACACCATACAAGCGCACACCAGCAATCACCCAGTGGCCTAGGGAACGGACCTCTCTGAATGAGCAATCAGGGCAAACTGAGGATCCGTCCCGTCTTCCGTTGCATAGGTTCTCTACCCAAAGGCAACGTTTCTTGAAGAGCAAGAAACACTTGGGGTAGGTCCTGTAAAAGGAAACAAACCGAACTCCCCAAAGACAGGCACTTTGCAAACAGAGAAACTAAGCGTAACTTCCAATTATACAAACAAAACCACTTCATTCTGCGATTCAAGCGTGACTACAGGCCACGATCACAAGCCCAACTAATCATTCCCTTACATTCCTCCTACGCACGTTAACTACCAGAACCAACTACTATTCAACCGATAAAAAGAGATGTCCAAAACAGAATAAAACTCCCCCTCCAGCGAGGCGCTCACGTTCAGGGCCCCAGCAAGCGCCAGCGGAGCATCTTCAGAGGCACAAGAAAACTTACACTTGTTTTGGTTTTAAGGCACCGAAAACAAGCCCGCTCGCCGGCCCCCACCCCCGCGAGCCAGCGATGTTGCAATCCAAGACTCTCCCCCCGCGGCCCATCCTATCCGTCCGCGGGGCGACCGTGACCCCGGAAGCCGCTCCCCGCGCAGGAGGAAGGCGCGGCCTCGCGGGGCCCCGGCTGCAGGTGGCTGCCCCGGCCCCGCGCCAGGCGCACCTCGGGGGCGAAGTGGGGGAGCCCCGGCCCCGAAGGCCTGCGGCGGCCCGGCCGCTCGGGCCGCAGCCCAGCGGCGCCAGCAGCGCGGACCGAGCCGGCGCCGAGCGCGGGGCCTCTCGGGCTCCCCGGAAAGCTCGGCCGCGGCGCGGGGCCCGGCTCGGCGGGGCGGGGCGCGGGGCAGTCGGGGGCCCGGGCCCAACAGGAGTAGAGGCCTCGGCCCGACCCCCGCCCCGCGGCCCCGGCCCGGCCCCCGCACGCGCTCACCTCGGGCGGCCGCAGCCCCGGCGAGCGTAGCGGACAGGTGGAGGACCGAGCGGGGCGGCGGCGGCGGCGCTTCCCTTTGTCTCGGGACTTCCCTCCGGAGCCCGCTCCGCGCGCAGCCAGAGCAGCTCCGAGGACCCTGGCGCGGGCGGGGCGCGCGGGGCGGGGCCTAACGCGGGGCTGCCCTCTGCACGCCTGCCTCGCGCGCCGCTCCTGCCGCCCGGCCCCGAGCGCCTCCCGCGCCGCCGAGCGCTCCCCGTTGCCCGCGCCCCGCCGCCGCGCGCCCGCGCCCCGGGTCCGCCCCAGGAGCCCGGCCGGGGGGCGACTTTCCAGTCAGGCGGCGCCCTGGACACCTACGCCCTTAAAGGAGCCGCGTCCCCGATGTGAGGGAGCGTCTGTAAACTCCCCTTCGGGCTGCCCGCGTCCACCCGAGGACACGCCGGCAAGCAGCGGGGGAAAAAGGAAGCCGAGATCTCCAAAGGCTCCCCGGATGCCTGGCGGTCACCTCTCCAGCCACAGGTCCCGGAGGTTTCCTTGGGGTCAGGTCCTGGGGCCGGGGGTCAAAGACCACTGAGGCCTAAGGATCCTCTGAAGCGTCGCAGGACGGTGACGCTCCCGCGAGTTCAGCGCCCTGTGAAACCCCTTGCAATTGGCCAGTTCGGGGCGGTAGGCGGGGACACCTTCTCATCCGCCCAATGAGCTGACCCCGTACAAAAGGCCGAATGCGAGCATGACCGACGGGAGGAGAAGTGTGGATGCTCCCTAAACCGGGGGCTGGCCCTGGGCCGGGGCGCGGGCGGGACGTGGGGGACCGCGAGCGGCGGGGGCGGGGCGAGCCCGTGGGGGAGGGGCGCTTCCGGTCCCCCCTCCCGCCCACGCAACAAGCAGGACCGGGTCGGGAGGCCCCCAGACCCGCGAGCGCGCGGGACAGTCCGTTCGCCAACGCGCGACCGTGCTGGCCCCCGGGCTCTCCCGGCCCCCCCGCCCGCATTTCGCCGACGGCGGGGCCGCAGCCAAGGTCACGGTGTCCGGGTGCTTGGGGACCGCGGGGAGTGACCACATTCATTCATTCCCTCCCTCACTCATTCATTCATTCCCTCCCCTACTCCGTCATTCCCTCCCTCACTCACTAATTCCCTCCCTCCCTCACTAATTCCCTCCCTCCCTCATTCATTCGATCCCTCCATCACTCAATCATTCCTTCCCTCTCTCACGCATTCCCTCCCTCACTTACTCATTCATTGCCACCCTCACTCACTCATTCCCTCCCTCACTTACTCATTCATTCCCACTCACTCATTCCCTCCCTCACTCACTCATTCCCTCCCTCACTCATTCCCTCCCTCACTCACTCATTCCCTCCCTCACTCATTCCCTCCCTCACTCATTCATTCCCTCCCTCACTCACTCATTCTCACTCTCACTCATTCCCGCCCTCATTCATTCATTCCCGCCCTCATTCATTCATTCCCACCCTCATTCATTCCTTCCCTCCCTCACTCATTCCCTCTCTCATTCATTCCCTCCCTCCCTCACTCACTCATTCCCTCCCTCACTGATTCCCTCCCTCACTGATTCATTCATTCCCTCCATCACTCATTCATTCCTTCCCTCACTCATTCCCTCCCTCACTCATTTCCTCTCTCATTCATTCATTCCCTCCCTCCCTCACTCATTCCCACTCTCACAAACTCATTCCCTCCCTCACTTACTCATTCCTCCCTCATTCATTCCCTCCCTCATTCGTTCATTCCCTCCCTCATTCATTCATTCCCTCCCTCCCTCATTCCCTCCCTCCCTCATTCATTCATTCCCTCCCTCATTCATTCATTCCCTCCCTCATTCATTCCCACCCTCCCTCATTCATTCCCTGCCTCCCTCACTCATTCCCTCCCTCACTCATTCATTCCCTCCCTCCCTCACTGATTCTCTCCCTTATTCATTCCATCCCTCACTCATTCCCTTCCTCCCTCATTCACTTCCTCCCTCACTCATTCATTCACTCCCTCCCTCATTCATTCATTCCCTCCCTCCCTCACTCATTCCCTCCCTTACTCATTTATTCCATCCCTCACTCATTGCCTCCCTCCCTCATTCCCTCCCTCTCTCCCTCATTCATTCATTCCCTCCCTCATTCATTCCCTCCCTCACTCATTCCCTCCCTCACTCATTCATTCCCTCCCTCACTCATTCCCTTCCTCCCTCATTCATTCATTCCCTCCCTCACTCATGCATTAATTCCCTCCCTCACTCACTCATTCCCTCCTTCACTCATTCACTCCCTCCCTCCCTCACTCATTCCCCCACCACCTCCCACAGGGTCCCCAGCGGGCATTTCCCTGTCAGGCACCTGCAGCAGGAGGGGCAGCCACACACCCTGGGTCTGCCTGCCTGGGAGGCGCAGCCGTGGGGATGTGGGTCCAGGGCAGCAGGGGCAGCCTCCCCCAGAATCCAGTCCCTGGAAGCCATGCACAGCCCTGTCCCACCAAGACCAGCGGGGGCCTGGCCTGGCTGCAACTCCCAGGCTCAGAGCCTCCGTGGCCTGTCTAGACACCTGCTGTCCTGGCCCCCAGCCTTGAGGTCCTGGGAATCTGCTTTTTTTTTTTCCTTTTTTTTGTGAGATGGAGTCTCACTGTGTTGCCCAGGCTAGAGTGCAGTGGCGCCATCTTGGCTTACTGCAACCTCCACCTCCTGAGTTCAAGCGATCCTCCTGCCTCAGCCTCCCGAGTAGCTGGGATTACAGGCGTGCACCACCACACCCGGCTAATTTTTGTATTTTTAATAGAGACGGGGTTTCACCATGTTGGCTAGGCTGGTCTCAAACTCCTGACTTCAAGTGATCCGCCCACCTCGGCCTCCCAAAGTGCTGGGATTACAGGTGTGGACCACCACGCCCAGCTGAAATCTGCATTCTTAACCAGCCCCCTGGGCAAGCCTGGCAGAGGGATATGGCCCTTTGGCTTCCTGACATGGGCTAAGGTTCCAACGCCATCTTTCTGGCGAAGATGCCAGCACAGGGCTGTGTGGGGAGGCGTCAGCCAGTAAAAGCCGTGGCTGAAGAAAAGCAAGACAGCCACGGGCCTCGGTGGATCCCGCTGCAGCCTCAGGCACAGAGAGGGCAGGGCTGGTGAGGTGGGGGGCTTGTCATGAGTGGGGCTTGGGGAGACTGACTGGATGTGGTGTGTGGCTGGGGAGGGCCTGGGCCTGAACCTGTGGGCCATGGGAGCCATAGAAGGTTGTGGAACAGGAGAAGTAAGACAAGGCCCTGGTTCCCTGTGTGTGTGTGGTGAGGGACTGAGGAGACATGGCTCAGGCATCTAGAGAATTCCTGTCCTGGTGGGAAGTAGTGCCAGGAGGGGCTGGGGTTTGGGGAGGCTGTGGCAGGTGAGGGTGAGGGACATGGAGCAGGTAGGGGTGAGGGTCATGGAGCAGGTGGGGGTGAGGGGCATGGAGCAGGTGGGGGAGGGAAGAGGCTCCCTCAGTTGTGCATCCTCAGCCCACAAGTGTCCTTTGAGCAGCCTGCACCTGGCACACGTTTTCAAGGAGAGGGGACTTGTTGGGTCCAGCTCCCTGGGTACAAAGGAGAAACTGAGGCTTGGAGAGGGTGGGGGGTTTGAATCAGTAACTATAAGATCCTGGGCAAGGCTTGTGGCTGACTGTGCCAGGCACGCGCCCACCTTTGCCCTGGTCCCCTTGGGAGGGGAGCAGGAAGTGTGATGCAGAGCTGCCTGCGGTAGGGCGGGACCTCCAGTGCCCTGGGTGCCCCCTCCGGGGCCTGCTGGGGCCAGGCTCTGCACAGGGGTTTGAGAGCAGAGGCCTCTTCACTGAGGGCCGATTCCCCCAGAGGAATAAGGGCCTCTGCAGTAGAGTGAAGGTGGACCCTTACCCCGGAGCACGCACAAAAACCAGCTCAAAAGTCAGCCTCGGGCCAGGCGCGGTGGCTCACGCTGGTAATCCCAGGACTTTGGGAGGCTGAGTAGGGCAGATCGCTTGAGCTCAGGAGTTTGAGACCAGCCTGCCCAACATGGTGAAACCCTGTCTCTACTAAAAATGCAAAAATTAGTTGGGTGTGGTGGTGCACGCCTGTAATTCCAGCTACTTCGAAGGCTGAGGCAGGAGAATCTCCTGAACACGGGAGGCAGAGGTTGCAGTGAGCCGAGATGGCGTCACTGCACTCCAGCTTGGGCAACAGAACGAGACTTCATTTAAAAATAAAAAGAAAAAAAAATTCACATATCTGAGAAGGAGTTATTATCCAGGATAATAGGCTGGGCGCGGTGGCTCACGCCTGTAATCCCAGCACTTTGGGAAGCTGAGGTGGGCAGATCACTTGAGGTCAGAAGTTCGAGACCAGCCTGGACAACATGGTGAAACCCCGTCTCTACTAAAAAATACTAAAGTTAGCTGGGTATGGTTGTGCACACCACTCCAGCTCCTGGGGAGGCTGAGGCACAAGAATCGCTTGAACCCGGCAGGCGAAGGTTGCGGTGAGCTGAGATTGCACCACTGCACTCCAGCCTGGGGGACAGAATGAGCTTCGTCTCAAAAAAATAACAAAAAAATCTGGGATATAGAAAATCCCTACATCAATAAGAAAATGGCTCTGGAGGGCCGGGCGCAGTGGCTCACGCCTGTAATCCCAGCACTTTGGTAGGCTGAGGCAGGTGGATCACCTGAGGTCAGGAGTTCAAGACCAGCCTGGCCAACATGGTGGAACCCCATCTCTACTAAAAATACAAAAATTAGCTGAGCATGGTGGCAGGCGTCTGTAATCCCAGCTACTGGGGAGGCTGAGGCAGGAGAATCGCTTGAACCCAGGAGGCAGAGGTTGCAGTGAGCCAAGATCATGCCATTGCACTCTAGCCTGAGTGACAGAGTGAGACACCGTCTCAAAAAAACCAAAACAAGGCCGGGCGCGGTGGCTCAGCACTTTGGGAGGCCGAGGCAGGCAGATCATGAGGTCAGGAGATCGAGACCATCCTGACTAACACGGTGAAACCCCGTCTCTACTAAAAATACAAAAAATTAGCCGGATGTGGTGGTGGGCGCCTGTAGTCGCAGCTACTCGGGAGGCTGAGGCAGGAGAATGGCGTGAACCCAGGAGGCGGAGCTTGCAGTGAGCGGAGATCTCGCCACTGCACTCCAGCCTGGGCGACAGAGCGAGACTCGTCTCAAAAAAAAACAACAAAAAAAAAACAAGCAAACAAAAAAAGACTCTGGTTCCTGCCCCTCCAGCCCGGATGTACCTCACTTCCTCCTCCAATTCAGGACACGCCCTCGACTCTCTGGGGGTCTCCCCTGCAGCTCAACCAGCCAGGATGAGGGTTTCAGAAGATACTGCTCAGAGGCTGTGACCCAGCTGTGCCCCGATCCTACTGTGCTCTGCAGGGCTCCTCCCGAGCTCCCTGGGGGAACCCCCTAACTGTAGAGGCCTGGGCCCTCAGCCTCTGGCTGGCCCCAGAGAGTGCAGGGGGTGTCTTCTAGTCTCAAATTCCCCAGGCTGGGAGGCTCAGTAGGGAGAAGGAGCAAAGCCCGCTCCCTCGCTCCTGACTGTGCCGCTTCCTTGGTGGTGGTCACCAGGCTCACAGGTCCCCATCCGCTAGAAGAATGGTGGGGGTAGGAGCAAAGTCTGGGGCCGTTTCTGTTTCCCTGTGCCGTGACCTACAGCTTTGATTTTCTGCACTCTCAAAGAGGTGGGCCTCATTGGATGCCTGTCACTGCCAATCCCCAAATTGATCACCTCTGTCGCGGAAGAGAGAGGCCGGGACCAGATTGGGGTGAGGGATGGGTCTCCAGTCCTGGTCGTGGCCAGCACAGTTGGAATGACCGTCGTGAGCACTGCAGAGAATAAAGAGAGCGCCCGGTGGAGTCGTGGCAGCCCCTGGAAACCCATGCAGGGAGAGTCCAGCCAGGAGCCAGGACTTTTTGGCCCCCAACCCTCTGAAACAGACGGAAAAGCCCACAGACCGGGGTGCATGGGGCGTGACCTTTCCTCCTCCCACCTGGCCCTGCGTGCAGCATTCTTGTCCTGGTACATGTGGGCGGGTCAGGTACCCTCCTCTCTCTCCCCGACTGCAGCCTGTTCTGCCTCTGATAGATGCTGCTAAGACCAGGAGCCCTTGGATAGGGCAGGAGTGGCCTGCCCATGCCGTATTCCCTCCACGTCGTCCCTCTGCCCAAGCCTGGCTCCTGCACACCTGGGCTGCTTCCTGCCTCCATGCCTTTCCCTGAGCAGTGCCCCACCCACATGCCCCGCCCTCCCACCTCACCCGCCCGGTGGCTCTTTCCGGCCTCCTCTAAATCGCAGCCCTTGGCCGGGCACAGTGACTCACAACCTGTAATCCCAGCACTTTGGGACGCCGAGGTGGGCGGATCACTTGAGGTCAGGAGTTCAAGACTAGCCTGACCAATATGGTGAAAACCCATCTCTACTAAAAATACAAAAATTAGCCAGGTGTGGTGGCAGGCGCCTGTAATCCCAGCTACTCAGGAGGCTGAGGCAGGAGAACTGCTTGAACCGGGGGGGTGGAGGTTGCAGTGAGCTGAGATCACACCACTGCACTCCAGCCTGGGTGACAGAGAGAGACTCCGTCTCAAAAATAAATAAATAATACATTTAGAGACAGGGTCTCCCTGTGTTGCCCCGGCTGGTCTCAAATTCCTGGGCCCAAGGGACCCTCCTGCCTCGGCCTCCCAAAGTGCTGGGATTACAGGTGTGAGCCACCATGCATGGCTAATTTAATGTAATTTGATTTAATTTTGAGACAGAGTCTCACTGTGCCACCCAGGCTAGAGCGCAGTGCTGCAATCCTGTCTCACTGGAGCCTTGACATCCCCAGTCTCGAGCGATCCTCCCACCACAGCCTCCCAAGTCGCTGGGACTACAGGTGTGAACTACCACACCCTACTAATCCACACCCCGCTAATTTTTGTACCTTTTGTAGAGACTGGGTTTTACCACGTTGTCCAGGCTGGTCTGTAACTCCTGGGCTCAAGCGATCGTCCCACCTCAGCTTCCCAAAGTGCTGGGATTGCAGCGTGAGCCACTGTGCCCTGCCCACTCTATAATTCAACATTTTTATTATTGTTTGTTTTAGTTTTTTTTTTTTTTTTTTTGAGACAAAATCTCACTCTGTTCCCAGGCTGGAGTGCAGCGGCGCAATCTCGGCCCACTGCAACCTCCTCCTCCTGGGTACAATCAATTCTCCTGCCTCAGCCTCCTGAGGAGCTGGGATTACAGGCGCACACCACCACGCCTGGCTAATTTTGTATTTTTACCATGTTGGCCAGGTTGGTCTCCAACTCCTAACCTCAGGTGATCCACCCGCCTTGGCCTCCCAAAGTGCTGGGATTACAGGCATGAGCTATCATGAGCCATCATGCCTGGCCTATTTTTTATTTTTTGAGATGGAGTCTCGCTCTTTCGCCTAGGCTGGAGTGCAGTGAGGCAATCTTGGCTCACTGCAACCTCCGCCTCCTGGGTTCAAGCGATTCTCCCGCCTCAGCCTCCCGAGTAGCTGGGTTGACAGGCACCTGCCATCATGCCCGGCTACTTTTTGTATTTTTGTAAAGACGGGGTTTCACCATGTTGGCCAGGCTGGTCTGGAACTCCTAACCTCAGGTGATCCACCCGCCTCGGCCTCCCAAAGTGCTGGGATTACAGATATGAGCCACTGTGCCCGACCCAACTTCATATTTACTCTCTGTTGTTTTCAAGACAGCAGAAGCTCCCTGAATGTGTGTTCATGCTGGGCCAGCACCGTGCTGGGGTAAAGGAGGATCCATTCCGGCCACCACCTCCGTCCTGAGCTGACAGGCCGCTGGGGAGATGGTCAGCAAGGGGGGAGTTGCTGCAGAGCCAGAGCCACACTATTGTGAGGACAGTGAAAGAGGCCCCAACACCCTCACAGGTCCGGGCAGCCTTCCTAGAGGAGGTGGCATTGAGGTGGGCATGGAGTTTCCGGGATGCAGCGGTGAAGGGTGAGGTCAGAGAGAGTGGGCCAGGGCGTGGTTCAGAATGGCCAGGCTGAGGGCTCAGGGGTGGGGGCTGCCTGAATCGAGCCCAGCAAGGAATTCGGACTCCCCCCTGCCGGCAGAGGGGCACCAGAGTAGGGTCTTCATAACACAAGCGATTGGCATTCTGCTTGGATCAGAGCTGTGGAGCAGCTGGGAGGGGCAGGACCCTCGCGGGAAACCTCTCAGCCGAACTCCTGCAGAAATCTGGGGTGTGGGGGCTCGGTGGTGTGGACAGGGCCACGCAGAGAGGTGGATGGAGGGGTACCTGGGACTCAGACTTGCAGGGAGTGGGAGGGCAGGGGGAGTCCAGGGTGACCCCCTGGCCTAGCGTTTGCGTGGCTGGGGGATGCCGGGTCCGCAGGTCTGGGTGGCCGAGGGTCGAGGGGGGAGCTCAGGTTGGGTCCTGCTGGGCTCCCGGAGCCTGGGACCCGGTGGAGTGCAGACCTGGCTGTCCCGGCTGGGCAGGTGCGTGAAGCCCCATGAGGAGGCGGCCCGGGAGGGGGCGGGCAGAGGCAAGAGGGCTGTGCCGGGACCCAAGCGACGGCAGCAGGGGTCAGCAGAGGGGCCTGCGGCGGGGTGGACGCTGGAGCAGGAGACCAGGGGAGGTTTGTCAACAGGGCTCCACAGACGGCCAGCCGGGCAGAGCTGCCGGGAGTCCGTCCGCCTCCTGGGCTGCCTGCCGCCCCCTGCTGGCCCTGCCGTGAAACGCTGGTGCCTCAGGGGACACGGCCATGGCCCTGGAGTGGGTGTCACCGTGGGGCCGCCCCCGGGAGGGGCTCTGCCTGAGCCTGTGGAGACCCCTCCAGGGACACCGGATGCCTGAGCCCAGAGCCGCGCCTGCAGAGTGGGCTGTGCTTGTGTTGGGGCACGAAGGACACGCTTTGGCCAGGACAGTGGGGCACTGACTGGTGTCTAAGATGCTTGAGGCAGGGCAGGCAGACCTGCAGTCACTCCTCTGCAGAGTCGCACACCGGGGCGTGTGGGCTCTCAGCCCTCACCCCACCCAGCAGGAGGGCGTGGGGAGGCGGGGCAGCGGGTTGGACCAGGTCTCCTGACATGGGGCTGCAGCCAGGTGGGGTTGGGCTCCTGGGATTCCCATGCGCGTGGACGGTGGGTCAGATGCTGTAGCCGCCATCTGAAGCCGACGTGTGAAACTTCAGCTTCTTAGCAAGGTAGACTGATGCTTTTTTTTATTTTTTAAGACTGAGTTTCGCTCTTATGGACCAGGCTGGAGTGCAATGGCATGTTCTCGGCTCACTGCAATCTCTGCCTCCTGGGTTCAAGTGATTCTTGTGCCTCAGCCTCCCACGTAGCTGGGATTACAGGCGCCCACCAGGCCTGGCTCATCTTTTGCATTTTTAGTAGAGATGGGGTTTTGCCATGTTGGCCAGGGCTGGTCTCCATCTCTTGACCTCAGGTGATCCGCCTGCCTCAGCCTCCCAAAGTGTTGGGATCACAGGCGTGAGCCACCACACCCGGCCTCCCGCGCGACCCTGGCACTGTTAAAATTTTTTTTTTTTTTAAACAAACTTCAGCTTCTTAGACGGGCTTTCAGGGCTACAGAAATCGCTCACGTTTTACACCCGCTTATGTAAGTGTGTGTGCGCTGGAGCGGGTGTACACAGGCATGTTCACTGCACCTGTATACAGGTGCAGGCGTTTCAGGGGGGCATTAGCTACACAGCATTTCTCAACCTTTTGGAAGCTGGGGTAATTTGGCTCTGAAACCTGTTCCCTGGGTCGTGCCCTCTTGCGGATCCAGGAGAGCAGGGACATTTGCCTGTGCGTTCACTGCCGTATTCTTGGTGTCTGGAGCAGTGCCTGACCTGTGGCGGGTGCTTAGTGAGTTATCCGTGCAATGAATGAATGAATCAATGAATGAATGAATGAATGAATGAACGAACCAGCCGGAACCTTGCTGGCCGTTGACTGAAAATGTCTGGATTCAATTGACTGAATCAAACAGACTTAGAGCTTGAGAGGGAAAAATTATTTCACTTAGAAAATAAAAGTTATCTCTGCAGGACTAGACATGAAAGGAAAAAAAAAAGAAAAAAGAAAAAAGTTCTACCTTTGCCCCCGCGGTTCTCAGGTTTCACCTGACGTGGTGAAATACGCTGTAGGTCACATGCGTAGGTTTGGCCGCTGGCCGTCCAGTAGTCCTCCCACCCCGGGGGACGGGTGCGGGGGGTGACCCGGTGAAGAGGGCAGGGAGCTGGGGCAGCCTGCTGTGCGGAGCTGGGGGAGGAGGAGGGAGCCCTGGGGGACAGACAGAAGGACCATCGAAGGAGAAACCCTGCTGGCCTCGGGACCTGGAGGAAAGAACCAGGGCCCGTGCTCCTTGGGCCAGGATCCGGCGATTGGACGGAACCTCTCGGATTCCCCAGTGCTGTGAAATCCACTTGGGGCCATCACACCCTTCATTGCTGTGCTCCCTGGCAGAACTCGAATGCAGCGTGAGCTGGGCACTTTTCCCAGGGTTTGCTCTAGGTCTGGGTCTCCCATCAGCTCCCCCGGAGCAGAGCCTGAGGCAAGGATTCTTGTTCGGGGGCATCTTCCTCTCAGCACCGTGCTTTGGGAATCGAGTGATGGTGCTGAGTGAACCCCTGAGTGAACATCTGTGGCTTCCTCCCACCTCGTCTCTGGATGCACTCCTGTTCGAATGGTACCTGATCTTCTTCTGTGTGAGAATTTTCTCTGGGCACAGTCTGTCCAGGAGGGGACACGAGTACCCCTAATTTCACTAAGTGTGGCTGAATTATCTTCCAGGGTGTCTGTACATGCTTGTCCCCTCCCCACGGTGGCGTGCTCAATGGTGGCTCCCCACAGATATGTCCGTGTCCTAATTCCCGGAGCCTTTGGGTCTCATGTAGCCAATGATGTGAAAAAGTGAAGGATGCTGAGAGGAGATCATCCAGGTGGGCTCTGAACAGTATCCTGTGCATCTTTCTAATAAGAGGGGTTCACCGGGATCCTGTGCATCTTTCTAATAAGAGGGGCTCACCGGGTGCGGGGGCTCACGCCTATCATCCCAGCACTTTGGGAGGCCAAGACGGGCAAATCACGTGAGGTCTGGAGTTTGGAACTAGCCTGGGCATCATGGTGAAACTCCGTCTCTACTAAAACTACAAAAATCAGCCAGGCGTGGTGGCCTGTAATCCCAGCTACTCCGGAGGCTGAGGCCTGAGAATCGCTTGAACCCGGGAGGTGGAGATCACGCCATTGCACTCCAGCCTGGGTGACAGAGTGAAACTTCACCTGAAAAAAAAAAAGAGGGTTCCACAGAGGGGACGCAAACAGGAGGGGACAGCGTGGCCATGGAGGCAGCAGGGAGTGGCACAGCCATCATGACAATAAGAAAAGACAGGACTTAAACACATAAATAATTTCCACTGTTTTAAACTACCATGTTTGTGGTAATTTGTTACAGCAGTGGCAGGAAATTAATACACCCATCTTTAGGACACAAGCGTTCCCCTTTCTCAGGCTAGACACGGTGGCTCACACCTATAATTCCAGCACTTTGGGAGGCCCAGGTGGGAGGATCATTTGTGCCCAGGAGTTTGAGACCAGCCTGGGAAACACAGTGAGATCCCATCTCTACAAAAAACTAAAAAGACACAGACATGAGCCACTGTGCCTGGCCTCCGAATTATGTTTCTTTGCTATATTTTGAAATGGCCCTGCAAAGCCATCTTTTGTGGGGGGAGATATGCGTCTATAAGGAATTTCAGGCCGGGCACAGTGGCTCACGCCTATAATCCCAGCACTTTGGGAGGCCGAGGTGGGTGGACCACGAGGTCAAGAGATTGAGACCATCCTGGCCAACATGGTGAAACCCCATCTCTAGTAAAAATAAAAAAATTAGCTGGGCGTGGTGGCGGGCACCTGTAATCCCAACTACTCAGGAGGCTGAGGTAGCAGACTCACTTGAACCCAGGAGGTGGAGGTTGCAGTCAGCCGAGGTCATGCCACTGTACTCCAGCCTGGGCAACAGAGCAAGACTCTGTCTTAAAAAAAATAATAAAAATAAAACGCTTCCCTGCCACAGCCCTTGGCATTGGTACGCTGACCTGCCAGGCATTGGACTGTGGTTACCCACAGGTTACCCACGATTTCTGTCTGACCTGGCTACAAATAGGCCATTCCCAGGACCCACCTCTTGAGCCCAACAATTTGCTAGAGTGGCTCACAGGACTCAGGGAAATGCTTTATTTACTATTACAGATTTATTACAAAGGATATGTAAGCCAAAAAGTATTTGAGATACGTCTCAATCAATTTAGAAGTTTATTTTGCCAGGGTTAAGGATTTGGCCATGACACAGCCTTAGGAGGTCCTGAGAATGTGTGAAGGTGTCTGGGCTACAGCTGTTTTTTTTTTTTTTCTGGAGAGAGAGTCTTGCTCTGTTGCCAGCTGGAATGCAGTGGCACTGTATCAGCTCACTGTGTTAAATATAGTGAACTCCGAGTTTCTCTTCAAAGAATCAGCATGTCAGTTTGTTCAGCTCTCTTATTCTTTGATTCTCCATTTTAAAGCTTAACTTCCTGGTTCTTTGCTCCCTTGCCTCTACTTTCAGTAAACAACTTTCCCACCAGTTCTAATCAGTAGCTCACATCTCTTCCCTGGTCATCTGCTCTGCCCTGAGTCACCCTGTCACCTGCTCTGCCCTGACACATCCTGAGTCACCTGTTCTATAACTGTCCTTCCTGCCAAACTACTCACTCTGCCACTCCGACTCGTACCCCTGCTCTCTTTAAAATAGCCAATTGGAATTAGCTTAGACTGTGTGGTCCAACCCTAGCCAATAGGGGAACCACACAGCAGGAGGGGCTGCCGGCGTCAGGGATAAGAACCCCTTCCCCTCCCCTGTCCAGGTGTGCTCTCGCCATTGCTCCATCCGTGAGATGCACCCTTCTATAGAAGTAAATTGTCTTGGGGCTGGGCATGGTGGCTCACACCTGTAATCCTAGCACTTTGGGAGGCTGAGGCGGGTGGATCACGAGGTCAGGAGTTCGAGACCAGCCTCACCAACATGGTGAAACCCCGTCTGTAGTAAAAATACAAAAATTAGCTGGGCGTAGTGGAGGGCACCTGTAATCCCTGCTACTCAGGAGGCTGAGGCAGGAGAATCACTTGAACCCGGGAGGTGGAGACTGCAGTGAGCCGAGATCACACCACTGCACTCCAGCCTGGGTGACAGAGCGAGACTCTGTCTCAAAAAAAAAAAAAAAAAAAAATGTAAATTGTCTTGGTGAGAAAATTTTTGGTCTGAGTGTTAGTTCTTCTTTTTGGCATGAAGGAACAAGCATTTGTTTCTAACAACTGCAACCTTTGCCTCCCATGTTCAAGTGATTCTCCTGCCTCAGTCTCCCAAGTAGCTGGGATTACAAGCACCTACCACCATGCCTGGCAATTTATTTTATTTTATTTTATTTTTTGAGATGGAGTCTGGCTCTCTGTTGCCCAGGCTGGATTGCAGTGGTGCAATCTCGGCTCACTGCAACGTCTGCCTCCCAGGTCCAAGCGATTCTCCTGCCTTAGCCTCCCAAGCAGCTGGGATTACCTGCACCTGCCACCACACCTGGCTAATCTTTGTATTTTTAGTAGAGATGGGGTTTTGCCACATTGGCCAGGCTGGTCTTGAACTCCTGACCTCAAGTGATCCACCCTCCTCAGCCTCCCAAAGTGCTGGGATTACCGGCGTGAGCCACTGTGCCCAGCTTTTTTTGTATTTTTAATAGAGACGGGGTTTCACCATGTTGGCCAGGCTGGTCTCAAACTCCTGACCTCAAGTGATCTGCCTGCCTCGGCCTCTCAAAGTGCTGGGATACAGGTGTGAGCCACTCGTCTGGCCTCCAGCTTGGTTTTATACATTTTAGGGTGACCAAAGTTATAGGCAGAGATCAGTCAATACATGCAAGGTGCACGCTGGTTCAGTCTGGAAAGGTGGAATGTCTGAGGGGAGCTTCCCAGTCATAGGTGGATTCAAAGATTTCCGGGCTGGTAGTTGGTTGAAAGACTTAAGTTTTGCCTAAAGAGTTGAAGTCTGCAGAAAAAAATGGGGCTAAATTCAGGGGGGATTGTGGAAGCCAAGGTTCTTGTTATGTAGATGAAGCATCCAGGTAGCAGGCTTCAGAGAGAATAGATGGCAAATGTCTCTTACCAGAGCTTAAAAGGTGCTAGACTCTCCTGAAAATACTTAGTAAGGGCCGGGCACGGTGGCTCACACCTGTAATCCCAGCACTTTGGCAGGCTGAGGCAGGCGGATCACCTGAGGTTGGGAGTTAGAGACCAGCCTGACAAACATGGATAAACCCCATCTCTACTAAAAATACAAAATCAGCTGGGCATGATGGCACATGCCTGTAATCCCAGCTACTTCGGAGGCTGAGGCAGGAGAATTGCTTGAACCTGGGAGGCAGAGGTTGCAGTGAGCCAAGATCGCGCCATTGCACTCCAGCCTGGGCAACAAGAGTGAAACTCCATCTCAAAAAAAAAAAAAAAAAAAGAGACCTGTTAAGGGAAGACGATTCTCTGCAGAGTGTAAATTTCCCCCACAAGAGGCAGCTTTGCAGGGCCATTTAAAAATATATCAAATAAATATATTTTGGGGCTGGACATAGTGGCTGACGCCTATAATCTCAGCACTTTGGGAGGCCAAGGTGGGCAGATCACTTGAGGTCAGGAGTTCGAGACTAGCCTGGGCAACATGGCGAGACCCCATATCTACTAAAAATACAAAAATTAGCCAGGCATGATGGTGGGCACGTGTAATTCCAGCTACTCAGGAGGCTAAGGCATGAGAATCACTTGAACCCGGGAGGTGGATGTTACAGTGAGCCGAGATCATGTGACTGCACTGTAGCCCGGGCAATAGAGCGAGACTCCCTCTCAAAAAAAAAAAAAAAAAAAAAAAAATCTGTTTTAATGTTAAGGCTGGTCAGTGGGGCCTGAATCCCAAAGGGAGGAGGGTGTAATGAGGCATGTCCAATCCCCCTTCCCAGCGTGGCCTGAACTAGTGTTTTGAGCCACTTTCGAATCCCCTTGGAGGAGAGGAGGGGTCTGTTTCATCAGTTGGGGGCTTATAATTTTATTTTTGTTTTGCAGATGTCTTAGAGGATAAAAATGAGCGGGCAGATGAAGAGATACTCAGGGTGAGGTTTGGAAGGTGCACCAGGCCCACCCCATGGATGTGGCTCAGAGAGCCTGGGAAACGTGAGGTCTGTGACCTGGATCAGGCCCAGAGAGACCTGAGCAGGAGGCGTGTGAAGCCCCTGCGCCTGTGCGAGGAGGGAAGCTGTTTCAGGGAATTTGCCTTTCTTTCCCTGTAGTTTCAGACTAGCTGATAAATTACCTAAAATGTTACCACAAGATGCACAATGTAACCATCACTCATTATCTTCATGTTCCTGGAATTTTTTTTTTTTTTTTGAGATAGAGTGTAGCCTCATGGCAGCCTCAACCTCCTGGGCTCAAGTTGTCAGAGGCGTGTGAACCAGAGCAACTCCATCTTGAATGGGGCTGCGTAAAATGAAGCTGAGACCTGTGGGGCTGCATTCCCAGACCGCTGTGGCATTCTGAGTCACAGGGTGAGACAGGAGGTCAGCACAAGATACAGGTCATAAAGACCTTGCTGATAAAACAGGTTGCAGCAAAGGAGCCGTCCAAATCCCACCAAAACCAAGATGGTGACAAGAGTGACCTCTGGCCGTCCTCACTGCCACACTCCCACCAGCCGTGACAGTTTACAGATGCCATGGCAACCTCAGGAAGTCACCATATATGGTCTAAAAAGGGGAGGTATGAATAATCCACCCCTTGTTTAGCATATCATCAAGAAATAACCACAAAAACGGAGAACCAGCAGTCCTCGGGGCTGCTTTGTCTATGGAGTAGCCATTCTTTTTTTTTTTTTCGAGATGGAGTCTCGCTCTGTTGCCTGGGCTGGAGTGCGGTGGCATGATCTTGGCTCACTGCAACCTCTGCCTCCTGGGTTTAAGTGATTCTCCTGCCTCAGCCGAGCTGAGTAGCTGGGCTTACAGGCACCCACCACCATGCCCGGCTAATTTTTTGTATTTTTAGTAAAGCCAGGGTTTCATTATACTAGCCAGGCTGGTCTCGAACTCCTGACCTCATGACCTGCCTGCCTCAGCTTCCCAAAGTACTGGGATTACCGGTGTGAACCACCGTGCCCAGCCAGAGTAGCCATTCTTTACTCCTTTACTTTCCTAATAAACTTCCTTTCACTTTACTCTGTGAACTTGCCCTGAATTCTTTCTTGTGAGAGATCCAAGAACCCTCTCTTGGGGTCTGGATTGGCACCCCTTTCCTGTAACAAAGCCATTCTCCCACCTTAGCCTCCCAAATAGCTAAGACCACGGGTGTGTGCCACCGTGCCTGGCTAATTTTTAATTTTTTTTTTTAAGAGATAGGGTCTCCAGCCTGACCAACATGGCAAAACCCTGTCTCTACTAAATATACAAACAAATGAGCTGGGCATGGGGGCGGGTGCTTGTAGTCCCAGCTACTTGGGAGGCTGAGGCAGGAGAATTGATTGAACCCGGGAGGCAGAGGTTGCAGTGAGCTGAGATGGCACCATTGCACTCCAGCCTGGGCACAGTGAGACTCCGTCTCAAAAAAAAAAAAAGATGGAGTCTCACTGTGTAACCCAGGCTGGTCTCGAACTCCTGACCTCAAGTGATCCTCCCGCTTTAGCCTCCCGAAGTGCTGTGATTACAGGCATGAGCCACCACACCCAGCCCACCGTGCAGGCAGTGACTCACACCTGTAATCCCAGTACTTTGGGAGGCTGAGGTGGGAGAATTGCTTGAGCTGAGGAGTTCAAGACCAGCCTTGGTGACACAGTGAAACCCTGTCTTTGCTAAAAATAAGAAAATTAGCCGGGCGTGATAGCATGTGCCTGTAGTCCCAGCTATTCTGGAGGCTGAGGACAGGATGGCTTGAGCCTGGGAGGTGGAGGTTGAGTGAGCTGAGATCAGGCCACTGGGCGACAGAGCAATAGCCTGGGAAAAGGAGAGAGGGAGGGGGAAGTGGGGGGGGGGAGAGGAAAGGAGAGGGGAGAGGGGGAGGGGAGAGGGGAGAGGAGAGAGGGGAGAGGGGGAGGGGGAGGGGGAGAGGGGAGAGGGAGGAGGGGAGAAGGGAGAGGAAAGGAGAGGGGAGAGGGGAGGGGAGAGGGGAGAGGAAAGGAGAGGGGAGAGGAAAGGAGAGGGGAGAGGAAAGGAGAGTGGAGAGAGGAGAGGGGAGAGGAAAGGAGAGGGGAGAGAGGAGACGGTAGAGGGGAGAGGGGAGAGGAAAGGAGAGGGGAGAGGAAAGGAGAGGGGAGAGGAAAGGAGAGGAGAAAGGAAAGTCAGGCTGGGTGCGGTGGCTCACCCCTGTAATCCCAGCACTTTGGGAGGCCGAGTCAGGTAGATCACTTGAGGTCAGGAGTTTGAGACCAGCCTGACCAACATGGTGAAACCCTCGTTTCTACTAAAAATACAAAATTAGCCAGGTGTGGTGGCGTGCGCTGTAATCCCAACTACTTGGGAGGCTGAGGCAGGAGAATCACTTGAACCCAGTAGGCAGAGGTTGCAGCGAGCTGAGATCGTGCCACTGCACTCCGGCATGGGTGACAGAGCGAGACTCCATCTGAAAAAAAAAAAAAAAAAAAAGAGGAAAGGAGAGGGAAAAGAGGCTTGTAGTTCTGCAGGCTGTACGGCACGGCATCAGTATCTGCTTGGCTTCTGGGGAGGCCTCGGGAGCTTCCCGTGGTGGCGGAAGGCCAAGGGGGAGCCAGGGTATCCCACGGTGAAGGAGGAAGCAAGAGAGAAGGACCGAGAGGGACCAAGAGCCAGACCGAGTGGGCTGAGCGGCGCCCACCCAGGTTTCAGGAGGAAGGAGATTTCGGGTGGGAAACAAACTCACCGGGTGGGGCTGTTCGTCACAGGAGCGTGTCCTGCTGGTCACTTACGATTGCTGGGCCCATGACAGCAGCAGCTGGTCAGGCACGGGCAGGGCAGGAGAGGGCTCCCCTCCCACACACCGGGAGCATCAGTCGTCCTTCGGGCGATGGTCAGGCGGTTGTTAACTGCCTGTGTAACATAATACTTGTTGCAGCTGGCACCAGGGAAAGGCAGGCTCCCAATAGACAGCAAACACCTGAAACCGGTGATCAGCAGCTTCCCGGTAAGATCTCAGGAGCTGGGCGAGGGGGCTGGAGCAGGCACACTAAGAGGCAAAATGGCAGAGTTTAACTGGTCTATGGCCTTCAAGGGACCTGCGGCTGGTCATGAAGAGCGCCTCAAGTGAGCACACGCACGACTGCGGCAAACGCACCACACACGCTCCCCTCCCGAGCGCCAGCAGGCCATGGCACACGCAGACAGCCCACTCACGGGAGGAATCTCGGGAGAAGGGATGCGAGGCCCTGGAAGCATGCCAACCTATAAGAACCCAAGTCAGGCTGGGCGCGAGGGCTCATGCCTGGAATCCCAGCACTTTGGGAGGCCGAGGTGGGCGGATCACGAGGTCAGGAGTTTGACACCAGTCTGGCCAACATGGTGAAACCCTGTCTCTGCTATAAATACAAAAAATAGCTGGGTGTGGTGGCGCATGCCTGAATCGTTTGAATCCGGCAGGTGGAGGTTTCACTGAGCTGAGATCCCGCCATTGCACTCCAGCCTGGGTGACAGAACAAGACTCTGTCTCAAAAAACAAACAGCCCCAAGTCAAAGGTCAAACTGCAGACTTCTCTTTCGAGTTGCCTGCTTGGGCGTTTTCCAAGTGTACTTGCCTTCATTTTGTTCCTGCTCTAAAGCTGCTTATTTTTATTTATTATTATTATTTTTAGATAGGTTCTCACTCCGTTACCCAGGCTGGAGTGCAGTGGCGCAATCTCGGCTCACCGCAACCTCCGCCTCCCGGGTTCAAGCAATTCTCCTGCCTCAGCCTCCCGAGTAGCTGGGATTACAGGCATGCGCCACCACGCCCGTCTAATTTTTGTATTTTTAGTAGAGACAGGATTTTACCACATTGGCCAGGCTGGTCTTGAACTCCTGGCCTCAAGTGGTCTTCCCGCCTTGGCCTCTCACAGTGCTGGGATTACAGGCATGAACCACCACACCCGGCCTCTAAAGCTTTTTAATAATCGTTCACTCCTGCTCTAAAACTTGCCTCAGTCTCTCCTTCTGCCTTCTGCCCCTCAGCTGAATTTTTCTTCTGAGGAGGCAAGAATTGAGATTGCTGCAGATCCGCGTGCATTTGCTGTCGCTCGCAGACCTGGAGGATACTACCCTGGCGATGGGACGCAGAGAGCTGGACCAGGCTGCTGGCTGTGCGGGCAGGGGAGGAGAGAGAGCGGGGAGAGGGCTGTGGACGGCGCTGCACCCTCTCTCTGCGTTTCTGGGGCTGGTCTCTAACTGAGCTCAAACTCCCCATCCTAATGCAGCCCTGCAGGCCGGCGGGAGGGCGCCGGAGACCTGACCCAGAGGAGGGAGACCAGGCTGTATCTCCAGCTGCATCTGCATCGGCCCCACCGTGTCTTCCTCTGGGAGCTGCGGCTCCTCGGGTCGGCTGTGATGCAACGTGGGCAGGGGCGGGGGCTGGGGGTTGCATTGGGTAATGCCTGCGGCTACCGCTGTCTCCTTCATCTCTGTCTGCAGCTCTGTGTCCAGCAGGGCCAAGAAGGGCATTGGGTGAGGCTGAGAGCAGCCAGGGGGGTCTCCACAGGGGAACCGGCACCGGGACAGTCACCTCCAGCAGCATCCTGATGTTCTGGGGACACTGGTGCTGGGGGGTCAGTGGGGAAGGGCTCCTGGGTCCTCATGACCCTCTCCCTTGGGTGAGCACAAAACACCATGGCACTTTGGGGTCTTGGAAACAGACTAAAGGGGATGTCAAGTCCTCATTCCTTGGAGCTGCTGACGAGTCCAGAATGGGTCATGTTTTCTTGCCCCGACCCCAGCACCTCAGGGCAGCGGAAGGTCCAGAGAGAGGTCGGGGACCGGGGCCGCTCCTTGCATCCTGGGCTTGTGTCTGTTGCCCCCTGGCTGGTGACTTGCACTCTCCTGGAGCTGGTTCTTGCAGCCGAGGCCGTCACGGGGGTAAGGGCACTTGGGGTTATTTCGGGGGGGTGGACGTTTTGGGCCAAAGAGGAGAACAGGCTCCAGGCACCGAGAAGTGAACCCTTCATTCCCAAGGACGGTGGGTGTCCCAGGTGAGGGTGAGGGAGGAGACCTGGCCGGAGAACGGAACGGCTGTCCTTTAACACGTGTGTCCCTCCCTCCCTCCCTCCCTCCCTCCCTCCCCCCTCCCCCCCACTCCCAGCTGGGATGTCGCTGCTGCTTCTCTTCGTGGTGTTGACCATTTCTCAGACCTCCCCCCGCCCCTGCAGGTCAGGTGGCCCTGGTTCACACACTGCACTTCTGAGCCCCAGACCCAGTCCCGCCCAGTGGAACTCAGCGCCTGGCCCCACCTGCTGTCAGCACTCTGAATGTGCCCAGGAGGGGGCTGCCCCGCCCACCCACTTCCTCTGTATGAGAGATAAATGGGCTCCCAGAGATGCCAGGGAGGAGGCAGAGAGACCTGGGGCACGAGTATGCCGCCCACTCCGAACCCCCCTCTCCATTCCCAGACCCCAGCTGGGGCTCAGATCGCCTCACCCCAGGCCCCGGCTTTCTCCCCACATATGCTGTGGCTACTGCTCCTGACCCTCCCCTGCCTGATGGGCTCTGTGCCCAGGAACCCAGGCGAGTCCGCCCCACCCAATGCCCCTGCTGCCCAGGACCCCCTCCTTGCCCTGCCCCGGGCTCAGAGTGCCAGCCCTGGGGTGGGTGGGGACCATCTGATTGCCGGTCTCTCCTGGTGCCCCTGAGCTCTGGGAAGACCCTCGTCCGTCCCCCTCATGAGCCCGGCACGGGGCGTGAGCTGGTGGGCATCACTGGGGGCTGCGACGTCTCGGCCAGGAGGCACCCCTGGCAGGTCAGCCTGAGGTTCTACAGCATGAAGAAGGGTCTGTGGGAGCCCATCTGTGGGGGCTCCCTCATCCACCCAGAGTGGGTGCTGACCGCCGCCCACTGCCTTGGGCCATGAGTGGAGCCTGCTGTCCCCTCGGCGGGTGGGAGTGGGGGTGGGGACGGGCAGGTGTCCTGTGTGCCGGGGGCCCCTCCCAGGATTCAGGGAAAGCCCCGGTCCTGAGCATCTGGCCTTACTTTGAGAGGTGCCCGTTCCTCTCTCCAGGGAGGAGTTGGAGGCTTGCGCGTTTAGAGTGCAGGTGGGGCAGCTGAGGCTCTATGAGGACGACCAGCGGACGAAGGTGGTTGAGATCGTCCGTCACCCCCAGTACAACGAGAGCCTGTCTGCCCAGGGCGGTGCGGACATCGCCCTGCTGAAGCTGGAGGCCCCGGTGCCGCTGTCTGAGCTCATCCACCCGGTCTCGCTCCCGTCTGCCTCCCGGGACGTGCCCTCGGGGAAGACCTGCTGGGTGACCGGCTGGGGTGTCATTGGACGTGGAGGTCAGGAGCAGGACCACTTGGGTGGGATGTGGAGAGATGACCCGGAATGTCGGTGCAGGCCTGGGCTCCAGACGCGTCCTGGATGGCTTCCTGCCGCTGCCGAGACGGATGGCCACAGGCCAGGTGGCTCAGAGCAGCAGGAATGTACTATCTCACGGCTCTGCAGGCGGAACGTCCACACTCCAGGCGTGGGCAGGGTTGGTTCCTTTCAGAGGCCCTGAGGGAGGGTCCGTTCCATGCCTTCCCCATGCCCCTGGGCTTGCGGTCGTGTTTCTCCAGGTTCCCCTCTCCTTCCTCCTCTACGGACACTGGGTGCTGTATTTATGGTATTTATGGTGTCTCTAATCTAACTGACCTCATCTTAATTCCATCTGCAAAGGTCCTTTTCCAGATAAGGTCACAGTGACAAGTTCTGGGGTTATGGCGTAGGGGTGCCCCTGCCCACCTCCCAACAGGCACTTTGTGAGTTAACTCCATCCTCAGCGTCACCCTCAGTTGCCTGCTGTTCCTTTGCATCAGAGAAACCGTGAACTAAGGGAGGTCGGGAACTCCTGGGCCCCGCAGCATCAGCACCTGGAGCGAACCGTCTCATTCCCACCACAACACAGTCCAGGGGGAGTCCTGGTCCCATGCTTTTCCCAAATAGTTTCTTTTTTAAAAAATTTTTTATTTAAAAACTTGTTTTTGAGGCAGGGTCTTGCTCTGTCACCCAGGCTGGAGTGCAATAGTGCAATCACAGCTCACTACAGCCTCGAACCCCCAGGATCAAGTGATCCTCCCACCTCAGCCTCCCGAGTGGCTGGAACCACAGGCGCGAGCCACCACGCCGGGCTTTTTTTTCTTTTTGTAGGGATGAGGTTTCGCTGTGTTGCCCAGGCCGGTCTCAAACTCCTGGGCTCAAGCGATCCTCCCACCTCAGTCCTCCAAGCGTTTAATAGCTGGGACTACCAGTGTGTGCCACCACGCCTGGCTAATTTTATTTTATTTTATTTTATTTGAGACAGAGTCTCTCTCTGTCATCCAGGCTGGAGTGCAGTGGTGTGATCTTGGCTCACTGCAACCTCCGCCTCCTGGGTTCAAGTGATTCTCCTACCTCAGTCTCCTGAGTAGCTGGGATTATAGGCGTCAGCCACCATGCTCGGCTAATTTTTGTATTTTAGTAGAGATGGGGTTTCACCATGTTGGCCAGGCTGGTCTGGAACTCCTGGGCTCAAGTGATCCACCCGCCTCGGCCTCCCAAAGTGCTGGGGTTTCAGGTGTGCGCCACCGCGCCCGGCCCCTAGTCATTTCTAAGAGTGAGTCCTGAGGTTCCAGGCTCCTGTGCCCAGGACTGCAGCCTTGGGGCTCACCCCCTGGCCAGGGAAGGCCCAGCTCTGAGCGAATTGTATGCCTCAGCTCTGGACAAAACGAGAAGCTGCAGCCTTGTCCCCGCCAGGCCCCTGCGCCTCACCTCGCATCTCCTTGCAGAACTACTGCCCTGGCCCCTCAGCTTGTGGGAGGCGACGGTGAAGGTCAGGAGCAACGTCCTCTGTAACCAGACCTGTCGCCGCCGCTTTCCTTCCAACCACACTGAGCGGTTTGAGCGGCTCATCAAGGACGACATGCTGTGTGCCGGGGACGGGAACCACGGCTCCTGGCCAGTGAGACCCCAGACCCACCTGTCTCTCCCCTCCTAGGGGGGACACATGGGGAGGCACATGGGGAGCCCTCGCTGAGCGCCATCTCTCCCCACAGGGCGACAACGGGGGCCCCCTCCTGTGCAGGCGGAATTGCACCTGGGTCCAGGTGGAGGTGGTGAGCTGGGGCAAACTCTGCGGCCTTCGCGGCTATCCCGGCATGTACACCCGCGTGACGAGCTACGTGTCCTGGATCCGCCAGTACGTCCCGCCGTTCCCCAGACGCTAGCTGGGGTGCAGTGGGGTCTGCATGATCCAGGAGGGCCCGTCTTCCTTGTGGACACCCCTGCTGCTCCCCCGTCTCAGCCTCACCCTCCCGCAGATCCCTGCCCCGAGACCCTTCTGCTCCTCTCGGTCTCTCAAGGCTCTGTGTTTCCCTGCCAGCAGGGGGCTCGGGGAGCCGGGTAGGGGCCCTCAAAGATGAGTCGGGAGTGGAAACAGAATCCCAGAAATCCTAGACGGCTGCTTGTGACTTGACTCCATTAAACAGTGTGGAAACCGCTCCGGGTCTGTGGTGTGTGTCTGGACTGTGGGAGCAGCTGGGGGTCACAGAGTGTCCTGGCACTCTCAGGCCAGGCAGGAGAAGAGGGATGGGCCCCAGGGCTGGGAGGGGACGGCTTCCTTCCGTCCCCCCCTCCACGGCCCAGGTCTGTCAGCGCCATTGACATTGGAGTGTCAGTCCCAGGCTGGCGGACTTCTCCCTCCCTCTGCTTTCCAGAGCCACCTCCTCCTAGAACCCCCGGGTCCTGACCCACCACCAGGGTCCTCCTGGTCCCACAAGATGTGGCCCTGAGAGCAGGTGGCACAGTGTGGGGGTCCCGGTGCCCATGGGGCCCGGTTCTTTCTCCCGCTGCTCTGGGCCCCTCGACTCCCGGACAGTGTTTCCAGTCAACTCTAGACTTCCTCCTCCTTTTCTGGCACAAACTCCTCTCTTTTGGATTTCAAAAGTCGTAAGTCAAGATTCTCTGGTTTGCGTTCTGCAAATGTGACCCCAGAGTCCCAACCCCAGACATGCTTCCTACAGGGGCTGCGTGGGCCTGGGAAGCAGGGGTCCCCTGGGTGCCTCCGGATTTTCTGGCTGTGACACGTCCTGCTGGTCACCCTGGACACCTGGCCTGGGGCACAGGGAGGTGCCTCTGAGTGCCCGGAGCCTGAGATTCTTGGGGGTGCTGGTGGAAGTAGAGGGTCCTGGAATAGTGGAGAGGGCCCTGGGGTGGTGGAGAGGGTCCTGGAATAGTGGAGAGGGCCCTGGGGTGGTGGAGAGGGCCCTGGAATAGTGGAGAGGGCCCTGGAGTGGTGGAGAGGGCCCTGGAATAGTGGAGAGGGCCCTGGAGTGGTGGAGAGGGCCCTGGAATAGTGGAGAGGGCCCTGGGGTGGTGGAGAGGGCCCTGGGGTGGTGGAGAGGGCCCTGGAATAGTGGAGAGGGCCCTGGGGTGGTGGAGAGGGCCCTGGAATAGTGGAGAGGGCCCTGGGGTGGTGGAGAGGGCCCTGGGGTGGTGGAGAGGGCCCTGGGGTGGTGGAGAGGGCCCTGGAATAGTGGAGAGGGCCCTGGGGTGGTGGAGAGGGCCCTGGGGTGGTGGAGAGGGCCCTGGAGTGGTGGAGAGGGCCCTGGGGTGGTGGAGAGGGCCCTGGAATAGTGGAGAGGGCCCTGGAGTGGTGGAGAGGGCCCTGGAATAGTGGAGAGGGCCCTGGAGTGGTGGAGAGGGCCCTGGAGTGGTGGAGAGGGTCCTGCAATAGTGGAGAGGTTCCTGGGGGTGGTGGAGAGGGCCCTGGGATGGGGACAGCACAATGGGGAGGGGTGGGCAGCTCAGGGCCCCCATCTGTAACCTGGCTGGTCTCTACCTGACTCCAGGCTCCACACCGGCCCCTTGTCCCCTGGGAACCTCTGGGACAAATAGCTTTAGTGGAAAGAGTCTGCTGTCTGTCCTGAGTCGGGCCGTGGGGTCCTGTCCCCCTATCTTGGGCTGCATTGGCCTCATGCTGGGTGGGGTTGGTTGTGGCTCCTTGGCTCTGCGGTGATGCAACATGGTGGCCGGGTCCTGGGGCTGGGGTGCAGTTGAGCGACGCTCTGATTAATCTCTGTTTGAACCCAGAGCTCAGAAGCGGGTGCTGGGGCTGCTGAGCCGGCAGAGCAGGGGTGTCCAGAAAGGCAGGCGGGGGGCCACGTCAGGGCCGGAGAGCCACTCCCTCCCCCATCACCATCTGTGCACGGCCTGTTGGAGGTCAGCCCCACAGAGCTGGCATTCCCTGCGGGCATCCTGGGGCTGCCCTCCTGTGCAGGCCCCAAGAATCTCAGGCAGAGCTCTGCTTGGCAGGACCTGCCCCCATGCTTCAGTCCCCTCCCATCAGTGCCAAAATGTCACTTTGGGAGCCACGCGGCCATTCAAAATCTGAAGGCTCAACAGCTGATCTCCCTCCCATGATGCGGAGAAATCTTGGAGACAGCTGGAGCTTCTGCCCAGAGTCAGCTCCCGGGGGCCTCTCAGGTCATTTCCTCCCCAGCTCCACACCCCACTCCCTCCAGATTCAGTGGGAAGAGGTGGGTCACGGAGGGGTGCACAGACACCCCCCTACACCCTGGGCATGGGAGAAAGAAAGCCCCTTCCCCACTCCTGCAGGCCATGCCCCTCAGCTCAGACCCCTGCTGTGGTCCGAAGATTTGTGCTCCCCCCAAATCCAGATGTTGAAGCCCTAACTCCCAGTGTGATGGGATCAGGAGGTGGGTGCTTCGGGAGGCGAACAGGGCACTCATGCCCTTAGAGAAGGGACCCCCAGAGAGTTCACTCATCCCTCCTAGTACTGGAGGACCCAGAGATAAGGCACCGTTTATGAACCAGGAGATGGGTCCTCCCCAGACCCCAGCCACGCTGGCTCCCTGACCTTGGACCTCCATTCTCTGGGGTCATCAGGAATGAATCCCTGCTGTGTGTAAATAGCCCGGTTGTGGGCTGTTGCAGCCACCGGAGCCCCTTTGGGCACGGGTGACCCAGGCCTCCTCACAGGCCAGGCGAGGTGTCTCCAGGAGGTCTTTGGTGACAGGAAGTCCTGGGGCTGAGCCGGCTTCCTGGGGCGGGGGAGGGCACCACACAGGGAAAGAGCCCGAAATTCTCCCGCCCACTCCATGAGAGGAGCCGGGCACCACGGCCACAGGTCGAGAGAACAGGGAGATCCGCAGAGGCGGACGGAAGATTTGTGGGGCCCGGGGGAGGGGGTGACAGGGATGGGAAGCGACAGCCACCAGAAGGGTGTGGGCTTTTCAGGGCGATAAAAATGTTGTAAAATTGGGAATGGTGACAGCCGCAAGCTGTTGAACCCTTTAAATGGGTGAATTGTAGGTTTTTGTGAACTCAATCTCAATAATGCTGTTTAAAAAACCCAGATAAATATGAAAAAATAAAAAAGAGGCCGGGCACAGTGGCTCACACCTGTCATCCCAGCACTTAGGGAGGCTGAGGCGGGCAGATCACCTGAGGTCGGGAGTTCGAGACCAGCCTGGCCAACATGCAGAAACCCCGTCTGTACCAAAAATACAAAATTATACAGGCGTGGTGGCCCGTGCCTGTAATCCCAGCTACTCAGGAGGCTGAGGCAGGAGAATTGCTTGAACCCAGGAGGTGGAGGTTGCAGTGAGCCGAGATCATGCTATTGCACTCCAGCCTGGGCAACAAGAGCAAAACCCCGTCTCAAAAAAATAAAATAAAATAAAAATAAAAAAGTCCTCATTTCCCCAATTCTTTCACAACTGCAAAACCACAACATGAACCCCTTGAGAGGTCTCCTGATCACATGGGCCCACACACAGCCCAGCCTCCCGGGCACTCTCCCTGCACATCGGGTGTTTGAGGGGCCTGCTGATCATATGCGCCCACACAGCCCAGCCTCCCGGGGAACCCTCTCTGTACATTGGGCCCCAGGGTCTTCCAAAGGACAGTCACCAGGGCCCTGTCCTCCCGAGGCAGGGCCTGCGGCAGGACCATCCTGAGTGTGTGTGGTTATTGGAGTGTGGGGAGTCCCCCTGAGGGGTCTTGGCAGGGGTGGAGTCTCTCTGTTCAGGCCGTCACTGGTTTGGGTGTGGTCCCGTGAACCCCAGCGTGGGTGGGGCCCAGCAGCGAGGGAAGGCACTCACAGGTCGTGGCCAGGACACTGGCGCCCACTGGCGTCCTCCACCCTGGTCCCTCACCTCCCAGGTTCAGTGATCGGAGGCCTCTCCCAGGAACAGGGAACTCCCTCCGGTCATGGTGACAGTCCTTTTTTTTTTCTTTTGAGACGGAGTCTCACTCTGTTGCCCAGGCTGGAATGCAGTGGTGCGATCTCAGCTCACTGCAACCTCCGTCCCCCAGGTTCAAGTGATTCTCCTGCCTCAGCCTCCCAAGTAGCTGGGACCACAGGTGTGCACCACCACACCCGGCTAATTTTTTGTATTTTTAGTAGAGACAGGGTTTCGCCATGTTGGCCAGGCTGGTCTCGAACTCCTGACCTCAGGTGATCCACCTGCTTCGACCTCTCAAAGTGCTGGGATTACAGGCATAAGCCACTGCGCCTGGCCTCGGTTTGCAGTTGTCAAAGCAAGTGATACATTTGGATGGCAGGACTCCCAGGGGCTGGCCAAAGATTTGTACCCAGGGCCGTGCCTTCAGCCCATGGCTGTCTGGCCTCGCTGCCCAGGCACATCTGTGTCTGTACTTTTCCGATGGAAGATCCTTGGGGGACAGTGGGCTCCTGTTTCACTTCCTGGCCCTGTGCTCTCAGGCTGTTCAACTGTAGAGTCCGTGCTTGTTCTGAGAACTCCCTTTGTCCACATGCCTGGCGTTGAGGTGGGGAAACTGAGGCTGGAGGGCGGGGGAAGGGCGTGCCCAGGGTCACGGAGCCACGCCGTGCTTCTCAGAGAGGCTCCCCCCTCAGCCCTGGCTCCCGGACCTGCTGTTGCTGACCTGACCTGTGTCATTGGCCACTCGTAGTTCCGACCTTGGTAACCGCAGGGGAATCGTATGCTGGACTCGGCCCCTCAGTCCCTATGAAGAGCCGGGGCTCTGAGTGTTTTCCTCTGGGACTTACGTACGATGATGAGAATTTCACGATGTGGTTTCTCTTCCCAAAAATCCTCTTTACGGCGGTTGTCAAAGACAGGCCACTGCACCTCGCTGCTCCCCAGAATCACAAGACCCCGCCAGAGCCAGTTCTGGCTTATTCTTTTAAAGAGGTCTGGCAGCCAGGTGCGCTGGTTCATGCTCATAATCCCAGCACTTTGGGAGGTCCAGACAGGAGGATCACTTGAGCGCAGGAGTTCCAGGCCAGACTGAGCAACATAGCAAGACCCTGTCTCTAAGAAAAAAAAAAAATTAGCAGGGCATGGTGGGGAGCACCTGTATTCCTAGTGACTGGGGAGGCTGAGGTGGGAGGATCGCTTGAGCCCAGGAGGTCAAGGCTGCAGAGAGCTATGATCATGCCACTGCACTCCAGCCTGGGCAAGAGCGAGACCCTGCTGCAAAAAAAAAAAAAAAAAAAAAAGGTCTGGGTTTGAGGCTCCCTTCCAGGAGGCCTTCCCAGCTGCAGGTGCCTCGCCAGCTGTCTCCAGGCCCAGAATGTTGCAACTTTTTTTCTTGACTGGTAATAAAGTAGCGAGATCTTCCAAAAGCCAGAACCCTGAGCAGCTCAGCCTCCGACCCCCCGGGGTTCCCATAGCCCAAGGATGAGCTAGCTGTCCTCTCCCCAACACCCATCGCAGGTTGGGACAGAAGGCACAGCTCTCAGTGTGACCCACGGCTTCAGTGTGGCTGTTGCTTCTTTTCTAGATGGCTTTTTCTCCTATTTGTTGGAGCTCCCGTCTTTAATTTTGGGAACGTCACGTTCTATAGCACTGCAGCCCTGTGATTCCCTTCTGGCTTCCGTTGGAGCTTGAGTGTGTTGTTTCTGCTGAGCGGGACCATGAGCCCAAAAGGGGCTGCCAGCCCAGGCTCCCTGGCAGATGGACGGACGGCCTGAGCCCACCAGGACCAGCCATGCTCACCCAGTCCCTCCCCACAGCGCCGCTGCCCCCGGCCCCCGACCTGCAAGAGGCCGAGGTCCCCATCATGAGGACCCGAGCTTGCGAGAGGATGTATCACAAAGGCCCCACTGCCCACGGCCAGGTCACCATCATCAAGGCTGCCACGCCGTGTGCAGGGAGGAAGGGGCAGGGTTCCTGCCAGGTGAGACCCCGGCCCTCTGCCCTCGGCGTCGGCTGTGGGAGCTGCTTTGCCATGGGGCTGTCCCCTGACTGTCCTCCCCATACAGGGTGATGCTGGGACCCCCCGGTCTGTTACCGGCTGGACACCTGGCTCCAGGTTGGCGTGCTGAGCTGGGGCGTGGCCTCCAGGCATGGGGACTACCCTGGTGTCTACACCTGGGTAATGACCTATTCATCCTGGGTCCGCCAGCACGTCCCGCTAGAGCGTTGAGGAGGCTTTGATTGCTGGGGAGCGGGCCTCCCCTCTGCTCCTCCTCCCGCCTCCAGGCCCTGTTCCTGCCCACCCCGCCTGGCCCCTGAAGTACCCCGTCCTTCCCTGACCTGGGGGTGAGGACACAGCGGCAGGGGAGACTCAGAAGCTGGTGTCCCGTGGATGTGGGCGAGGGAGGATGCACCCAGGGACCTTGCCTCCTGCCTGGGTCCGCCATGCTATTAAACTGTGTGAACAGCAGCCTCTGAGTCTCTGATTCTCTGATGTGTCCTGGGCCGTGGTGGGGACTTCCTGGTACACATCTCAAGGTTCTGGAGGGCTCAGGGCCAGCCTCGAGTGACTGCACCTTCACGCTTGGTTGGGGGCCAGTGGGGAGGGCTCCGCTTCCCGGAGGCAGCCCCTGGGCAGCTCAGCCTCCCCGCCCGGGTTCCCAGAGCCCACGGATGAGCTAGCTGTCCTCTCCCCAACACCCATCCCTGGTTTGGACAGTTGTTTGCTCATTTCCCTCATTCCCCCAAATCTGTGACATCAAACCCAGCCGCGCTGCACCCCAGTTCAGACCCGGAGCCGCACTGCGGGGCCAGCAGCCTGAGCCTGCTCCCTCGGCCGTGCCTCCTCCTCGGACCTCCTGGAGTCTCGGGGTCAGCTGAGGACATAGCCTCCCTGAACTGTGGGGTCTCCGTGGAGCTGGCTGCCCTGGAATTTGGCGGACCCCAGCTCTGCCCCTGAGCAGCTGCTCCCTCACCCTTCCTCTCCAGGCAGAGGAGCCACTGTGGGCGTGGGTCCCCGCAGCTGCCCCTAAGACCCTGAACGGGACACAGTGGTCCTGTCACAGCCACAGCCACAGCCTGCGCACCACGAGGCCCCGTGGTCCCAAAGCCCCTGCCTGGTGAGCTGTGGCCACTCCCACTTATCTGGGAACAACATTCTCTGTCCCCCACTTTTGGGGGAGACGGGAGCACCCCACTGCATGGGCTTCCTGGAGCCGCAGGGAGGCCCGGCCTTCACCCTGCTGAGCCCCTCCTGCTCCCTGGGCCCCTCGGAAGCAAGGGATCCACTTCCCCCCGGAATCCACTGACCACCCCCTCCCCCAGGGTCTCCTCCACAATAGGGGCCTGAGGACAGCTTCCTCGGGGGTCTCTCTGCATCCCCTCTTGGCCCCACCAGGATTCCGGATTCTTCTCACAGCCCAGGCTTCCTGGGACCCCAGGGGGGCCTGCATGGGGCTACAGGGCCCTTGACCCCGGGTGGACCTGGATGTCCCCAGACTGCACATCAGATCAGGTTTCTGTTATCAGGGGCATGAGGAGAAACGGCTGAGAAAGTTCAGTGAAGAAACGCCTGGGAAAACACCGTGGCGCCCTCTCTCCAGCTCTGGGTAGTTGGCTGCCTCGTCAGCTCCCCCGCCAGCCTCCAGGCTGGGGCAGGACGGCTTCATTCTGAGATGGACGAGGCAGGGGGTGCGGAGAGTGGCTGCCTCCGCCCCTGGGCCTCAGCGGGAGGGTCCCCCTGGGTGGCCTGATGCTCTCAGGCCCCGCCGCCCTGCGGTGGCTGTGAGTATCAGATGGGATCGTCTGTCCATCCTCCTGACAGGCGAGGGGCCGGGGGATCACTGACCTCACCTCCGGCAGAGGAACTTCTGGCTTTTAGTGCCAACTGCCCCACCCCAACTACATGTGCCTCCAACTTGGGAAGCCCGAGGTGTGCGGTGGGGGTGGGGGGCACACAGAGATGGGGGAGGGGCTTAAGGCTTAAGACTGGAGAAAAGGATTTAGGAAGAGTTTGGGGGCAGGTGGGGGCCCAGGCCAGAGAGGGAGGGAGGAGTAGGGACCATGCAGCCTCAGGGAGCACGAGGGTCAGGCTCCCTACACTCTGGGCAGGATGTGAGCCCCTGAGCCCCCTTTCATTAGCTCCGGCTGGGGTCCCAGCACCCGCCGGTGGGGGGATGGGCCTGGAGCTCCAGGCCTTTCTCAGGGTGCCTGTGACCTCTTGGTGGAGGGGCCCCAGAGGAGGAGCAGCTCTCACCGAGGCTGGGGACAGACGGCCCAGGCTGCAGGACGTGGGCACGCTGAATCCTCCAGCACGGGACAGCCAAGTCCCAGTCTCCTCCTGGGTCCTCCCTCCCTCCTCCCTACATCTCTCCTCTCCGTCCCTTCCCTCACTGCCTTTCCGGCGGCCTCTGTGGTTGCCGGTCCTGGCTCTGTCCCCGAAGCCCCCTGCTCCCTTGGAGAATCACGGCTTCGGAGCCACCACACCTCCGAAGCTCTTGCCCAAGACCCAGGGTGCAGCCATGGCATGTCCAGGACGGCATTTCTGCCCCTAGGCCCCTCTGGTCAGCACTGCACGGGTCTCTCTCCTGTCTCTGGGGCATAGTGCTCCTATGGTCCCAGCTAGTTGGGAGAGCTGAGTGGGAGGATCGCTTGAGCCCAGGAAGTGGAGGCTGCAGTGAGCTGTGATCATGCCACTACACTCCAGCCTGGGCGACAGAGCCAGACCCTGACTCAATTGTGTCCCGAAGGCCGCTCTGAGGACGGAGGACCTCACCCCAACCACACCCAACACGGAGGTGTCTCCACGTGCAGACCCCAGGCTGAGCCAGCCGGAGGACATCTGGCCAGAGTGGGCTTGGCCAGTTGTGGTGGGCACCACCATGGTGGGTACCTCGCTCGGACAATCTGCTGGGCCTGTGGCCCCTGTCCCGGGAGCGAGCCGCACCTCCGCACGGGGCTACCCGTCACCTTCATGGGGTGCTGCAGCTCATGAACTGCTGGAAACTGTCCTGGGGACCCCATGGTGGGAGGCAGAGGCTTGCCGCTGCCTCGGGCTCCTTCCTGAGCTCCAGATCTGAGATTTTTCCAAGGGCCCTGCCGTCCAAACCAGCCCTGTGATGCTGTGACGTCCTCGTGGAGGAACAGGCAGGCTGGAGGGTCCCAACCCCGCCCCGGCCGCTCTCTGCCCTCACCCTCTCCTCTTACCCCTGTCCTGCCAGCCCAGGCTGCGGGGTGGGTGGAGACTTGGAGGGTGGGTGGGAGAGAGAGTGGAGGAGAGGGTGAAGAGACCTGAGGCCACCACAGGGCCCCACCCTCCCGCTGCCCTCCTCCTGTGGCTGAGGATAAAGGGGCTCCAAGGGGCCGGGGGAGAGAGCAGCTGAGTCCCGGCACCGTAAGGGCACCGTCCCCTCCCTGATGCCTGCGGGCGGCTCCTGGCCCCCACCCCTGACCCCGGGTCTGAGCCCCCAGCCCCCACCCCACGCCCTCCACCCCTGACCCCGGGTCTGAGCCCCCAGCCCGCACCCCATGCCCACCACCCCTGACCCCGGGTCTGAGCCCCCAGCCCGCACCCCACGCCCTCCACCCCTGACCCCGGGTCTGAGCCCCCAGCCCGCACTCCACGCCCTCTCCCCGCAGCTGCTGCTGCTGCTGTTCCTGGCTGTCTCCTCCCTGGGGAGCTGTAGCACTGGGAGTCCAGGTGAGTCCCGACCCCACACAGCCCTCCCTTCCCAGGGGCTCTGCCACCCCGTCCCCAGGATCCAGGGGACACGTGCACGGCCCGGCTCCTGCCCGAGGGCAGGCGTGGGGTGAGGCTCGGGTGGCAGAGGCCGGGCTCCCTGACCTCCTTCTGTTGTTCCCAGCTCCCGTCCCCGAGAATGACCTGGTGGGCATTGTGGGGGGCCACAACACCCCCAGGGGAAGTGGTCGTGGCAGGTCAGCCTGAGGATCTATAGCTACCACTGGGCCTCCTGGGTGCCCATCTGCGGGGGCTCCCTCATCCACCCCCAGTGGGTGCTGACCGCCGCTCACTGCATTTTCCGGTGAGTCCTGGGCCGGGGACCCCACCAAGGGGAGGTGGGAGTGGGGCCGCCCCATACCAGGTCCCTTGAGTAGCCTGGGTCTGTCCTCCCCCAGGAAGGACACCGACCCGTCCACCTACCGGATTCACACCAGGGATGTGTATCTGTACGGGGGCCGGGGGCTGCTGAATGTCAGCCAGATCGTCGTCCACCCAACTACTCTGTCTTCTTCCTGGGGGCAGACATCGCCCTGCTGAAGCTGGCCACCAGTGTGAGAACAACAAACACTCTCGCGGCAGTCGCCCTGCCGTCATAGTCCCTGGAGTTCACTGACAGTGACAACTGCTGGAACACAGGCTGGGGCATGGTCGGCCTGTTGGGTGAGAACCAGAGGGACGTGGGGCGGGCGTGCGGGGGGGTCCTGGGAAGGCTCATGAAAGACAAGCCCTTGGTTTGCACATTCTGGGGTTTCTCTTGCTAGGGTTGGGGTGCAGGGTTCAGGTGAGCTGCCCTGGGGAATTCAAGCTCATAAAACAGGGAGCAAAGAAAATGAGCCTTTGGGGTGGGTGGCAGGAGCCACTGACTGTGCTGTGCGTGTGTGTGTGGAACACGTATCTTACCCATAGACATATTGCAAGACATTTTCTTCATTTTGTGGAAAAGAAAATGGGTTCAAAGAGGGCACGAATTTATCCATCTGTCCATCCCTCCACTGAAGGCTGCAGAGACCCTGAAGCTTTCTTCCTTTCCTGCTTCGGGCCTCTGTTCTTTGAAAGGCAATACCTGGTGCTGTTCTAGAGCGCGTAGATCCCGCCTCCCTTTTCTAGAGTGTGTGCGTAGGTCCTGCCTCCCTTTTCTAGGGAGAAAGAGAGTGTGTGTGTGTGGTCCCATCTCCCTTTTCTAGAGTGTGTGTGTGTGTGTGTGTGTGGTCCCGTCTCCCTTTTCTAGAGTGTGTGTGTACATCCCGCCTCCCTTTTCTAGAGTGTGTGCGTAGGTCCTGCCTCCCTTTTCTAGAGTGTGTGCGTAGGTCCTGCCTCCCTTTTCTAGAGTGTGTGTGTGTGTGTGTGGTCCCGTCTCCCTTTTCTAGAGCGTGTGTGTGTGTGTGTGGTCCCGTCTCCCTTTTCTAGAGCGTGTGTGTGTGTGTGTGTGTGTGGTCCCGTCTCCCTTTTCTAGAGTGTGTGTGTACATCCCGCCTCCCTTTTCTAGAGTGTGTGGGGGTCCCGTCTCCCTTTTCTACAGTGTGTGCGTAGGTCCTGCCTCCCTTTTCTAGAGTGTGTGCATAGGTCCTGCCTCCCTTTTCTAGAGTGTGTGTGTGTGTAGGGTCCTGTCTTCCTTTTCTAGAGTGTGTGTGTAGGTCCCGCCTCCCTTTTCTAGAGTGTGTGCGTAGGTCCTGCCTCCCTTTTCTAGAGTGTGTGCATAGGTCCCGCCTCTCTTTTCTAGAGTGTGTGTGTAGGGTCCCATCTCCCTTTGCTCCCAATTTAAAAGGTATTGGTGGATGGGGGTGGTAGGGTGGTGGGGGAGTGTGTGCGGTGACTCACACCTGTAATCTCAGCACTTTGGGAGGCCAAGGTAGGAGGATCACTTGAGCCTAGGAGTTCAAGACCAGCCTGGCCAACACAGGGAGACCCCATCTCCACAAAAAATTAAAAAATATATATATTGGCCAGGCATGGTGGCTCGCACCTGTAATCCCAGCACTTTGGGAGGCTGAGGCCAGTGGATCATTTGAGATCAGGAGTTCAAGACCAGCCTGGCCAACATGGTGAAACCCTGACTCTACTAAAAACACAAAAATTAGCTGGGCGTGGTGGTGGGTGCTTGTAATCTCAGCTACTCAGGAGGCTGAGGCAGGAGAACTGCTTGAGCCCAGGAGGCAGAGGTTGCACTAAGCAGAGATTGTGCCATTGTACTCCAGTCTGGGCGACAGGGTGAGACTCCATCTTAAAAAAATTAAAATTAGCTGGGCATGGTGGTGTAGGCCTGTGGTCCCAGCTACTTGGAAGGCTGAGGCTGGAGGATTGCTTGAGCATCGCTGGAGCCTGGGAGGCGGAGGCTGCAGGGAGCTATGATTATGCCACTGTACCCTACCCTGGCATTTCCCTTCTGGGTTCCTGCAGCTTTAGAGGTGGAGCCCCTTTGACTCCACCTTAGGCTGTGTAGGCTGAGCATCCCAGGTCCTGAGCTGAGGCTGGGGGCAGGGAGGGGTCCTGCCATGGTGCTGGTTGGGGGCCCCTCCTGAGCTGCTCCCGCCACCCGTGGCTTGTCTCTGCAGATATGCTGCCGCCTCCTTACCGCCCGCAGCAGGTGAAGGTCCTCACACTGAGCAATGCAGACTGTGAGCGGCAGACCTACGATGCTTTTCCTGGTGCTGGAGACAGAAAGTTCATCCAGGATGACATGATCTGTGCCGGCCGCACGGGCCGCCGCACCTGGAAGGTGAGACCTGGCGCCTCTCTCCTGCCATCTCTTTTCCTGTCTGCGGCTCCGATGCTGGACTTGGATGTGCAGGGTCCTGGGTCTCTGGTCAAGCTGGGCCTTCTCTGCTCCACAGGGTGACTCAGGCAGCCCCCTGGTCTGCAAGAAGAAGGGTACCTGGCTCCAGGCGGGAGTAGTGAGCTGGGGATTTTACAGTGATCGGCCCAGCATTGGCGTCTACACGTGAGTCCAGACCTATGTGCCCTGGATCCTGCAGCAAATGCACCTCTAAGCCCCAGGCTCCTCCCAGCTCCCCAAGAATCCAGTTCCTTCCTCGTCCTGGCCCCTCCGCTCCCTGCGCCTTCCAGCACCCACCTTCTCTGCTCCTCCATCGCACATGGTCCTCACTCCCCTCCACCTTTTCAGACCTATCACCTTCCTCCCTCACACTGGGAGGAGGAGGCATGGAAGGTGCTTTGAATGGGGGTGAGGTTAGGGATGGAAGTCCTGGAGCCAGTTTGCAGTATCGTCTCGTTAAACTGTTAGCAAGGCAAACCAGAAAGTGGCCAGTGTGTTCCTGAGTGTGGGTGCGGCTGGCGGGCAGTGACCGGGGGCTTCCTGACGTGGGTGCATCTGCTCTGGACAGTTGCACTGTAGAAATGGCTGCTCCAGACCAGACATTCTTTGGTGGTGGAGGGAAATGATGAATGGGGTGGTAAGATCAGGGGAAATATTCTCAGTGATGACTCTACTCTTGGGGGCCCAGCTCCCAGCCCAGCCCTCCACTAAAAGAACAGGTCAGCCTCATTACCAAATTTCAACCATCTACCATCTGTCTACCCATCTACCCGTACTAAATCCATCCACTCATCCAGCCATCAATTCATCCATCCATCCATCCACCCACCTATCCACTAATTAATCAATCCATCCATCCATCCATCCATCCAACCATCCATCCATCCATCCACCTATCTATTGATCTACCCATCCATCCACCCACCCACGAATCTATCCACTCGTCCATCTGTCCATCTGTCCGTCCACCCACCCACCCATCTAACCTGCCCAGCTCTGCCCAGCCCTGCCCAGTGCCCACCTGCAGCCCTGCCCAGCCATGCCCAGTGCCCAGGGCATCTCCAGGGTGTGGCACAGGAGGCTTCTGAGGAAACCCAAGCACGGTTTACATCCCTAGTTGCTGGGCCACTGTTTGCCCTGGGGCATTGGAGCATTTAGCACTGAGACTTCCCATATGGCCGCCCTGTGCCCGCCTCGCAGAAGGTCTGGGACTAGGGCTGGGTCAGGGAGGCTGCTGGGCTGTGACGGGGCACCAGGCATCCTCAACCTGAGATGGGGAAGTCTTCATTCTCCTTTCTCTTGCACCCCCCACCCCCAAGGTGAGGGTCAGGTGAGGCTGAGAAGGCCCCTGAGCACCCAGAGGGGCAGCTACACTCTCCTGCTGGAGAAAGGGGCTTCACGGAGAGGCTGGCCCGGGAGGGGGTCTGAGTCTGGTCCCTTCCGGCTTCACACCGTGAGTGAAGCAGCAGGGATGTTGTCTCTCCCGGCAGGTCCCTCCCACCTCACCCGGAGAGAACCACACAGGGCAAGGGCTAGATGTCTGGGCTCCCCAGTAGAGAGGAGGGGGCCTCTGTATTCAGACAGTGGGGTGCGGGGGGAGATCAGGGACAGATCAGAACTGTGGTGAGGGCCCCGTGCCTAAAGCAGGATGCAGCCTGGACAACGGCACAGAGCCCACTACGCGCAGGTCCCTTTTGCAGCACTGCAGTTGGAGGCAGAGCTGGGCAGGTGCTGGGGTGGGTGCTGCGGCAGCTGGCAGTGTGCCAACCATGCAGAGGCCCAGAGACCAGCTGGCAGGGTGCCAACCATGCAGAGGCCCAGGACCAGCTGGCAGGGTGCCAACCATGCAGAGGCCCAGAGACCAGCTGGCAGGGTGCCAACCATGCAGACGCCCAGAGACCAGCTGGCAGGGTGCCAACCATGCAGACGCCCAGAGACCAGCTGGCAGGGTGCCAACCATGCAGAGGCCCAGAGACATGGGCCAGGGCCAGGAGTGGGTCTGCAGGCCCTTCACCCACGTCACCTGCTACCCGACGGCCATCCCCAGGCCCTTCACCCATGTCACCTGCTACCTGATGGCTGTCCCCAGCACCCTCACCCACGTCACCTGCTACCCGACGGCCGTCCCCAGGCCCTTCACCCATGTCACCTGCTACCTGATGGCTGTCCCCAGCACCCTCACCCACATCACCTGCTACATGATGGCCGTCCCCAGGCCCTTTACCCACATCACCTGCTACCCAATGGCTGTCCCCAGCACCCTTACCCACGTCACCTGCCACCCGACGGCCATCCCCAGGCCCTTCACCCACATCACCTGCTACACGATGGCCATCCCCAGGCCTTCAACCACGCCACCTGCTACACGACGGCCATCCCCAGCACCCTCACCCACGTCACCTGCTACACGATGGCCGTCCCCAGGCCCATCACCCATGTCACCTGCTACACGATAGCTGTTCTCAGGCCCTGCCACAGGGACAAAGGGGCCACCCTGATGAGGGACAGGAATCTCACTGACGTCGCCCCCCCCCCCCCCCCCGCTCATAGAGGATGCAGGCCCACGGATGCGTCCTGTACCTGTCCCTGGGTCATCTCAACGCTGTGACCCACCCTCTCCTGGGTCTGACAGCCTCTGGACAGCCCCTGGGCAGAGCCGTGCCCCACAGGGACAGGCTGAGGGGGTCTGCCACTGTATTCTTCCCACTGCTCTGCCGGGAAGGCCTGGGATCTGTCTGCTCCCCATGTCTACCACATGTGCCCTGAGCCTCATCTCGTGAAGCTCTGGGCCACACCGCCATGCCCAGCTAATACTTATATTTTTGGTAGAGACCTGGTCTCACTATGTTGCCCAGGCTGGTCTCATACTTCTCAGCTCAAGCAATCGTCCCCCACTCGGCCTTCCAAAGTGTTGGGATTACAGGCGTGAGCCACTGCACCCAGCCAATTACTTCAATTTTTTTAATTTTTTAATTGTTGTGGGTACGTAGTTGTGTATATATCTATCTTGCATGGTTTTATGTGACAATTATACTAAATCTTCAAGGAACAAATAATCCCCATTTCAAACAAACTCTTCCAGAGACTAGAAAAAAGAGACGAATGTCCTGACTGATTAGATTCGATGAGCGTCGCCTGCAGAGCAAGCCTGGACTAATAGAGAGCAGGAAAACTTCAGGCCGAATTAACTCACGAACATTGACTCAAACATCCAAAATCATTAACAAGCTGACTCTGAAAATGTGCTCAGAATTACAACAAAACCTAAACAGGTCTAAAGCAGGTGGGTTTAACGCTCGGGAAATCTAACCGTCTAATTTGCCAGTTAACGGAGCAGAGATAAACAACCATGTGATAATCTAATCGATAAGTATTTGATTCTCTGGGTTGATCAATTCAACCACCAACTGCAATAAAACTCTTAGCAAATTTGGCAGATCTCACCCAAGCTCAAGGCAAACATTCTACTTAACAGTGGACCGCGGGAAGCCCCTTCTGTGAGTGAGGGATGGGTAGGGACAGCCACCCCTCCCCCTGCCCAGCTCAGTGCATGCAGCCCCGCGCAGCACATACATGAAGAGAAACAGGCCAGGTGCAGTGCCTCACGCCTGTCATCCCAGCTACTCGGGAGGCCGAGGCAGGCAGATCACCTGAGGTCAAGGGTTTGAGACCAGCCTGGCCAACATGGTAAAACCCCGCCTCTACTAAAAATATGAAAATTAGCCGGGCTTGGTGGCACATGCCTGTAATCCCAGCTACTTGGGAGGCTGAAACAGGAGAATCACTTGAACCCGGAGGAGCGGAGGTTACGGTGAGCCAAGATTGTGCCACTGTATTCCAGCCTGGGTGAGAAGAGTGAGACTCTGTCTCAAACAAAAACAAAAACACCAAAATGAAACAAAAAACAAAGAGAAATGAATAAAAAGTGTCAGGGTCGGAAAGAAAGGGACGGGGTTGCAGTGTCTGCTGACAATGCAGTGGTCTTCATAGACCATCCAAGGTCACCTGCAGACAGTGTCAGGGCACGAGCGCAGCAAGGCAGCTGATCCACACCAATGCAAGACCAACAGCTGGTGATACACGGGGCTTCTAGGCCGGGCGCGGTGGTCACGCCTGTAATCCCAGCACCTTGGGAGGCTGAGGCAGGAGGATGGATGGAGCCAAAGCGTTCAAGACCAGCCTGGGCAACATAGTGAGTCTATCTCTATAAAAACATTGTTTTAAGCCATGCAGAGCCTGGGCAACACAGCAAGACCCCATCTCTACAAAAAATACAAAAATTAGCCAGATGTGGTGGCGTGCACCTGTAGTCCCAGTTACTCAGGAGGCTGAGGCAGGAGGATCATTTGAGCCCAGGAATTTCAGGCTGTAGTGAGCCAAGATCTTGCCACTGCACTCCAGCCTGGGCAACAGAGGAAGGCCCTGTGTCCAAAAAAAAAAAAAACAAACCCCAAAAACCGTTTTTATCAACAATTGTATTGGCTCCAGTGTTTGTTGAAGAAAATTGCTTTTTGTTCATTTAAAGCTCTAAGCAATACTTCTCATCAGAAATGAAACTTACCCACTAACTTCTGAAGATTCACCTACTCACCACCCTCATGGACCTCCTGCACGTGAGCTCCCCGGCAGGAATATCATCCAGACGCAAATCGTCTTGCTGGCTGGGAAGACGCCGAAACTCTTGGTTTAGTTTTGCCTCCACACCACTGCGGAGGGGAAAGAAACAGATTTTGTCGGATTTAAGTTGAAAGCACAATATGAAGTCTCATGATTTCAGAGGAGAAAGGGCCACCATATCCAAGACCATGTGAGGAAAAAAAAAAAAACAAAAAAGAGAGCCCCGCCCACCAGAAGCGGCAACGAATCTGTCATTGGCCCAAGGATGGAAAACCACGCCCATGCTGGGCCCCACATTCCACCTGCCCCCAACCCCAGAGCCGGCTCCGCCCTGGGCTCCACTGTGGCTCCCGGGGGCTCGATTCCAGCCCATCCCAATTTCCAGTGATGTTTATTATTATTTATTATTATTATTGAGACAGAGTCTTGCTCTGTCACCCAGGCTGGAGTGCAGTGGCGCGATCTCGGCTCACTGCAAGCTCCGCCTCCCGGGTTCACACCATTCTCCTGCCTCAGCCTCCTGAGTAGCTGGGACCACAGGCGCCCGCCACCACGCCCGGCTAATTTTTTTTTGTATTTTTAGTAGAGACGGGGTTTCACCATATTAGCCAGGATGGTCTCTATCTCCTGACCTCGTGATCCACCCACCTCAGCCTCCCAAAGTGCTGGGATTACAAGAGTGAGCCATCGCACCCGGCCTCAGTGATGTTTATTATTAGTAATTATTATTATTATTTTGAGACAGAGTCTCGCTCTGTCACCCAGGCTGGAGTGCAATGGCACAATCTTGGTTTACTGCAACCTCCGCCTCCGGGGTTCAAGTGATTCTCCTGCCTCAGCCTCCCGAGTAGCTGGGATTACAGGCGCCCACAACCATCCCAGGCTAATTTTTATATTTTTAGCAGAGATGGGGTTGCACCGTGTTGGCCAGGCTGGTCTCAAATTCCTGACCTCAGGTGATCTGCCTGCCTTGGCTTCCCAAAGTGCTGGAATTATAGGTGTGAGCCACTGGGCCTGGCCTCCAGTGATGTTTAAAAGATCAAATCCGGCCAGGCACAGTGGCTCATGCCTGTAATCCCAGCACTTTGGGAGGCCGAGGTGGGTGGATCACGAGGTCAGGAGATCGACACCATCCTGGCTAACATGGTGAAATCCTGTCTCTACTGAAAATACAAAAAAAACCCAAAACAAACAAAAAACAACAACGCCGGGCACGGTGGCTCATGCCTATAATCCCAGCACTTTGGGAGGCCAAGGCAGGCAGATCACCTGAGGTCAGGAATTTGAGACCAGCCTGGCCAACACGGTGAAACCCTGTCTCTACTAAAGATACAAAAAATTAGCCGGGCGTGGTGGTGCATGCCTGTAATCTTAGCTACTTGGGAGGCTGAGGCAGCAGAATCACTTGAACCCGGGAGGCGGAGGTTGCAGTGAGCCGAGATCACGCCATTGCACTCCAGCCTGGGCGACAGAGTGAGACTCCGTTTCAAAAAAACAAAAAAGAAAAAAAAAGAAAAAAAAATCAAATTCCTTCTCTTAAATTCTCTTCTGCTTAAACAGTGAGTCTGGTTCCTGCTTCCTGTTATAGAGCCTGTCTCCATACAGCTGCAGCATAGGCAGCTCCCAGAGGGAACAGAGGATGCCTGAGCCCATGAGTGGCCTGAGAGATGCAACTGGAATCTCGTTCCTTATTCAGGTCCCCTAACTTTTTTTTTTTGAGACAGGGTCTTGCTCTGTCACTCAGGCTGGAGTGCAGTGGTGTGATCATAGCTCCCTGCTCAACCTCCTGGGGTCAAGTGGTCTTCCTGAGGCAGCCTCCCCAGTAGCTGGGACTACAGGCGTGTGCCACCACACCTGGCCAATTTTGTTGATTTTTTGTAGGGATGGAGTCTCACTTTGTTGCCCAGGCTGGTCTTGAACTCCTGGCCTCAGGCGGTCCTCCTGCCTCAGCCTCCCAAAGTGCTGGGATTACAGGCGTGAGCCACTGCTCCCGGCTCCCAACAGTAAGTGTTACTGACGTTTTTCCACTCTGCCTCATTTTTTTTTCCTTTTTTTTTTTTTTTTGAGATGGAGTCTTGCTCCATTGCCCAGGCTGGAGTGCAATGGACCATTTCAGCTCACTGCAACCTCCACCTCCCACGTTCAAGCGATTCTCCTGCCTCAGCCTCCCAAGTAACTGGGACTACAGGCACGCGCCACCATGCTCAGGTAATTTTTGTATTTTTAGTAGAGACGGGGTTTCACCATGTTAGCCAGGCTGGTCTCGAACTCCTGACCTCAAGTTATCTGCCTGCCTCAGCCTCCCAAAGCGTTGAGATGACAGGCGTGAGCCACGGTGCCCAGCCTGCGCCCCATCTCTTGTCACCCGTATCAGTGTCCTGAGGCTGCTGCACAAAGTGCTGCAAACTGAGGGGCAGAATTTTATTCTCTCTCAATCCTGGAGTGTCAGCAGGGCCGCTTGCTCCAGAGGCTTGGAGGGAGGGGCCGCTCCATGCCTGTCTCCTCGTGTCCGGCGCTGCTGGCTGTCCTTGGCTTGCAGCCACATCACTCCCATCCCTGCCTGCCTTCCCCGGCCTTCCTCCACCGCTCTAGGTCTCAGGCCCCCTCTCCTTTCTCTTATAAGGATGCCTGTCATTGGATTTAGGGCCCACTCTAATTCCAGAATGATCTCATCTTGACATCCTCAATTACGTCTGCAAAAGCCTCATTTCGGAATCAAGTGACGTTCACAGTTCCTGGGGCTCAGGCTTGAACGTATCTTTTCGGCAAATGCAGTTCAACTCACCACTGCACCCGGCTCCTGACCCCGGAGGTATTTTCCTCCTTCACCTGCACGTCCTGTAGGAGCCTCCCTGTGCAGACACAGCACTGGGCAACTTGTAGAACCTTCTCCACACAACAATGCCCAATTTTGGCCGACCTCACATCTGATTCCAAGTATAAAGCACCGAATAAAAGATAAAAGGAAAGTGTCACCTGCATCCTCCACGTGAGAATCCGACGTTCCTGTCTCTGCACAGGGCGAGCTTGGCTCACCCAACCTGGACTCGGCTGGGGCCCAAGGGCTCCTTGGCCTCTCCCGGGCAAGCTTGGTTCACCCAACCTGGACTCAGCTGGGGCTCGAGGGGTCCTCGGCCTCTCCCCCAGCCCCCCGCAGCCCAGGACCCCTGACTGTAGGCTCCAGGCCTCCCTGGAAGCCCTGGCCACGCTCGCCCCGCAGCCCTCAGACTGGCTGTGCTTCGCGGATCTTGGCTGGTTCGAGGCTGGTGCCGTCCCCGCCTTACCTGGGCCTCCTGGACCCTGCCTCCCGGCAGCTGGGTGGGGGACCAGGAGAGTCCTGCACCCGTGACGCAGCTGCCACATTATCCTCGTGTCCCGGGAGGGAGAGGAATCACCAAGAAAGCCCCCAGGCTAAGCAGCTGTCCTCTCTTCTCCTCGGCCCTCTGGCTCTAAACAAGGAACCCAGGTGATCCAGACCCGAGCTTCCCTCCCATCAGCCTCTCCTGGCCTCACCTGGCTGGCCTCCCAGCCCTCCCATCCTCCAGCTGCTCTCCTGTCTCCTTCTTGCATCTTCAGATGGAGCTGCCCACTCCATGGGCCTGGGCAGCAGCTTGAAGTGGGCGTGGGCCAAGCCCTCTGGGAGTGAGGGGTGCAGCGGCTCCCAAGGCACAGAGCCAGAGGTCCTGGCCCATGATGGGTGAATGCGGCCAGGAGGGAGGGACGGGGCAGCTGGGAGTCCATCTCGGGCAGCCTGGGGCTTCTCTCCTCCCCATGCAGGGAGGTGCAGGGCTGGGCATGCAGGTGGAAGTCTGGCTGCAGAGGATTTCACAGCTGCAGGCCCAGCCTCGGGGACCCACTCCCTCAGCCTCCGGGGAATCCTGAGGCATCACCAGGAAGCTGCTGGTAGCATGGAGAAGGCTGGATTTGCTCCAGCTGGAGGACATGCGGGCACACACACACACTCATACACGCATGCACACACACATGCACACGCACAATGTACAAACTCAATGCACACTCACTCATACATGCATGCACACACATACACGCATGCACACACTGATGCATGCACACATGCACACACATGCGTGCACACACATACATGCACACACGCACACATGCACTCATACTCACAAGCATGCACACACATGCATGCAGACACACACTCATACACACATGCATATGCACACATATGCACACACTCATACATGCACACACATGCACACATCACGTATGCACATGCTTACATGCACACATTCATACACACATGCACACACACATTCACATGCACGCACACACATGCTTTCAAACATGCACGCACTTTCATACTCACATGCACACACACGCACATGCGCACACTCATACACATGCACACACATACATGCATGCACACACATGCTTACATGCACACATGCACACTCATACGCACACACAGGCACACAAACACATGCAAACTGACGCGCACACACGCACACATCCTTACATATGCACACGCATACACACATGCACACACTCATACACGCACACACACACTCATACACGCATGCACACACCCACACTTACACACATGCTTACACTTATACTCACACACATGCAAACACACGCACACACACGCAAACACAAACAGCAGCATGCACACACTCATACACACATGCACACACACATATACACACGCACACACCCATATACACACTCATACACACACACTCGTACACACATGCACACACTCATACATGCAGGCACACACACATCCACACATACATGCACACATGCATGCACACACATGCTCACACACACACATGCACACTCACATGCTTACACACATGCACACACTTATACTCACACATGCACACACATACATGCACACAGAGGCATGTGCACACCCCATGCCCACACACGTATGCACACACACACAGGCACCCCCCACACCCCCACCCATTCACAGTGCTCCCTTGTGTTCCCACACCACCACAATCACCCTGGTTACAATCTCATGGCAAAGCAAGACTTCTGGAGGAGAGGCTGTAGGGTTGGGCCTCGGCCTCTGCTGCCCCTGTCAGCCCCAGAACGTGTCTGCCACCTGGGCTGAAACAGGCATTTGCTGCCGGAGCCCCAAGGCACAGCAGTGGGCAGCTGGGGCCCAGGGGGCTGGGCCCTGGCCTGAGAATGCAGCTCCCCACCCTCTGAGACTCCCAGCAGGTGACGGCCCCTCTCCCAGAGCAGAGTGTGCCCCTCCTGCAACCTGAGGTTTGTACTGATTAAAACAGGTTCCTGGAGCCCATCCAGAAGATCTCCCTGTGTGGGCTCCACAAACTCCCTCCAAGGACTGGAGCCTGGGCCTGGGGCGGCCACCATGGAGCAGGCGGGTCCCCTGGCCCAGGCTCCAAGTGCCTCTGGCAGGCCCTCTGGCTGATACTTTTGCACCCGTGGAGGTGTGTACAAGTGCCCGTCCCGTCCCGGGTGGCAGGAGAGGCTGCGGGAGAGCTGGTTACTAGGTGCTTCCTTGGCCTCTGTGGCACTGGCCATGAGAATGGGTAGCATGGCGACAACCTGAGCACTGTGGGCATTTGGGGCCAGGGGCCCTCTGCAGTGGGGCCATCCTGTGCACCGTAGACATTTAGCCCCCCAACCCCGGCCTCTTCCCACTAGATGTGGGTGGTGTCCCTATATCCCTGACAAGCATAAATGTCCCCTGGGGGACATAGTCACCCGTGGGAGCCACTGGTGTAGACAGGGAACCCGGGTACAGGACCTCTGTTGGCCCAGCAGAGGGGATGCGAGGGGCTGGGGGTGGCCCCTATCCTCATGGTCACCCTGTTTACAGCCTGGGCTAGGAGCTATTGCCCCCACCCTGGGAAAAGAATGTCTGACTGAGCCCCACCCACTTCCTTTGCAAGGAAGAGAAAGCAGCTCCGGGAGGGTCCGGGAGGGCAGCTGTGGCCACAGACCACGGTGAGGACACTGACCACCGGCAGCCACCTGTGGCCTCCAGACCCAGGTCCCTCCTGGCTCTTTCCAGCCAGCCCTCTCCTCCCTGCGCAGATGCTGTGGCTGCTATTCCTGACCCTCCCCTGCCTGGGGGGGCTCCATGTCCAAGACCCCAGGTGACTCCTGGCCCAATCCCACACTGGACCCTCAGGGACTGGGCTAGGACGGAGAGCTGACCCCCTCGTCGAGCAGGGCCTGGAAGCTCCTGGCATTGCAGGAGGGTGGGGCCCGGCTCCCTGACCTCCTTTGGTTGTTCCCAGTGCCCGTCCCAGAGAATGACCTGGTGGGCATTGTGGGGGGCCACAATGCCCCCCCGGGGAAGTGGCCGTGGCAGGTCAGCCTGAGGGTCTACAGCTACCACTGGGCCTCCTGGGCGCACATCTGTGGGGGCTCCCTCATCCACCCCCAGTGGGTGCTGACTGCTGCCCACTGCATTTTCTGGTGAGTCCCGGGCCTGGGACCCCAATGAGGGGAGGTGGGAGTGGGGCCGCCCCAGACCAGGACCCCTGAGCAGCCTGGATCCGTCCTCCCCCAGGAAGGACACCGACCCGTCCATCTACCGGATCCACGCTGGGGACGTGTATCTCTACGGGGGCCGGGGGCTGCTGAACGTCAGCCGGATCATCGTCCACCCCAACTATGTCACTGCGGGGCTGGGTGCGGATGTGGCCCTGCTCCAGCTGGTGAGCCCCATGATCTGAGCCGCTAATGTCAGGACGGTCAAGCTCTCCCCGGTCTCGCTGGAGCTCACCCCGAAGGACCAGTGCTGGGTGACTGGCTGGGGAGCGATCAGGATGTTCGGGGCGTGTTGGGTGGAGGCTGGGGAAGGACTCGGGCTGTGGGCCCAAAACGCCTCATTCCAGGGCTCCGGGGGTGGTGGTGGGGTGGGTGAGTTCCAGAAAGGGAAGAGACGGAGCTGCTCACCGCCATGCAGCACCTCCGGCTGCTTTTCCCCACAGCTCTGTGCTGCCCGGGCCCAGAGACTCGGGGGTCCTGCGAGTGCCAATGGCCACACCAAGCTCCAGACTCATTATTCAGAGGGGAAAATACTTCTCATTTTTTTCTACTTAGGAAAGGTTTTTAAATTTTTTTGCTGGGTGCGGTGGCTCACACCTGTGATCCCAGCACTTTGGGAGGCAGAGGCAGGAGAATGGCTTGAGCCGGGGAGTTTGAGGCCAGCCTGGGCAACATAGCAAGACCCCATCTCTAAAAAAGAAAAGAAAAGAAAAAACACCGCAAACGAAAACACCTCAAAACCAAAAGGCATTTTTTGGAGGAAAAAAAACAGAAAAACTCATCCCTCCACTTTTCTCTGGTCCGTCCGACTGCGAGCCCTGGGAGTTTAGAGGGAGACACGAGCCCTCCCACCTCCTGGGGTCCCACACACCGTGCTCAGGCTGGGAGGTTCAGGCCGGGACTAGGGGCCCTTGGCCACAAGGGAGCCACCTTCCTTCCCAACCTGGGGAGGTGCTGGGGCTGCTGGGTTGACGGCAGGGGCGTCTCCGCTGTGCCAGCCGGGGTCACCTCTCTCCCCAGAGTCGCTGCCGCCGCCCTACCGCCTGCAGCAGGCGAGTGTGCAGGTGCTGGAGAACGCCGTCTGTGAGCAGCCCTACCGCAACGCCTCAGGGCACACTGGCGACCGGCAGCTCATCCTGGATGACATGCTGTGTGCCGGCAGCGAGGGCCGAGACTCCTGCTACGTGAGTGCCCCCGGCCCGCCCTGCCTGCCTGCCCTGCTCCCACCGCAGAGCTCAGCGGTGACCCCTTTCCTTCCCTTCCTCAGGGTGACTCCGGCGGCCCTCTGGTCTGCAGGCTGCGGGGGTCCTGGCGCCTGGTGGGGGTGGTCAGCTGGGGCTACGGCTGTACCCTGCGGGACTTTCCCGGCGTCTACACCCACGTCCAGATCTACGTGCTCTGGATCCTGCAGCAAGTCGGGGAGTTGCCCTGAGCAGGCTGGGCTGGGCTCCCACCTGGGTCGGCTGAGGAGGGACCAGGACCTTCCTCCTCCCAGCGATCTCCGCTTCGGCCTCCGCTGCAGGCCACCGTCTTGAGCCCGGCTTCTCTGGCTCCTCAGCGCCCAGGACCTCCCTGATGCCGGGGTGGGGAAGGGGCCGGGGAAGGGAGGGTGGGGGCCTCGCTGCGTCTCTGTCTGATTAAAGAGCAAGAGCAGAGTGTGTGGCGTCTCTGTGGGATGGATTTGCATTCCAAGCTGCAGCCAGGTGCGGTTTGCTCAGCCACCTCCTGTTGGAGGCCTCCACATTTTGGCTATGGTAATAAAGATGCTGAGAACATTCATGCTCCGGGCTCTGTGTGGACGTGCGTCTCTGGGCTCTGTGTAGACGTGCGTCTCCGGGCTGTGTGTGGACGTGGGTCTCCGGGCTCTGTGTGGACGTGCGTCTCCGGGCTGTGTGTGGACGTGGGTCTCCGGGCTCTGTGTGGACATGCGTCTCCGGGCTCTGTGTGGACGTGCGTCTCTGGGCTCTATGTGGACGTGGGTCTCCGGGCTGTGTGTGGATGTGGGTCTCCGGGCTGTGTGTGGACGTGGGTCTCCGGGCTCTGTGTGGACGTGCGTCTCCGGGCTCTGTGTGGAAGTGTGTTTCCTGTCCTCTGGGGGCGACACTCACAGGTGCTGCTTCAATGCCAGGTTCCAGATGAGGAAACCGAGGCAGGAAAGTCACCGGAGATGGAGGCGCAGTGGGTTGGGGCTCGGGGGACCCAGGCCGGCACGCTGCACGCTGCTCCTGTGCTGGGGCCTCCGCGTCCCCGGGCCCTGGCCTCCCAGGGCAGTGGTTAGGTTTAGATTCCTGCCCCGACTCCCTCCTGTACCGGGCGACGCCATGGGTCCCAGAGCTCAGACACCACCACGCAGGGCGAGACGGGAGTGGACGGCCGCGAGAGGCCCAGCCTCCGCATGGGGTGCCTTCCTGGGGCGCTTCCTCTAAGGGCCAGGCCAGTGTGGGCAGGGAGAGCAGTGCTCTGAGGGGCAGGCGACGCCCAGAACGGCCCCGTCCCTCCTCCGCCCCGTGTTCATTCTGCACCTGGACCAGGCAGACTCAGCGCCCAGACCCCAGGCTGCAGGTCAATGTGTGGTTCTGGCGTCCGCTCCCCCGGGCCCCCAAAACCAGGGGCTTCCTCCTCTGCCCCTGTGCTTTCGGGACCTCTGCAGGGCAGAGAAGAGGTGGAAGGTCAAAAGGGAGGGTCTGGGGAGGCTCCTGGCTCCTCCGCAGAAGTTTCTGCAGGTGAGC